>NC_000023.11:9637488-10262488 GCF_000001405.40 Homo sapiens
ATCAAGTATGTGTTATGTGTCAAGCCTGGACTGTAGAAATGAACTTGAAGAAGAAAGGACTCTTCCTCCTGTTCGGGTAGAAAAGGTATAATGCGTGTTATGGATGGTGTGACCGAAGGAAACACCGGATACCATGAGGAAAATTGAGATCATCACCCAGGGATTCTGTATTCTACTTAGGGAATAGGCTAAACATCAAAATACAGCAATTTGAGACAAAGGCAGGCGGTAGTCCCAGAAGGGTAGGTGTCAAATCCCCAAGAGCATCGGCGGATCCAGGTTCCTGTTGTGTTACTATCCTGCCTTCCTAAGGGTCAGACAGGCTCTCAAGCAACCCCCATGACCACAAGTTGTGCACATCCTTTCCCAGCTCCTCTCACCTACCATTGGCAAGAACTCAGTAGTGGAACACCTGGGGTCTCTTAATGAGGTGTGCTTGTGTGACTAAAAGAAAAAGAAATTTTGGGGGAGGAGCAGGCTGGTGGATGTGCAGTTTCTAAATTATCTTGTATTTTATTTGATTACAGTGTTTGAATTCAGTGTTTTGAAGAGATGTATGTAGCACTGCAAGCTCTATTCTAACCTACTTTCTTTGGAGAAGCAGGTACATGCTGTGTTGTGTCAGCTTAGAGAGCCCCTTCAAAACCTCTCCATGTTCAATGTGGAGGGACTGTCACTATACATGCATGGCACACCACACCAAGAACAGAGGGCTACCAGAAAATTAGAATCCCTTTTATATTTGTCACATATCAGCATTTATTTAGCTGTAAAAATAAACAGCATATGGCATTTGTTAAAATCGTTTGTATTTCACACAAATATTTGGCAATATGTAAACTTTCTTGCCAGGGCTGTTTATTGTGGTTCTATTTGCATACTAATAATGGGGAAATCAGTAATGACCAGGTGTTGGAAGGTCTGATTTCTCATTTAAATGTATTGTTTCTAGCAATAAACTAATTATTTTTGACATGTTTCATAACCAGAAGAATGTTATTAACCAAAGTCATAATTCCTATTTTTGTGTTGATCACACACAGATGATAAGTTAATTATACTTATTGAATTTAACAACATATATAAGAGATAATCTCAAATTTCAAGACTCTCATTTGTGGGTTACCATCTGTTTTGGACCAAAGAATAGGAATTTGATTGCAAGCTTTCTTCTGAACAGCTTGTAATAAGAGCTGTTTGTATATTAATTACTTATTGAATTATTGTGGATTTTAATGTTTTAATTTACAAGCAATTTGGAACTTATTGTGGTGACAGCTGCTCATATTTTGATACTTTATGGTATTTAGCAATTTCATCATAAGGCTATTTTTTCCCCTGGTAATTTATAACCCAATCCTGAAAACAGTAATTTGGTCTCTCCAGCTCACTATAAGGAGTATTGTCCTGTTTCATCCCCACTGCAGATTTTTTTCATAGTTAAAAGTATATTTTATAAGCAAAATCAAGATTCCTTTGTGCCTGCTTCCCTGGTGCCCTTTCATTTCTATTCAGAGTTACAGATGAATTTAGTTTCACTCTCATTATTTTACTTCAGTGGTAGATTTTTTACAAATTGCCCTGGTTATTACTTTCATCTTGAATATCCTTATGGTTTTTGTTTTCAATGTACTGTAATGCACTTTAGGGGCCTGTGAACCTGCTTGTAGGTTTTTTTTTAATCTCCTTCCTTTAAACAACATAACTATAAACATGACTCAGTGGGAATAATTTGCTTGAATTTCCTTAAAACACTTGAGTTTCTATATAAACTCCCTAATAAGAAACACCTTCACTCATAGCTTCACTTGTGGACTTCAATTATATTAAACCTGGTACCTTTTTATTATCACTGAAGACTATTAAATAAGAATTTAGAGAAAATGGTGGACATTTAATTTCCTTAGTTCTTGAATTCGTAGATGATAGAGGATAATTGATACTCTCTAGGAGGCAGGAATCATTCACAACCAAAGAAATTTTATAAGGTAAATATCATTAGGTAAATGGTTTACTGATTAGTGTTTATAGTGACTGAGAAATAAAAACAATTTTTGATATAAAGGATTATCATTTTATGAGCCATAAACCTGGCTTCCTCATAAATCAGTGCAAATGGAACACTTGTGAAACAGAAATGTCTGAAGAGTAAATGAAAAGTTGAGACGTTAGTGGGTGCCTTTGGTTTTCTTGATTTTAGAGGAGCCGGAGGAGAAAGGATTCTGACCCGTTTGTGTGTTTTTATGAGCACAGTACATGAGGATGCATATATGCACACAAATGTGCCTGGTAGAGTTATTGGAAAGCTAGCCCAAGCGATGGGGAATGTTTAGCTAAAGCGTGTTGTCTTCTCCCGAGGGTGTGCACAGGTTCATGTATCAGCTGAATAAGGCCCTGTTCCAAAAACTGATATTTCAAGGGAACCTTAATTTATCTTTAAATTTAATGTAATTTAAAATTAATTTAAATCTTTAAATTATCTTTAAATAATAGCAGTAGCAATAGCTGAGCTAACATTAATTTTATCTATTTTGAGACTCTTTTATTTCAGAACTTCTACATGCATAATGCCTGACCGGCCACTTTTAATTTCTCCTTTCTTTCACTTTGCAAACAAAACCTTACAATCTGTGCTATGGACTAAGACAGAAATTAAGAACCAATAAAATGTGTTAAGTTTTAATTAGGAAGAAGAAAAAACCTAAAGGAACGGGATGGTTGAGAGGTAAACACACCCCAATGATTTTTAAGTCTTTTGTTTCAAACCTTTCCCTTTCTCCCTAGGCTGGTCCCTGCAGACGGCTTCCCATTTTTATGACCGGATGCTGGGAAGCCTGCTGGTCCACAGGTCCATACATGAAGTCACCATAAGGTAAGCAGCCCAGCATGCCATTGGATCCTTGCCCTTGTACCTGAAATCCGTTTGAGGAGCAGAACTGCATTTTCCCAAAATGGAACCCCTTCTGTTTTAAATGATGTTGTCAGGGGAAGTGCCCGGTCTTTCTCCTTACTGAAGGTTGAAGGTAGTAGACAGACAATCATTAAATCATTGCGAGCTGCATAGTCAATTCCAAATGAGAAATTTGCCTTTTTACTGACTTCTGAGAATTTTGGGTTGTGTTTTTGTTTTGTTTTGTTTTGTTTTTGTTTGTTTGTTTTGAGACAGAGTCTTTGCTCTGTCACCCAGGCTGGAGTGCAGTGGTGCAATCTCGGCTCACTGCAACCCCCGCCTCCCAGGTTCAAGCGATTCTCCTGCCTCAGCCTCTCAAGTAGCTGGGATTACAGGCACCTGCCACCACACCTGGCTAATTTTTAAAATAGTTTCAGTAGAGACAGGGTTTCACCATGTTGTCCAGGCTGGTCTCGAACTGAGCTCAAGTGATCCGCCCACCTTGGCTTCCCAAAGTGCTGGGATTACAAGTGTGAGCCATTGCATCTGGCCTGCCTTCTGAGAATTTTGGATCCTGAAGGAGCTATAACAAATTTTTCTGGGTCTTACCAGGCGAGGATGACACCTTCTAAAATCAACCTCTCTTGTCAACATTATCAATTACAATTATGCAGACAAGTTAATTATAATTGGGTGCATGAGTATAGATTTTATTTGGCTCCTATATCTTAATTCTATGCTTTATCAGTTTCTTAATATGATTTGTGTCTGTCTCCAAATTGATTTGCTAGTTAACTTTGAAACTTATTAGAAAATCATGGAGATTACTATGTGTAAATCTGGTGAGATGCTAAGGTTTCCTGACTAGCACACCAAACAATTGTATGTGCACAGGTGTCAAGAGTTGAGAAGCCCGTAGCCCAAACTAAAACTGAGACCCATGCCCCAAAAGTTCTGTAAAAGTTATCTTACTACCTTTCGGTACGTGTGATTTTAATTTCACTTTACTTAATTGTTATTTAATTTTCTGTTTCTTTCTCTAATGCCTTTTTAGTTAAAAAAACAAACAAACAAACCTGTAGAACTTGGGCAGTTTTAAAGTGTAAAGATAGAATTTTGAGGAAGCTTTTTGATTTACTATTTTAAGAGAACCAACTAGAACTAAAATGATAGACTTAAATTTAATTAAAATAAGCAGCTTACTGTTTGAGGTACTTTTGTTTAAAGCCAGACATATGCATATGTAGGTTGTTTTAACAAGTTAAATATGTATAAGTATTTTAATGAAAGGTGTAGTCTGTTTATAAAAACAAAATTTGTAATGTATTAGTGAATTTGAATTTTCTGACTGGCTTTTTCACTCAGTATAATGTTTTCAAGGTTCGTGTGCATTGTGGCATGTGTCATTTCTTTTTATGTCAGAATATTCCATTGTGTGGCTAGACCATGGATAGAACATATTTGATTCATGCATCAGTTGATGGAAATTGGAGTTGTATTTCCCTTTTGGTTATTATTAAAAATGATGTCATGAACACACATATACAAGTTTTTTTGTGTGGACATATGTTTCATTTCTCTGTGGCATTTACTTAGGAGTGGGTCATATGGTACCTCTGTTGAACATTTTGAGGAACTGAATTTTTCCAAAGTGGCTGTTACACCAGTCAATATTTTTCGAAATGCCATTGAACCATATTTTAAATGTCAGAGGGAAGCAGGGAGGGGATCTTTCTCTTATCAATGTTTTGAGTGGGTATTAGTTCAGTACTTTGGGAACATAAGCTTCAATTTCATTGAATCCAGCACACATTGGATTTCTCCTCTGCGTGAGGTATCTGTGTTTGGCTTTATACCTCAGTCATTTATACATGACTGAGTGTTTTTGTAGCCTTTGATAACTTGTATGGTTTATACATGCAGATAGTCATTTGGCATTATCCTCAAAAATGGTACTCTATTGCTGTAGTTCATTAGTAAGGTTGGGAATAACCTACATAACATACTCTTTCTGCCTATGCTGCGTGCTGCGTCTCAGAAAGTGAGGGCTTCTAACGGTTTCCTTGAGGTGTGTGTGGTTTCAACACATGTCCTCCTTTCAAAGGCATCCATCGCAGACCCTGGTGATAGTGTTTTTTGTATCTCAGTCTTAAAGGGGTTGGTATGGTTATGAGGAATGTTCACATTCAGGGGCGTTCACTGTTGAAGTTCTCAGGCAGGAAGATTCCAAGCCGAGAAGGGACTAGGCAGTCCGTTCTCGGATGTAGAGGTGGGAAAATCTGTGGTAGAGCAGGAAGGACTGAGAGCAGGCTCAGCAAGCATGTTCTGTGATGGGCCCGATAGTTAGGGGCTTAGGCTTCGCGGGCCAGGCGGTCTGTGCGGCAGCTGCTGTACTCTGCCATTGCAGTGTGAAAGCAGTGTAGGCCCTACAGAAATGTATGAACATGGCTGAGTGCCAAGAAAACCCTATTTATAGACACTGATACTGGGTTGCAGTTTGCTGACCCTAACCTAGAGGAACACAACTGTTTTCTTTCCACCTTTTCTAATTGTGGCCTTTTGAGTTGGAGGCCACCTGGAGGTGAGGCTCCGAGAGGCCCACCCAAGGGCCATGATGTGATGAAGACAGACTCTAAATTGTGATTACGTAGCGAAGGCACTGCAGATATTTGGGGGTCAGGACTTTTACGTAAGGAATTTGAGGGCCTTTCTGCCACATAAGAGGGAGTGGCTCTGGGCCTGTGTAACTGCCCTAACTTGGGTTCTCACCCTGGGGGAGTCTCCACCCCCAAGATAACCTGGGAATGTGTGGAGACATGTCTGGTTGTCACCACTGGGGGAGTGGGTGCTACTGGCATCTAGTGGGTAGAGGCCCGGGATGCTGTCAAATGTCCCGCAGTTCACAGGACATCCTCCCCAACCCCTAAATGTCAAACGTGAGGAGATTGAGGAGTCCTGCTCACCGCTGCTTCTGTCAGCCCTTTATTTTGTACTTGTTGTCAGTCATATGGCTGTGGAATTATAGGCTATGGGGCATTAAATTACAAAATTTAGTACCTGTGTTTGCTGACATAAGTGTAAGGATGGTTGGACTCTGATCTAATATTTGGGTTCATGATGCTTTTAGTTTTTTCCTTTTTTAAAAACGTCTTTGTCATTCATTTAAATATAAGCCTCCAAAATTGATATAGGCCAGGCACGGTGGCTCACACTTTGTACTCCCTGCACTTTAGAAGGCCAAAGCAGGAGGATCACTTGAGGCCGGAAGTTTGAGACCATCCTGGGCAACATAGTGACACCCCCATCTTTACAAAAAAAGTAAAAACATAATAATTAGCCAGAGGTGGTAACACATACCTGTAGTCCCAACTGCTCAAGAGGTTGAGGCAGGAGAATCACTTGGGCCTGGGAGGTTGAGCCTTCAGCAGGCTATGATTGCACCACTGCACTCCAGCCTGGGCAACACAGTGAGACCCTGTCACTAAAACAAAACAAAATGCTGATATAACACTAAGATTTATATGAGATCCAGGCCACATTGGGGGATGGGGCACCGCCTGCCTTTCGAACTGTAGGGTACGCTTCAGAGTTTATTTTTCACAACTTCACAGGCCACATCATATGTGTAGGTGAACCCACTGCTGACTCCATCTACTGCCAGAAAGAGACTCATCATGGTCAAATTAAATTCTTCATATGTCAGTGAAAAATCAGTGTCTTAGAGATATCATGACCAGAGTGCATGTATTCCTGAAATTTGTTTGAAGGCCCGGTGCACATTGTGTAGAAACTGTGTTCAGTCTATCTAAAAGATAATTAAAATCCATAAATTAATTTCTGGCTGGAAAATAGGTCATAATGGATCTGGATATCAGAAGTGCTAGGTTAAAGACCACGGTCATCAGGAAAATAGGATGAGCTCCTGCTCCGTGGAAGCAGTAGCATCAGTGCCTTCCAAGGCAGTCTGCTCTGAAATCTTGGGCACGTGCATCTGTGTTGAACTGTGGCCAGAGGAGGAGAGGATGAAAGGGAGGCAGTGCTCTTTTTCTTACATGCATTGTCCGGCTCATGTGATGTGGGTTTCCCTGGTAGTGGCTTGCTCTTGCTAGGTGGAGCATTTTCAAGAGGGCTTCCTTCCTGTCACCATAGCATCTGCCGTTGACGTGCATGTGGGCTTTGGATGAAAGCCCCAGCCAGCCACTAATTAACCCAGAAGGGTGGCAGGGCACAGAAAGGACCTTTTCTGAATGCCTCATCATGGGGATTTTTTCTTTTCTTTTCTTTTTTTTTTTTTTTAGATGGAGGCTCGCTCTGTCATCCTGGCTGCAGTGCAGTGGCACAATCTTGGGTCGCTGCAACCTCCATTTCCCAGGTTCAAGTGATTCTCCTGCTTCAGCCTCCTGAGTAGCTGGGATTACAGGCGTGCGCCACAACGCCCAGTTAATTTTTTTGTATTTTTAGTAGACATGGGGTTTTGCTATGTTGGCCAGTCTGGTCTCAAACTCCTGGCCTCAAGTAATCAGCCCGCCTCAGCCTCCCAAAGTGCTGGGATTAACAGGCGTGAGCCACCATGTCCCGTCAGGGATGATTTTATTCTGTGAAAAGCGGCATTCCTTTTCTAACACAAAACCTCTCCTCTGCTCTGCCCTCCCAACCCTGTAGCCTCATTTCCTATATAGTTGTTTTCATACTGATTATCTCTGAAGACATTGCCAGGTCGTTTTTGTTTGTTTTGAGACAAGGTCTTGCTCTGTTACCCAGGCTGGAGTACAGTGGCACGATGTCGGCTCACTGCAGCCTCCACCTCCCAGGGTCAAGCGATTGTCGTGCCTCAGACTCCCAAATAGCTGGGAATACAGGGGCATGCCTCCACACCTAGCTAATTTTTGTATTTTTTGTAGAGATGGGTTTCACTGTGTTGCCCAGGCTGGTCTCAAACTCCTGGACTCAAGTGAGCGACCACGCCCAGCCGACATTCCCAGGTTTTCTTTACGTTTTAATAAATATGAGTAGTCCATGTTCAGAGTAGAAACTATACAACGTGTAGAAAGATACACATGCAATTGGGAGCCGTGCTTTTCCCACACAGTCCCCTGTCATGGACATTGCCCCTGCCTGAAATGCTGTTTTCCTGGCCGCATCTTATGCCACTAGTTTATTCCATATTTAAATGGAGGCGTCACTGCTCGGCATTGGAACTCTAGTAACGAAGAAATAATTCTTTGATTATATTTACCATTTCAGACCATTGACTCCAAGTAAATAAATATAACCGTAAAACTAATGGGAAATTTTTTACTTTGCGGGGAATATTTTCGTACTGAAAGTATTGTATATCTGATTGTGGGTAAATGGAGAGAAGTGTATGAAAGAAAGCAAGCAACATAAAATATTTTTATGCATTTCTCCCCAAACTTTTCCTCTGTATGTGTTTTCCTACAGGTTTGGGTCAAACTGTAACCTTGTTGGCCCTCTTTTCTGTTTTGTTGTCGCCCCCTGCCACCCAATTTGGGACATATCATAAATATCTTTCCATTAACCTAGCTTTGAAATTTTTAACTTGCACTGGAAGACCACAGCGTTTAATGTCAAACAACGTAACTTTAAATCCTAGCTTCGCTGGGATTTAAGTTGGTTATCTTCCCTAAGCCTTTATTTGTTAAACCTATAAAATGGTAATAAGAGTAATGGTCATATTTATCTCTTGGAGTTATGACTGGTGAGATCGATCGTATCGTGCACATAGCACTCACACCTGATAGCTAGCATACAATCCATGCCGTGTATTGGTTTCTAAAATCATCTTCATGGCGGCCTGATAGTTCCCATATGTGTTCACTGCAATTTATTTCATCGTGCTGTCACTGGACAATGAGATTGTTTCGAGAACCACACATTGTCTTCTTTACAATTACATAGGATGAAAAGATGTGCAAAGTGGTAAAACAAGCCTGTGTCAGCCCCCAAATAAGCTGCTCCCCAGGCAGATGTTAGAAAAGGTGTATTGGGATTTATATGTAAACTTTATACATACATTTAAAATTCTGTCTTAAGCTGGTTACTGATTGTGAAATGAAAATAAACTCAGTTTACATCTGAGCAGAGAAAAGAGCCGCTGCCTCCAAATGGGCAGAGTTTGCTCGTTTCCATGAAGCAACTTGGAGAAAGAGGTGCCCTTTAGAGGCTGAGGTCAGTTCAAGCAGATCTTCCAGTGACCCTGGCTCGGTCCAGTCTGCATGGAGACAAGCCCCAAAGACCTGAGCCTTGTCCAGGCCATCCCTCCAAGCAATGGATTCTTCCAGCACAGACGCCAACAGCCTGACTAATAGCAGCCTAACTAATGACACTCACTTTCTCAGGTGCCTTCAGAAACCAAGGGCTGCTTTAGAAGATCTTTAAGATGTTTACATAACAGGGCAAATGGCTGAAAGATAAAGCTTCCCCTCCAGTGATGTCAGAGGAGCTCTGTGCGCTGCCCTTCCTACAATACACGCCCCCTTCATCAGCTCGTGCTTCCTTCGCTGTTTCAGAACACGGCTGGCCTCTTGGCAAGAAACGAACTTGCCCTTTCTGTCCTTAACTACCAGCACCAGCTCTCCAGCAGGCCCCATGTGATTCTACTTTTTAAGATAATTAAAACAGCAATTAAGATTTTGTTTGGGGCCAGTGTTCTCCCACAGAATGATGGCATATTGAGTGCTCTAACTACATACTCAATGAAATGAAACTCTTAAACAGCCATTTCTCCTGGGACCGAATGCTGAACTGTTTTGTGAAGGGAACTGCGAATTAATAGGACTTTTGGCCACCTTGAAACCAAGGCTTAAAAAAAAATACTATAAATAATCTCCCCTTCAGCTTCTTGACGGCTCTAAACCCCAAATTATCACTTATATTGAATTACTTATCTTTAGCAGAGAAACTTCAAAAATGCCATCAGCCCATGCTCGTTTGTTCTTCTTTGCCTTCTTTAAGCAGCACAGTGAGAGAATGTTGTGGCTTTAACCCAAAGTGGAAGGTGGTTATTTCGTTTTTGCGCAATCACAACTCCAAACACCTCAAATCAACCTAATTGAAGGTGTCTTTAATCAAAGCTGGGTCAGGCAAGAAAATAAACACAGTTGCTCTAATTAAGACTCCCCTCTCATCCCCCTCCTGTTTGGGGCCAAGGAGGAGCTGTGAGTGCTGCCAAAACTCTCCTTTATTTTAGAACTGGAGAAATTGGAAAACATCCACAGGAGTTCTCAGAACTCGAAGGCTGGAAGCGGATGCTGTTCGGGAAACCGGTTAGGTGTTAGAATGCGGCTTGTGTCTCCAGCTGTACATACTAGAAAAGAATGCCCAAACACAGGCCTCTGGTGGTAGTTCTTTTTGGTTGGGCTTTATGTGTGCCACCTTGCCTGCTTGACATTGCTGATGAGCCAGGACGAGGAGTCGAGCCCTGAGTGGTCATGGGCGAGGCAGGTGTGTGTTTCCCTGATCCTCTCCTACTGACCTTTCAGGTCTCTCTTGGGGAATTGCTGGAGGAGCTAAAATACCAGCTCCCACATACTGGATATTTTCTGTGCATCGGGCTCTGCATAAAAGCATTGACTCCTCACACTCTCCCCTTTACATAGGGGCTATTTGATACTCAGTTTAGAGATAAGGAAACAGCCATATAACTGACCCTCCAATCCCAGGGCTAGATAGTGGTGCAGCTGCCCCTAGAAGTCAGGGTCTCTGGCGCTTGGCCAAAGGCTCCCTGAATCCCACATCTTTACCTGTTCTCTGTGGCTCTCAGGACGTGAGCTACCTTATCTCTAGCCAATAAGCCTATACGGATGGGGACTCTCACCCTGATTTACCCTAACTTTATTGTAATAAAGTCATAACTGTCATAAGAAGTAATAGTTGCAATAAAAAGTAGTAATTGTAATAAAGCATGAACATTCCAAACTCCATGTTATTTGTCCACAAAAATAGTTCTTGGCACAGAAGACAAAGGCGGACTTTTTCCCACAGAATACATAGCTGTCGATGGCACTTTGCTTTGAACCTTGGTGTAGAGGGCAGTCCTCATGCCCTGGGCTGAGGGGTGCATGTGACACATCATTAAAAGTCAAAAATCATTTTCATAGAGCAGGTCCTCCCCACATGTACACCCAGAGCTCCTGTGCTTCTCTCCTCTTTCTCTGACTTCTTCCAAAATCGTGGGTCTTGTCTCCATCAGTCAAGAATTTAACTTTTCTTCCAAAACATCCCCCTCCTCTTCTGTGAAGGAAGGTGCTTGTGGACTGGCCTTAGGAAATGTCGCCCAGACAGGAACGGCACACCAGTGTGCCATCACTCAAGCCAGAAATGAGGTTTGCAGTGACCTTCTCTGTGCTTGAGAGTTCTGCTACACTACGAATACCACTATAATAACAGCACATTTATTTGTGGGAAATTAAACAGCAAAGCCCTGGGTGGGAGATCCATAATTTACCATCTTCCTGTGAAATTTAGTTCTGGTCTTAGAAAAAAGAGGAGGAGGAGGAATTTTTATTCCCAGCCTTGTGTGTGGTGAGGTTTGTCTGGAACAGTGGTTCTTGCAGAGGAATACTGGCCAGGAGACTCACTTGAGTCAAAAAACTGAAGAAGATCCATGAAAACAACCACCACCTTCAAGTGAGCCACTTAGAGATAAGCGCAGCTAAACGCCGGGACACCCAGCTGATGGATGGTTTCTCTTGATTTTGGTGTGATGAAGCCCACAGAGCTGAAGGGCATTAAATACAGCTGTTAGGGTTAGGAGTCCATTCAGAGAATATTCTCATGCTTGTATCTAATAATCTAAGAATATATATGTAGATTCTACAATTTTTGGAATTAGGTTTTAAAAGAAAAATAATCATTTAAAAGCTAGCAAAGTAAGTGTTTGTTGGGGGAGAAAAGTTTGATCCAAATATTAAATCAGTCTTAAAAAATTAAAATATGTACTTGAGATGGAGCAGTCAGTCTTACCAAACATTACATCCTGGCTCGATTGCAGGCCATGGATAGTTTTTGTTTTGTTTTCTCTTCTGCTTAGAAATCAAAACCCTTTAGAAAGTTAACAATGTATTGGGGAAAGCATTCCAATCCTTGGACCCTAACTTATACATTTAAAAACAATGAATCTGTGATCAGAAAGCAGAAAGCCAGAGCTGAAGCAGAAGTTTTTCTAGTTGGAAGAAAGAAAGATGTATAATGCAAATTAGAGGAACAGATAATTAAAAATGGCCCGTAATCCCCATCTCCTCAGGATCTTATATTCTCATTCTCCATAGTTCTATATAAACACATGCAGAGACACCTGTATTTATCACAGATGCTCCTGGGGTGGGGAATATTAACCAGGCTGTGTATACAGGTGTTTCATCTCCACGAATCAGAGTATCTGCTCTTATTTTGAGGCAAGATCTCACTCTGTCACCCAAGATCTCACTCCACTCACTGGAGTGCAGTGGCATAATCATGGCTCACTGCAGCCTCAGCCTCCTGGGCTCAAGCAAACCTCTTGCCTTAGCCTCCTGAGTAGCTAAGACCACAGGCATGTGCTACCATACTTTGCTAATTTTTAAAATTTTTTTGTAGAGAGGGCATCTCCCTATGTTGCCAAGGCTGGCCTCTAACTCCTAAGCTGAAGCAATCCTCCCATCTCAGCCTCTTAGAGTGCTGGGATTACAGGCATGAGCCATTGCGCCCAGCTGGTACCTTTTCAGTGGTCAGGTCACCAAGCAGCGTCTGAGCCTGCACCAGTTGCCTTACTTTATAAATGGAGTTCATTTCAAACACAAAATGCTTATTTTCCCTCTAAAGAGCAATGGTTCTCGGCCAGCTGCAGTTTTGCAATGTGGGACATTTGGCAATGTGTGCAGGCATTTTTGGTTGTCACCACTGCAAGGAGGTTGGGGGAGTCCAAGGATGCTGCAGAACATCGTGCTGTGCCTGGAACAGGCTTGCTTTTTTTTTTCCCCCAGAGTAAAAGAGGAAAGGAGCTAGGCATGGCAAACAAGAAGGGCAGCTGGGAAGCTGGGGTGTTTGCCAGGTCCTGCCAGACATAGTTTCCTCTCTGTGCCTCAGTTTCCTCATCTGTAACATGCAGAGATGAGATGCCCTCCAAGATTGGTCCTTTCCAGCTGCCCTCACTGGGAGGGGGCACCGTGCCCTGCCTCCCAGGCTGACTCGTCCTTTGTAATTCTCTTCCTTTCCACGGGACTCCAGATTCATGCCGGTCCCACTAGCCCTGTTGCCCTGTTCCTAAGCCTGTCCAGAAATCCTTGGGACTAAGTGAGGCTGAAGCTATAGCGCTCTGCTCTTCCTACCTTTTTAAGAGGTCTTACATTGTAAAACTTCAATTTTTCAAACACTCACTGGCTCACAGAAGAAAATAAAATAAAAAGCTGCAATTGTGAAAATGTAATTGCTCAACTTTAGCTCATGCTCCAGATCAGTGATTTTCTCTTTTAGCCAAACTTCTTTATAATTATTTCCTTTATTTTTATAATAGATTCTTCAAAATTAATTTCAAAATTCCTTATCTACCGTCTTTCACAAATGTATGTATAGCCTAGAGAATTTTGGTAATAATTTTGTGATACATTTATATTGGGATTTGTAGCTGCCAGCCTTTTTTTTTTTTTTTTTTTTTTTTTTTTTTTTTTTGAGAAAGGGTCTCACTTCCGTTGCCCAGGCTGGAGTGCAGTGGTGATCGCGGCTCACTGCAGCCTCGACTTCCCAGGCTCAGATGATTCTCCCACCTCAGTCTCCTGAGTAGCTGGGACTACAGGCGTGCACCACCACACTCAGCTAGTTTTTTCGTTTGTTTGTTTTGTTTTGTTTTTGTAGAGACAGAGTTTTGCTGTGTTGCCCAGGCAGGTCTCAAACTCCTGGGCTCAAGCGATCCGCCTGCCTCGGCCTCCCAAATTGCTGGGATGATAGGTGTGTGCCACTGTGCCCGGCCCAAGCCATTTTTTCAGTCCATTCTTTTTGCTCCTCCTAGTAACCCTTCGTAGCAACCAGCCTTCCATTGTTCAGTCACCAGAAGTTAATGATAGAAAACCAGAGATTTCTAGCTGTGCAAGATGTAGAGAGAAACCTAAACTCTATACATTTGCTATTGGCACTGTGTTGCCATAGTCACTGCAGCACTCAGCATCACCAAAAGCCTGCCCAGTGCTGCAACATTCTTTAGATAGATTTTTGTTGTTTTATTTTGTCTCCTTAAATAATATTTAATTTTTCATTAGGTCATGCTATGATTTCATAGCTTATTTTGTCTCTAATATTTTCTTCTGCATGCTGTCTTTTGAGAGACCTCTCCAGAGTTCAAGCACAAATCCTAGGACAGACTTGTATTTTGACTGTCAAATTTTCATTGCAGTATGTGCAAAAGTACAGAAATGTCATCAAATTAAGCAAAGAAGATAAGAATTTTTGAATGGCAGTGTTCTGGCAACTATAAAATAAAGTCTATTAAGAGTGCAAAGTGAGAGGTGGAATGTCGCCAGGGCAGCTGCATTCATTATCTCTTGCTGGATAACAGACGACCACACGTTTAGCAGCTTGAAACAACACACATTCATTCTCTCACCGTGGCTGCGGGTCACGGGTCCAGGCACAGCACAGCTGGGGCCAGTGCTCAGCGTCCCACAAGGCTTGGTCCGGGTGTCAGCCAGGCTGCGCTCTCCTTTAAGCTCAGGGGTTTTCTTCCAAGCACAGGTTGTTGGTAGAATTCAGTTCCTGTGGCTGCAGGACTGAGACCCTCAGCTCCCTGCAGGCTGCCTGCCATTGCCTGGACAGATCATGCAATGTGGTGTTAATAATCACAGGAGAGAAATGTGGTCAACCTTGCCATGTAATGTAACCTAACCTAGGGAGTGGTGCCCCATCTCCTTGACGCATTCTGGAAGCAAGTGACAGATCTTGCCCATACTCAAGGGTCGGGAGTATACCAGGGCAGGACTTTGTGGGGGTAAGGTATGTCCCTGGCAGTAACCATTACTTTGAATCCTCCCATTAAATGTAAAATATCTTCCAACTTGAACATATACTTTGTACTTTTCTCCCCCTAAACAAACAAAAACTCAATCCTCATTCAACAATGAAAGTTTTGCTGCCTGTAAAGATACTTGCAAATGTGTGATATAGACACCAAAGACAGTTCCCAAACAGCCTAAAGATGTTTAGTGCTGGCCGGGCGTGGCGGCTCACGCCTGAAATCCCACCACTTTGGAAGTCTGAGGCAGGTGGATCGCTTGAGTTCAGAAGCTGAACACCAGCCTGGGTAAAACCTTGTCTCTACAAAAAGAACCAAAAAATTAGCTGGGCGTGCTGATGCCCACCTTTGGTCACAGCTACCCGGGAGGCTGAGGTGAGAGGATTGCTTGAGCCCGGGAGGTGGAGGTTGCAGTAAGCCCAGATCATGCCACTGCTCTCCAGCCTGGGCAACACTGCAAGACTCTGTCTCAAAAAAAAAAAAAAAAGAAAGAAAGAAAAAAAGAGGCCAGGTGTGGTGGCTCACGCCCGTAATCCCAGCACTTTGGGAGGCTGAGGCGGGTGGGTCACGAGGTCAGGAGATCGAGACCATCCTGGCCAACATGGTGAAACCCCGTCTCTACAAAAAATACAAAAATTAGCCGGGCGTATTGGCGGGCGCCTGTAGTCCCAGCTACTCGGGAGGCTGAGGCAGGAGAATCCCTTGAACCCAGGAGGCGGAGGATGCAGTGAGCTGAGATCGCACCACTGCACTCCGGCCTGGCAACAGAGCGAGACTCCGTCTCAAAAGAAAAAAGATGTTTAGTGTTGGTGACATCATTGACGTTAGTTGCAGCCTTTCTGGGGCTGCCCAGCTGTTTGGAGTGAGCAGCTCTTACTGATGTATGAATTCTGGTTTGTTCATGGACAACAGAGTTCTTTCCTTGCTTGTTCCCTTTGGGCTGGTTTGCTCTTGTGTCTAACCGGGTGGTGTCTAAGAAAACCAGACTCTGTCTTGGCTGTCTCACACAGAAGCCCCTGAACGTTTTCCTGCCCATCCTCCCTCCCCAGATTTCTGCCTGCCTTCTGGGCACCAGAAGTCTTAGCCAGACGGATGCAGCGGATTCTGTGGTGAAACACAAATGACAGAGGTGCTCCCTGCCTTCTGTGTTCTGGTTTTCCACCAGGAGCCCTGGCCTCCTTGCAGAAACATCGAGGTGACATGTAGCATGACCGAGCTCGCTGGCGCCTCTTCATCGTGCTGCCACCGCCCTGCAGGAAGAGGGGCCATGCAGTCAGTCTTGCACCACTTTCAACGTTTGCGAGGGAGAGGTACTGCGGTTCCTCATGTGGCCAGGACCGTGTGGTCACTCTTTGGGGGTGTTGACATGGCCGCGGGTGTACTCGGTCACCTCTCCATGTGTCCAGAAAAGTGCTCAGTGTTGAATCCCTCCACGTCTGCCTGAGTGCACTTTGGGATTCCATTCCTGCCGCTTATGGGGCGCGCTGCGGATCCCTGCATGCACAGAGCTTTATTGAACGCAAAGTCAGTTGTTTGTTGTCGTGCTCTGTTGCCCCTGCTTCTGGCTTCATTCATGTGGTTTTTGCTCAATTCTTCCCCGGCCTTAGGAAATAGGCCAACTCTTGTTTTTTTGGAAAACATTTCACCTGGGCATATTTTTCTATCTATAATTACGGAATTTTTATGTAATCACATAATTATAAAATATAACACAATCAGATATTAATTACCTTCATGTGTATAATAGCATGGATATTATTTTCTTTAGTCATCTCAAAAAAAAAAAAGAGAAAAATACAAGCAGTGTTTCAAAACTCTCTTCTCTTTTTGAACAGAGGGTGGTTCCCACTTCATCAACACCTCATCGCCGCGAGGTGAGGCTAAGATGAGCATAACCAGTGACGAGGTGAACTTTCTGGTGTATCGGTATCTCCAGGAGTCAGGTAAGAGGCTTGGTTTTCTGTCGGTAGGAAATTCATCTACAGCATCTTACAAGCAGAAGGATCAACGCTTAATTCAAAACCAGGCTGTAGAAGAAGAAGAAGAAGAGCTAAGAAGGTTCTTAGTGCTGATGGGGAGAAGAGAAGGTTCTGGAGCTGTGCCATCCCCGGGTGGAAAGAGGGAATGTGTTCTTTCTTCCCTTGACACTTCTGTGCAGATGAATCAGGCAGGAATCAAGAGCGGTTGTGGTGAATGTGGAAAGGACGGAAGCAGTGCGGGGCTCTTGGCCTCCACCTCGGCGAGGGCATGCATGAGCTGGTGTGTGTGTTTGAACCTCTTCGATTTTGCTCCAGAGATTTATTCAGCTCCCCAGCCTCCCCTACTCCCCGCCCCCTAAATGGGCTGCTAGGCAATTTTCTAAAACTTAGGAATCGTCGTAGCATCTTCCAACATTTTTGATTACCACTGAGACATTACTTTATGGTTAGTAAGTAAACAGCCAATCACATGTGTTCGTTGTTGACAAGACAGACTTTGAGCTGAGCAGCTGCCCTCCTCCGCCAGCAGGGAAGTAGTGGGAAGAAGCCACGGAGCCCAGGGCTTGGGTTCTAACTTAGAAGATATGTAATTTAAGACCTACAAAATGATATTGGTGAAAAACGTCCTGATACCCACCTACCTGTTCAACTTAAACAAACCTCTCAGGTGCATTGGAAACCCCGCCCATGTTTGCCTCCCCGCCTTCCTCGATGATGATGACCCTGGTGGACTTGCTGTTTGTTATCTCCACGTGTTTATTACACACAGCCGTTTTCCTAAGCGACATACGGTGCAGGTGGATTCGTTTCCTAGGGCTGCTATAATGACGTACCGCAAACTGGGGTGGCTTAAAAAGAAATATGTTGTCTCCTAGTTCCTGAGGACAGAAGTCCAAGATGAAGGTGTAGGCGGGTCGGTTCCTTCTGAGGGGAAGTCTCTCCTGTGCCCCTGCCTGGCTCCTGGGGCCTTGCTGCAGTCTTTGAACTCCTTGGCTCGTAGGCACATCACCCTCATCTCTGTGTTCAGATTTGTCCACATTTCCCCACGGTAAAGACAGATTGGATTCGGAATTTACCCTCCTCCAAGACAATCTCATTTTAACTATTGTTTTTGAATACAGCAATAATTACATCTGCAGTGACCCTGTTTCTAAATAGTGTCACATTCTGAGGTGCGCTGTTGGTGAACACTGCAACCTGTGAATTTGTGGAGGAGGGGGCACACTTCAACTCATAACAGTCGGTTTGGGATTTTAAGTTGGGTTTTAAGCTTCGTGCCCTTGATATCAGATTGTATATATTCTGGAACTTGATTATTTGAAAAGGAAACCCCAGTTCCTAGGCCCCGTCCTCCCAGAGATGCATGTATTCGATTGGAGGGAAAACCAGTCTACGATCCTCTAGGCTTGAGTTCTCTCACAGCTGGCCTGGTAGGGTAGACTGTACGCATTGGAGCCACACAGAATGGCTCGAGCTCTGATCCTCGAACAAGTCTGAGTGAGGCCTGTTCATTTGAGCCTGGGTTTCCTTGCCCAGGCAAATGTGCTCAAATACGTCAGGCACGTAGCACATTGTAAGTGCGTGCCTTCCCCATCCAAGCCTGGGTCTCTGTCCCTTGCGCTCCCAGCTAGTGTTATTCATGGAAAGTACACATTCTTTTCTGCATATATATTAGATGCCTGTGATTGGCTGTTGCCAGAACATAGTATAGGAAGTTGGTATACAAAACAAAATATGTACTGCCTCACTCTGGAAATCAGGGAAATGATAACCGCTCTGCTAATACCTCAACCTCGGCTCTTAGAGGAGCACAGGTGATCTCCTGCCTCAGAGCCCATAGCTTTCCAGAGGTGCCTGCAAATGGAAATCCATGTACCAAACCCTGCTTCCCTGTCGACTTGTGGCATGGAATTTGAGATTCTTTCCATTTAGCAACACCTCTGCACAAGGACACGATGAAGGCCAAAGAGACTCACAGCTCTTGTGTAAACAAGTCCCAGGCTGGAACTGTCCGGTGTGAAGGACCACGTGCTCCGGTAACCTGGAGACAGAGCCATGCTGCTGGCTGGTCCCCAGGGGGCCACGGAGCATGAGCTTTGCTGGCTTCTTGAAATAAACACAGAAACCCCCATCCCTCCCCAGAAAGGTCGGCTTCCTTATTCAGTGTTTGTTTATGAAGCTTCTGTAACCAGGCAGCTGAGAGGGAGAGTTGGAGCACAACAATGCATAGACCTTGGCAAATGTCAACTTTGTGTAACATCTGTGAGCTCCATTCCTGATTCATCAGTGTCACTGAAGTATAATAACACTTCTTAGGCAGAGTTGATATTGAAGAGAGAGACTATTACACCTTCTTCAGCTCACTGTGTGTATTGTGGAACTTTTTAGAGCACCCTACAAGGTTGTATTCAAAGGAAGAAGGGAGCAAAGAAATACTTAATGTTGAAATGTTCATTCTGGGGTTATTTTCTATGTTCGTCTCAAGTCCTAAAGTTTTGGTTAGGTCAATAGTCATTGAGCCCCCATCAAGAAAGCACACCTTCTCAGCCTATCGCTGTCTCCCTTCTACCTTAAATAAAAAGGAAAACATTTCCCTGATCATGCTTCCTCCTCAAGCACCTGTACTCTTACTCCTGCACCCCACCAAACTCATTAAAAACAGGTTCTGCATCTCAGAAGATGATTCATTCCTCAGCTCCCTCCACTCTGGCTTTCTCCACTAGAAGTTGTCAGTAAATTCTGGGTTCCCAGATCCACTGATCTTACTGCAACTGGCATTCCTCCTTCCCTGGTCATCCCTCCTTACCTGTGTGTGGCAGGAAGCGGGTGGGGGTGGGCAGTGAGGCAGGGAGTAGGTGTTTCCCTGCAGTGCGGCAGGACAGCTGCTTCCCTGGAAGGTCTGCTGGAACACTCAACCCCACCTTCCAGGTACAGTGACGGACAAGTTTTCCAGAGTCACCAAGCATGTGGCCTGAGCCCTGCTTCTCTGCCCTGGACCCAGCAGACCAGGTTGCCGCTCCTGTCCATCCATTCATCTCCTTCACCAGTGCCTCTCTTCCTCCCCTCTGCCAGTATCCATGGTGTCAGTTAGGATGTATTAGGCTGCAAGGAGGAATCTTCAGTGGAGCACTGATGGCCTCAGACAGCCGGGAAGCAGGGTGTTGAAGAAGGATCCAAGACACATCTCTTCAAACTCGGAAAAGAACCTCAAAAACAGATGTGTTTTGTTCTCTGCCCACAACAGGCAGAAGTCAGGTCATCTGGCTTTTAGCAAACCACATATATTTCCCTACCTGTGTGGATTAGTGGATTTTCATTGTTGCCCTTGTTACTTGTCCAAAGCAAGGGCTTTGCCCATCAGAAGCACTCAATAGCTGTTACCCACAGGCGACATCTCATAGCAGCAGACTCATGGCAGTCTGAAAGAGGAAACTGGTTAAAGCAAGAATGTTAAGTAGTAGGGAACTTTTGCATTACCAAGCTCTAGTGCCAAAATGGATTTGTTGGTTTTTGCATGAGTTCAGCAGTCTGGCTTTGACGAGTGATATGGTTTGGCCATATCTCATCTTGAATTGTAGCTCCCGTAATTCCCACATGTCATGGGGAGGGACCCAGTGGGAAGTAAATGAATCATGGGAGCAGGTTTTCCCGTGCTGTTCTCGTGAAAAGTGAATAGGTCTCACGAGACCTGATGGTTGTATAAAGGGGAGTTCCCTTGCACACCTTCTCTTTCCTGCAGCCATGTAAGATGTGACTTTGTTCCTCATTCACCTTCTGCCATGATTGTGAGGCCTCCCCAGCCATGTGGAACTGTGAGTCCATTAAACCTCTTTCCTTTGTAAATTACCCAGTCTCAGGTATGTCTGTATTAGCAGCATGATAATGGACTAATACAGTGTGTGAGTCCATTGGCCTCTGTCTTACGGGATCCATTGCCTGGTCACTTGTGCTATCTGGGCAGTTTTTAAGAATCACATGGTGGCCATGTGCCTTTCCCGTGAGCTCGTGTTACCATCCCAGGAGGAGAGAAGCAAGGGAGCGAGCCCCTAGAAATGTGCACAGCCTGCACCTGCTGTAGTGAGCAGCTCCCCCAAATGCTGGGGGAGTCGTGAGTTGTGTGCCCCCGCATATTTCTGAATACAGCCAGGGAAGTGGAAGTCCATTTTCCACTTAGTATGGAAAGAGAGAAAATTTGGCAAGTGAGTCCCTGTAAACATATTATTTCCTCTGGGACTTCATCCCAAAATCCAAACTATAAAGAAAACATGTTCTCCCAGACCCACATTTTTGGCATAAATTAAATAATTCACAGGAACTTGCAAAACGGTATGAGGAATACAGGGGGACAGAACCACAGATTCAAACTGAATTTAACTGAGAAAGAGCTGCCTGCAAGATAATCGGGTGATACATTCAGGGGAAAGGGAGGTACTATGAAAAATTTTGTTTTTTGAGACTCACTCATGCTGAGGGTCTCACTCTGTTGCCCAGGCTGGAGTGCAGTGGCACGATCACGGCTCACTGCAGCCTCTACCTCCCAAGCTCAATTGATCGTCCCACCTCAGTCGCCCAAGCAGCTGGGACTATAGGCTTGTGCCACAAGAAATTATGCCCAGCTAATTTCTTATTTTCTGTTTTATTTTATTTGTAGAGACAGGGTCTCACTGTGTTGCCCAATCTGGTCTCAAACTCCTGGGTTCAAGAGATCCTCCCCCCCGGCCTCATAAAGTGCTGGCATTACAGGCATGAGCCACTGCGTTACCTGGCCAAAAATATTTTTTAAAGAAGTAGAAGATACTGTCTGAAGAGGAAAGAAGGAAGGAATGCGCGGAGCTGGCTTGAGCATAGTCAACACACAGGACAGTTCTGTCACCCTCAAAATTGCCTTGTATCCCTTTGTACTCAGCTCCTCTTCCACCCCCACCCTGCCCCGGCAACCACCACTGCTCTGTCCCTAGAGTTTTGCCCTTGCAAGAATGGCATAGAGATGGCATCACATATTGTGTGGTCCTGAGAGTGTGACGTCTTTCACTCAACCTTATGCATTTGAGATTCATGCATGCTGTTGTGTGCACCAGCCATTCATTCTTGAATAGCTAAGTGGTGTTCCATTTTGAATGCTGTTTCTGCGATTTGTTTATGCATCCTCTTGTGGAGGGACATTTGCGTTCTTTCCAGGTTTTGGTGATTCCAACATAAAGCTACAAAAAAGATTTTCATACAGGTCATTTGTATGAACGCAGGTTTTCATTTCTCTTGGGTAAATATCTTGGAGTGGGGTTGCTGGGTCGTGTGACAAGTGTAGGTTTCACTTTACCAGAAACCAGTGCATTCTTTTCCATCTAAGGCAGAGGCAGGACACGTCGTAAACATGACTGGTTTTATAGACGTGAGTTGAGTCACAGAACTCCTCTGCCTGTCGCACAAGGCATACTGGAAAGTATGTAAAGGGACGTTAGCTCTGGCGTATATATCTGCAGGACGCTCATGAAGTGTGATTCTTCCTTTGAGGATTTGCAGCTAGCCTTCTGGACTAATTTCATGAACCTGTCAGGGTCACAGTTTCCATGGGCCGACATGAATGTAGCCCAGGTCGGCTGAATGACAGAGCGTCCTTGTTTGCATACCTTCCCCTCCTTAAGCAGTGCCGTTGGTCTAACCTTCTGCTTAAAAATAGAAAACTCTATACAGCCTCATCAGCCCTCCGGTGGATAAGCCCAGGCATCTGGGCAAGGCAAAGGCCAGGCTTCCAGATAGCAGGATTCCGCAGGCTGGGCCCTGTGGCGGCCACGAAAGCTCTCTGTGCATTTGCCCACATACCCATGGTATCAAAGTCATCGAAAACCCAGCGAAGTATTTCCCTACCTGGAGCTTTGTGACTGACGTCCACACACCACCAGGAACAGGCAGACAAGTTAATAAAAACCATGTGATGATGGTGGTGGCGACAGTACTGAAGAAAAAGAAACACAAGTAGAAATGGAATTTCACTAACGTTGTGTCCGGCACAGGGATGTTACCAAGTTCCGTGTCCATGACGGCAGTAATTTTAAACACTGTAGCTACTAAAAGGAGCTTGTCACCATAATAAATGGTAAAAATCCACTTCTCACACACGCTGAATTCCCAGAGTGAGGAACTTCTGGCTTAGCTCTAAAGATTTAAAGACCCTAGAGGATGGTTGAAATCTCCTTATTCAGTGGAACTTATGTTCTGATTTGCCCTGATTCGTAGCTGAGAGGCCAATTTATTATACATTTTTCTTGCCTCCATTAACGTCACCAAACATGGGTTATTCAGAGTGAGAGTATCACTAGTTATCAAAAGTGAGCATCTACACTCTGGGCACTCTTGTTTTCCTAAAGAGCCCATTTCTGCACACCTGACTAGCTGGGTAGAAGTAGGCATGCTTCTTTTATTTACATAACGTATATATGGCTCTGTGTTATATGTCATCCTTGCTCATAAGGAGGATAGTTGCTATGGTCCCAATGTTTCTGTTCCCCCGAATTCCTATGTTGAAATCCTAACCCCCAAGGGGATGGTATTTGGGGGTGGGGCCTTTAGGAGGTGATGAAGTCATGAGGAGAGCTCCTTTGCCCCTTCTACCATGTGGGAACACGGTGAGAAGGCACCATCTATGAATCGGGAAGCGGGTTCTCACCAGACACCCAATCTGCCACATGTTGATCGTGGACTCCCAGCCTCCAGAACTGTGAAACACACATGTTGTTTATAAGCCACCTACTCTATGTATTTTGGTAGAGCAGCCCGAACAGAGTAAGATAATAGTGAAGTAGTACATCCACATGCCCAGACTTTCAGGGTTGTGAATATAACTTAGTGACATTTGTCATTCATTTCGTGAAGCTTCCATGCCAAGAAAATCATTAATAAGAAAGATTTCTACCCAGTGTGGAGGCCCACGCCTATAATCCCAGCACTTTGGGAGGTTGAGGTGGGTGGATTGCTTTGAGCCCAGGAGTTCAAGACCAACCTGGGCAATAAATACAAAAATTAGCCGGGTGTGGTGGTTCATGCCTGTAGTCCCAACTACTCAGGAGGCTGAGGCGGGAGGACTGCCTGAGCCTGGGAGGTCAAGGCTGCAGTGAGCCATAATTGTGCTATTGCACTCCAGAGTGGGTGACAGAGTGAGACCCTGTCTGAAAAAAAAAGAAAGAGTCTTGCTGGGTGACACACTTCACCTGCAGTGCTTCTCTCTGGTGGCGATGCCATTCAGGTGAGTTAGCCTCAGAGGAGTGCATGGAAGAGTGAGTGAGACCTCAGCGGCCTCCTCTTTCCACAACAAACCCAAGCACAGAGATAAAAGGCTGTGCTGAGCGCCCACCAACACGCAGCGAGGTTATACTGTCCAAAAAGAGTACCTGGCAGATGACCCAGCAAGTTCACAGCGGGTAAGCTGGCGTGGGTCTCGGTTAGAGTGAGGTGGAGCGGAGGGGAAGGTTCCCTGTTCTTCAACACTTTCTACAGAAACATAAGACTGAGGGTGAAGTGAGATCCCCTCTGAAAAAGCACCAGGTGTCTTGTGGGGGCCTGATGCTGAGGGATGGGTTGTAGCTCATGCCCTGTAGAAGAGAACACTGTTCAAAGCCAACCAGTCTGGATTCAAGAGGGGTCCTGGGAGCTTCAGTCTGTCCGTGAAAGAAGCACTTCCCTGAGGCTTCCCTGTGTTCCAATGCCCTTCATATCCTAGGCCTCTGAACAGGGTGCTGTCAGTCGAGTGGGATTCATCATCCTCAAGTTTTTGCCGGAGTGGAGGCCAGGCTGTGTGCTGGGCTGATCTCCTCCTGTTGCATCTGTGAGCTGCTGTTGTGAGGACAGTGGCTTGAGAGAGCTGAACAGAAAGACATGCCCCCTCCTTCCAAGACTGACCTCACACTTTAGGGGAGCAGTACAGTGTCCTTTAGAACACCTCAGCGGAAGCAACCCAGATGTCCATTGACAGAGGAAATTCCATCAACAGAACGTGTCCATCCATACAGTGGAATATCATGACTCAGCTTTGAAAAGGAAGGAAATTCTGACACAGGCTCCAGCACGGATGACACTTGAAGACACTATGCCAAGTGAAATTAGCCAGCCACAAAAGGCAAATACTGTAGGATTCCACTTAGAAGGGATACCTCGAGGAGTCTAATCCAAAAAGACAGGCAGTGGAAGGGTGGTTGCTGGGGGATGGGGAGAAGCAGGGGACGTGGAGTTGCTATTTAATGGGTACAGTTTCCATTTTGCAAAATGAATAACGTTCTGGGGATGGTTGATGGTGATGGTTGCACAGTAGTGTGAATGCACCTAATGCCACTGAACTGTGCACTTAAAAATGGTTAAGATGGAGGCCAAGGTGGGAGGATCACTGGAGGCCAGGAGTTTAAGACAAGCTTGGACAACGTAGCAAGACCCTGTCTCAATAACAAAAAAAATTTTCAAAAATTAGCCAGGCATGGGCTCACACCTGCAGTCCCAGCTATTCAGAAGGCTGAGGTGGGGGGATCACTTGAGGCTGGGAGGTGAAGGCTGCAGTGAGTTATGATCACACCATTGCATTCCAGCCTGGACAAAAGAGTGAGACCCTGTCTCTTAAAAATTTTTTTTAAAAATGGTTAGCATGATATATTTTATGTTATATATATTTTACCACGATTTTAGGGGGAGGTCATGGTATTATAGGTGAGAAGTTCCATGTGTAGATTGTTTTTCAGAGTTTAGAAAATTAGTCTCAAAGGGAAGAGAGAACCACCTGTATTCACAGTAATATTAATATTACTAATATTACATGATAAGGGCTTTTTCATAGTCCCATATAAGTGTTTGGGGCAAATCCCTGGCACAGCTAGTATCATTTGTAAGCTACATTGGTGTCTGACAAAATCCAGTTATTTAAAAAACAGAAAACAGTGGCTTATTTATAATAGCAATATTCTGGACATATGGCCAGTGTCCATCAGTGGGCGTAGTTGAAGCAAGCTGTGGCATGCCTGTGCCGTGGAGCACCACTCAGCTGTGAAAAGGAAGGAGTTGTGGGTAGGCACAGCAAGCTGGAGGAACCCCCAGAGAAATGTGCCGAGTAGAACAGGCCACGTCAGAAGATTGCAGACTGGGCCAGGTGCGGTGGCTCATGCCTGTAATCCCGGCACTTTAGGAAGCCTAGGTGGGCAGATCACTTGAGATCAGGAGTTTGAGACCAGCCTGGCCAATATGGTGAAACCCCATCTCTACTAAAAATACAAAAAAATTAGCCAGGCGTGGTGGCACATGCCAGTAGTCCCAGCTACTCTGGAGGCTGAGGCAGGAGAAACGCTGGAACCCAGGAGGTGGAGGTTGCTGTGAGCCGAAATTGCACAGCTGCACTCCAGCCTGGGCGACAGAGCGAGATTCTGTCTCAAAAAAAAAAAAAAAAAAAAGGAAGAAGATTGCAGACTATATGATTCCATTTATAGGACCTGCTTAAAGTGCTGAAAATATACAGGTGGACACCAGATCAGTGGCTGCTACAGATCTGGAGTAGGGATGGGAGCACGTGCGTACAAAGGAAGGTTATAGGAGAGTTCTTTTGTGTTGAATGAAGAGTTTGGTACCTTGACCAGAGACACAGTTCCACAGATCTACACGTAGGATCAAACTGCATAGATTATACGTACACAACCAGTGAATGCAGTGCAGAAAGGATGACGATAGTTTGTGTTCCAGTGAGCATTTCCGTCCTGCCTCCTACTTAGTGGTGTTGATCCTCTTTGACAGTAGTGTAAGATGCCTAGATGGGAGGAGACAGGATGAAAGGTGCACAGCACTTCACTAGTTTTGCAGTTTCCCCTGAGTCCATAGTAATTGCAGAATTATTTAATTGTAAAAAAGACTATACCAAAAATGTAATTCAATGTTTCTATTGTCTGCAAAGCTTTGTGTGTGTGATAGATGGTGGTCCATAATGCAAAGGCAGCCAAGACATTTTTATTATATTTCGCAGGTCATTAGCCATATTGCAGGCCTAGGGCTGGGTGGGGGTACTCTCTTGTGTAATGGATTCGAGTGGCAGCCCTATTAACTGAGAAATGGATGGCCACACAGACACTGTGGGGCCGTTGGAAACAGAAGAATCAGCTGGAAGCAAACAGCATTTGTCATACGGACATTGCTTGAATGTTTGCAGACTGGGGACTGTCGTTTCTGGGTGGGCTGCATTTTTACTGGGGGAAAAAGTCGGTGCATGGCTTCTTCCCTGCTCATTTACCAGTGAGTCTTAGAATGCTTTTACAATATCCACTTAGAACCTTCAGTGTGGAGGATTCTGTTAGATTTATGTGTTCAGCCTGAGAGAAGTGGGCAGATTTGAGGGTCTTAACTTCTGAAGATGTTGTGAATGGCCACAACATATAATGCATTAACTCAACATTTTCAGCCCATTCATTGAGATCAGGGTTTCTTGGCCTTGGCACTATTGACAATGGCGGCTGGATTGTTCTTCATCTTGGGGGGACTGTCCTGAATACTATAGGATGTTCAGCAGCATCCCTAACATTTGCCCACTCTCTATTACAATGGAGAGAGAGTGGGAAGACATTTGTCAAATGTCCCCTGGTGGGTAAAATCAATGTCAGTTAAGAAGCACTGATTCATATCCTTTAGTTGTAGGATTTTTTTTTCCTTCCAACTGGTTTTTCTTGGGAAATGGAGTTTTAATGGCATTCTGATTTCTTTGCCCTTCATCTTGTGTTCTCCTTGGGCTTCATTTTGATTCCCTTACCTGCAGAACTCAAATAGACGTTCACGGCAAGCAAAATGCAGTCCTTGTTATTATTAAAATTTTGCAGGTATTTTTTCCCTTGAGGAAGGAGAAAGTCTGCCAAAAGCATTCTCTGGCAGATAATAAAATAATTGAGAGTAGCAGACTTTCCATTTGATTTTTCTTTTTTGGCTTGGCTCCTGGTGAGTAAGTTAGTTAACCCGGAAAAGGGTGTTACTGAAACTGCCTTTGCAAATATTGTAACGGAAGAAATTATGACAGTGAGAGAAATCTGACATGGCTGACTCCATCTTGTCTCTAGCTTCACAGGCTGGCTGTCTTTGCTCATTCCTGGTTAAAATCAACTTAATTAAAAACTGATATTCAAGCTATATATATATATATATATATATATATATATATATATATATATATATATAAAAGGCCTTGGTGCTTTTTCGCTTCTTGGATCTTGTTTAAGAAAAATTTTTCTTTGTTTTTCTTCTTAGTCAGCTGAATTATTTCCCCAGTCTGTTTTCTTGCCACTCTTGATGCCCACATGAGAGGACCTAAAGTAATTTCTGACAGCCCGGGACTCCTTGGGAAAAACACAGGAGGTGCCACATACCCTGTTTTGAGAAAAACCTACGTTTTCCTCATGGAACCCCAGGAATTGAAGGAGGCTAGATCCCTCTCAAAATCTAAGGCTCTGTTCCGTGTTACCTGATGTATTTTGACTTTGGGAGGTATCAGAAATTACTTTGCAGGAAGAAGAGCTTTTAGCCTGTGTGTGTAATAACTAGGTAGGAAATATACTTTAAGGGATGGCTAATGGAGTTATGGAAGGATACTCAGCTCTTTGCACTTTTGGATTAGAGAAGCATGCTGTCAGCCACCTAGAAGGTATGGAAATATTTCTACCCCACACTGAGAGATGAGACTCCCTTGGGGGATGGGCTGATTGGCTTTGGATTGCCTTGCAGTGGAATGCAGGGTAAAAGCATTGCACTCTCTTCTCCCATTGCATTCCCCTCTTTTTGGGGATCCAAGATGTCATATAAAAATGGGACCCTTAATTTGGGGGATCTGTTTTTGCCTTCCAGCTATGCCTGCTTATTAGGCCCTAGAAACTACATGCTCTCCTGGCTCTGTTTCTATAAGGGCTCCACCCTGAAGCCAGTAATCCAATGAAGAAACTTAAAAATTGAAAGATAAAAAAATCATATAACTACCGGATCCCCTTCTGTCTGTGTATTTATATGTGTTGTGTGTGTGATGTTTATATAAAACATGTTAATGTTCCTATTAGTTGACTTTTAAAGAAAAAAAGTGCTAAAAAAAAATTGTCAGAAAAATAGAAACATTAATGCATTTAGGTCACGTGACTCTAATCTTTGAAAAATAAAGGCAATTTAAAATATTATTGGTAAAGTAAAATGTCTTCAACATTTATACATTTGGTCTAAATTAGGCAGGTCAGATACTGTTTGCTAGATGCTTTAAGCCCATAAACTGCTTCTGTGATTTTTAATAATTGTTTGACTTGTCTGTTTTACAGCCATTGGATTCTAGATAAGGCCTGGGGACACGTGGAATTAGCCAGGTGCCCTAGCTAGGCTGGGAAGAGTCAGACATTGTCTGCAGCTCTGTCTTTGTCCTGGGCTCTATAATCTAATACATGGTTAAAATTGCTTACCTATCAGATATTACACCACAAATTAAAGCTACTGAGAATTAACATTGTAATATACTGGAGAAACAATTTTACTTATAAGGTATACAAGGAAAATAGAATGTATTTTTGGTAAAATGTTATAAGAAGGTATGGAAATACGGTTTTTGTTAAAGGGAAGGTAATGTTGTCTAGTTCAGGGGATTTTAAGGATCGTCTTAACCTAAAAGAGCGATAAGACAAAACTGCAAGTTTAAACAAGCGGGAGGATCACAAGGTCAGGAGATGGAGACCATCCTGGCTAACATGGTGAAACCTCGCCTCTACTAAAAATACAAAAATTAGCTGGGCGTGGTGGCGGGCGCCTGTAGTTCCAGCTACTTGGGAGGCTGAGGCAGGAGAATGGTGTGAACCCGGGAGGAGGAGCTTGCAGTGAGCTGAGATCGGCCACTGCACTCCAGCCTGGGTGACAGAGCGAGACTCCGTTCCCCCCTACCCCCAAAAAGAACAAGCTATAAAGGGTTTGTGAAGGATTGATCTTGTAAAGGAAGTTCTGTGTGTATGAGGAAGTTGGCTAAGATTTGAAGGAGATTATTTCAGTTTTTGGTAAATTAAACATTAAAATAAAAGCACACTGATACAGGGCTCAAATCTGGGCCCATGTGTCTGAATAATGGTTTTCTTAGGAAATTAATCAGCTGTTTAACAGAAAATTATAAAGGGTTTTAAAAGGTTTTTGAAAATTTTACCTGATGGTCAAACGAATTAAGATTATATAGATTTGTTTATAAGGTTTTATTAAGAATTGGGTTTAACATTAATAGTACACAAATGCAAAGGTGAAATTTTGCTTTTTCTTTTAAACAAGATTTTCGTGTAATATTAAGGGATACAAAAGGTTTTTGTTTGCCCCTTTGAGTAAATGGCAGGGAAAAGGAAGAGGGGAAAGGAAAGAGATTCAGTTGGCTTCATGCTGTCTTCATTGGGTCCTGTTGTTTGGAAAGCTGAGGCTCCTATCAAAGTAAAGATTTTTTCCTTCGTAAAATTTTTGAGTTATCATTTTGGCTAAATGAATGACTTAGGTATGGTGACCTGGGATTCTATTTTGTAATATCTAATGTTTTAAACCTTTGATATTTGACAAACTTGCCAAGATCAAATTCTAGGTTATGTTTTAAAAAAAAATTAGGACACCTAAAGTCCAAAAGAGATATATTTGGCTTATTCAATATATTAAAACCATGCAGGAAGCATTGTCAAATATAAAATGGTGTTTAACTTTCTTTGGGTTATATTCATATAAATATGTTATTAGTATGTGTTACAAACTTGTGTAAGATTCCTATAATTCTGATGTTTCAGTGTATGTTATCATTAATAATTATAATTGTTATGTTAAATTGTTGTGTGTCACAGAGACGACCAGAATTCCTTGTTGATTGCATCTTTATGGCTGTCCTGAGACTTGTGTCATCCATAGACAATTATTGTCTTGTGTTGCTCCTTTTCAGAAGGCAGTTGTTATATTCAGCTATAGGACTCTGACAGGTACTCTTGAATGCGGGTCTCTGATAAGTTTAGAAATTGTGCCATTGGAATAGGAAAAAAAAAAAAAAACTTTTGGGACTCTCGTGGAGAGCTGATGTGTTAAACATTGCTAATCCCTTTGTTATTCAGAATCAAGAAAATGTTTTCTTTTTAGCTGTTTACCACTTTTAGCAATTGAATAAGATAAACTTGTGCAAAATTTACTGTGAGCAAAATTTGGAGCATGTTACTTTTTCTCTACCTGATTTCTGCAGAATTTATAGAAACTATTTGAGTATTCTCAACTTATGGCAGTATAGTTATTTGCATAAGTGCAGTAAGAATCTGTTCTCTTTTGTAACAGAACAGAATTAGAAACACTGGTTATTTTACCAAGGCTTTGACTGGAATGGCATGCATTCAAATATAAACAGACTGCTTTAAGGAATCAAAGTTGACTTACAGAGCCAACAAAAGCCCCTCAGGAAAACGCCTCATACCTTGTGCGGTTTCTGTACAGGGTTCCTGACTTGTGGTAAGTAAAGAATGTCATTTTCTGGCGGGCCTAGGGAGCCCCAAGTTATCTTGAGACCTTGGGTGGAGGAAAGAGCCTATTATGGCAAATAATTCTTCTTGCTGCACTTTATACAAATAATCAGTCCAAGCATAATAAGACTAAGACTTATTTTGCAAGTAAATTTGTCTTACTATGATTTGTCTTTAATAAAAATGGGGACTAGAGAGAGAAAAATTATGTTTCAAAAAACTATAAACTTCTTGAGTTTTCATTATCTTCTGTTAACACTGAATTCTTTGTGGGCTACAAGTCCCCAAACTAATGCTTTCAAATTTTTCTTCCACTTTTCTAACTTGGACTCAGTAAAATGCTACTACCTTGTTCCTGAGGCCCTGCAAGCTGAAGCTTATTCCTCGTAATATAGGCGACAAAAACGTTTCAGATTTTCACTGCCTGCCTCATCTATAACGAAAGAGGCCTAACCCACCTGCATTGCCACCTCCTGATATGGGAAACAGCTGTTTAATTAAACATCTAGTCTCAGGACTAGGAAACTGACCTAAAAAGAATATGGGATGATATATGTAAAATGTGTTCTTTCCTGTCCATCCCAATCTGTCTGTCTAACAACCACTGGCCCAAATCTCTCTGCTAGCCGCCCCATGTCTGATTGGTTCTCAGAGATGTTCACCTGGGTCCCTCAGAGCTTAAGGTCCAGTCTACAAAGGCTTCGGAAGCTAGGACTTCCACTCTTTATCCTAGGACCTTATAGCTCACTGTTCACTTCAATGCTGTGCCAAAACTACAGATGACCATCCTAATGCCTTTGTCATGCAAGCCCTGAAACCCCAACCAGGCACATGTGAGTACATGCAGACAGCTGCAAAGGGGTTCCACTCCTTTTACCTTGGGGTCTGCAGCTACACCCACTATGCCCACTGTCAGCAGGAAGAAGTTAGGGCAGTCGTCTCTTCTTTTTCCATCTTCATAGCCCACACCTTAAGAATAAGGTGTTATAAAACCCAAAGGGAGGGATTGAAACCACCTTTGCAAAAATTATAACTGAGAACATGTTGACAGTGAGAGAAAACTGACCTGGCTGACTGTCTTGCTTCTAGCTCACAGGTTGACTGTCTTTGCTCATTCCTGGCCAAGCTAACCTGGGGGAAAAATTTAGTTTATAGTTTCAATGATAATAGTCCTTCCCCCAAACTAAATGTTGTTGTAAAACTAATGAAAGGCTACCAAATTAGGATGAGAGGGGCTTGAATTCTAAATAATTTACCATTATGCCATTATGCCATAATAATTTGCCATTATGCCGGCAGTCAAGATTTGCATCTTCCCCTTGAAGATAGCATCACTGTTGTAGAACCTAAGATTGGCCTTTGAGATGTCTTTTCAGGTGTTCGCATTTCTGACAACCAGATTGCCCCACTTGGACCTGCGAACAACCGGTCCTGTGGCCCCCCCTACTGAGGAATGACTCAGCATAAGAGGACAGCTACAATTCCCTATGATTTCATCTCCAACCCAACCAGTCAGGATGCTCCCTACCCCACCCCACTGCTCACCAAACTATCTTTAAAAACCCTAATCTCTAAGCCTTCGGAGAGACTTGATTTGAGTACTAATAAAACTCCAGTCTCCCGTACAGCCGGCTCTGCATGAATTAAACTCTTTATTACAATTCCCCTGTCTTGATAAATCAGCTCTGTCTAGGCAGCAGGCAAGGGGAATCCATTGGGTGGTTACATTACTCTTAATATTTGTGAATAATTGCATCTACAAAAATGATTAAGTGGCTTTGCCCACTGTAATCCTAGCAGCTGACAAATTACTCTGTAGACTCCACTGTGTTTCCTAGGGCCATGGAATGCCTTCTTATGCAAGACACGTTTCCATGGATTCAGGAAATCATTTTAATGGTTCAGCTATCTTAATTTAAACAAAAGTTCAGGGCTTATTGTTCAGCTGAGTCTCTAAAAATATTTTTTGACTGCAGCGGCTCTTTTACATTGCTAATGTGTATCCATGTTTAAAAAAAGAATCTTTATGAAACAGTGAAGGCCAGCATTTCTTTGAGGTGTTGGCAGTCTTTGCTTTAGGAATAATAAAGGAAAACATTAGTTTCATCAAATAATAAAATAAGGAAGACCTGAATAAAATGTCCACATTAGTAGAGGATGAAAGTACCCTGAAACTCTGCAAAACAGTAATGTCTCATGCTTTGATGTGATCTCATTAAGTGAGAGCAGCACATTTTGCTGGTATGTTGGGACCCCCCAAGACCACCCTCAGGCCCAGTGGTTTGCTGGAAGGGCTCACAGGACTCAGTACCTGCCACACTTACGGTTTATTACAGTGAAATAATACAGATGAAAATCAGCAAGGGGAAAAGGCATAAGGCACGAAGTCCAGGTGAAACTAGGCACAACCTTGCAGGTGGCCACCCCCAGTGGAGTTACAGAGAAGCTGTTAATTCTCCCAGAAGAATATATGATTGGCCATGTGCGGGAGAGTGGCCAGCCAGGGAAGCTCACCTGAACCTTGGCGCTCAGGGTTTTTATTTGGGGGCCATTCCTGTGGGCATGCGGCCCATGCCGAGGGGTTCAGAAGGAAAATAGGAGAATACAAGGCTATCCACACCACTTCAGGCCCAGGCCACATGGAAATCTGGGTGAGGTTCTGTATCTGTCGTTGGTGCATTTATGCATTTGTTAGATGTCAATGATAAAAACTAATTTCTAAGAATGTGTAGGAGTGGGTAAGTAGCTGGAGAACGTGATACCCAGGCCTTTCATATAGAAAAGAATAGCACATCACCCTGGCCAGCTGTGTGGCATGAACAATTGATCCTCCTCCACCAAGTATGTCCATTCTCCCTTTGCTAAATACAGTGGTGTAGGTTTGCAGAGCCTCTGCTCACATGGGAGGTTATGAAGGGGCTAATTGTTCAATTACCAACCCTCTCATAACTGTGCTAGTTGCAAACAAACTGTTTGAAAAGACTGTTTTGCTAAACTGTTCTCTTGGTGTGATTATAACCATTTACAGTAGCAAAATGCAGGAATCCAGAAGTTCTTACATTCCAGATGTTCATAACCATTCCACTCTCCTGGTTCCAGTGCAGTTTCAGTTGTACGATCTTTTCTAAGTTTATTGTTCTAAATTAAGACTTGCCATTCTTATGCTCATTAATTTGTTACAGGGAGAAAAAGCAATTAGAATGAAAATCAGTTGAGTATTTATAAATTACAGTTGTTTAAGTATACATCTTGTTCAGTGTAGTCAAAAATTCTCCATTGGTATTGACACCCACAAAAATGGTCAGATTCTGTTGAAGATGCACATAAGCCTTAAATTTCACTTCCTACTTTAAAAATTGGTGACGATGTGAAAATGTCTAAGAGAGTCCACATTTCCTGTTTTAGATAAGATGAAATAGCCACTCACCAAGGTGCCTGTCTTCCGAGTTTATTCACCGTTACATTCAAGACTTGCCTGCTCTGAAATTCTACTGTGACCTTAAAAGTGCCCAGCATTGATATGTTTTATGCCAAATTCTATTCCCTTTCTTGCTTTCCAGACCGAACAGCAAGCGAGTTGTCTGGACTGTCAGACACAACACTGTCCCTCTTCCCCGAAGTCTCTGTACATCCCTTTGCTGGTGCCTCCTTCTCCGTTCACTTCTCAACTACTACTGTCCTCAAGATGATGTTCTTTTTACCCTCCCACATCTGTGCCTGTAGTAATATGTCACTCTCTTCCTCCTGAAGTCTGAGTCCCATCCCCAGTCTCTCTGCTGATCCCCCAAGTCTGAGTGTCCACTCCCAATCTCTCCAGTGACTCCTCCCCTCCAAGTCACGGTGTGTATCCCCAACTTCTCCATTGCCATCCATACTGATATTTTGAATGACACTTCACGAGCACTCTTTAATGTAAACCCACACTTGGTACCATCACCATTTCCCTACCACAGTCTGTCCACTTCAAAGACAAGCTTCCTCTATCCTGTGATTATGTCACTCTTTGCCTTAGTCCATTCGAGCTGCTATGACAAAATACCATAAACAACAGAGATTTTTTTCTCACATTTCTGCAGGCTGGGAGTCCAACATCAAGGTGTGGGAGATTCAGTGTCTGGTGGGGACCCGCTTCCTGGTTCATAGATGGCGCCTTCTCCCTGTGTCCTCACGTGGTGGAAGAGGCAAGGGAGCTCTCTGGGGTCTCTTGTATAAGGACACTCATCCCATTCATGAGGGCTCCACCCTCATCACCTCCCAAAGGCCCCACCTCCTAATGCCATCCCCTTGGGGGTTAGATTTCAATATATGAATTTAGAAGGGCGGAGAGAAGCATTCAGAATTAGCACTGTTTAGTAGAAAAACATCAGGATTGTGTTCAAACATTTTTTTCCATGTTATCTTTCCTACTGCCTCCTTGTCTTCAGTTCCCTCCCCACCACCTGGCACCCAGATATCCTACCCTTGTCAGTGTTACCTCTATCCCCCCATCACTGTTTTGTTGTAGTAACAATATCTCACATTTGTCAAGCACTTGCTGTGTGCCAGGCATGATTCTAAATATTGACAGATGAAACTGTTTATTCCTACCAATCCCTAGGAAGTAGAAACAGCTCCATCCTCATTTACAGATGAGAAACCCAAGGTACTGAGAAGGTCCTGGCCTACCCAAGTCACTTCAAGGAGGTCATACAGCTGGGATTCAGAACACCATCCATCTGGCTTTGGAATCTTTCTCATTTTTTCATTTATTCAACATTCATTGAAAATAATGTAATAAAAATTATATATGTGTATCTATATCTACCTATAGATGCATATGTATATATGTATATATAGCTATCATGTGCTACGTGATGCTTTCAAATACAGTTGGCCCTCCATATCCTCAGGTTCCCCATCCACAAATTCAACCAACTGTGACTCAAAAATAAATTGGGGGCTAGGTGCGGTGGCTCACGCCTGTAGTAATCCCAGCACTTTGGGAGGCCGAGGTGGGTGGATCACCTGAGGTCAGGAGTTTGAGACCAGCCTGTCCAACATAGTGAAACCCCATCTCTACTAAAACTACAAAATTAGCTGGGCATAGTGGTGCATGCCTGTAATCCCAGTTACTTGGGAGGCTGAGGCAGGAGAATCACTTGAACCCGGGAGGCAGAGGTTGCAGTGAGCTGAGATCGTGCACTTGCACTCCAGCCTGGGCAATGAGCGAAATTCTTTCTCAGAAATAATAATAATAATAAATTGGAAAAATAATACATTGGAAAAAACAAAAATAACAATACAACAATTAAGATAATACATATATTTTTAATTTTTAAAAGTGGCAGTTTTATTAGAGCAAGTATGAAAATATGAATTAAGGTTGCAATGAGCAGCGCAGCAGAGAAGGGGCTGCCTGCCCTCCTCCCCCCGCCCGATATATATTTCATGTGTGGGACAGGGTCTCACTGCATTGCCCAGGCTGGAATGCAGTGGCATGATCTTGCCTCACTGCAGCCTCAGCCTCCTGGGCTCAAGCAGTCCTCCCACCTCAGTCTCCCCAAGTAGCTGGGACCACAGGAATGTGCTACCACACCCAGCTAATTTTTCGTAGTTTTTATAGTGGCAGTGTTTCACCATGTTGCCCAGACTAGTCTCGAACTCCTGGGCTCAAGCGATTCACCCACCTTCGCCTCCAAAAAAGTGCTGGGATTACAAGTGTGAGTCACTGCGCCTGACCTATTTATTGTTTTTTAAAGACAGAGTCTCTCTCTGTTGGCCAGGCTGGAGTGCAGTGGCACAATCATGGCTCACCGTAGCCTCAGCCTCCTGGGCACAAATGATCCTCCCGCCTCAGCCCCCCCCCCCCCCCCCCCCCCCCAGTAGCTGTGAGTGCAGGCACGGGCCACCACACTCAACTAATTATTTTTATTTTTTGTAAAGATGGGGTCTCATTTTGTTGCCCAGTCTGGTGTTGAACCCCTGGCTTCAAATGATCCTTCCACCTCGACCTTGCAAAGTGCTGGGATTACAGGCATAAGCCACCACACCCAGTGCCAATCTTAGTTCTTTGCTCGTTATCTGAATTTTCACCATATTTGCATACACCTGGAGTATTTTCTTAAATTGAAACAGTTGCTTTTTATTAGATATACCAATACCTGTTAGTTTACGAGTTTCATTTAGTTCTATTGTTCGCATAACATACATTTAAATAGCTATTAAATTTCAAACATTTGCCCTCACGCTACTTAAAATTATTTTGAGTACCGTCAGAAATGTGGAGGCCACAAGAGAGTACTTGAATGCAGCAGTTGTCACCTTTTCTCCAGCAGCTTGAGAAAGGGCATAGAGTGCTATCTGAGCTGGATTTGAACCAGAAGTTTTTAGGCAAAGTAAGAAGAGCACTTCAAGAAAAATAAAGAGCAAACCCCAGCATTTTTGAGGAGAATGCGCCATCTTGGTGATGCGGACCTAGGACACATGATGGCAGGAAGGAGGAAAAGATGCTGGCAAGTAGGGTTAGTGGCACATTAACACCAGCTGAGACACGGGAACCTGTCCAGTTAGAAGCCGTTGATTCATTGTTGAAAGATAAAACTGGATGTAGTGTGAGTAAAGGATGACCTGCCTGCTTGGTGAAAAATTAGTAACCACAGAGGTGGCTGTCAAAACCAACCAGCAACCAGGGAAAATGCTTATAGTGTGCTAGGTAAAAGAGAACAGGGATACAATATTCTGTGACCATGATGATTATACATAGAAATTAAGACGCACAGGCCAGGCGCGGTAGCTCACGCCCAGCAAGTAATCCCAGCACTTTGGGAGGCCGAGGCAGGTGGATCACCTGAGGTCAGGAGTTCGAGACCAGCCTGGCTAACATGAAATGAAACCCCATTTCTACTAAAAATACAAAAATTACCTGGGCGTGGTGGCATGCGCCTGTAATCCCAGCTATTCGAGAGGCTGAGGCAGGAGAATCGCTTGAACCTGCGAGGCGGAGGTTGCAGTGAGCCGAGATCATGCCATTGCACTCCAGCCTGGGTGACAAGAATGCAACTCTGTCTCAAAAAAAAAAAAAAAAAGAAGAAAGTAATTAAGATACATAGAGAAAAGGGACTGGAAGAAATCCCCCAATGTGAGAACAGGAGTTGTGTTGATTGTTTAACAATGTGAGTTAATTTCTCCATCTTCCAAATTGCTTTCTCTTATATTCCCAAAGTCATATCTTGACTTTTGTTTGAGTGTGATTTGCAATGGTGCTATCCGTCGTAAATCTCTGGTTTAGCATTCATGCTGTCTTCCAATTTCCAAATATTGAATCCAGAATTCATGAGTGTTCCAAGGTGCTGGAGACCACACTGTAGGGCTGGAGGACATGAGCGTCTCTGCACCTAGCTCTTCCTAGTAGCTGACTTGCAGCAGGAGCTGAGGCTTCTCCTGGCATCACCTCCACTACAATTCTCTGTGAGCATTTCCAGGAAGCAGCACCCCCTACCCTAGCCGAGGCCCGTCCAAGGTTGTCTCGTTGTCCTAGCCCGCCATTGCCCTGGGAGGAAGTAGCCACATGAGTTTATGGCCTGAGTAATGCTTTTCCCTCCTGGATGCTCCCCACATCTAGAGGATATGAAAATAGTCTTGGCAAGGGTGCCTGGTCTGCGCTTGTCAGCGGCCTGAGCTGTATTCAGCCACCACCCTTGGGGTCCAGGCCAGATGTTATGGCAAAACCGTATTTTAACGAGATCCTTCTGGTATTTCTTTTGGACGCCGTCCGAGGCAGCTTCATTTTACGCTAAATTCCATGTTATGGTGGGTCATCTCAAACAGGTCTGCAGCGCATAAAAATGTTCTCACTGCACTCTGTTTTCTGTAGCAAAATGTTGTTGGAGGTTAGGATGGGAGTTGAGGACTGGGCCTTGAGGGTTTTTTTCATATAAACACATTAAAATGGAAAGCTGATATGAACACGTTCAGTGATATAGACTGCAAAGGCAAAAAGAATTCTCCCCAGCATATTTTTTTTTCTTTTTACCATGGATGTAATTGGAGTTTACATATGATAAGAACTGCTTCTTGGGCAGAAAATGTAATCCTCTGGTGAGACTAATCCATCATTGTTGAAGTGAAGGGAACTGGTAGTGAATTCGCCCCACAGATGAAGATAGGATTTCTAATTCCCTCGCCTTTTCTGTTTACTGTTCCTAACTCCGTGAGAGTGTGCGTGTGTGTCTGTGTTTTCTTCACCATTTGATTTTTCATCCCGGCTCCCACTTCCTCATCCTTGGCCTCTCTCGCATCTTTATTTTTATCACACCCTCCCCACCTCCACCACCTTGTCCCAGCACTGAGAGGAAAGTGGGCAGCTTTCCAGGCAGCTGCAGTCCTGCTGGAGAAACCTTTATGATCCAGGAAATATTGACTGAGGAGAAGCTGTGCTGACTCCGCTATGAATAAGGAGGTTGGAAAACTGTCAGCATTTGCAGAAACAAAAGGAAGTGCTACATATACGTTTTGGTTTCATAATGACTGTATTGTAAAACCCCTTCTCTTTAGCCTACTAGATTGGACAAGTGTGTTAACCAGTGGCTGTTTGGTATCCATTGATCATAGAGCTAGACCAACAACCAAAGTTGTTTACCTCTCATAAGGTGGCTTTTGCAGGCGTGCCAAAATCATATTATGAAACTCCCAGCCACAAATTCTGACATGTATTTTCACTTCCTATCCAATAAGGGATATCCCCACCCCTTTACTCCCCGACTACTGTAGTCATAAAGGTACACTCCTAGTTCCTCCCTCTCTCTTTCTCAGCTTCTCGGTCCCTGTGTGTGATAAGGTTTCTTGTTGCCCTGTGTGGCATGGTGTGGCACGCCCCAGCATACTCCCTTCCTTGGGAACTGAGTAATAAATTCTTTCAATGGCATTAGCCTCTTTGTGTTGTCACTCAGTCACCTCCATAAATTAAAACCCTTCAGGTTTTGTTGGCACTGTAAGGTAATTTATTTTCTCTACATAGGATTTTAGAATTGAAAGGGACCTTGTAGATCATTGAATTCCACCTGTCCATGGGTCAGAAAAGGGAGCTGGGGAAACTGTTAGGGGGCAGATCCAGGCCTTGGAGCACCTGGTTAAATGTGTTCTCCCCATAAGCCTAAGAAATGGTACCAAATTCTTATGTCATTGCATCCAATATGGTCCTTCCTTCTTTCTTCTCTTCTGTTTCTTTCCTTTGCTCTCAAGACTGGTGTATCACTTTGTCTCCCAGGCTGAAGTAAAGTGTGTTTGTTATATTGCAGTGGTTTTTTATTCGTATTATTATCATCATATTGTTTTTTGTTGTTTTTTTCTGGATATTTTTGATCTGTGGTTGGTTGATTTGGTGGACGCAGAACTATCGGATATGGAGAGTCAACTGTATATAAAATCAGGTCAGCACACTTTTCCTGTAGAGGAGCAGATAGTAAATATCCTCAGCTTTATGAGCCATGTGGTCTCTGTTGCACCTACTCAACTCTCCCATTGTAGTGTGAAAATAGCCATAGACAACACATCAACTCATGGGTGTGGTTGTATCTCAATAAAACTTTATTTACACACACTGGCAGTGAGCCAGACTTGGTCTGTGGGCCTCAGTTTGCAAGCCCATGATCTAGGCAATGCACAGATAGCAGATGGTGTCCCTCAGCTTTGGATAGCTGTAAGTATTACAAGTATGTGAGTCTGTTAAATACTTAATAAAAATTCCAGTTTTAATGTTACAAATTGATACCCTTGGTATTTGTTTTAGCTGAAGATGCAAAACCAACTCCACAGCTGCCTGAGTATTAAATTCTACTTTTCTCTGCCAAATAAGCAGTATTTCTAAAGGCCAGTGATTGATAACTTAGCAGATTTTGCTGATGAATCAGGCCAACATTAGCTGAGCATAGTAGTACACTGTATAACTCAAATGGTTTGTGAAGTCATTTGTGAGGGGTGTGGTTTAGCAGTGTCATAATTGCAAGAAACGCAATACATGTACTTGGTTTGTTTTAAATGTTTATGTTGCCTAGTTAGATGAGACAAATTCTTATACAGACTGTTTCCTCTCTTGTGAGACTATTACACGTTTTATTCCAAATGGACAGGACTTTACATGGAAGATCCTACCATCCTTTATAAAATGTCATCCTTTGTGTAAGCCTTTCAGTTTATCATGATTATACTCTTTTTTTTCTCCCTGGGAATAATTTTACCTCATCTGGTTATGCTCTGTTACTGTGTGTTATGTTATCTAAGGTCTATGACCAATTGCATGCAGAGGGTGGCTTGCTTTTCAATAGCAACAACCAAGAACCAAGCAGAAATGTAAGGAGAGTAGAGCTGGGGGTAGTGGCCTTTCAGGGTGTCAATTCCCCAACCATGGTGGGGTTGATGGGACAATATTGGAAACATTTTTGGTTGTTACAATGGGAGTGTGCTACTGGCATCTAGTGGGTAGAGGCCGGGGGTGCTGCTCAACATCGTACAATGCATGGGACTGTGTCCCCCACAGCAAGGAATGAGCCAGCCTAAAAGTCAGCCATGCTGTGCTTGAGAAGCCCTGCTGTCAAGAGATTCATCAGGAATACGCCTCCTAAGTAGGTGGCAAGCCTAGCGTCTTCAGGAATGTCTCTAGGCTAGCCTACTGGTGACACCAAGGACACTAACCCATCACCCTCACACGATCTTTCATCGAGGTACCACCAAGCTCTTTGTTCTCCTGCCCTTTAACTACTTCTGCACCTGCCGCAGGGGCAGTCCTTGGTGCTTCGTTTATCATTGACATTCTGGTCTTTGTTCCTACGGATGTCTTGTTGGGCAGAAGAGATGTGTTCAGAGATGCGGGAAAGCTGAGGAGGCACAAGGCACCGAAGTCTCACCACTCTGGCAGACTGCATATGAATGTGCCCATTAGCCCTGGAGTCCAAGTGGGAGGGGTGAGATGCTGGCAGGTGTGGAGGCAGGCATTACCTTCCGCAGCACCCTGGCACCTGGTTCTGGCAACTGTGGCCTAAGAGGAAGTGGTCAAGCAGCCTCTAGTACATAGTCCTTGGGCATTGTCTTAGTTAGTATGGGCTATAACCAACACCTTAGACTGGGTAATTTATATACAACCAAAGTGTATTGCTCACAGTCCTGGAGGCTGGGAAGTCCAAGATCAAGACGCCAGCAGATTTGGTGTCTGGTGAGGTCCTGTTTCACATGGATGGCTCCTTCTGTGTCTTCACATGGTGGAAGGTGCAGGGGAGCTTGCTTGAGCCTCTTTTATAGGGACACTGATCCCATTCACGAGAGTGGATCCCTCATGATTTAATTGCTTCCTGAAGGCCCCACCCCTTAATACCGTCACTTTGGGGATTTGTCTCCCACATACAAATCTGGGGGGGACACAAACATTCAGAACGTAGCAGGCATCTTCCTGTCCCAGAATGAATATCAGAACTAGCAAATATCCTAGCAGCCATTTCATCTGACATCCTTATTGTTCCAACAAGGAAAGCTGGGACAGCAACCTTTCCACTCACTGTGGTCTCCTCTCCATCAAATGTGTTGGGGGTCTGGCTGCTGTCCCATCTATGTGTCTCATCAGCACCTCAAGGTACTTTTTATCCCTATATCACAGAGGAGGAAATGCAGGCCCAGCCAAATGAAGCGACATGGGCCAGGCACCAGTGGCAGAACGAGGACAGAACCCAGCCATCCTGCCTGCTGCTGACATTTTCTCCATCCAGCCCTCCTGCTTGCCTTCATGAGACCACATGGCCAGAAATCAGTAAGAAAATCTTGCAAGCAAATGGACTGAAAAACCATTGCTCTAGAGGCCATGTAGAGATCCATTCAGAGAAATGCAGCTAGTGAAAATTTCAGCAAATAGGAGGACTTCTGTTAACCATGGCATGGAATGCACATCTCCCAGGTCTTTATGAAGGTGCCTAATTTCCAGTCATGACCTACCCTCTCCAAAAGAGGACCCAAGCTGATGAAAGACCTTCGAGGTACCCCTGTAGAACTTTATCCTGCACATTTGTCATTGTGCATCTGCACAGGATATTCCTTTCGGCAGACGACTTTCAGCTCTTTGCAGAAGTCTCAGACGCCACATCCTTAGTCCATCTTTACTGGTTCATCTCTTTGTTCCAAGAAGACTTAATTGAATGTGGATACTGTTGTCCACACGATCTAGAAATGAAATCTGTGTTGGAGAGCATAATCATGTAGAGAGATAAAGTTATACAGCCAAAACATGTACTCAACATTAAAAACCCAGATGAGAGAGAAATCAAGGGCACACTCCCTCCGTGGGTTAGACTGAGCTTTGCACACCGTTCTTTGTGAGTTGCCTGAGCTGCACCCACGCTGGCTGCTGTCCAGAGCTGCCAGTGGTCTAGCTGAGCAGCCAGGTGGAAATGGAGTCTGTGTCCATGCAGGGAATTCAAGAATTTTGGTTCCTGTGCTTGTGGGTGGGTCTTGGAGTGTAAAGTAAAAAGCGGAATCTCGGAGTCACATAGTCTACGGTTCACAGTTTAGTTCAGCGTCATATCACATGATCCTTGGGCGGGTTACCTGATGTCTCCAATGTTTGTCCTTATGTGTGAAACAAAAACAGTACCAACTCCAAACAGCTGCTACAAAGACTGAGGTAGTGGACAGAGTGCCCAGGTTTGGTTGAAGATGGTAATGTGGTCAGAATCGGCTCTGTTTCACAGAGCATGTGACTGCAAGTACCAGTTCTGTGGCCCAGTGCTGCTTGCGGGAATGAATGAGTCAGAGTGGATGAATGAAATGTCCCAGGAGCACGAGACTTTCCTTCCACAATTGCTCCATCAGCCATGAGGTTTGCTTGTCAGGTGCCGTCATCAGCACATAATGCTGCATTCTGGTGCATTCAGTAGATGTTTCTAGATACTGTTTCATGGTGGCTAAGAGTGGTTTCTGGCACCCAGGCTTAGATCTCAGCCCCACCCCTACAAACTGAGCAACAGGAGGCTGTCAGTTACCCTCAAAAGATCTCAGAGACTGATTGATCAAGGGGAAAGCGGCAGTGACAGAATGATGCTGAGAAGCTTGAAGCCATTTAGTAGGAGCCACGTGAGTGGCCCCCATCAGCCGTGAGAGTCATGATGTCTATGAGAGAGGAATCACTGTGGCCCAGAGTAGATAAGGAAGATTCCATGTAGTGGATCGTCAAGCCAAGAATGCAGTGAGGTCCCGCTTTATCCATTGACTGGGGTTTTTCTCTTCCACACTTTGCCAAAGACCTCAATGATAAAAGCTTGCAGGTAAAACTCTGTATAGCATTGGCAGAGAATAGAGTCGTTGGTGAACCCAAGGGTGGGTTGCTTCATTTTGGTAGGAGTGGGTAGGAGAAAAGGAAGGTGGATAGAGAGAAAGCAAGTTAGAAGGAAAAGGTAAGGTTGTTGTAAACAGCCTTGGCTTATATCCTCCAAAAACACAGGGGCGGAGGAACCCTTGGGGATAGGGGAACCTGGAAGGGCGTCCTTTGGAACCTAATGTAGGCAGTTATAGTTCTGTAAAGAAATATGCAAGGCTCTGTGCAATTGATTGTAAAATTAATAGCAGCTACCCTATTACTCTGTTAGATAAATCTCAACTACACATTTGATATGTTCTTTACAACCTGGCGGTGGGGACAGAACAGAGGGTGGATTGAGGAGGAGGGAGAGTAGACAGAGAAAAGTGAAGTGTAAGAAAGCAGCAAGGAGAGCACAGCGCAGAGCTCGTCTCCTGGAGGAACATTCCCATCTGGTGAGCGTTTTGTTTATTGCAAGGTCAGTTTGCATTTGGATAAGGCGAGGCAGAAGGGCACTGATACGGAAGCAGAGGGAAGCCGGCTGCCACTGCCCCTCATTGGCTGAATGAAAGGCGGCGGAAGAGGAGCACCTGTCCAGCAAGGCTGACAGTCCTGCCTCCTGGGATAAGCAGATTCTCAGCCTGCAGAGTGGTCTAACCAGGGAGGTAGAGTGGCTGCTTTCCGAACTCCCTGCTTCCTGCTCATTTGCCTCATGCATGGAAGTTGTAAACAGTGTGAGAGTTGAAAGCCACACCATGGGAATGCCTTGGTGTCCACCCCACCTGTTGCCAGGAACCGAGCACTGGGGGTCCATGTTCCTCACACGAGATCCCCCCATGATGTCCACCTCCCAAGGATTTCAAGCTCCTGTGCACCCTCAGGCCGCCTCTGCACCAAGCAAAGTGACCCAGCCCTGCCAGGCGGGGTTGCCTGTTTTAGGAAACTCCCTGCAGCAGCCTAGGCTTGCTGGCAGTGGGATGCCACCTCCCTCTCTCTCCTTGATGAAGGGCTGTCGCAGCTTCCTCATCACCCCCAGACCTCCACATAGATGCCCTGCATCATTGCCTTCTTTCCTTGAAGCAGGCGCCATCCACAAGAGCAAGGCATGGCTTTCTGTGTATTCGGTCCTGACCCCCTTCCCAACAGCTTCATTCAAGAGCCTTCATCCAAAGCTGATCTGAAAACACCTTTAAATTGCCAAGCATCATTGATAGCAGCTTCCTAGAGCGGCAGTGAAAGAGATGCACTGGGGGAGGAGAGGAAAAGAGCCAGCATCAATTAGCAAAGAGAAAATTCCCAGTGTTTTGAGAAAATGACTCAGTGCCACACCAGTCAGTCCAGGACGGCCTCTTCTCCGTCTTCAGTTGTTGAGTTGTGATACACTTGCCCCGCGTGCCAGGAGGACTCAGGGTCAGCGTTTGCTGTTCCCTCATCTTGGGCTGAAGAAAGGTGCCCTGTGTGCTTTCAGGGGGTGACACAGAGAGGCTTCAGCATGAGCTTCTGCACAGTCTTACGAACCACGGAGTTTTGGTGGGGAGCCTGGAGCCAAATTTGAGTAACAGAAATGTCCAACCGGGGCATGCAGGGCAAACTATTGTCTGTTCTGCTTTGTTCTTAATAACACTGAAACGGTTCTACCATTTAAGTCCCTTGTTTCATCACATACCAATCCTGGTCTTCCTGGGTCTGAAGTCCCTCCCTCTCTCCCTGCCCTTTCCCACCTTACTGAACCCAAATCAGAAGCATCCCTGGGCATTCTGCAGCCGTGTCTGTCCCTGCAAATTAAGTGTGTTTGAAGTCTGCGGGCCACCTTCAGATCTCAATGGCTGCACCTCCCTCCTTCAATTCGGGTCTCACTCAACCTCAGCTTTCCCCTCTTGCCACAGGTTTTTCCCACTCGGCTTTCACGTTTGGGATTGAGAGCCACATCAGCCAGTCCAACATCAATGGGACGCTAGTGCCACCGGCCGCCCTCATCTCCATTCTCCAGAAGGGCCTGCAGTATGTAGAGGCCGAGATCAGTATCAACGAGGTACGTAGCTGCTGGGCCCGGCCCCCAAACAGCAGAGCCCTGGGAAGCTGCAGGAGCTTGGAACACATTGGAAGCTAACATGCATTTCCCTCAGGCATTTGGGATTAATTCCGCGGCAGGGTGCAGTGGCTCATGCCTGTAATCCCAGGACTTTGGGAGGCCGAGGCAGGAAGTCTACTTGACCCCAGGAGTTTGAGACCAGCCTGGACAACATGGTGTAACAGCATTTCTACAAAAAACAATTTTTTAATTAGCCCAGTGTGGTGGTACGCACCTGTAGCCCCAGCTCTCGGGAGGCTGAGGTGAGAGGATCAGATCACTTAAGCCTGAGAGGTTGAGGCTGCAGTAAGCTATAATTGCACCAGTACACTCCAGCCTGGGCAATGCAGTGAGACTCCATCTCTAAAATTAAAAAAAAAAAAAAAAAAGGAAGAAGAAGAAAGTAAGTTGGGTTCTTTTCCACTTTGTGTTAATACCGGTTGTGTGGACACACAGCAGCAAGCTTCCAGTGCCCCTCCCACATGGCTCTGTGTTTTTGACTTAAATGTAGAATCACTGGCTGTTAGTTGATGTAAACACTTACACCGCCACATCTGAAAAAGATACGGCAGATCTTCAGCTGCTCTGGGCTTCGGAGTGGACGTTTGCCTTGCACTTAATGCAGACTTGCTGTCTCTTCTTGATTTCTGGAGCAGGTTGGTTAGAGAGGGGCCCCACACATGGTCAGGTGGAATCTGTATTTCAGCAGAACCCGGCAGAGGGCATCACCAGAGGCTGCGTCAGGGCAGAGAGGTGATGGCTCTGGTGTTAATGAGGATCTCAAGGGATGCCTTCATTACCGGGCTCGTTGTAGAGCAGATGGGGTAGGAGGATGGAAAAATAAATGCACATTAAAACTGTGCACTTGGCTTGGAACCCCTCCCACTTTTTACATTGGTCCACAGTGAGGAGTTGTGCCAATTTTATACCAATTTTGGTTTTAAACCACACACCTCACCCTCTCTTGTCCCCTCCTATTCTGGTCTCATGATTCTGCAGTGAAGATCCCCTTGACTTCTGGGGAATAATGGGATCCACAACCTTTCTTGCCGCCTTCACCTGAGTCCCTATTTTATTTTTAGAGACTGAGTCTCACACTGTTGCCCAGGCTAGGGTGCAGTGGCACAGTCATGGCTTACTGCAGCCTCGACCTCCTGGGCTCAAGTGATCCTCCTGTCTCAGCCTCCCAAAGCACTGGGACCACAGACAGTCCCTGTTACTGATTTCTCAGTCCCCTGCAGCTTCCTCCCTCTGCTTCTCTTTCTCCTACTCTGACCCAGGCGCGTGATTCTACTGAACTTTTCCATACTGTACCGTCATCCATCCCACCTGGCAGTCACATTCTTCCAGGATTCCCTCTGTCCCGTCTTTCTGGGAACTGGTCTTGCCCTTACAAACCTTTCTCCTTCACAGCATGTTACACTGCTTTAAAAAACTCTTTTAGAAAATCACAAAGTAATAATATCCTGTTCTCTTTTTCTTTTCTTTTCTTTTTTTTTTTTTTTTTTTTTTTAAGACAGGGTCTCTCTCTGTCACCCAGGTGGGAGTACAGTGGTACAATCATAGCTCACTACAGCCTCAACCTCCTGGCTCAAAAGATCCTCCTGCCTCAGCCTCCTGAGCAGCTGGAACTTATAGGTACACACCACCACGTCCAGATAATTTTTTTATTTTTTGTAGAGATGAGGTCTCGCTGGTCTTGAACTCCTGGGCTCAAGCGATCCTCCCGCGATCCTCCCGCCTTGGCCTCCCAAAGTGCTGGGAGTACAGGCGTGAGCCACTGTACCCAGTCCCTGTTTTCTTTCTTGCACTTCTGCCTGCCATTTTTCGCAAAGCTGTGGCTTTCGAAACTCCGGTGTTTTTTCCTCTCTTGTGCTCCTTTTTCCCTGGCAAACCCCTTCACACTGTGTGCCCGGGATCTTCCACTGACTCCTTCTGGCCCTGTCTAGTTTCCTCACTGCAAAACACACACGTGTGTATCTAAGAGGACATGTCTCCAAGGTCCAGCCAGCCATCAGATCTCAAGGCGCCTGTGACTCTGTTTTTCTCTGCTCATTGCCTTCTACCTCTCATCTGTTGAGAAGCCTTCATAGTTGCCTTCCCTCGGCACTCCAGATTCCAGCACTCTAGGGGCTAATGAAAGACTGTCCCATTTGTCACAATGGTTTCTAATCATTAAAAAGTGAGACGCCAGGGGCGGTAGCACACATCTGTAATCGCAGCACTTTGGGAAGCCAAGGCAGGAGGGTTGCCTGAGGCCAGAAGTTCTAGACCAGCCTGGCCAATATAATGAGACCCTATCTCTACATAAAATAAAAAAAATTAGCCAGGTGCAGTGGCACATGCTCGTAACCCCAGCTACTCGGAGGCTAAGGCAGGAAGATCAGTTTGGTCCAGGAGTTTGAGGCTGCAGTGAGCCATGACTGTGCCCCTGCACTCCAGCCTGGATGACAGAGCGAGACCCCGTCTCTAAGGAAAAAAGAGAGACAGTGTGCCCGCGGAGTTTAAATGAGGACATGTTGTTACTACTTTGGACAGTTACCGCGTTTTGTCATGGGCTTGTTCATTTGGGTGTGAACATATGAAGGAGGAAGGGGGTGTGGGAGCGTCTTGACCCATCGGTCACCATTGTCCACTCCATGGCCAGAATCAAGGGCCAAGAGTGCCTGAGGAGGTGATGCAGCTAGTTCTTTACATAGGTTGTATTGTTTTCTTTATTTTGAATATTGTCTTGTAATCAGAAATCATCTGGAGTGATGTTTCATTTAGTTATTCTTCAGCTGAAACCTGAGCCTTTCAGTTCTTCCTCACTTCTGAAGTAATTCAGGTTCAGAGCATATAAACATGTGTTTGCACATCCAGATACAACCCCAAGGCTTACTGAGGTTCACCTGATTCGAATATCTGGCGTGTTTCACAAGGAAAGAACCTCCTGCTGTATTTTTAAACGTGTGTGGAAAGTTTTCCATGGTAAACGGAAATCAGAGAATCAAAGAATGGTCAAAAAAACATGAATCAAAACAAAATGATGTCAATTGTGTCATGGCTATGGTTAGTCTAACCCTGAACCCAAGGAGTCATTTCAAGTAGCAGCAAGTGCCTATTTTATTAAATCCCCTGGACAGATGGACTTGGAATCCAGGCCTAAATGCTGTGTGCATCTCATTTGGGCTCTGCTTCTGAAGCGTTACCCTCCCATATAATGGATGGTCATTTGCAGAGATTTTGCACAGTCGCGATAGCACGTGGGCAGGTCTTCTCCACCGCAGCACTCAGTATTTGGGGCTGCGTGTTTCTCTGTGGTGGGGCCATCCTGGGCACTGTTGGATGTTGAGCAGCGTCCCTGGGCTCCACCCACCAGATGCCAGGAGCACCTCTCCTCCCTTAGTTGTAACAGCCAAAAAAGTCTCCAGACGTTGCCTAATGCCCCCCAAGGAGTCACAGTCACCCCCCGCCCCCGCCACGTTGAGAATTGTGCCATCAGGGATAGCACTTTCTGTCAAGAATAAATGGCCTTTTTGTCCTCAATGCCCCAATTGGGTTTGACACTCAGAACAACCATCACACTTAGTTCTTACCAACAGTTTGTCGTGTCCCCTTCCCTGCCCACCGTGGGATCCCTTCACCCCAGGCTCCAGGTCCATGCCGCTTCCCCCGTGGCCCCCTGGTTGCTGGGAGCCAGCTGTTTACGCCCCACTTCCCTGCGCTTCTCCTGCCCAGAGAGCAGAGGCCATTCCCAGAGCCCTCACCCCCGTGAGCTGACAGCTGTACCTTGGCTTGCTTCCCCAGGATGGCACAGTGTTCGACGGCCGCCCCATAGAGTCCCTGTCACTGATAGACGCCGTGATGCCCGACGTGGTGCAGACGCGGCAGCAGGCATTCCGAGAGAAGCTCGCTCAGCAGCAAGCCAGTGCGGCGGCGGCGGCGGCTGCGGCCACGGCAGCAGCGACAGCAGCCACCACGACCTCAGCCGGCGTTTCCCACCAAAATCCATCGAAGAACAGAGAGGCCACGGTGAATGGGGAAGAGAACAGAGCACATTCAGTCAGTGAGTGCAGGGGCTCTGGGAGTTCGGTGGGCCTCTCTGGGTTCATTGTTTTCTTCTTGGGCAAATCCGAATGCCTTCTTAAAAACCTGCCTGCTATAAATGTCTTAGAAGCTGCTCTCTAGTGTTTGCTTACGATCTGGCCGGAAGAACTTCCCGTTCCATTTTTTCCATCACAACCCTTGGACCTGAGCTTCTTCACCCTCATCTTCAACTTTAGGAAATCGTGCTGCGCCTGCTAATCTGAGAACTCTCATGTAACACATGATTATTGCCCGTGATAAACAAAAGTGTTTCATTCATGGACACCTTTAGTCTCAGCCTCCAGCCTTCCATGTTGAGGGTTTTTGGCCAAATTATGGTATAATTATTGAGCTTGCAGTTCCTGCCAAGGGCACTGGGCCCCAGAGACTGGGCATAGGCTTATTTGGTCTTTGCAAAACCCCAGGACATCAGTCCCTGTTAGGTGATTGCCTGTGAGTATGTGGCCAGTCAGAGAGCCCAAAATTCTACCCAGAGAACCTGCTCCACTTAGACATACTGCTCTATACACCCGTAGGGACGCCACTTCAGGGTGCAAGTTCAGAGCGAGCATATGTGCCGTGCATGGCGCACCGTGTGCGCGCATGCACTTGCATGCACAGGTATGCATGGGTGCATATGTATGTTGTACATGTGTATATCTGCATGTGTATGTGCCTGTGTCTGTGTGCAAGTGTGTATGCATGCGTGTGCGTGTATGTGTGCGTGTGTGCGTGTGTGCGTGCACGCGTATATGCGTGTGCGCACCTGTGTTCCTGTGCGTGTGTGTGCACAAGTTTGTGTGCGTGTGTGTGCGCACGCACGCACACCTGTGCATGGTGTAGTGTATGTGTGTGTGTTCTTCCTTATTTGAAAGTTGTTGCCCTCGGAGCAGCCATGCAGCCCAGCAGTCCTTGAAGATCGAGCTGACTATGACGTTGCTGTCTTACCTGGTACGTCTTGGCTCCACAACTTCCTGGTGTGTAGAGAGCCAGCCGGCTGCCTCTGATGAGGCTGCAGCCCGAGCCAAGCCCTGTGACAAGTTACCATCCACAGGCACCAGCTAAAAAATTCTTGGAGAAGCAGATCCAGCATTTAATGGAAGGTTCACAGATTGTTAATAACGTTTCTATTGCAATAGGGTGACAGAAAGGCCACCTGCCTCAGGTAAAAGGAAAAGACCTCTTACCAGCCTTCTATTGATAAGGTCCACAATTGTGGGGCAGGAAAAGAAGAGTCTGGCCCTCCTCCTCTGTGCATGTGGCCAGAGTTCACCCTGGTTGAACTTCTGGAACAGCCACCCCAACCCCCTTCTCAAACCCTGCATCTTGTGCCTGACCCACAGCCCAGTCTATGGAGACAGGAGCATTGGAAGGCCGCATTTTGATAAGAATGAAAATACTGGCTGTCACTCCTGCCTGGAGTTACCAGGCCCCCTGCCACTGCGTGGCTGGCTAAGATGCCAGTTTCCCTCTTGCCATCACCAGGGACAGTGGGTCTGCCACATGCAGAAAGATGTTTTTCCTCTCTTCCAGCCAGATGACACTTTCAGAGCATGGAAGAAACACCAACATTGAAGAGTCCCATTGTTGTTTGAATCTTTTGTATCAGGCTTCTCGAGCTAAGCAGGACCACCAGGCGTTTTCTTATTTTTTACATAAACAGCACTCCTACTCAGTGACACGTAACCTAAGATCACATTGCTTCTGTTTCCTGGGTTTTCCACCAGAGCACCTTTACGAAAGACATATGACAAAGCATGCTCAATTCCTCACCGTATTGTGAAACTGTTAACCATGGCTAATTGTTTGATGATCAGGCTATATTGCTCCTTTCTCAGGAGCATAAACCAGGGTCTAGCAAACTTTCTTTACAGGGACAGACAGTAAATGTCCCAGGCTTTGAGGGTCATGCAGTCTCTGTCACAGCTGCTGAAGTCTGTCAGAGTGCAAAAACAGCTGTGAGAGTCAGCTCAGGCTGCCGTAACAAAAGGCCACACACCAGGCTGTTTAAGAATTTGCTCTCACAGTTCTGGAGGCTGGAGGACCAAGATCAAGGTGTGGGCAGGGCTGGTTCCTTTGCGAGGCCTCTCTCCTTGGCTTGTAGAGACTGTCTTCTCTCCATGTCTTCACGTGCTCGTTCCTCTGGTTGTGTCTGTGTCCTGATCTCCTCTTCTCATAAGGACACCAGTCCCACTGGGTTAGGGCCCACCCTTGTGACCTCCTTTTACCCTGCTCACCTTTTCAAAAGCCCTATCTCCAAATACAGCCACATTCTGAGGCCCCTGGAAATTGGGGCTTCAAGATATGAATTTTAGGGGGACATAGTTTAGCCCATAACAGTAGCCATAGACAATTTGAAAACATGGGCAGTGGCTGTGTGCCAGTCACACTTTATTTATGCAGAAGCAGCCAGGGACTAGGTTTGGATCATGGGCTGTAGTTAGCTGGCCCCAGTTACAAAAAATAACTGTCACCCAGGCTGGGGTACAGTGGCACAATCATAGCTCACTACAGCCTCAATCTCTTGGGCTCAAGTGATCCTCCCACCGCAGCCTCCTGAGTAGCTGGGACTACAGGTGTGCACCACCAGGGCTGGCTAACTTCTTGTTGTTGTTGTTGTTGTTGTTTTTATAGAGATGGGGTCTTGCTATGTTGCCCAGGCTGCTGTTGAACTCCTGGTCTCAAGCAGTCCTCCCTCCTCAGCCTCCTGAGGCACTGGGATTTTAGGTGTGAGCCACTGCACTTAGCAAACTGTTTTTATTCCTCAATGAAATTTAGAGACTGTCAAAATGTAAAGAAACCTAAAATATTTACTAAATTGCACTAAAGCCACGATTTCGTTAGAATCATCAGAGGTAGGCCGGGCGTGGTGGCTCACGCCTGTAATTCCAGCATTTTGGGAGGCTGGGGCAGGTGGATCACTTGAGGCCAGGAGTTTGAGACCGACCCTGGCAACATGGTGAAACCCCGCCTCTACTAAAAATACAAAAATTAGCCTGGTGTGGTGGCACATGCCTGTAATCCCAGCTGCTTGAGAGGCTGAGGCATGAGAATTGCTTGAACCTGGGAGACGGAGGTTGCAGTGAGCCGAGGTCGTGCCACTGCACTCCAGCCTGGGCGACAGAGCAAGATTCCGTCTCAAAAAAAAAAAAAAAAAAAGAAAAGGAATCATCAGAGGTAGTATTTAGTACATAAAAAAAATGTTTCTGGAAACAAAAGAGCCCTTTAAGTGTGTTTCTCTTGTATTGGTAAGCCACTTGTCTCTTTGTGTTTGCTGTGACAGATAATCACGCGAAGCCAATGGAAATAGATGGAGAGGTTGAGATTCCATCCAGCAAAGCCACAGTCCTTCGGGGCCATGAGTCTGAGGTGTTCATTTGTGCCTGGAATCCTGTCAGTGATTTGCTAGCCTCCGGGTAAGGATGTCAGGGTGGGGGGCGCTCCAGAGTTGGGGAGATGGGAGATGCAAGCTGCTCGCCCTTCTCTGGAGTTCTGCCTAAAGGAACACACACTCCCCTTCTTACCCCGGTGTGTGGGCAGACCAAGGAATGGGTGGCTCTATGAGCCACTTCTCTACATGTCTCATATTGTGGAGAAGCCATAGTTCCAAGTCGTTTTCTCCATGTGGTGGTGAGGAACACAGCAGCACTTAAATTACCAAATGCAAAGATGGCAAAGAGGGAAACAGGGATCCAGAGGGATGAAAAAGACAGAAGAGCATGTGCTGAAGATGCCCTCTGGCCAGAGAGCAAGCTGTGGAGAGCTTCTTATCCCATTTGAACCAAACACCAGAGGCTCCTGTGTTTTTATTCTGTAGATCTGGAGACTCAACTGCAAGGATATGGAACCTGAATGAGAATAGCAACGGGGGCTCCACCCAGCTCGTGTTGAGGCACTGTATACGAGAGGGGGGCCATGACGTCCCGAGTAACAAAGACGTCACCTCACTGGACTGGAATGTAAGCATCTTCCACCCCCTGGGCACTTTGAAATTGGTAAAATCGGCCAGCCACCAGGCAGGGGCTGCAGCAATGGAGCCCATGCAGACATAGGAGGCAGGTGGTCCTGTGTGCTCAGCCCCCACTCTGATGGGCTGCCAGAGAGGTGTTCTTGGCTTCTTTTTTTATTTTGAGACGGAGTCTTGCTCTGTTGCCCAGGCTGGAATGCAGTGGTGTGATCTCAGCTCACTGCAACTTCTGCCTCCTGGGTTCAAGCGATTCTCTTTCCTCAGCTTCCCGAATAGCTGGGATTACAGGCTCATGCCACCACACCTGGCTAATTTTTGTATTTTTAGTAGAGATGGGGTTTCACCATGTCGGCCAGGCTGCTCTCGCACTCCTGACCCAATGTGATCCGCCTGCCTCAGCCTCCCAAAGTGCTGGGATTATAGGCGTGAGCCACTGCCCCCGGCCAGTCTTGGCTTCTAAGAGCTATTAACAAGGCTGCATTTGGCAGGCAGTGAGCTGTGTATTCAGTAGCCGTATCTTTGCACGTGAGCATGCCTTAGCAAAATGAGCCTGTGGCCTCATGGTGGGAAGGTAGGCTGGGAGCCCCAAGGTAGTTCTTCTGGAGAGATACGTCGTGCAGCCCAGGAAAGGTGATTCTCCACCTTGGGATTTCAGCACCAGGTGTTCTGTGCATTGACACATGGGATGCACACAGTTTGACTGCTTTTTATTTTCTGCAAGGTCTTACGATAGCTTTCAGCATGGTATTTTCAATTCTGTCATTAAAGAACACGCAGTGGCAAATGGTTCCAGTGTACCTGGATCCTCGGAGAGGCTCTCCGAGCTGCTTCGGTGCTGCCGCTCCTAAGTTGTTTTTGTGGGGTTTTGTCTCTTTCTGGCCCTCAGACCAATGGAACACTCTTGGCTACGGGTTCATATGACGGTTTTGCAAGAATATGGACGGAAGATGGTGAGTTCTGTGTCCCTCGTGCTGGGGTCGGGTAAGAGGAGCTGCCGAACTTAACCCTTGAGTGAACAGACCATGACATTGAGGTCAACATGTTTGTTTTTACTAACAGGTAACCTGGCCAGCACCTTAGGCCAACATAAAGGCCCCATCTTTGCCTTGAAATGGAACCGAAAGGGGAATTACATTTTGAGTGCTGGTGTAGACAAAGTGAGTATTAGCTGAAAATACATCCCTTTGATCTATAGGTGGTTATATATTTTTAATCTCAAAATAACATCGTGGTTTCTTGGAACTCGTAGGCTTTGTGCTTCCCCTTAAGAAATGAAAATGATTTGTTTAGGCTTTGTTTTTGTGGTTTTGATCTTTCTGTTCATTTGTGACACATCATCTCTTAATATATTCTGCTGTTCTGCAGACCCTCGTGCAAAGCTTCCCTTTATTTGAGGTACATGGTTCAGTGGTAGAGAGAGGACAATCTCCACATTGCATTTGTCAGTTGCTGGAAGGAGCCACGTGGTATGGGGCGTGCCCTGCCTGAACTTGCACCCACTGAGGGGTGAGTGGCACAGGCTGTGTGTGTTCTTCAGGCTTCGGCTTTCCTCATTTGATAAACTGCTGCTTCCCACCGTAGACCGCAGATTTCTCTGAGTAGGAGTCAAGCAACCTGGCTACAAGGGCACGCTCTTCCGATGGCCCACAGAGCCAGGTTAGAATTGACTTGCTCTGCACCTGGGCAGGGCTGCAGGGAGACACGGTAGTGTTAACTCCAGGTGCATGTAAAAGCCATCAATGGGGTGGGAACCCAAGGGCAAAGAGTAAGGGGACGCAGACTCCATCCTGGGCCCGAGTCTGATCCAGCCAGCAACCTCGGCCTCTGTGCATTTCACTTTCCTCACTTGTCCAGCGACAAGGCTGGCTGGAGTCATGAGCGGAGACAGCCTTCATGGAACAGTTGTGCGTTCCCGAGACTCAGCAGGAATTCTAAGTCATGGCTTTGGAAAAGAAGCATTATCTAGAATTGAGAAAAAAAAAAAAAAAAAGACGTGTTTTCACATGAATTTGTGTTTCTACAACAACTGGAAACCATGCCTGAATACTGGAGGATGCTCGGGCCTCCACAAAGCTTTGCATTTTGTGGTGATTTCAGGATAACTTGAAAACTTACTAGGTCTTGAAGTTCGAGACCAGCCTCGCCAACACAGTGAAACCCAGTCTCTACTAAAAATGCAAAACTTAGCTGGGCATGGTGTCGGGTGCCTGTAATCCCAGCTACTTAGAGACTGAGGCGCGAGAATCTCTTGAACCAGCGAGGCAGAGGAGGTTGCAGTGAGCCGAGATTGCGCCTCTGCACTCCAGCCTGGATCTGGAAGAAGAGTGAGACTCTGTCTCAAAACAAAACAAGACAAAACAATACAAAACAAAACCTGAGTCAGAGCTCTCTGTTCTTTCTAGTTCTGAAAGTTATAAAATGATAGAGTTGGCCGGTCGTGGTGGCTCACGCCTGTAATCCCAGCACTTTGGGAGGCCACGGCAGGCAGATCACCTGAGGTCGGGAGTTCGAGACCAGCCTGACCAACATGGAGAAACCCTGTCTCTACTAAAAATACAAAATTAGCTGGGCGTGGTGGGGGATGCCTGTAATCCCAGCTACTCAGGAGGCTGAGGCAGGGGAATCATTTGAACCTGGGGTGAGCCCAGATCGCGCCACTGCACTCCAGCCTGGGCAACAAGAGCAAAACTTCATCTCAAATAAATAAATAAATAAATAAATAAATAAATAAATAAAATGATAGACTTGACCTCTGAACATCATCCCACTTTGGGAGAAATTGCTAAATGAAATAATTGAATTTGGCAAACTGTGGCCCACATAGGCCAAGTCTGGCTCCTCACCTGTTTCTTAAATTTAAATAAAGTTGTATTGGGACACAGCCACACCCCTTTGTTGAGACTTCTCCATGGTTGCTTTCATGCTACAATGGCAGAGATGAGCAGTTGCAAGAGAGACCAGATGGCCCTCAAAGCCTAAAATTCTACTACCTGGCCCTTCACAGAAAAAGTTTGCGGACTCTTGCACTAGGGTATAACTAGGTCAACAAATCATTCATTCATAATTGCTCTCCCTCTCTTTTAAGCCAAGAAACCTTTCAGACTTAGTAGCCTGGTTTATGATATTTTAAAAGCTGAGTTGCTGTGGTTGACACATAAACGTTCTCATGTAGCTACTATCAGATCTTTGCCAAGATGTTCTAATTCAAGTAACATGCATACGCAGCACTTTGCTGTGCATTCAGTAGGCTCTCAGTAATTGCTGCTTGAGTTATTAAAATCACTCATGAAAATGACAGCACTTTTCTTTATCAAGCAGTTCACTACTGCATGTGTTAATCCATCCGGTACTGCCAAGATAGGAGGCAGGCACAAGTATGATCACTCCCATTCTATAGAGGACGAACTGGAGGCCTGGAGAGGGTTATTAATTTGCCTAGGGACACACAGCTGGTGCAGAGTACAGAGGGATGGGAACTCAGACCCTGGTCACCAGTAACTACTGCCCTTTAACTTCCGTAGAATTCTAAATAGCTGTTTGTTTCCTGGCCTCCTTCCTACCTGGAGACTGTTAACATTTGTGATTGTTTTTCTCACTGATTATCAGTCTTAACTCCACCAGGTGATGGACTATGTGATCAGTGAAAATGCATATGTGGAATTATGTTAGTCTCTTGGGCTGGGTACGATCCACCATCATTACTTAGTCAACCACAGCAGGAGTGAAAATAACATCCTTGTACATAACACTCAGGGAGAAAATGTAACTTAGGGGATGCTGGTGTTGACCAACACAGAGTGACTAAAATATATGTCACATTCTTCAAATGTTTGCATAACTGTTTTCTTTTGTCCAATGTACATTTAACATAAACATCAACTAAGAGACCAGTCGCTGATGTAATATGTGAAATGGTATCAGAACTGTGAAAGAGTTTATATATTCTCTGCAGTGTTAGATTTGTTTTTGCATGGCTAAATTAAGAAGAGTTATACCCCAACAAAGAAATGTTAATTGGTCTAGAACTGACCCAAAACCCAGGAGTACCAAGTTTCAAAGACACTCACTGCTTGCTTTCCTCTGAAAATGTCTACAGTCAACACAAAATAGAACTCTTTCTTCTTAAAGCAAAATCTTGACTGAGCGTCAGTAACAGAGAGGTGTAAAGTTTCCAATTAAGTTGAAAATTCCAGTTGATGAAGACGTAACTCCAATGCTATTCATTGAGCTGGTTCTCTATCTTCCTAGCGTCAGTAAATTCATAAAAATTCGTGATTTCCTTTGCTTTCCAAGGGAGAACTCAACCTTTCTACTTACTGTTAGACCAGTACATTGGTGCCTGGCCCCAGTGCAAGCCAATGGCTCTGCCATGTCTAGTGCCCCCATTTCATGGAGGGATGGGCAGAGGCATTTTCAGAAATGCTCGTCTCTGCAGCCCTTCACTTGGAACAAATGCCACAAAGATCTCTGGAGATGCTTTGTTCCAGGTTTTTCAACAGTTTCTGCATTTGGGGATGAGGAGGAATTCCTACCAATTTTGGTAGTTCTTGCAAGTATTGGTTAGGGATGCTCTGTCCTTAAACCCATTTATGCCTAGTTTCCATTATCGGAATGCTGAGCATGTGGGAGTTATTTATATCCTGCTGCTCAGGGTCATCGCCAAGGTCTGATTGCAGAAATTCAAAAAGTTGCAACCTCAGGCATAAATGAGTTAAGGGAGATGCCAGCATATGTGGCTGATAGGTTCATCAAATGTGGCCGTCCAGATTGCTGAGTTTAAAACATGCTGTACTTTAATGATGTGGTATGGGAGAAAAAGAAGGCAAATATCCCAGTAAGGTTTTGATACTGATTACATGTTGAAATGGTAATATTTGGGGGCATGTTGGAGTTAAATATAATAGATTGCTAATGAATTTTACCAGTTTCTTTCTTCTTAATGTGGATCCCAGAAAATTGAAACTAGCCCATAAGGCTCACTCTCTATCTCTATTGGACAGTGCCGGTTTATAAGGAGAAGGGCTGTCTTTTCTTGTATGATAAATGTTTCCAGAGAAAACTTTGCCAGAATAGTTACTAACTTTTTCCTTTGTTTGCGGAACACAGACAACAATAATTTGGGATGCCCACACAGGAGAAGCCAAACAGCAGTTTCCTTTTCATTCAGGTGAGTTTTTTGTTGTTGTTGTTGTTGTTTGTTTTTTTGTAATTCAAAAATAATAATTCAGGTCGAGCCCAGTGGCTTACGCCTGTAATCCCAGCACTTTGGGAAGCCGAAGCAGGTGGATTGCATGAGGTCAGGAGTTCAAGACCAGCCTGGGCAACATGGCAAAACCCATCACTACAAAAAATACGATAACTAGCCAGGCGTGGTGGTCCACACCTGTAGTCCCAGCCACTTGGGAGGTTGAGGTAGGAGGATGGCTTGAGCCCAGGAGATGGAGTTTGCGGTGAGCCAAGATTGCGCTACTGCACTCCATCCTGGGCGACAGAGCCAGACCGTGTCTCAAAAACTACTAATAATAATAATCCAAAATTAGGCTGGGCACTGTGGCTGATGCCTGTAATTCCAGCACTTCGGAAGGCTGAGACAGGAGGGTCACTTGAGCCCAGGGGTTCTAGACCAGCCTGGACAACAAAGCAAGACCCCGTTTCTACAAAAAATATAAAACATTAGTCGGGTGTTGTGGTACACACCTCTAGTTTTAGCTACCCAGGAAGCTGAGGCAGGAGGATTGCTTGAGCCAGGAAATCAAGGTTGCAGTGAGCTGTGATTGCACCACTGTATTCCAGCCTAGGTGACAGAATGAGATCCTGAGATGCCCCTTAAAGTAACTGAATGCGCCGAGTATGGAGCCCAGGAGGCCTCATTGGTCAGAAGGAGACCCATTTTGTGGCAAGCATTGATTGCTCTTAAGGTTTGCAAGATAGAGATGACCTCGGCACCCACCTGCTCAGAGCTCTGAAACACAGCAGTGAGCCAGCCACAGAAGCAGTGCGGGCTCCTTTCTCTTGCTGTTCTAAAGGGATGCTGTTTTGGGGGCTCCCTGAAACCACTCCCAGGATTGGTGGTTTGCTGCGAGGACCCCCAGGACTCAACATACTCACAGCTAAGATTTCTAACAGCACAAGAATTTAGTGCAACATTAGCAAAGGGAAACGGTGCACACGGCCAAATCCAGAGCTTCGAAGGCTCCTCTCCCAGTGGACTCTCACAGGCCATGCTGAATTCTTCCAGGAATAAGTTGTAACTATGCCTGTGAAGTGTTTTATACCAGGGAAGCTCCATAGAGTCTCAGTGCCCAGAGTTTTTATTGGGGGTTGGCCGTGTAAGCACCCAGTGCCTAGTACAAGCCAAAACTGCAGACCCCCAGAAGGAAAGCAGGGGCACAGCATAAACACACTGTTTGCACAAACAAGTGTTAGCAGAGTGAGCCGCTTGCGTCTGTTAGGGGAGGGTGGGAACTCTCCGGAAATCTAAAATCTCAGTCGCTAGCCAAGGGCCGGCCTTGCAAGCAAGCCTCTGTAGGGAGATCAGCCTCGGGCCTGTGGTGTTAGCACCTTCCTACACAGATGTGTGGCCGCTGCTCTGGAGCCAACTACATCCCTTTGTGCACTGGAGCCAGGCCAGGCCACATGCGTTACCCAGGGCTCTGGAGTCTGTAGAGATTCCGATTTTCCAGATTCCCACCTGATTCTTCGTGGGTCGTTTTGGGTTTTTTTGTTTGTTTGTTTGGAGACAGAGTTTTACTCTGTCACCCAGGTTGGAGTGCAGTGGTGCGATCTCAGCTCATTGCAGCCTCCGCCTCCCATGCTCAAGCGATTCTCCTGCCTCAGCCTCCCGAGTAGCTGGGATTACAGGCATGCACCACCAAGCCCAGCTAATTTTTGTATTTTTAGTAGAAACGGGGTTTCGCCATGTTGGCCAGGCTGGTCTCAAACTCCTGACCTCAAGTGATCTGCCCACCTCGGTCTTCCAAAATGATTCTTCATTTTCTTTCCCACCTCCCTCCTCTGTGTAACTCAGTCCTGATGTTAGACGTGGCCTCTTAAAACAAAGACAGATGGCCACCCGCAGAGCTAATAGACTATTGGAAGTCTTTAGACTGGCTTAAAGTGGACAGAAGTGGGTAGGTGCCACTTCCCTTAAGGGCAAATGTCTGATCCGTCTTGAAGGAATCCCTAAATATGTGGGACGAAAGTTAACTATTCTATCAGCTGTCCCTGGGGCATTGTCCAGGAGGAGATCTGAGTGTCTTTCTTGTCATGCAGCTTGGGGTGCTTAAATGATGTTCTGAATGGGAGGGCTAACTGCAACAACCATCCAAGGCAGAACAGCCATCGGCGCCTGGGGAGGGCTCCAGGCAGGGGACATGGGCCCTGCAGGAAACAAGACCATGAACCGAAGGTCCCGTCGAGGCACGATTGTGTTAGATGCATAGGCACCCACGTCTGTTATATTCCATGCAGTACTTCAGCAGGGACTCCTCATACAGGCAGCTCAGAGAGTGAGGGAGACTCAGGGAGGACGCTGTTTCTGCTCTGCTGCCCTGGAGAGGGAGAGCCACTCCTGCACAGCTTGGGACCCACACCAAACACACCTCTCAGGGTTGCCGGTGAAATTTGTTACTGGTGTTGCTTTAATTGACACTGTTGATGAAGGTGCTGAGCATACGAGAGACAAAAGGCTCCCAATGCAGGTAGCACGTGTACTAGGTCCTCCAGAAAGTGTTCTTCACCCCAAAGGGAAACCCTGTACCCATTCCATCTTTCCCTGGCAACTCCACCTACAGCCTGTGATCTGTGTGTCATCTCCATGCCAGACACTTGCTACTCTGTGCTCTAGACTGCAAATCAAAGCAGGTGGCTAGTGAGAATAGCCTTCCTAATGGAGTTCCGTCACGTTTGGCTTAAGTGCCAAAACCTACCTTTGTAGGCAGGAAGGATGCTATGACAGGTTCACAGCCCTAGACACGCAGACCCCGGGGGGTGAGGCAGGGATGTCTAATGCAGAAAGCTCTGGCTTCTGTTTTTCAGAGAAAAATATGCCCGAGGTAAACATCAATAAGGTTCCTCTAACACTTGTGTCTTAAGAATTCATCTGTAAAGTATTTCAGCAGAAAATAATCTTTCCCAAAGTGTCCCCAGGCCCTATGGAAGGGTTTCCTACCCAGCTGACCCAGGAAGACCACAAACCACATTGTTCTGAATTGCGTGAGCTTCTCACCTGTGATCTGGCTGGCCATGAGGTAGACCCAATTCCCGTCGGCAGGTCAGACATATCTAGGCGTTACTTGCTCTCTTTTTGGTGTCAATCAGTGTGTTAAAGAACGTTCAAAATGAAGAGAAAGAAGCTCGCTCTTCCAGGTGAAACGCAGCTGGGAAGAGCTGTGAGGAGCGCCTTTCTGTGGCTGTGGCAGGTTTGGTGTTTAATGGGGCGATAGGAGACATTGCCTTGCCCCACTAGCTTTTCCCCAGTAACACCTCGTGGGGGCGCCCTTGGTCACCGTCGGCAGGAAGCCTTAGCTCAGAGCCTCGTGGTGGAGTGAAACTCGGCCGCAGAAAGGAATGAACTATTGATGCACGACAGCCAGGAGAGATCTCAAGGGCATTTTGCCGAGTGACAAAAGCCAGTCTCAGAAGGTTGCATGCTCTGTGCTTTCATTGATGTAACGTTCTCATAATGCTAAAATGCTAGAAACCTGGGACCCGTCAGTGCTGTGGGAGTTGAGGGAGCATGTGAGGAGGTTGTGTGCCGATACAGTAGCTGAGGGAGATCTTAGTGGCGACGGAACACTTCTGGGTCTCAGTTGCAGCGATACACATCTACCCATGTGATAAAATGACAGCACTCTACAGGCAAATTGCACCAGTGTCAGCTTGCCAGCGTCGATACAACGCTACGGCTACGCGAAATGTAACCCTCAGGAGAACCTGGGTGAAGGAGACACAGGACCTCTCTGTGTTACCTTTGCAGCTTCCTGTAAATCTCTAAGTATTTCAAAAGGAAACTGACTGGCTGGGCCCAGAAGAATGAGGGCTATTGAACCAAACTGGCCTATGCATGGGAGGGAGGGCACAGAGGCCCCCAGTGTAGCTCAGCCCTCTTACCGGCCATTCACCCACATGGTTCCAAGCATTGTGGCTGCAGGAGCTGACTCAGAGTGGGGCTAACCACCTGAGCACGGGGGAGCCTCTCTTTAGATCAGGAATGTCCAGTCTTTTGGTTTCCCTGGGCCACATTGAAAGAAGAATTGTCTTGGGCCACACATAAAATACGCTAACACTAACAATAGCTTGATGAGCTAAAAAAAAAAAAAAAAAAAAAAAAAAAGAAGAAGAAAAAGAAAACAACTCTTAATGTTTTGAGAGAGTTTACAGATTTGTGTTGGGCCACATTCAAAGCCATCCTGGACCGCGGGTTGAACCAGCTTGCTTTAGATGGAGGAGTCATCAGATGCTGGTCGCCATCTCTTGGACCGCTCACCAGATTGTCACATTTCCAGGTATATTAATCACATGCCGAAATGCAGAGGCTGGACCAGAAGTTTGCTGTTTAGCTCAGGCGATGTTGTAAACGAGAACGAAGAAAATGCGTCAAGAACTGTGGGGCTGTCATGAAACACGCTGCTGGGGATGGAACAGAAGAGATGATCTCAGATGTGGAAAAGACCATTGCTGACACCCGCGTCCTCCCACCCACACCTTCCGCCTGCAGGGGGAGCTGGATGGGGAAGCGAATGGGGTCCCTGTGCTTATGGAGGATAAACACATGGAGGCTTGCACCTCTTATTTGAAGACCGAGGAAGAATAGGGGCAATTGATGGTTAGTATTCAGAGAAAGCTGGATTCTTCTCAGTTCAGCGCTGACTGCCTTTAAGAAACACACATGGCTGGGTGCGTTGGCTCATTCCTGTAATCCCAGCACTTTGGGAGGCCAAGGTGGGAGAATCACTTGAGCCCAGGAGTTTGAGACCAGCCAGGGCAACACACCAAAACCCCATCTCTGCCAAAAACATCTTTGAAAAAATGAGCCAGGCTTGGTGGCGTGCACCTGTCATCCCAGCTACTAGGGAGGCTGAGGTGGGAGAATCACCTGAGCCCAGGAGATTGAGGGTACAGTGAGCCAAGATTGTGCCACTGCACTCCAGCTTGGGTGACAGAGTGAGATCCTGTCTCAAAAAAAAAAAAAAAAAAACTGGGCATGGTGGCACACATGTATAGTCCCAGCTACTCGAGAGACTGAGGCAGGAGGATTGCTTGAGCCCAGGAGTTCGAGGCTGCAGCGAGCTATGATTGTGCCACTGCACTCCAGCCTGGGCAACAGCAAGACTTCATCTCCAAGAAAAAAAAAAAAAAAAAACTCACATAAGATGAGTTTCTATATTGGTCGATTGGTAAGGACATGGTGGCCAGAGCCTGGCAGAAGCTAACCCTCTCTTTCCCCTAGAAGCAATGCTTCATTATTGGCTAATTCAGTGTTTACAGCTACCTTGGAGAACATAACTTGGCAAATAACAGAATGGACCATAGTATCTAGGAAAACCAATGAGAGTTCTTGGCTGGGCACACTTGTAGAGTTGCCCTAACCCTGCTGCCTCCTCTCCTGGGGGCATCATGGAGCCCACTCAGTAGCTAAAAGTAATTTCCATGGGCTTGCATGGGAAGCGCAGGGTTACGAGAGGTGGTCAGATGCGGACGACTAGCTCTCGAAGTCCCAAGCTCTCTGCCCCGTAAGGCATTACCCCCTTAAATTAGCATGAACCCTGGGAAGGGAGGCACTGTCCCTCCATTTCACATGTAATGGAGCACAGTACTTTTCACACCCCTAAATCATTCCTTTTGATAGTCAGGGTTCCGGACACGGGGCTGGTTGTGGAGGTCCTCTCCACACAAGAAGCCTCATGATGATCCTTAATAAGAGGGTGGGGTTGCTCAGAACCTTCAGGGGAAGGGAAGAGATCACCAGAGAAGGGAAGGGAAGAGATCACCAGAGAAGGGAAGGGAAGAGATCACCAGAGAAGGGAAGGGAAGAGATCACCAGAGAAGGGAAGGGAAGAGATCACCAGAGAAGCCGCCTCTTCCCCTGTGCCCTTCTGTCTCGGCATCGCATGGCCTTTTCTGCTGCTCATCAGTTCTCTGGCATGAGGTGGGAAGAAGCCCAGGGAACATGATCTGCTGGTGTGGCCCCCGCAGTGGAAAGAGACCGGAGACCTGAGCACAGCGCCCTTCCTGGCCCCTAGGAAGGCGGGTGACCCCTGCAGTCCGTGGACGCCTGAGAGGAGGTGGAACAGATGCTCGCTCCCAGCCGCAGACCCACTCTCTGCTAGAGGACAGGAGTGAGCAGTTGAAGCCATGCTTCCCCAGAAGCAGAAGAGGATGAGAGTGCACGGGGGCCCCCACCGTGGGAACTTCCACACCTCCAGCGCACTCCCTGTCCCGGGCACTGCTGATCTCCTGAGATGCCTCGGCTCTCTCCCCCTTGTCTGGGGCTGCTTGCAACATCCACATCTGTAGCTGAGACTCCAGGAAGCCGTCAACCTGCAGCTGCACATCAGTAAAGAGGCAGAACGAGGAATGAGGTCCATTTGCTAGGACTTCAGTGCCCTTGCTGTCACCTGTGCTTCCAGTGCCTCTCAGGGCATGGTCCAGCCCTGTGGAGGCAGACGCTCTGAGGACAGAACCAGGGCCTGGCTTTTAGCGAGTGCCTTGGCCATTTTGGTACATTGGGAAGTTGTTGGATTCCCAGCTGCCATCCTAGAAAATAAATCAGAAGGTAGAGAATGAGACCCATAGCTGTAACTAAACTACAAGGGGAGGTCAGCTCCCCGTTGTTCTGTCTTTGTGACCCTGAACCACCTGGACCTGAGAAAGGCCCAAAGTCAGGGAGGGTGTCGGTCACAGGCCCTGAAGTGTGCGTTCCGTTTCATCCCAAAGGGGTTTTTATTGACCCTAATTATCCCCTAGTCAAGGGGATGCCTTAATGTGTTACAGGAGAGTTTTTTTCATATTGAGGTATCTTGAACATAGGACATGAAATCTTTCCTCTCCTTTTTTCTCCTCTTTGTCCAAAATTAAATCAAATGAGCTCACTGCAGAGATGCCGCTGGAAGCAGCAAGGTACAGAGCAGGCAGGGCGGCCCTCTCACCTGCCCTTCTTAACTGTGCCATGGGAGCGGGAGATTCTGCAGGCTGTGGGGTGCAAGAAGTGTCACGGAGCCTCTCTCCCAGGACATCTTGTCATCCCTGCCAACGTGGCAGGAGAGGGTCTTTAAGGTCTTAGAAAGAGACTGTGTTCACGCTTGAGACGTTTTTATCATGTTACTAAATGGGGCTTCTTGGCTGGGTGCAATGGCTCACGCCTATAACCCTAACACTTTGGGAGGCCGAGGCGGGTAGATAGTTTGAAGTCAGGAGTTCAAGGCCATCCTGGGCAATATAGCAAGAACTCGTCTCTGCAAAAAAAAAAAAAAATTTAAATTAGCTAGGCGTGATGGCATGCGCTATTCAGAAGGCTGAGGTGGGTGGATCCCTTGAGCCCAGGAATTCTAGGCTGCGTTGAGCCATGATCGCACCACTACACTCCAGCCTGGGTGACAGAGCAGGCCCTGTCTCTAGAATAAATAAATAAGTAAACTAAAGAGGCTTCTTGATTGTGCTGTTCATTGTTGTAAATCCATGGAGCTGTGCAACAGTGAGTAACTCCAGATGTCCTCCCTCCCTACTGCAGCCCCTGCCCTTGATGTGGACTGGCAGAACAACACGACCTTTGCCTCCTGTAGCACAGACATGTGTATCCATGTGTGCAGGCTCGGCTGTGACCGCCCAGTCAAAACCTTCCAGGGACACACAGTAAGTGAGAGCTCTTGTCACTGGTCTCGAGTTTGTGAGAATGTGATGTGGGAGCCGATTCTTGTGTGCCTAGAATTAAAAGCTACTGCAGCAGCAGACCAGCTCTAATGTGCCCCTTGGCTATTTGAGCTGTCATGGTTACCCCATGGTAACCATGGTGGTTGGATTGACTCAGTTTGGGGTTGGCAGTGAGAACAGTTCACTCAGAAATGACCTAGATGGTGGATTTGGCAACAAAGCCTTTAAGGTAGCCATGAGAAACATGTAGAGGACATCAAGGAAAGGATGCTCACAATAAATGAATAGACGGGGCACATCTGCAGTGAATAGAAAAAAAAATCATTAAAAAACAAATGGAGACTAAGTGTGGTGGCTTATGCCTATAATCCCAGCACTTTGGGAGTCTGAGGCCAGAGGATTGCTTGAGGCCAGGAGTTTGAGGCCAGCCTGAGCAACATAGCAAGACTCTGTCTCTACAAAAAATTTTAAAAAGTAGCTGCGTATGGTGATGCACACCTGTAGTCACATCCCAGGAGCTGAAGGCTGCAGTGAGTTACAGTAGCACCACTGCACTCCAGCCTAGGCAACAGAGCAAGACCTTGTCTCTTTAAAAAAAAAAAAAAAAAAAAGAAAAGAAATTGAGAACTGAGAAATATAATGTCTGAAATGAAAGTCTTAATAGGTGGGTGTATTAGGCAGTTCTCAATTCTCTCATTGCTCTAAAGAAATACCTGAGACTGGGTAATTGATAAGACAGGAGGTTTAACTGGCTCACAGTTCCTTAGGCTATACAGGAAGCATGGCAGCATCTGCTTCTGGGGAGGCTTCAGGAGGCTTCCAACCATGGCAGGAGGTGAAGCAGGAGCAGGCACCTCACATGGCCAGAGCAGGGGCAAGAGGTGGGAGGAGTGGGGGGGGTGTCACATACTTTTAAAGGACAAAAACTCACGAAGACAGCAAGCCACGAGGGATCTGCCCCCATGATCCGGACACCTCCCACGAGGCCCCACCTCTGCATCAGGGATGACAGTTCCACCTGAGATTTGGGTGGGGACACCGATCCTAAACCACATCCGTGGATTTACCAGCAGATGGGAGATTGCGGAAGTAAGGTTAGAGAGCATAGAAATTGGCCAATTTGAAGAACAGATAAAAGATCGAAAAAATGCATAAAGGCTTAATGGCTTATGGAACAATATCAGAGACCCTAAACCTATATGCGTGATGGGGAGAGAAGAAAGAATGGAACAGAAAAATCATTTGAGGCAGTAACAGCCAAGTTTTCCTAAATTTGGTGGAAAACATCAACATTTAATCCAAGAAGCTCAGCAAATTTCAAGCAGAACAAATATAAACAGAACCACACAAACAGAACAGACCATATCCACCTAGGCATATGGCCATCAAACACCAGAATCAATGACAGAGAAAATCCTAAAGGCAAGCAGAGGCTGACAAATCCATTATATACCAGGGAACAACAATGGGAACAACAGCTGACTTAGCAAATTCCTTAGTTTGGCCTCTGAGGCGCTTCCCGGTCTTTCACCAAATCTCCCTCAGATTAGCCAATTTCTATGGTCTCTAACCTTCTGCAATCTCCAGTCTGCTGGTAAACCCATTTACTAGCCTCGACCTCCTGGGCTAGTGTCCAAAAATTCCCTGTGCCTCTGTCCTCCTAAAGACACGTGCAGCCAAGCACCTTGCCCCGCGCTGAGCCCTGCCTGGAATGCTCCCTGCCTTAGACCCCCACAGCAGCTCTCGGTCCAAAACAGAATCCTCCCCAGTCTCCAGGCCCATTCACGTATCCTCTGCACGCCCTGGGGAGGATTCACGGCACCCCCTGAGCTCCTACTGCCCACATGAATGCCACAGCCCTGGCAGTAGCTGCTGGCCTGCGTGTCTGCCTCTCCCAGAAAACGCAGAGTGCATCAATGCTGGGACCATGGCATCTTGCCTTTCTCTCACCAGCACCCAGGATATCTCTGTGGTGGGGCAGGGTGGGGGTCCCTTGTTAAAGCAGGAGAGGATGGTCACAGTCCCTGGAGATTTGCCATTGTGCCACTAACTTAACTGATGTAAATTCCCTTGTCCTGATTCCCCTAATGCCCACCTCTCCCCACCCCTGGCCCAGGGGTCCCTGTCCCAAAGGAAGGCGCTTTTAGAGCACAGGCACCTATCGTCCTGTTAACATCTGTTTGGCTCCAAACTGACTCTCTTCTCCCGGTCTAAACTTATTTCTCCTCTAACCCTGGACTATCCACAAGTTTTTAATAGAGCTGTACACACTATCTGCAGTTCCCAGGTGTCCTGCCCAGGACCTTGCCACCAGCACAGGCCTTGGCCCTTTAAGTGGGTCTTAATGTGGCTGATGGCCCTGAACAAAGCTCCAGCTCAGTGGGGTTGAGTGGAGACCCATGAGCCGGCTCTGGAGGCGGCCCAGGAACCGGGGCTTGCATTGCAGAGCTAGGGATCCGCTCCCAGGAAGTTATTTGTTCCTTTGCATGGGCTTGGCTAGGGACAGCCAGTGGTGACCAGCTCTACATTCCTGGGCCCATGAGTTTTCCTCTGAACAGCTGCAGTCAGAGCCACCCTTGCTGGCCTTGCATACACATTCACACTCATAGACACCCATGCGTGTGCACACTCACAACCCTCAGCCCCCTCTCCAGTCGGCCCCCTCCACCCTCCCGGGCTCTCGCAGCAGCCTGCCCCTGGGCCGCGAAACTTCTTCCTCCTCCCTTTCCTGGGCCACGTGTGCCTCATGGAACACAGATGTGGCCTTGTCACTGTCCAGTTCACACCCTTCAAAACTCCATGTTCTTAGAAAGCAACCTGACCATACAGTTAATCCAAACCGGAGCCCTTAGGAGTATGAAATTTAGAAAATTCATTATGAGTGTGTCATTAGTTAATTGTTAGGCCGGGACAGCAGGTGTCACATGGTGGGACTGGACTGGACATATGGGGCCCTATAGTCACCCCTGAGGGAGCCCCAAGCTGGTACGCCATGTCCCCTCATTTCTCCTGGGTAGGCTGTTCCCCAGCTGAACCTTTGCCACAGGTGGTTCTTTTACACATGCCTGTCCCGGTAGTGTCCCCGTCTCCCTTGGCCCCTGGGTACATTCATTCACCTTTATCCTCCAGGGTTTAGCCTCGTGGTCCCCAGGTGTCCTGAGCCTGTGCTTTTCGCTACCTGGCTGTGCCGATCACGAGCCCCCAGCCAGGATTTTGCCTGTGTCATGTGTGTTTGTGCCACTCAGCATTTGCCTCTCACTTGTGTTGCACATGTGTGCCTGCCTGTGTGTGCATTTGGGTCGCCCATCTTCCACCTGGATCAGCCCTTACCCCGCTTGAACTCCGTAATAGGTGAGGGTTCACTTCTCATGTTTACCCCTCCCTCCGCCTCCACTCACCTGCAGGAGAGAAATACCTTCTAATGGGTGTGGACACTGGAGGAACTGTTACATTAAAAGTGCATAAGAGGCCTGGCATGGTGGCTCACGCCTGTAATCCCAGCACTTTGGGAGGTCGAGGTGGGAGGATCACTTGAGCCCAAGAGTTCAAGACCAGCTTGGGCAAAAATCCCAAAAAAAAAAAAAAAAAAAAAGGGCATGGTGGTGCCTGCCTGTAGTCCCAGCTACTTGGGAGGGTGAGGCAAGAGGATTGCTTGAGTTTAAGAGGTACATGCTGCAAGGACCTGTGATCCTGCCACTGCACTCCAGCCCGGGAGACAGAGTGAGACCCTGTCTGAAAAAGAAAAGTGCATAGGAAAGTGATTTTCAAAGGCCAATTTAAAAAGTAACTGGTTTTACTGGTTTTATTTGCTGCGTTTTATGGTATGTGATTTCTTCACTTGCCTTCCTTCCTAGCAGGGAAGGTTTTTTTCTTAATGAAGTATGGATGAGAGTGGCTGGTGTTGTGTGGTATAGGGCTGTGGTTTTATATAAATGAAAAAGGCAAAGTGAGAAAAAGAGGAAACTAGATGGCTGGTTGGGCTGTGCCCTTTGATGTCAGGCTGAAGCCGAAGACCTTCTGCAGCGCCGGTGGCGCGCTGCTGCCCCCTGCTGGAAGGTGACCTCATCTACTCACAGGCCCTGATGTCTTTTTCACACTCTTCTGCTCTCTTTCAGAACGAGGTCAACGCCATCAAATGGGATCCGTCTGGAATGTTGCTGGCATCCTGCTCGGATGACATGACATTGAAGGTAGAGTCGGCATGGCAAGGGGTGGGCTGTTTAATCCTAGACAACCCCGGGCACTTGATGCCAGTCTCACGGTCACTCTTACATGAGGATTATTTATTACTGACCACCCTCCCTTCCTCTGTCATCCGGTGAGCTACGATTTCTCAGTCATAGTCCCACTGAGAATCGCAGCCTCCCTGCAGCCTTTCTCACCACTGTGCACCCTCCACCCTGCCCTGGGCCCCGTGTGCACCCCCGGGAGGAATGATTCCACATCGTTCCCGGATGCAGGAATGGCTTTTGCTCATGTTGTGTCTGGTGTGTTCTGTAGATCTGGAGCATGAAACAGGAGGTGTGCATCCATGATCTTCAGGCTCACAATAAAGAGATCTACACCATCAAGTGGAGCCCCACTGGGCCCGCCACCAGCAACCCAAACTCCAACATCATGTTGGCAAGGTAAGGGCAGGCAACACAGCTGGCACAGCTCGGTGTTACACAAAGACAACAGGAAATTCTGCTAAAGCGCGTCCATGCACGTGTGTTGAAGCCCTTCAGAGGAAGCAAAGCGGTAGCTCACTTTGAAGGGGCCAGGATAGAATTACCGAGTAACACCTGCCTTTGAGGTAAGGATGGTTTTGAGTCAGGCACAGTGGCTTACGCCTATAATCTCAGCACCCTGGGAGGCCAAGGCAGGACGATGGCTTGAGCCCAAGAGTTCAACATCAGCCTGGGCAACATGGTGAAACCCCATCTCTACAAAAACTTAGCCAGGCGTGGTGACGTGTGCCTGTAGTCCCAGCTACTCAGGAGGCTGAGGCAGGAGGATGGCTTGAGCCCAGGAGATTGAGGCTGCAGTGCGCGGTGATCACACCACTGCACTCCAGCCTGGGTGACAGAGCAAGACCATGTCTCAAAAAAAAAAAAAAAAAAAACAGAAGAAGAAAAAAAACCACCCAACATGACTGCAGAGCCACAGTTGAGGGACAGCAAGCCAGGCAGCACCAACTCCTGTTGACGGTGCTCGAATTAAGGTCATCTCTTAGAGAGGACAGGATGGAATTCCTGCATCCACTGAGAGACGGAACCAAAAAAACAAAGAACACATAGGCCGTAATTCTCATATTTCAAGTAATTGTCATAAAATCCACTTAAAGTACTGTGATATAGTGTGATATAGTACTACACACTCGAGTTGTTTTGTGATGACTCAGAAGGTGCTTTTGCGTCGCGTGGTACTATTAGGAGCATAAATTATCCTTTTAGTCAGCAAGTATAAAAGGGGCATCCCGGTACCTAATGGGTCCCTGTTGAAAGAAAGCAAGCCAGACAATAGCTTTGTGATAGATATTACTGTTCTAAGTTTGAAAATAACTAAAATTTGCAGCTTTCAATAATGTGATTACGTATGTGGATGTGATTGTATTTTAATTCTTGTTTGATTAAAATTTATTTTCTATTTAGAGACAGGGTCTCCCTATGTTACCCAGGCTGGTCTTGAACTCCTGGCTTCAAGTGATCCTCCCACCTTGGCCTCCCAAAGTACTAGGATTACAGGCATGATCTACTGTACCTGGCCTAAAAAGTTTTTTAAATGTTTATTCACTTAATTTGCTATTTTTCCAAATATGGCTGTCTGTATTAATTTAGTTGGTAATAATAGATGTCATGTTTTAAATTGTAGGGGCATTTTAGGAAACTTGATAAATATTCTACAAAAATATTTACCATTTACGTCTATAGGAAACATAGAAACAGGGCTGGGCGCAGTGGCTTACACCTGTAATCCCAACAGTTTGGTAGGGTGAGGCAGGAGGATCTCTTGAGCCCAGAGGTTCAAGACCAGCCTGGGCAACACAGTGAAACCCCGTCTCTACAAAAAATAAAAAAATAAAAATTAGCCGGGTGTGGACCTATGGTTGCAGCTTCTCTGCTGAGGCTGAGGCGGGAGGATCACTTGAGCCCAGGAGTTCGAGGCTGCAGTGAGTCATGATCACGCCACTGCACTCCAGCCTGGGCAACACAGTAAGACCCCATCTCAAAAAAAAAAAAAAAGGTGCAGAAACAAATGTAGATATCAAATTGTTTCCCTAATAAGACCATTAAAGCTTTTTTTCTGTTTAATGACTATGGCTTTGTTTTTAATACTTGTAAGTAGTTACAGTTTAGAAGACAAAAAGCTTTTTAGTTATTATCTTTTGAAACGTAAAAGCTGGGAAAAACAACTCCTGGAGATCTGATACACATTATGGAGAACTGTTTGAAACCACCGTGTGTATGTGATTTTGCTTTCTCTCCCACCTTGCTAGTGCTTCGTTTGATTCTACGGTGCGACTGTGGGACATAGAACGAGGCGTCTGCACCCACACGCTCACGAAGCATCAGGAGCCTGTCTATAGCGTAGCTTTCAGCCCTGATGGGAAGTACTTGGCCAGTGGATCCTTCGACAAGTGCGTCCATATCTGGAATACTCAGGTAAGCTCCCGACCCCTACACCAAATCCTTTTAGTAAGGGATGCCCAAATAGCCACGACTCCAGTGCCCTTGGCTCAGAGCAGTGCCCCGGAGGGAGTTGAGCAAGCTCAGGCTCCCCGGGCAGACCCAGTGGATGCTGTCCACGTGCACCCCACGTGGGCTGTCAGCTCTTCCCCCACCAGACACCTCCGGCAGCTCCCCTCCCTGAGGAAGGGCGTCGTGTCCACCGTAATCATGGCTCTTGGCCATTTGATTCCAAACCCTCACCTTGGCACACGTTCTTCCTTGAAGGAGCCGCTGTCTTCTGTTCACTTTTCTGAGTCCATGGCACGAAACCTTCCACCTGCCTCTTCCTCTTCTTAGCAGTTATCACCGAAGTGCTGCTCTCTAGATACTGAGGTTAGAAGGTGGGAGTGGGGGACCAGCTAACGGGGTCAAGGCCACACCAGCTCCTGCAGCTCCCTTACGGAGCAGACCAGGGAGTGGGAAGGAATGTGCTCTTGCTGTTGTCATGCCACTTCAATTTTTCTTTTCTGTTTTGTTTTGTTGTTGTTGTTTTTTGTTTTTGTTTTTGTTTTTGAGACGGAGTCTCACTCTGTCACCCAGGCTGGAGTGCAGTGGCGCGATCTTGGCTCACTGCAACCTCTGCCTCCCAGATTCAAGCAAGTCTCCTGCCTCAGCCTCCTGAATAGCTGGAATTACAGGCACCCGCCATCATGCCCAGCTTATTTTTGTATTTTTAGTAGAGACAGGGTTTCACATGTTGGCCAGGATGGTCTTGAACTCCTGACCTCAGGTGATCCGCCCACTTTTGCCTCCCAAAGTGCTGGGATTACAGGTGTGAGCCACCGTGCCTAGCCTCAATTTTTCAAATCAAAGTAGGTTCTGTTTGAGGACATAAGGTATGTCAATATTGGGTTGTCCTTTTAGCAGGGATTGAAAGGACATAGGATTTAAATAAAGGTGGCTGCTGTGGGTATCTTGGGCCACACCTGAGGATAGAAGAATTCCAGCTGTAAAGTGTAGAAATGGATGGGAAGTAGCACTGCATAGCATAAAGGATTGTATAGGGCCATCAGCACGTGATTCTAGTCTAAGGGAAGAGAGAGGTGATAATATGCTAGGAGCTGTTGAAAATAAGGAAGGGGTCCCTTTCGCCTCAGGAGGGGAGGAATCACACAGCCTTCCCCCTGCCCCCTTTCATCTGCACTGCCTTCTTGGTTCCTTTTGGCTTGGTTGACATTCAGGTGGATTTATACCCTCAAGTTCATTCCCCCTGTGGACTCAATGGTGATGAGCCCTGTTCACTGGCAAGGGGTCCACTGAGATCACAGGCTTCCCAGGGACCTCATGTGAACCACATCCTCTCAGGGAAGGAAGGGAAATGGTGGACCCTGCGTAGAGCCAACCCGACGCCAAGCCCAGCCCCACAGCCCTAGATAGCTCTCCGGGAAGCACGCATCTCAGCACTAGTGTCCAAGAGTCTCCGTTCCTGAAATCCTCGCTAGAAATAGTAATGGGTGGATTTGTAAAAAGAACACATCAATTATCAAAACAATGACATGATCAGTTAGGTACAGCCTGTTGTCAGGAACTCACTGAACTGTTTCAACCCTTTTTTATAAATCAAAGAAATCCTTAGGACTTTTCTTTTTTTTTTTTTTTTTTGGATCGGAGTTTCACTCTCGTCACCCAGGCTGGAGTACAGTGATGCCATCTCGGCCCACTGCGACCTCTGCCTCCCGGGTTTGAGCGATTCTCCTGCCTCAGCCTCCCGAGTAGCTGGGATTACAGGTGCGCACCACCACAGCCGGCTAACTTTTGTATTTTTAGTACAAACGGGGTCTCACCATGTTGGCCAGGCTGGTGTTGAACTCCTGACCCCAGGCAATCTACCCACCTCGGCCTCCCAAAGTGCTGGGATTACAGGCATGAGCCACCGCGCCCGGCCAAGAAATCCTTAGGAATTTTCTTAAGAGAAATCTTAAAGCCCACTTTAATCTTTCTCCAAGTATAAAAATACTTATCTGTAATACTGCCGACACACACCTTTCTCAGTTCATGGAACACCACCCTTTAAGGGGCCCAATTGAGCAGAGGATTTGGGACAGCCCTCCTGGTCTCGGTGTTCAGATTTCTCCTGCCTGTCACCATAGTGAATCATGAGTGAAGGCTTATTCGACTCTTTCTCTCTTTTTTATTTTTTAAAATTAATTTTTGTAGAGACGAAGTCTCACTGTGTTGCCCAGGCTAGTCTTGAACTCTTGGGCTCAATCCGTCCTCCCGCCTCGGCCTCCCAAAGTGCTGGGATTACAGGGTGAGCCACCTCGCCTGGCCTTATTCAACTCTTTCAAAGGCCTCAACTTCCCCTACCTCTTAGATTTGTCAAGTTAATGCTGTTTTAAACCGGAAACCAATGGTCTGTGGTGTTTTCCATTACATGTATATTATGCATTTCTTCTTTCAAATGTCCAAAAATACGTACATTTTAATGTCATGGCATATTATTACATTTAATCATGAATTACAGTCAATTTAATTGCTACTGGGGTGGGTGTATTCATTATGTTGTATTCATTCAGGTCCTCCAAAGAACAGACACCAGAACAGGATTAGATGGGCGAGAGATTTATTGGGGGAAAGAGCTGTGATGGAAACAGGGAGGAAGGTAGGGGGAAGGGAGAATTCAGACCATAAGGCCAGTCTGACCCTGGGAAGGAGACGGGAAGGGTAGGAAGAGTCAGGGATGGCCCTTACAGGTCTGTAGAAAGTTTTGGTCGTGCTGATGGAGAGTCCATGAGCCACTTACCCACCAGATGAGTCTGAGTCTCAGCAGGTGACTGCCATGGTCTCCCGCCTCCATCAGTCCTCAGCTGGGTGCAGCCTCAGAATCCACGCAAATGTGGCAGATTCCGCAGGCATAAGTAATCAGGTTCACTCCTCGTGGTGGGAAGTCCTAGAGGCACATCTCCATGGCCCCCAGAGTCCTTACTGAAAACCCTTAAATTTCACCATGCTTGAAAATGTTCATGACGAAACGTCAGGGCCGGAGGAGCGCACATTCCACACCTGCATCTGTCGCAGGCGCCCCTTGCGTTGTAAGTGACAGCTGCTTTGCTTTGCAGAGTGGAAATCTTGTCCACAGCTACCGAGGCACTGGCGGCATCTTCGAGGTGTGCTGGAACGCCCGAGGAGACAAAGTGGGTGCCAGCGCGTCCGACGGCTCTGTAAGCAACACCTCTGGTTTGCTGGGGAGTGGGGTGTTGGGGGCAGCTGATGCCTAAGTGAGCTTCCAGGGCGTGTGCAGCATTCGTGTCCTGAAGGGCCTAGCCCAGTGCCAAAGGAAGCTTCTGGGCTGGATCCCATCGGAGTTGGTACCACATCTGGGAATGGCCTTCTCCTTGTCCCTTCCAGAGTGTCCTTCTAGTCAACATTTTCTCAGTCAAATTGGTGGTTCTCAACCAGGGTGATTCTGCACCTCTAAGGACATTAGACAATATCTGGAGCCATTTTAGGTTGTCACTACAGTCATGTGTCGCTTAATGACGGGAACGTTTTGGGAAATGTGTCATTAGGCACTTTTATCTTTGTCTGAACATCATAGAGTGACTGACACAAACCTAGATGATAATACCTGTCCCACACCGAGGCTGTGTGGTACAGCCTATTGCTCCCAGGCTACAAACCTGGACAGCGGGTGACCATACTGATTCCTGTAGGCAACCAGAACACAATGGTAAGCATTTGTGCGTCCGGATCTATCTAAACATAGAAAAGGTTCAGCAGATATATGGTTATAATCTTACAGGACCACTGCGGTCTGTGCGGTGCGTTGTTGCTGGAAACGTCATTATGTGACGCGTGACTGTGCTTAGATGAGGATGCTGCTAAACCTCCTACTGTGCACAGGGTGGCCACAATTGTCACCCATGCTGTGGCTGAGAAGCCCGGGCCTCTGGTGGCCATCCTGCAGGTCTCCTGGGCCCTCTTCTCTTCCCATGGGGCATCTGGATTTCTTATTTTCCCCTGGACTTGAGGTTGCCCTGACCTCTGGGGCAAGCGGCCGTTCTGGCTGAACGGCCAAGGGTCAGAGTAGTCCCCAAATGTTGTCAGAGGCTGTGTACTTGGGCTCGTATTGTCATCTGCCCCACGATTGCAGGTGTCCCTTCTGGGACCTCTGCCACTCTGTTAATTCCTATCATTACCCTTAACCTGGCCTTTCTGCTCTGTGCTGTTTGCTTCAGTTTGCTCGGTCCGATGTCCAGATGCCAGTCTGTTATGAGAGCTTCTCTGACCCTTCATGACGATGTTCCAATAAACTTTACTGACAAACATCGGTGGAGGGCTAGATTGGGCGTGGGGGCCGTAGCTTGCCGACTTCTCACTCTAAAGGCATCTTTGTATTGTCTCTCAAGATGACAGGTGCTTTATCTTTCCTTCCAGGTGTGTGTTTTGGATCTGCGGAAGTAACCACAAAATATTATCGAAAAAAGAAAAGAATTCTAATGACCAGCCGTGAATGTGTAGGGTTGCAGCTCTATTCTCCAAAACTGTAGGAACTTGACTTGCGTTAGAGTGTACTCTGAAACCAACTCGTCTCTGGCCGCAGGAGTCTATATGTTTTCGTAATCTTCATCAAGAAGTTTTTAAAAGGCAAGCAAAAACAGAAGCAAATCATATCAAACGGGGATAGAATGGTTTCCACTGAGGACATTCAGCCTGGGAAGGAGGAAGTCACCAGCTCGAGGCGTGTGGATTGGTTTCCACCCGGAACAGGCTCTGTGATGGCTGAATGGAAAGAAACGTAAAAAGCTGTGCCAAAAAAAAAGCAAAATGCTGTGATAAACCAAACAGGGAAGGGGGAAAAACCCTCCTCCTTGGGATTTTTTTTTTTTGTTTTCCCTAACAATTTGGACACTACAATTGCTCTCACAAAGGAGGTTCAAAGACCAGTTTGTACCGATGAAACGCGCAACTTTGTAATCCCAACACTTTCTATTTTCTAGAATCTTCTTTGTTCATTGGGTGGTTTTTCAGTCGGCTGGAATTCTATCTTCTGGGGGCCTTCCGTCTGAGATGGAAGCTGTCTTGGGCTTGTTGTCTCTTCCTTCTGTTGCTCCCTGCCCCTCCCCCTGCCTTTCCACTCTGTCTGGTGAGCTCTGCTTTTTCAGTGCACCATCAAGAGATGCAGCCCCGTGGACATGAAGACACAATCTCCCACGGACAGCTTTCCCCCTTCCGCCCTCTCCCACCCTCTCCTCCCCTTGCGCTCGCGCTCGCGCTCGCTTTCTCACTGGCGTGCTCTCTTTCTCTCTCTCTCTCCCTCTGTACCTTTCTCATAGTTGCTTCAGATCTTAGGTCTCAAGGGCACTTTGGCGCGTAGTAAGTGCTTTATGTAAGAAGGCAGGGCAGGGGGGCTTTTTACAGGAGAAAAAAAAATGACTTATAAGAGAAAGAGCCTGGAGTATTTTTGGAAAAAAAAATAATATTTTTATGTTAAAACAATTTTAAAATCTTAAAATGGCCATCAGACATAGAGAGCTTTGTGTGATTCATGTTTTAAAAAGAACCGAAGAAGCCACAGGCAGGGCCTGAGGGAGCCCCTGGCTTTCCCCTCAGCCTCAGGAAAGGTGGTCAGGAAAACTCTGGCTGGACAAGGGTCAGTCTTCGGGGTCAGCAGCGAGATTGCTCTGCAGCCAGTGAGGGAGGTCCCCGCCATGCCGGCTGGAAGAAGAACCTCGCATCTTTTGGTGTGTATGCACCTTGGCAGCCAGCAGGAAAGCAGCGAAGAGCCGCGCGCCCTCTGGCCTCAAGGGAGCATTGGCAGAACCATAAGGTACTGCAGAAGCCGTCGAAACCGACTGCTCGGCTGGATTAGGCGTGTTGGCTACATCTTTCCCACAACCGTATAACGACCGATGGTCATTTCTCCAAGAGCAGGCTTGGCGAGTCCTTGCAGAGCTGACATAGAGGCGCCCGCATGTCACTTAGTCTAACGCTGACAGAAATGAATGCAGAAGGAAGATTTTCAGTCCTGAACGTGAATTATAGAGGTAGAACGTCGCTAATAATTTCTGCCATCTTTATAATTTCTTTGTCTCACAGAAGACTAGGAGAAAGATCTTTTTTAAATAATCTTTTTGCTGTTTTTAAAAAATTAAACAAGGCTTTGTGTTCCTAGAAGAGCTTCATTTCAGTGAATCTGGTGACCTCCATCTGCTTGCTGTCATAACCCGACACGGACTTATTTTTGTCATTAGCAAGGGGGAAAAGGCCAAAGGACAAGGGCCTCTTCTCCCATTGGTTTTCCTGTGGGCAGAAGGGCTGAGGAAGATGGCCCAGCCCGTGGGGGCTGCTGGGTCACCAGCAGTGGGTAGGGTGCAATCTGGTGTGTGTTCCAGCAGTGAGACGGTGTTATTGTGAAGGTGGCATTCATCTGCGGAGCCAAAACCCAGCCATCGGGGAAGGGTCAGGGCTTCTGTGGAACTTGGAACGTGCCAGGACCACCTGCAAAAGCCAGGGTGCGTTGATCATTCTCAGATCATTGATTGGCCTCCACTTGGGTATGTGAATTATTCATGTCCCAGAAGACCAAAAAGTGCTCTGGTTCTGAGATGAGTATTTTATTCGTGTTCTGTTTCCGAAACACTTAGCAAAGAAGGTCACAGTGATGTGGAGTCGCCGCACCCATCTTTGAAGATAGCCAGTGTCCCTGGATGAGGTGATGATTTCCCGTCCCAAGGACTCTGTGAAGTTTAGAGTACAGTTTGTTGGGGTCCAAAAGACACCATCTCTACCCCACCCAAATAAAAATGCACTCATCTCTGTAGAACATCTGCTGTCAAAGGCCAGCCTGTCGTTAGGGCATGGCTTATGCTTGACAAACCAGTAACAACTGTGGGATGGCGATGGTGGGATGTGTCGCAAGCAATTCACTAGACAATCTTCACATGAATGTCGGTAGCCAGGGTCTCTCCCGAGGGATGGCTTTAGTCTTGATGAATGTGAACCATGTCGGAATTGTTAGGTAGAAACCTGGGCTGGGAGGCCTCGGACCCCAGGCTCCATCCCTGGCTTCCCCAGCCTGCGGCCGCAAGCAAAACCAAGCGCGAGATGCAGCTAGCACCCTTCATATCCATCCCCGTTCTCAGCGGGACAACACCATGGACAGCCGTTTTCAGAGCCTCCAGCATTTGCACACCACTACTCACCCTCTCTGCTGCTGGCATGTTGGTAGAGTCATCCCTGTAATCAAGAAATGGCCTGTGGAATGTTATTGTTCAACGTTGTTTACAGCTCTTAAAACATGGTGAGGAATGCCTAAGTCTTAGTGACCAAACGTGACCTTGAAAGCAGACATAGCATGACAGACCTTCCTAGAGTGTTTGGTCGGGTTCACAGTGACCGAGAGTCAGGTCCAGCACACACCTGGGAAAGGGATGCTGCCCCAAGGGGGACCAAAAGGGCCGGACGTTACAGGGTGAAACCCTCTGACCCCTCGCGACACCGTAGGACTTGACTTTTGTTTAGTCTTTCTAAGAAATAGATCATGGAGCCAAGTGAAGTGCACTTTGTCAAATGTAAGGGTCTGCTTTGTTCTTGTTGCTTTTCTGTTTTTTAACCTTTTGTTCCGCCATTTAAAAAAAGAAAAAAAAAAAGCTTATGTTTCTTGTCAAATGCAGAAATGTTCCTTCCGCCACTCACTGAAGTTTTGCATTCTGGCTTGTGCAGTTTTTATTGTCTGTGTCAGACGTACAGCCAGACATGTTCTCTATTGGCATTTTTCCGATTCTGTTCAGATGACAGCGACCGCCTTTTCATTCCCCCCGCCACCTGTACTCACCCTCACGCTCTTTGAAGAAAAAAAAAAAAATCACCTTGTGTGTTGTAGCTCATTTGTTTCAAGAGAGAATCAACAGATCATATTCAGTGTCTTGAATAAATTGCTCTATTTTGATATTAGAGAACTTGGTGGGTGTGCTTTCTTCCTCTCGCTCTGGAACTCTTGGGCCCACGTTGACTGAATGACTGAAGACAGAGCTCTGTATTTTCTCCAGAAGGAAGTACCTTGAGCCTCTGTTTAGGATTGCTGTGTGAGATAGGGAGCTGGGAGCAGAACGCAGTGACATGGCAGTCACAGCAGCCGCCTGCTGTTCTGAAAGGTGGTTCTGTCCAGGGATCATGTTTTTTAGTGTGTTTCCTTTTCATTCTTTATTTCAGGCTGGCTGTTGGAGAAAGACAAAGCAAATGAATGTTCTCTCATCAGCGGATTGGTTGACCGGGAGTTTGAGTTCCCGAATTACCCCCGAGTAATTTGCAGAACCTAACAGGATGGGGTGACTTTGGACATGGACGTCTGCATGGTGCAAACCAACATGTGGCAAACATTTATTGACATTTGCTCTGTGCATGTCTTCATTTATGCTGCTTTAATTAATTAGGTGGCTGTTAAATAATGTAATTAGTGAATGGATATTGCTATCGGCATTCTATGAAGGAGGCTGTAGATTCCGAGAGGCGAAGAGATGGCCTTACTCTTAGTCTAAGGTTTCACTTTGCAGATGAGTCCCAGACAAAGTCACGGTGTCATTTCCCTCTAATCCTGCTTGTTCCGCACTAGGACAAAGCAGATGGCTAGGGGCGTAGAGGCTTCTGTGGTGATTCCCTGGGAAAGATCCAAGTGTGCCTGTGACCTTCACTGATGATCCGGACTTTTGCAGGAACCAAATCCCAAATTCAAGTCTTGAATTGGCAACTGAAGACTGAATATTATATGAGCAGTTGTCACCTTTAGAGAAAAACTTACCCTATCTTCCGGTGTTTTCTGGGGTTCACCTTCTCATTTTCATTTTTCTCTTTAGCCCCTGCCAAGTGGAGCAAGTGTGTTGCCAGGTGGTGGATTTGGGGCACCCTGAGGGGTACTGCAGAACCCTGGGACAGCTCGGGAAGAACCGCATGGAAACAGTGGGCAGACAACAAAGCATGCGGCAGTTCCCAGGATAAATGCACGTGTGGCGGGTGGCTTTGGTGGCTCCCCTAAGAATGCCGTTGACGTATGACTGGCTCTAAGTGGGTTTCTTTGTGATATAGAGGAAAGTTGATTGGGACCACGATTGCCAGAATTTATATAACTTAAATCTTCAGATGGATGGAACCCTTCCCCGCAGTGCGTCTCAAAAGGTTCCCCCAGTCCATTGAAGCTCCTCCTTTATTTTAGGAATCTAAGTTTCAACTCACTAAACAGAGATCTCGCTTTTTTTTTTAAATTGCCCCATCTTGGTGCTGTTTCAAAAGGATATCAGAGAACATTATTCATGTTCACAGAAAGCTCTCTGCACAAGTTCTGTCTGGAAGCTGGCTGTTGATGATGGCTGTCTGGTGGAAACCTGGAAGTCCCTTGTGAAGTACAGGAAAAGGGTAGGAGGGGGAGGAGAACAGATTTATGCCCTTAAAAAAGATGTCTGAGCCAGTTTTTGTCCAGTCTGGGTCCTTTGTCTCTGAAGTGTCTCATCCACAGCACGGTAAGTAAGGCAAGAAGTTCAGTCTGGAGAATAGAGAAGGAACAGTGGGTTCGGGGAGGAGGATGTTGTCTGTAGGACCACCCTTCAGCTAGAATGTGAAGCAAATGCTCTGGAGAATGGACGCTTTGGTTAGGAACAGTTATCCTTATGCAAAAGGTACTTATCTTGAGACACTGTGGGAAACAAACAGCTGGGTGTATGCGTTCTTCCGTAAAAACATACCTGCACGTGATGATATCTTACTGTGAAATGGGGGAAATTAGTAGGCTACTAAAAAGTTTTTTACCCTGAGCAACATGGTGAGACCCTCATCTCTACATAAAAATTAGCTGGGCATGGTGGCGAGTGCCTGTGATCTCAGCTACTTGGGAGGCTGAAGATCACTTGAGCCCAGAAAATCGAGGCTGCAACGAACCATGATGGCGCCACTGCACTCCAGCCTGGGTGACACAGCAAGACCCTGTCTTCCTCTTTTTTTTTTTTTTTTTTTTTTTGAGACAGGGTCTTGCTCTGTCACCGAGGGTGGACTGCAGTGGTGCTATCCTGGTTCACCGTAGCCTCTGCCTCCCAGGCTCAAGCAATTCTAGTGTCTCAGCCTCCCAAGTAGCTGGGATACAGGTGTGTGCCACCATGCCCAGCTAATTTTTGTATGTTTAGTAGAGATGGTTTTTTGCCAGCTTGGCCAGGCTGGTCTTGAACTCCTGGCCTCAAGTGATCCACCCACCTCAGCCTTTCAAAGTACTAAGATTAAAGGTGTGAGCCACCGTGCCCCGCTGACCCTGTCTCTTAAAAGAAATTGATGGTGGGATTGATAAACTGGCCAGTAAATTAAAATCAAGTGAAAGCTATCTGATGGGAAGAGTCTCCCCTTTCCACCCAAACTCTGCTCCCAGCTACACCTCTGTTGTTGCCTCCTTGTCACAGGCCAACCCAAACTCCTGGCTGTAGATCCTAGTTCCTTCTCACTTCTTCAAGAACTTTCCTTCCATCATCATCATCGCTTTCTCTCCACTGGATCATTCCTGTAGCACCCCAAGGTACTTGAGCACCTGCCATCTTTAAACGGTAACAGAACAAGCACATCCCCTGCAGTAACCAGCCTTACAGGGAAGTCACTCAGAACCAAGGCTGGCCATCATCTCAGTTCATCATTTGTTTGCTCAGTTGTCTCCTCATTCCCTAGATTGCCTTAATACACATCCTGATGATAATGTTTCTGTCCCCAGTACCTAGGCCTGGCCCAGTGCCTCACCCTCTCACTCAGCTCAGCTCACCAGGTTAAAGACATATGCATGAGTATCAGCTGGTGATGCCTGGTGCCCCATCTGGGAGTCCTTATCTTGGCTGGATACTCAGATCTCAGGGTTCTTGTTTGAAAGCTTCAGAACCTGACTCTAGCTAATGTAAGCCCAAAGGAATGAATGAGCCAGATATTGGGCAGCTTTAAGAAACTGGAGAACTGGGCTCAGAGGCCAAACAGACAGGAACCGCCAAGAGCAGGCTGCAGGACTAGGCTCATGAAGATGACAGAGATGGAACTGGGTGCTGCCCACACCCCGATACTGGATGCTGCCCACACCCCGATACTGGATGCTGGACTGGCCCTGGAGGCACACCCAATGCTACCTGCCAAAGTGGGCCTGCCTGCTGCCAAGGCTTCAGAAGTGTTTCTCTGCAGTCCATTCCCTGAGGCACAAGCTTCTAACATGTAAGACATGCCTGATTGGCTCTGTCAGGTCACGTGCCTTGCTCTAGCTGCAAGGGAGGCTGGAAAAGCCAGCAGCTGGCCTCTTTGGTTTTTGAATGGGGTGGTGGGACTGCCTCATCAGGTAAGAGGGGATCCTCAAACAGAGGAAGGGCTTCTGATCCTGAGGGAGAGGGCAGACAGAATGGCACTACTGAGCTGAAGGATGCAGATTCCCCTAGAAAATCTAAAACTTCACATCTCCTTGATACCTTTGATCAACGTCAGTGTGGCCTAGCCCAGGCTCGTCCTGGGAAAGTGAAGCAATGGTTATCCAGAGAGCTGGGACAGCCCTGGGCAGACACTACCTCATGGTGTGTTCACAATCCATCTACAGCCTTGTTGACTTCAGACGTGCAAATGCAGAACCTTGCTGGACTCTTGTAGAAGAAAAGGAGTCCTAATCTTGATATGAAGCGAGGTGTCACATGGCAGAGCTGTCTGCAGTGTCCTGAGAAGATAGTGTGTCTTGCTTTTCTATATACATGCTGGTGGATTGTAATCCCCCTGCATGCTGCAACATTTTGGGGAGGGAAAAAAAAAGCTTCAAAAAGTTCATGGACATACATATTATGGAAAAACTATACATGGATTTCAAAAATGTCTTGCCTCAAAATAAACTCATACTAATTTGTTAGAACCTCTCTTAACAGGATCTAGTTTGAGGCACTAAGAATGATAAGATATCAACCTGAAAAGAGCCTCTATCAGAGCAACATAAATTGTTAAAATTGAAACAAGAACAAGCATCAAATTTATGGTGAAGTTTGAATGGACTTGATGAATAGTTTATGGGCACAGTGCCCTAAAGACATCAGTTTACAAATGGTGGATAACTCATTTTAAGAATGGATGAGATGATGTTGAAGATGAAGCCCACCATGGCAAACCATCCACATCAAGTTGTGATGAAAAAATTTATCTTGTTCATGCCCTAATTGAAGAGGACCAGCAATTAACAGTACAGACAGACAATAGCCAACACCGTAGACATCTCAACTGGTTAAGCTTATGTAATTCTGACTGAAACATTAAAATTGAGCAAATTTTGCACTCTATGGGTGCCAAAACTGTTGCACCCAGGTCAGCTGCAGACAAGAGCTGAGCTTTTGATGGAAATTTTAACCAAATGGGATCAAGATCCTGAAGCATTTCTTTGAAGAATTGTAACAGGAGATGAAGCATGGATTTCCCATTACCATCCTGAAGACAAAGCACAATCAAAGCAATGACTACCAGGAGGCAAAAGTAGTCCAGTCAAGGCAAAGCAGACTGGCCAAGACCAGAGGTCAGAGCAACAGTTTTTCAGGATGCTCAAGGCATTTTGCTTGTTGACTTTCTGGAGGGCCAAAGAACAGTAACATCTTATTATGAGAATGTTTTGAGAAAATTAGCCAAAGCTTTAGCAGAAAAATGTCCTGGAAAGCTTTGCCAGGGAGTCCACCACAGCAATGCTTCCGCTCATTCCTCTCATCAAATGGGCAATTCTGCAAGAGTTTCGGTGGGAAATCATTAGACATCCACCTTACAGTCCTGATTTGCCTCCTTCTGACTTATTTTTCTTTCCTAATCCTTAAAGGGCACCCATTTTTCTTCAGTTAATAGTGTAAAAAAGACTGCACTGACATGGTTAAATTCCCAGGACCCTCGGTTCTTTAGGGATGGACTACATGGCTGGTGTCATCACTTACAAAGTATCTTGACCTTGATGGAGCCTATGTTGAGAAATAGCGTTTGTTTTTTATCTTTTCATTTCATTTTTCAATGAACTTTTTGAAGTTCCCTCATATATCTTAACTGATGGAAATATGGGCATTAGTCAGGTTCCAAGTATTCCTTAGACTATGTCATTACTCAACACAGCATGAAGCTCAATTCCTGAGCAAAGTCATGCTGTCTTCTCTGCCCCCTAGTGTGTGTTAGGAGGCCAGGCTGTGCTGCTGCTCCACGGGGCCCTGGTTCCCTATTCATCCTGCTGCATCTCTACCTTGCTGCTGTTTGGCATCATCAATAAGCTTAGTCAAGAGCATTTCCTCTAGAAATCACATCTTTACTGCACCTTTTCTATGTTTAGGTATGTTTAGATACAAAACTACCACTGTGGTACAGTTGTCTACAGTATTTGGTACAGTCACATGATGTTCAGGTTTGTAGCATAGGAGCCATAGGCTCTACCGTATAGCATAAGTGTGCTGTAGCCTGTACCATCTAGGTTTGTGTAACTGTGCTCTATGGTATTCACACAACAGTGATACCACCTAGCGATATATTTCTCAGAACTCATCCCCATCATTAAGCAATGCATAACTGTACATGTATTTATTTTCTTTTGCTAGAAGTGTTAAGACAGAATCCAAGTCAGGCTGAGAGCTCAGTCATAACTATTTTATTTAACTACTTCCCCAAGGATGTGGACCTTACACTTACTTTACAGCCAGCCTCAGAAAACTTCCTAGTGGCAACTAAGGCTAGAGCAGCTGTAGAGTGGTCTGGAGGGGGCTCTTCCATTCTCACACGTGTGTGCATGAACCCTTTCTCCTATCCTAAAGGCCCTTCGGGAAGAAGCTCTAGCTGGTGATGAGAGCAAGGTTTGGGGGCCGCTACACTTCGGCAGTGCAGTGTTGGGAAGGTGAGAACACAGTTCTAAAGAACAAGAATTGTTGAGTCTGAGGAATATGGGGTCTGGACCCCCAGCACATCCCCTTCATAGGTCTCCATGGGTTGGGAGAGCAGGGTCACCCTCATTTTTGTTGCAGGATTCACTTGCAGTGTGAATTTCAATTGTGCTGGCATCAGAACCTGGAGAGGAAAAGACAAAAGACTGACTGTGTCTGTGTCCTAGCAGGTTTGTCATCAGCTTCAGAAAATGCTCAGTATTCAGTGCATGGAGTTTTTCATGGACCAACTTTGGTCAAAGTCCTAGCATTCATCTCATCTGCAAAAAAAAAAAAAAAAAAAAAAAAAGGTGGGAGGGGTGGAAATCTACATCAACTTTCCATCTACATTTTATTAAATCATTACAACGGATGACACAAGCCCTACAGAATCATCTAGGCCAGTTGATTGATAGGTGACTGCGGCACAGATGCTGCAGGTGACACAACTGTTGGTTTAGGAAGATTTCAGAGCCCCAGGACACGTGCTGTCTGATGCAGGAGCAGAACACACTCTTGTGACCACTGGTGCAGCTTCTACTGAGGATGGTAACTAACACAACAGGGACCCTATGGTTGCCTGGCTACCTACACTCAATTCTAGGAAGTGCCCAAAGGGAGGGAGACCACCGCTCTGTAAAACTATGCCATCTCCCAATTGTCTTTTCATGGACGATGCCATATGGTTTCAGCAAGTAGCTCCTCCCTGTCAGCATCTAACTCTACTCATGGAAAACTCATCTCTCAATGCCCAACTAAATACACAGTAGTACATGCCTGGTAACTCTGTCAAATTGGGCTCATTTTTTCTGATTGTGACCCTAGATATGATGATAAAGTGATGAATGATATTTTTGTAAATACCAGAATATATTTGTCCAAATATGCTCAGCATTCCCTTCATGAGAAATCGCTGGAGACATTTTTCTCAGGCCTGGATTTCATGGCAGTTTGCTTCCGTGCCCAATGTTTTCTTTTAAATCATGAAGAATCTTGTAACTGGTCACATTTTTCTCTTTACTCCCCATTTAGAAAGCCCAAAGCCAAACTACTAATCCATTTTAACTATGTGGGGCTAATTCTACCTGGCTTTCTTTTGATTTCATTATTTCCTTTGGTCCTGTTTTCTTTATTTGTTAATCAATCTTCCCCTTTCTCCTGTCCTTCCAGAATGTGACAAGATTTACAAAAAGCAGACACAATACAAAGAGGGAGAAAAACGTAGGCAGCAATCAGCAGTATGAAAGTTAACATCACTCCCATCGAAAGAGTAATCCTGGATGTCAGTCATCATTCTGATAGTGACAGGAGGCAGCCAAATGCCTAGGCAGATAGGAGTGGGTCCCTGGTTTGGGGTTTCGACCCCACCTTCAAGCCAAAAACAGCCTGAAGTCTGAAAGACTGGACTGCTGGTAACGGATGAAATCCACAACCCAAAGGGAGAACCTCTGTTCCTGCCCTTTCTCAATTGATTCTTTCTGAATAATGCCTTTTAACCAATCGAACATTGCCTTTTCCAGTACTACCTAAGGCCTGCTCCTCCCCGATTCTGAGCCCATAAAAGCCCCAGACTCAGCCATATTAGGGAAACTTTCCCACCTTCTGGTAGGGGGACCACCCCTGTGTCCCCTTTCTGCTGAAAGCAGTTTCATCACTCAAAACTCCCTGCCTTGCTCACTCTTCTATAGTCAGTGCATCCTCATTCTTCTTGGGCATGGGACAAGAACTTGAGAACTGGTGTGCAAGCCAGACTTGGCCCATGCAAGCTGGGTGGGCAGGCCATCTCCTGCAACAGGTAGCATGGCCGAGCGAGGCCTGGGCGGGGCATCACCAGCCAGAGGTCCCCAGCTTGCAAAGTGACCAAGAATAAAATCCTGCATCAATTCCAGCAACATGTCTTCCTTCAGAATCTGTGAGACCCTTTGGAACCAATGTCAGAATTATTCTTCCAATCCCCAAATATCCTAGAGTACTTGCTCCAGCCGCAACACAGGTTATGGGCTTTCACATGGGGAATACACAGGTGGAAGACACAACAGAGAGTGGCCTTCCTAACAACAGATGGGGCAAGTGACTGCACTCCAAAAAGCCTCCAAAGCCCTCCACCCATGGGCCTTGCTGACAACTGCAGCTTACTCTGTGTTCCTCTCAGCTCCCTCACACCCTTAAGCACACTGCCTCTCTCCCTCTCACTCCAGGCTTGGTCCTGCCACAGGGCATTGGTGCCTCTCTTTTTCTGCCTGTAAAGCTCTTCTGATTTTCTCATGGCTCCTACAGTTCATTAAGGTCTCAATTCTAATATTACGTCATGCTCAGGAAGACTCTCAGGACACCCTCTCTAAAACCATGCTCCTACCTCCTCCCTGATTTTTCTTCATGGCACGTCCCACTACCTGGCTGGAATATGATGTCATTATTTGTGTTTTTCTTTCTGTCTCTGCCACTAGAGTGGAGTCTCAGTGGACAGGGAATGTGTCTTGGTCACCATAGTGTACCTAATGCCCCAGACAACACCTGGCATGTAGAGGGTGCCCAATAAACATGGGGAATGGGTCAGTACAGTCACATAGGTGCCTTGACAGCAACGGGATGCAGCACTAGTACCTTGGAGCACTCATTAAGACATGAGTATAAAGAAAAGGGCAGGAACAAGCACAATTTTAAAAGAGATACATGCAGAGTTTGAGAGGACATGTTAAGGAACAAAAAAAAAAAAAATTAGAGTTATATAGAAAAGAGGAAGTGAGAAACTGTGACATCAGGAGAGATGTACTTGGAAAGGATTAGGGAAGCCTGAGCTACAGCAAGAGATGACAATATTACCAAGAAGGCAAGTGTGGGCTGGGCACGATGGCTCCAGCTGTAACCCTAGCACTTTGGGAGACCGAGTCAGGAGGAGTGCTTGAGTGTGAGACCAGCCTGGGCAACATAGACCCTATCTCTTAAAAAAAAAAAAAAAAAAAAAAAAAAAAAAAGGCATGATTGCGTGTGCCTGTGGTTCCAGCTACTTGGGAGGCTGAGGTGGAAGGATCTCTTAAGCCCAGGAGTTTGAAGCTGCAGTGAGCCATGATCATGCCACTGCACTCCAGCCTGGGCAACAGAGTGAGATCCCACCTCAAAAAAAAAGGCAAGTGCAATATTGTGGTGTTCCTCCAACACATACACATGCACCTGCCCACACACACACAAGCACTGTGGGCTGTGGGAGGACACGACACTCAGATCTTCCTCCCAGGTTTGGATTAAGATGAGTCCTGGATAATCTTGGTCTGAGTAACTCAGATCAAGTGTGATGAGCTGCTTGAAGGGCAGGTAAAGGGATTCAAGGATGTGGGGAGGATGGATCTGGCCGTAGATCGCCCAGCCAGATCCTGAGGAGAGTCTGGGTAGCCGACAAGGATGGTGGAGAGGGTGGTTTTGTCAGTGTGGTGAATCTGCTTTTTCTGGAGCCCAGACACCAGCTGGGAAAACTTCTAAAGGAGCCTTCCAGTTCCGGAGCAACATTCTTGCTGGAAGGGGGCTGGTGGCACTTCAAAAATACTTGATTCTAACAGGGTCACACACTGTTTATGAGGACATCTGGATTCATGGGAACTCCTTTGTGATTTCTGTGGTTCTTTTCAAATAGACTCTGGGCTGGGATGTCACATGGTGGCTTGTGATCAAGGTCTGGACTGAGGACACTCCCCCGTGACCTCACACTCTGGGACATGTTCTGGGTCCTGTGGCTTTGAAGAATTTCTAGTGCTTTCATCCTCTCCCTAGGGCTCCATGGAAGAGAATATTTATGCATGACAACTTTCTTGAAGTAAATTCTGCTGGGAGGGAGCTGCCCAAGTTCAGCCTGCCTGTGCTCAGCTCAATGAGTGCTTTCCAGCAGCCTTGAATTTCCAAGGGTTTCTCTGCTGGTCTTAAAGGTCTCTGTGAGCAGGGAACGTGCTGGCTGAGCAAGTCTCTGAGAAGATAATTCAACCAGGCTGTTGGAAGATGTTGACTAATTCCCAATTGTTGCAAAATCTGTGAAGATCTAACGTCCCTGCAGGAAATGCACGTCCCAGTGACCTCATGGTACCCAAGGGCCAACCCCCTTCCAACTGGCCCTCTTTAATGAGCCTTGCAAGTCCAGGTAGGTTGTTTGGATTCTCTCAGCCCCATGCAGATCTGAGATTTGGACATACAGCCATGCACCACATAATAACCTTTTGGTCAACAACATTCCACATATATGACAGTGGTCCCATAAGATTATAATACTGCATTTTTACTGTCCCTTTTTTATATTTAGCCATGTTTATATATACAAGTATTACTGTGCTACAGTTGCCTACAGTATTCAGTGCAGTAACATGCTTTACAGGTCTGTAGCTTAGGAGCAAGAGGCTGTACCATCTAGCCCAGGTGTGTAGTTGGGTATACCCTCTAGGTTTGTTTAAACTCTATGGTGTTCACACAGCAATGAAATTGCCTAACATGCATTTCTCAGAATGTATCCTCATCGTTAAGTGTTGCATGACTGTATATTGGATGTCCCTTGTGCCCTCAACTGCCTTTCTCAGATCCCCTGAAATCTTTGAAGTCCTAGAACTGAAACCCCAACCAGTGGGCACTGAGCATGAACCATAGAAAACATGACACCTGGCCCAACTCCACTTCAAGGTGTTAAATTTGATCTCGCCAGCTCAACAAAGTCCAAGGCCCTAGGGTATTTTCTCTTCCACACCCTCAAAGCAACTACAGTTGATGAAGACACCACGTGTTACTTTTAGGGAGAGGGGAAGGTAACAGCAGACCACTGAGGGGAAAGCTGATCTCCCAGAGCCCAAGCTGAGACTTCACCTGAGCTGGGTGGGTTTTGCAGAGGAGTGGAATAATGTCCAATTCTTGGGCAGTGTCTCAGGGTGCTACTTGGAGAACAGGCTGCTGAAAAAATTCTGTGTATGCATGGTGCTAGGTAAGGGGCCTTGCCATTGGGAGGTGGCTGGTCTAACAGCTTACTAGAAATTTTGCAAATTATGGAGGGGAAGAGAAGTCCAGGCTAACATGATGGCTTTTCAGAGGCAGTGAAAAGAAGCAGCCTTGAAAGGCAGCCACTGAGTGCCCCAAAGGCTCTTGTTTGAAGCATGACTCCTCCTGTTCCAGAAAAGGGTCTGTCCCTCACAGGTACTCCTGCCTTCCCTACCTTCCTCCATATGCCCACATTTATCTCTACAGCTTACTTGTGGAAACAAGCCCCAACTGGTCCAAAGCACCCCACTCTCTCCCACTCACTTGTTGCTGTCAGTATTTGAATGAATCAGCAGGGTTCCACTGAAACTATGAGAGGGTAACAGGCACGGGAAGGGGAAGGGCTGGGGCTTTGGGTGTTTGCTGTCTTGAAAGAAGTGCTCTGAGAGAATACTTATTTATATTTCAAAAGCTGGATTTTAATAACCTACTAAAACAGAGGCCTGTTGGGATATGGAATTTAAAAAATAAAAAAGCTTGAGGTCAGGAATTCAAGACTAGCCTAGCCAAAATGGGGAAACCACATCTCTACGAAAAATACAAAAAAAGTAGCTGGAACTTAGGGAGCCTGAGGCAGGAGAATCGCTTGAGCCCAGGAGGCAGAGGTTGCAGTGAGCTGAAATCATGCTACTGCACTCCAGCCTGGGCAACAGAGCAAGACTCTGTCTCAAAAAAAAAAAGGGAAGGAGAATCTTAGAAGAGAAACAGTGGAGATGTACAAGAATGATGGAGAAATATGGAAGATAATGGAAAAGTGCGGAAGGGAACAGAATTTGGAGGGAGAGCCAAGAATTATGGGAAAGGACAGACTCATGGGGAAAAAATGGTGGAAAACTGGGACTTACAAGAGAAAAAGAATTATGGGAAAGATAGGGTATTGTGGGAGAGAACAGAAAAATGTAGAAAAAAATAAGAATTTTAGTGAGAATGAGGCACTATGGGACAGAAAGGGAATTTGGGGAGAGCCAGGGAAGTGTGAGGAATACAAAACATCATGGGAGAAAATGGAATTGTAGGAGGGAACAGAGATTTGTGAGAGAGAACAGAGAACAGAGAATTGTGAGAGAGAATAGGGAATTGTGGGCAATATAAGGAATTGGGGGGGGGGGGAAGGAATTGTGGAAGGCAAGATACTGTGGAAAAGAGAACTGTGCCAGGCACAAAGGATTAATGGGAAAGACTAGAGAGTTATGGGAAAGTGATGAAATTGTGAGAAAGGTCAGGAATTGTGGAGGAAAATGTTGAATTTGGGGAGAGAAATTATGGCAGAAAATGAAAAATTGAAAAAGAACTGCATGTGAGACAATTTAATAGAGAGTAGAATTATAGAAAAAGAGATCTGTGAAAGATAAGAATAAAAAATTGTAGGAGAAATAGAGAATTTGTGGCAAAGACAAAGATTATTGGATAAATGGGGACTTAAGAGAGAAACGGAACTGTGGGAGAGACCAGAGAACCATGGGAAAGACAGAGATTGTGAGATGAATAGGGAATTATGGGAGGAAACAGAGGATTGTAGGAATGACCAAAATTGTGGGAGAAATAAGGAATTCTGGGAGAGCAGGGAATTGTGTGAAGGACAGGAACTGTGGAGAACAGAGTTGTGGGAGAAACAAAGAAGTATGGGAAAACAAGGCATTGTGGGAAAGACAGACCGGTAAGAAACATACAGGACTATGGGTGGGAATAGAGAATTGTGGGAAAGAGCTGCAATTGTGGGAAAAGCAGGAAATGGCGGGAGAGAATACTGTATCTTGGGAGAAAAGGAATTATGGTGCAGAATTAGTTGTAGGAGAAATGGAATTACAGGGCAGAGAGAATATGGTATAGAGAGAATACAATTACAAAAGAAAGATTTCTGAAATAGAAAAATGGAGAATTGGCTGGGCACGGTGACTCACACCTATAATCCCAGCACTTTGGGAAGCCGAAGTGGGCAGATCACTTGAGGTCGGGAGTTTGAAACTAGCCTGGCCAACATGGTGAAACCCCATCTCTACTAAAAATACAAAAATTAGCCAGGCATGGTGGTGTGCACCTGTAGTCCCAGCTACTCCGGAGGCTGAGGCACAAGAATCACTTGAGCCCAAGAGGTGGAGGTTGCAGTGAGCCGAGATCGTGCCGCTGCACTCAGCCTTGGCGACAGAGTGAATGAAACTCCATCTCAAAAAAAAAAAAAAAAAAAAAGAATGGCAAATTCTGAGAGAAAGAAGAGACGAGTGGGAAAGAAGAAATTGTTAGAGAAATATGGTACAGTGGGAGAAACAGGAAATTCCTGGAGAAAGACAAGGATTGTGGGAGACAAAAGGAATTATGGGAGACTCAAGATATCATGGGAGACACAAGGCATTATGGAAAATTCTGAAGCTTTATCGTGGGAGAAAAAAGGAATCGTGGGAAAGATGGGGATTGTGGGAGAAAGAAATTGTGGGAGAAAGAAACAGGAAATTGCTGGAGAAAGGCAAGGATTGTGGCAGACGAAAGGAATTGTGGGAGACGCAAGGTATTATGGGAAATGCAAGGCATTATAGAAAATTGTGAAGCCGTATTGTGGGAGAAAAAAGGAATCATGGGAAAGATGGAGGTTGTGGGAGACTGAAGGTACTATGGGAGAAACACAGAATTGCGGGAAAGACAAGGCTTGTGGGAGATTCCAGGTATTATGGGAGATGCAAGGCATTTATGGAAAACCATGAAGCCATATTGTGGGAGAAAATAGTAATTGTGGGAAAGATGGGGATTGTGGGAGACTCAAGGTACTGTGTAACAGAATTGTGGGAAAGACAAGGCTTGTGCGAGATTCCAGGTATTATGGAAGATTCACGGCATTATGAAAAATTGTAAAAAGGGATTGTGGGAGAAACAAGGAATTGTGGGAAAGATTGGGATTGTGGGGGACTCAAGGTAGTGTGAGAAAGAGAACTGTGGAAAAAAAGAAAGGATTATTGGGAAGAATGGAGAATTATGGGAAAGAAGAGGAATTGAGGGACAGGCAGGGAATTGTGGTAGAGAATGGAGACTTGTGGGAGAGAACAAATTAGAGTGGAGAATGGAGAACTGTAGGAGAGACAGATTGTGGTAGAAAATAGATTATAGAAGAGGCCTGATGCAGTGGCTCACGCCTGTAATCCCAACACTTTGGGAGGCCGAGGCGGGCAGATCACAAAGTCAGGAGTTCCAGACCAGCCTGGCCAACCTGGTGAAACTCCGTCTCTACTAAAAATACAAAAATTAGCTGGGCGTAGTGGTGGGTGCCTATAATCCCAGCTACTCAGGAGGCTGAGGCAGGAGAATCATTTGAACCCAGGAGGCAGAGGTTGTGGTGAGCTTAGATCGCGCCATTGCACTCCAGTCTGGGCAACAACAGCGAAACTCTGTCTCAAAAAAAAAAAAAAAAAGAAGAAGAATAAAATAGATTATAGAAGAAAACAGATTTTCAAGAAAAAATAGAATGGAGAATTGTGGGAGAAAACAATTGTTAGGAGAATGTTATTGTGAGAGAAATAGGGAATTATGAGAGAAAAAAGAATTGTGGGAGAGACAGGGGACTGTGGGGAAGAATGCCAAATTATGGGAGAGCCATGGAACTCTGGGAGAAATACAGAATCGGGGAAAATACAGGGTATTGTGGGAGATACACGGAATTGTGGGAGAGACAGAGAATTATGGGAGAAACAGAATTGTGGAGAGTAGAGAGGATTGATGGTCAAACCAAGAATGGCGGGGTGGGTGTCATATGGAATTGGGGGAGATAAAAGGCATTGTGGGAGATACAGCTACGCTCCTTTCTGGCCATGTTTCTGGGCTCTGAATGGGCCTCACCCCACCTGTGTGGGAACACAGCCCCTCTGTTCTATCCTAACCACGACCCCTCCACTCCCAACAAGCCCTAAGCCTCAGCCTCACCGGCCTGGGCTTCTCCCCGGGATGATCCTTAAATCTTGCAAGTTTGTGTACTAGCACACTCGTCTTCCAGGAAAGATCTATACTCCTGCTCCCATCAGAAATGCCCTGCTCTTAGTAGCCACATCCCTCCTGCCAGACTCTGCCCCTTCGCTCTCACCAGGCCCTACCCCAAAACACAGCCCCGGCCAGGCTCTATAAGCTCCACCCAGTCCCCACCCCTCCTGCCAGGCCATGCCCCCCTGGCTCGCTCCCTGGAGGGAAACCGGGAGGTACCAAGGGGCTGGGTCTCCTGAGAGCCAGCGCAGGCCCGGGAGTTGGGTGCCTGCACATCTAGGGAGTCAAAAGCGGTTCAGGTGCACAATCCTCCCCTAGTAATGACTCTCTTCAGGATTGTCCCAGATCCCAACACCTCGACTTGATGAGCAGAGAGTGTTCAGCAAGGAGGCACAATGGTGACGGGGCGTGGAACCGAGCTCCATCCAGCGGCTCTCCGCCTCCCTAAGCGGAGACACAGATCCCCTCAATGGAAACTGCTGCCACAATCACAAAACGCGATGCATTACGTGTTTTCTTCCACGCCCATGCACTGGGCTGGTCCTACAAGCAAATTGCAGTGTCTCTCCACTTAAAAACCTTAACTGGCCTTTCGCTGGCCACCGGATAAAGCCCAAACGCCCTAGCAGAATCTTTATAAACCCTTCACCACTTCTCCAGCTTCCCCCAACGCCTCCATACCACGCTGAGCCACAACCGTCCCCAAACAAGACGCAGACTTTCTATGCTAACTCTCAACACCGCGTCTTCCTCATCTAGATTTTCTGTCTCCTCTTTGCCTATGCTGTTCTATCATCTAAGACCCAGCCCGCACATCACCTTCTCCAGGAACTCTCACCAGTGTTCCAAAACCAACTTAGTCCTGCATTGCCTGTGTTCCTTTAACCCTTCACAGGTTTAAAAAAAAAAACAGTATTGTCCTTACTTACTTGGGAGTTTCACAAATTATACTTCTCAGGAACACTCACCCATCCCGGCTAAAATGGTGTTGAATATTTGCTTAAGACAAAATTCAGTTAACTTGTGTGAAGTACCTAGTAAGTTCCAGACACCATATCAGATACTTAATAAAGCTCCATGCCAGCCTATTGGTCTTGTAGTGAAACCCGAAGCAGTAGGGTCTGAAGGGTATGATGAACAAGTTGAGCTTTATATCCACTGTCTACATAGGGAGAAGCCCATGGCTAAGTTTTTTCTGTATCTGCCATCGTAGTAATCAGGTGCAGCCAATAGGAAAGCAGCCCTGGTAAGGGGTTTTCCTTGACTTTACGCACAGAAGTAGTATCCGATGCACACTTAACTTACCCAAATTCACCTCTACTTAGTGAGGGGCTGGGGAGGTATGGCAGGGAGAGTAGGTGAGGATTTACATAGTCCCAGGGATCCTGCTGCCTGCAAGCTGGTAAAGCTCTGGTAGGAAAATCGGAATGACACCTGCGTTTCCCCCGCCACTGACAGAAGGGAAGCACATTCTGGGGTGACAGGCAAGTGGCCCCAGAGACATACCGACCAGGAAAGATTTAGAAGGGATCCTAAAATTGTCCCCAAACAATACAATGGTGATGAGAGCCAAAAGTCCGATGTGGAAATATTAAAAAATGTGAGGTGTCCTAGGCAGCAAATTAATTTCTGAATAAAAGCCTTTTCAATTCTTTTTAGATTAATGTATGCAAATTCCTGCATAGGGTTACCATACAAAATGGTGATGACTGCATGTTATGGGCAATTTTAAGATATTCAAAGGGTGACTAGATGTAAACTTATGACCCTAACCACCACCTCAGTAGCACCGCCACTTTATACTTTTTTTTAAAGAGATGGGGTCTCACTATGTTGCCCAGTCTGGACTCCAACTCCTGGCCTCAAACGATCCTCCTTCCTCAGCCTCCTGAGTAGCTGGGGATACAGGTTCATACTACCAGGCCAGGCCACTTTATACTTTTGCAGATGTTTGTTGTTAATTCTGAAAACTCACTCTATGCTTCAAGCTCTATCCTCAAAAACCCTGACAGATGTTACCTAATAATATGTCACTTGGAGTTCTAAATTGGCAGCTGCCATTTTTACAGGAATTCTTCCCACAATAAAAAAATACCGATTGTATTTCTCATTTTTCTCAAAAGGCTTTCCTTTTGTTCTTTCCTTTTCCTCCAGTGTTTTCTCCAATTGGTATTTCCATTGAGTGTTCTATTGTTAGAATAGAATGATTTTTTAAAATATTTTAATTTTCTCCAATAGACTGTGAGATCCTTGAGGGCCAGGTTTACACATCTCCAGTATCTCCACCCCACTCAGCTCCTAGTACACAGCCTGGTAGAGTTTGGGGCAGTCATAAGTAGTTATTAACAGAATAAGAGTGGGCCAGGTGCAGTGGCTCAGGCCTATAATCCTAGCACTTTGGGAGGCCAAGGTGGGAGGATCATTTACAAGAGTTTAAGACCAATCTGGGCAACATAGGGAGACCCCAGCTCTATAAAATAAATTTTAAAAACACACACACAAAACCAAAGAAAATTAGCAGGGTGTGTTGGCACCTGCTTGTTGTCCTAGCTACTCAGGAGGCTGAGGTGGAAAGATAGCTTGAGCCCAGGAGATCAAGGCTGCAGTGAGCCATGTTCATTCCACTGCACTTCAGCCTGGACAACAGAGTGAGACCCTGTCTCAAAAATAAATAAATAAAACAAAGAATAGGTGTATCCATACAACGAAATATTATCAATCCATAAAAAGAATGAAGTTCTGACACCTGCTACAACATGGGCGAATCTAGAAAACACTATCCGAAGTACAAGAAACCAGACACAACAGGACGAATATTACACAATGCCCTTTCCATGTAAGGTCTGGAACAGCAAAGCCATAGAGACAGAAAGGAGATTCATGGTTGCCAGGGGCTGGGGAGAAGAGAAGGGAAATGACTCCCTGGGGGCACAGGGTTTCTTTCTGCAACGATGAACATGTTCTGACTTAGATAGTGGTGACGTGTGCACAACCACTGAAATGTGCCATTTAAAGGGGTGACCTTTATGGTACGTTAATTATATCTGAAATTTTTTAAAAAGCCAAGGGACCAGGTGCAGTGGCTCAAGCCTATTATCCCAGCACTTTGGGAGGCCGATGCAGGAGGACCACTTGAGACTAGCCTGGGCAACATAATGGGACCTCGTGTCTCCAAACACTAAAAAATAAAATAAACTAGGCATGGTGGTGTGCACCTGTAGTCCCAGCTACTCAGGAGACTCAGGTGGGAGGATTGCTTGAGCCCAGAAGGTGGAGGCTGCAGTGAGACGTGTTCCTTCCGCTACACTCTAGCCTGGATGACAGAGGGAGACCCTGTCTCAAAAAACAAAAACAGGGAGCCCTCACAGAGAGCAGCCTCCAGGGATGGCTGCCCTGCTTATTTTTCTATTGGATCTGTATTTGCTTTTTCTAAAACCTCTATGTGAAAACATCCAACCTTTGAGCAGAAGATCTATGCAACAGCTTGCCGGAGGGAGTGGAAGTAAGGAAATGCTGATGGATTTTGTTTGGTGGTGGTGATTGGGGTGGGGTGCAGGGGACTTTTACTGTTATTTCTAGTGTTTTATTTGACTGTCAAATATCTGCTCAGCCACTTTAAAACAGCAGGATGGGAATGCAAAGCCAAATAATTCAAGATAACATTTTTTGCTTCATTCCCTAGATGGTATCAGTAACTCTACAGACTAACAGCAGTTCCAGCTGGTGGGTCCCTCATGCTTCGTGAACTATTTGTACCAGACGGAAAGTCTGTAAATAAATCTTCTCTCTGTGTCTTTTAGCTTCAGCCAGAACTATCTCTTTCTCTTCATGGCTCCCAATTTCAACCAGACAGTACGGTATCATGGAATCAATTCATCAGTTCATCACCATATTTTTTGGTCTTCAAAGTAAACCAAGCTTGTCACCTGAAAGTGAAACTTCCTTCAATGTATTTGTTTGTTTTTGTTTTTGTTTTGTTTTTTAGACGGGGCTTCACTCTTGTTGCCCCAGCTGGAGTGCAATGGCGCGATCTCAGCTGACTGCAACCTCCTCCTCCCAGGTACAAGTGATTCTCCTGCCTCAGCCTCCCAAGTAGCTGTGATTACAGGTGTGTGCCTCCATGCCGGCTAATTTTGTATTTTTCGTAGCGACGGGTTTTCACCATGTTGGTCAGGCTGGTCTCGAATTCCTGACCTCAGGTGATCCGCCCACCTTGGCCTCCCAAACCTGCTGGCATTACAGGCATGAGCCTCCACACCCAGCTATTTTTGTATTTTTAGTAGAGATGGAGTTTCACCATGTTGGTCAAGCTCGTCTCTAACTCCTGACCTCAAGTGATCCACCTGCCTTGGCCTCCCTTCAGTGTATTTGAATAGTAGGAATGGAAAAGAAAACGGAACTCCTTAAGCCATTTCCAAACATCTTTCTGCATATTATTTTTCTTACTCCAAATTTCAACATTATTTTGGTACACCCCATCACGGGATTGTGTGGTGTTTGTCTTTGGTTTTGTGTTTGTGTGCATTTAGCTCAGACAACATCTGGAAAAAAATCACATTTTTAGATCCAAGCCTAATTATTCTGAGACACTGGTTGTGAACTGGGGGCCACTGTGGCTCCCCAGGAGACATTTGTCAATGTCTAGAAAGAGTTTTGGTTGTCACAATTGGGGAGGTGCAACTGGAAGCTAGTGAGTTCACATGAGAGGTGCTGCTGAACACCCCGCCATGCACAGGACAGCCCCCGGGACAAAGAATCCTCTAAGGCTTTCCAAGGGGAGCCCTGGGACCCCGAAGTCTACCTGCTGTGGCAGACAGGGCATTACCTTCAGACAGCATGCTCAGGGCTTCGTCAGAAGTCTGCCCACCCACTTGAGACACCTTCCCGGAAGCAGGGTTTTCATGGGGCATCAGTGGGGATGGGTGAGCCCCCTCAGCAGCCGAGGTGGTCAGTGATTCCCACTGGATCTCCTTCCTGGGAGACTGAAAACCCAGGCTGCATCCTGTCCAGCCGTAGAAGGCCAAAGACAAGAGAAATCCCTGGGCTGGATTCAGGATTCCCTGGAGAGAGGACAGAAAGACACATGGCAGTCAGTGCAGCGTAGCAGAAGTCAGAGCCCTGGGCTGTCACAGAGTGACACACTCCCCCCAGGATGCCCACAGGGCTGGACTCGCTTGGAAGGGACCATGGGTTGGCTGGTGGCTGGTTGACTGGTTGGTGGGTTGGTTTGGGGCAAGATGAAGATTGGCCACAGTAGGTGCTGTACCTTCAAGGGTGCCTGAAAGCAGAGGGGAGTGGGGAGAGGAGGGGACGGGGAGGAGCTGGAGTAGAGAAGGGAAGAAAGGGGACAGAGGACAAGAGAGAGGAGGGAAGACAGGAGAAGGAGAAAGTGGGAGGAGAGGGTGGGGGAGGAGAAGAGGGCAGCAGTGGGAGAAGGGGAGAGGGAGCGCTGTAGCACAGGGACTGAACAGCCAGCTCCTCCTGCAGCCTGGGGGCCTCTGTTCTCCCCAGTTTGCCACCCTGTGCTGCCAAGGGAGCACTTGATGTAATAAAGGTTCCTGAGGCTCAGACGGAGTCTGGGAAACATCCCTCCACTCTTGTGTGCTAAGGACACATAAAGTTCACCAGAGGAACCCAGCCAAGCTCCAAACCACGTGCAGGGATGGAAGGACCGGTGCTGGCTCCATTTGAAAGTCTTTGTAAATGAGACTTTCCCCATTTCAAAAGCAATATAAATATGGATTCTGTATAGTACAATATGCACCTCCCTGCCAACAACACGTGTGCATTTCTTCTTATAAAGGTGAGAGAATGGCAGCACTGGGGCAACTTGCCCATGGGGCTTCTACCCCATCATTCTCTTCATGTATGTCCATCCAATACATGAATTTTTTTTCTGTTTCATTTCTTGTGTTTTTTCATTGTTTCCCCGTTGAAAAAAGATAAACATGTTTTTCTGTACTTGTAATTGGTATAATTGTATATATTTGATTTCCCAGTTAATACCAGAGATTTCATAATCATCATTTTTAACATCTGAGTAATAGTCCATCAAGATGAAAGACCATAATTTACTTAAACATTTCTTTCTTTCTTTTTTTTTTTTTTTTTTGGAACTCCAGGTTGCCTATAATGCTTTACAATTATGAAGGATAATGCTACCAGGAATATCTTCATCTGTGTGGCTTTTTCATGGTCTGAAGCATTCCTTCAAGATCCATGCTCTGATATTGTGAGACTGCCAGGAGCTTTGATACACTGCACCAAACTGTTTGACCAGAGTTGAAGCATTTAATAAGGATCCCGACAACAAACAAAACAGCCAGCTAGCACACTAAGGCCAGGAGCCTATTTTGCTCATCCTGTATTTAAATATAATATATTGTACTTCTGACTGCTTCTTTTTCTTCTGATTTTTTTTCAAGCAGAAAGTGTTAAATATAGATAATTAAAAAAAGAGATGGGGTCTCCCTACATTGCCCAGGGTGGAGGCATACACCTGTAGTCCCAGTTACTCAGGAGGCCAAGACAGAGGATTGCTTGAGCCCAGGAGTTTAAGGCTGCAGTGAGCTATGATCATGCCACCGCTTTCCAGCCTGGGTGACAGAGTGAGACCTTGTCTCTGAAGCAAATTAATTAAATAATTAACTAATTAAAATAAAATATAGATTGACCTACCATAATAAACCATGTGGTCTTGGCTGCAGTTCTGACAGGTTTCAAAGAACCTCCATTGATATCTGTTTGCATCTCAAGATAGAATAAAAGGCTTTCATTGATGATATTCGACAACCAACTGTTAGAAAGAAAATGGCAGCAGGTAAAGAGAACATGCAATGAAACTCGTTTTTAAATGCTGGAGAGTCAGAGAAGAATTTCTACCAAGACCTAAAAGTACCAACTCCCGGTATAGACATGGCCACTTCTGCAGTAAGAAACTAAGAGGGCCAGGTGCAATGGCTCCCTCCTGTAATCCCAGCACTTTGGGAGGCTGAGGCAGGAGGATTGCTTGAGCCCAGGAGTCTGAGACCAGCCTGGGCAACACAGTGAAATTTGTCTCTACTAAAAATAAAAAATAAAAAAATTAACCAGGTGTGGTGGTGTGCACCTGTAGTCCCAGCTAATTGGGAGGCTGGGGTGGGAGGATCGCTTGAGCCCAGGAAATCGAGCCTGCAGTGAGCTATGAATGTGCCACTGCACTCCAGCCTGGGGGACAAAGTGAGACCCTGTCTCAGAAAGAAAAAGAAAAGAAATGAGACTAAGAGGAACCAGCACACTAAGAATTTAATTTAAAAAACATAATTCGTTTTCTCAGTCTAAAGCACAGATCAGCAAATCCTTCCAATGGTACCACTCAACACCACATCAGGGTGTAAGGTTCTAGCACTGTATCAAATAACCCAGAATTCATTTTTTGTTTGAAGAGCAACGTACAGTTTTCATGGAGATCAAAACAATTTTTTCTTGCCATTTTATAATAGTATTTTTCAATGTTATTTTAGGTGGCTCAGTGAAATATGAAATGTTGAACTGAGTGTATTTTTAGTAGGAGATGATTTATGTATCTCCAAGAAAGGTGTCCAAACAAAGCTCATATCAGGTGAATTATTATTACTATTATGTTTTAGAGACAAGGTCTCGCTCTGTCACACAGGCTGGAGAGCAGTGGCATGATCATAGCTCACTGTAGCCTCGAACTCCTAGGCTCAAGTGATCCTCCTGCCTCAGCCTCCCGAGTAGCTGGGACTATAGGCATGTGCCACCATTCCTGGCTAATTGTTGTTGTTGTATCGCCCAGGATGGTTTTGAACTCCTGACCTCAAGGAATACTCCTGCCTCCAACTACCAAAGTGTGAGCTACCACGACCCGCGCAGGTGAATTTTTAACATCATAAGTACTTGCCCTGCCTGCAAGGTACTGATTCACCACAGTGCAGCATGTTCTGATTCCAGTTTTATTTTTTGCATTGGTTACAGGTCTGTTTTCAAAGTATCCACCTGAAAGGTTTGGACAGGATACCAGTGGTGGGGAAAAATGAGGAGAGACAAACTGCTCAGGCCGTTCTCCAACCTTCTTGACCAAAGACGTGCCCTTGCCCCTCTGTCAGGCACAGGAATTCTGGTGTCAGGAGTGAGGCAAATGGGTGAGTTTATAAAGCATGACCAGCTGAGTGTGGTGGCTCACGCCTGTAATCCCAGTACTTTGGGAGGCCTAGACGGGTGGATCACTTGAGGTCAGGAGTTTGAGACCAGCCTGGCCAACATGGTGAAACCTCAACTCTACTAAAAATACAAAAATGAGCTGAGTGTGGTGGCACACACCTGTAATCCCAGCTACTCGGGAGGCTGAGGCAGAAGAATCACTTGAACCTGAGAGGCGGAGGTTGCAGCGAGCTGAGATCGTGCCATTGCACTCCAGCCTGGGTGACAGAGTAAGACTACTTGGGAGGCTGAGGTGAGAAGATCACTTGAGCCCTAAAGATCAAGGTTGCAGTGAGCTGTGATTGAGCCACTGCACTCCAGCACTCCAGCCTGGGTGACAGAGAAAGACCCTGTCTCAAAAAAAAAAAAAAAAAAAAAAAAAGCATACGCAACCCCTTTGTTTTGGTTAACCCCAGCAATGCACATGGTTGGGACATTTCAAAACTAAACTTGGGTGTTCGTTTTCTAAGGGCTTTATATATAATTTGAGTAGATTTGAATGTTTTTCCAGAAATTCATGAATTTTGGACTTGCTCCCCTGTCCTCTGTGCCTTTCCTCAAAGGGCACCTAGCACAGTCTCAAAGATTTCCTTCCCAAAGGCTCTTCCCTTTGGAACTTCTGGTCACGCATGCAACATGGCAAGTTGTTTCCATAGCCCTTCCCACTGGCAATAAAAATACACATATATAGAAGAAAGGTTACCAAATAATTAAAACCAGCATGATTTTGAAAAATCGGATCTTGATCACGGCTCCCATCCTCCTCTCGTTCTCCGTGTAAATGCCTTGTCTTCCTTTAAGTAAAGAGGCCACTGTGAAGAACAGAAGGAACTATGTATGGTGTTCATTATTCATGTTTACGGAGTGACAGAGAAGGCAATGGAAGCAGGTGTGAGCCCACAAGCAAGGCCAGAGGGGCAGGAAGCAAAGCAAGTCACTGACATTCATTCCTCACAACTTCCAGGTTGGAGTCCTCATAGACCCTAAGGAATATACATATTTTTAAACTTCTGCTTTGAAATAATTTTAGATTTACATAAAAGTTGCAAAGATAAAAGATAGCACAGAGAGTCCCTGTATATCCCTACCCTTTACCCAGATTCCCCTCAATGTAAGCATCTTATGCAACCATGGGGATGTTCTTCACAACTATGAAATTAACACAGGTACATTACTATGTTAACTCCCAATTTTGGCTGGGTGCAGTGGCTCACACCTGTAATCTCAGCACTTGGGAGGCCAAGGTGGGTGGATCATTTGAGGTCAGGAGTTCGAGACCAGCCTGGCCAACATGGTGAAACTCTGTCTTTACTAAAAATACAAAAATTATCCAGGCATGGTGGTGCACGTCTGTAATCCCAGCTATCCGGGAGGCTGGTGCACGAGAATCCCTTGGACTCAGGAGGCAGAGATTGCAGTGAGGCAAGATCACTGCACTCCAGCCTGGGTGACAGAGCAAGACTCCGTCTCAAAATAACTAAATAAATAAATTCCCAATTTTATTTGAATGCTCCTAGTTCAGAAACTATATTTTTAAAAGCTCATTTTCTCTGTTATAAAAATAGAGGTGCAGTGGCTCACAACTGTAATCTTAGCACTTTGGGAGGCTGAGGCAGGTGGATCACCTGAGGTCAGGAGTTCGAGGCCAGCCTGGCCAACATGGTGAAACCCCATCTCTACTAAAAATGCAAAAATTAGCTGGCTGTGGTGGCAGATGCCTATAATCCCAGCTACTCGGGAGGCTGAGGCAGGAGAATCGCTTGAACCTGGGAGGCGGAGGTTTCAGTGAGCCGAGATCACGTCAATTCACTCCAGCCTGGGCAAAAGAGCGAAACCCCATCTCAAAAAAATAAAAATAGTGCACGCTTGTTAAAATATTGAAAAAAATTTAATTTCTTCTTATAGACAAGTTAGAAAATATTTAAAAGTTTAGAGAAGTATGAATGACCCATGGTCCGTCCACCCAGAGGTAACCACTGTTAACATCTTAGTGTATTTCTTTTCAGTCTTTTTTCTATAAGTCATTTCCATCAGCTCAAATCACTATTTTTGATGAGATTTTGTCTTAAAATGCTATATTTAACACACTATATTTAAATGTAGATATGCGCCAGGCGTGGTGGCTCACGCCTGTAATCCCGGCACTTTGGGAGGCCAAGGTGGGTGGATCACCCGAGGTCAGGAGTTTAAGACCAGCCTGGCCAACATAGTGAAACCCCGTCTCTACTAAAAATACAAAAAAAAGTAGCCGGGCGTGGTGGCGCTTGCCTGTAGTCCCAGCTACTCAGGAGGCTGAGGCAGGAGAATCACTTGAACATGGGCAGCAGAGGTTGCAGTGAGCCGAGATCACGCCACTGCACTCCAGCCTGGGGTGACAGAGCGAGACTCCGTCTCAATGAAAACAAAAAGTGTAGATATGAAGAGAATGGTCCGAAGAATCACAATAATTTCCTATTACCAATGATAGAGTACTCTCAACAATGTTTTTAAAAAGTTCAACAATCAACAGGTGATCTTCAAAGGACCTCTCAGTTAAGGCAAATTTCCTTATTCCCATTCTCCCCTTGAGAGATCTCTGGCAGCCTGAGGAGGTGGGAGGCTCACTCCAGGACACACTTCCTTGAGGGGAAAGTAGGGGCTGGACTGCAGGTCTCCAGCCCCAGCCTAGAAGTCTTTCCCAGACATGTTGCCAACGACTTCATTACTCTTATCCTTTTCTAACCATTGACCTTGACTCATTTCCTGTGCTCCACTTCCTGTTTCCTGCCCATCTGAGAAAAAACATCAGCCAAGTGCATTATGGGGCTGGAGCCGCCTCAGTACAGACTCAGTCCCTTCCCCCTCCCTTCTCTTCTCCTTCTGTTCCTCTCACACCTCCACAGTCGTCCAAGGGCACTCCTGCAGCCGACCCAGGAGAAGCCCAGTACAGAAGTGAAAAGTCAACTAGTCCTGGCACTGAGCTAACAAACGATGGTACAGAACTTGTGCGGGCAGAGGCCTGCACATTTTCATTTATTGAACCTGCTTACTTTCTGCAGCTGTGTTCTGCTGATGTCTCTGGAGGATGACAAATGAGGTCAACTGTCCTGGAGAATTCCAGGACAACATGTGTCACTGTCTGAGCCCGAGGCATGGGGCCGCTCCCAGTGGCCGTGTACCCAGAGAGCTTCCCTAGTATTTACCTGCAGTCACTGTCTTTTGGAACAGGATGGGGTTCGCCACGAGAACCAGCAGCAGGGGCAGGTACATGGTGACATAGTGGGGGATGGCGTGGTCCAGGCCCCGCTCACACCTGAGAGAGGAAAACCAAAGTCATTCTTCTCAAAAGCAAAGTTTTGGCTAAAAGACATCTACTTATCTGGAAGTCAAGATAAGAGGATGAGAACAAAAAGGGAAATGCATAAATCTGCTGCTGACTGCCCAAAGGAAATGTGAGTCATTTCTCATGTCTGGAACAAGCCATAAATTGCAGGAGAGTAAGGGAGATCAACCATGTTTCTGTCTCAGAAATGGGAGGACCCCTAAGGCATTCCACTGGAGGAAGCTTTTAAAGGTTCCTGCTGGGAAAAGATCGGAAAGAAAAACACCCTGGGATGGGGGATTCCCTGCACTGGGTCTCAAGGAAAAAACGCAATTCAAGTAGAGACAAAGGCACTCCATTAAATAGTGAGGTTTTGAGTACTTACTACATGGTTTTGGGCAATAACATGAATAAAATCTTGTCCCTGGGCTTGAACAACTCAAAATATGCCAGCTGCATATTTCAGAGGAAATGTGTTCTCATGGTTATGGATAACAATAGTTTCAGAGGTTCTTGTCAGAGAAAAGGACAAAGATTTCTACTGAGGGGTCATAGGAGTCACTGGTCACCACAGAATGTGCTGGAGGGCCTCACAAACATATGTTACCAAGGTAACAACTCTCAGCTGCGAAATGCTTAATGTAGGAGAGAAGCAAAATGGCACAGAGGAAGAGGAAACTGAAGGCAAAGGGGAGGGAGGTCTGCTCCAGCTCAACCAAAGAGGGAGGTGGAAAAGGGGCTAACCAAACAGCCTCATGGCCACGGAAGGGGGAATGACAAAAAATAAATTAAACACCCTTAATATTGACGGAGTTGTCAAACCAGAGGGGAAAGTGGCAGAAAATGTAAAAAAAAAAAAAAAAAAAAAAAAAAAAATCAGGTGGGAAAAATGCAATACCCGTCTCCTCTTGCCATAGGAAGAATTACTATACCACCTCTCAACGCTGCCACTTTCTTTTAACAGGCGGTTTTATCTTTAGCTGTAGAGGCTAAAATTCAATCTGGAAAGGCTTGAAAGGAGAAAGAGAAACAAGAGGAGAAAGAGAAGTGACTCCGATGCAAAGACAGAAAGGAAATGACAAATAAGAGAGTGAGACTGTGAGCATGAAGAACACCGAGCGCCCTGGGTCAGGCGTTGTGAAAATGAAGAGATGATTAAGGATAAGATGCTTAAAAGGTACAGCTCCTAAAGACCCTGGGAGCACCTCAAGGCTCCCTGTGCGCCCTGCAGCAATGGCACCCTAAGGCTCAGATGCAACTTTGCCAGGAGTCTCCGGGGTCCCACAGGCGAGGGAGAGTCACAGAAACTCCCTTTCCAACTAAGTGCATTCCGTTATAACAGCTGCTGACAGTGCATCTGTCCTTTTAAAGTTCCCCAGAAAAGCAGAATGTATGGATGGATCTATACAGAGCTCCCTGCTTGTATTCATGGTTGACAAGGCAACACCAATTTGGAGACATCCTCACTGAGTAGCCGCAAGAAGCAAGAGAAGAGGGAGATAAATTATCTACACCAATTTTTTTCTGTCGATTTTTTTTCTGTAAAAGAACAGATAGTAAATATTTTCAGCTTCATGGGCCACACTGTGGTCTCTGAGGCAACTACTCAACTCTGATGTTGTCATGCAAAAGCAGTCAGACAGTACATAAAGAAATGAGTGTGACTATATTCCAATAAAACTTTATTTACAAAAACGGAAGAACGCCGGATTTGTCCTGAGGGCTACACTGTGTTGATCCCTGGTATAAAAATCACAGACAAAGACACTGTCCACTTCCATTTTCCAGTTTTCCATTGGAAGTTAGAGTATATATCCTTGGAAAGACCTTGGCTTTGCAACTGAGGGTTGCATGGACAGGAATGTAAACTTGAGGAAATGCTTGAGACAGTTCCAGCGGCCACATCTCCCTCTGTGTGGAGGATAGAAGAGAAGTGAGAAAGCGTAGGAAGCAAAGCTAGAGAATAAGCTCTGCCCAGGGATCCTTATGGCCTCTTCCACATTATCCTACACTCATTCCTAGAATGTTAAGCTCACCTGCTCATCCAGAGGAAGCTTGAAGACCAAATACTTAAGAGTGGGCATGAGAAAACTGTACCAATACAGGGGCTGGGAATACACCTTACGTGGAGGGAAATATGCGGAAAGCTTTGCCTACATGCTTGTGTGCATGGGTGCCTATGCACACAAACGAGAAAGGCAGAGCCAGGGAGAATGATTCCAGGGTCATTCTCCAAGCTATTGTAGTCAGCCCTCTGGGGCTGGGCCGTGAGCATGGCCTCATGTGGCCCTGAGACAACGGCCTAACCTCCAAGGCACCCACTCTGTGGGTCGGGGCTCATGTATTCCCTGCAAGACAACACATTATGAGCCAAGGATGGGGCTGCCTGGGGCGCTGGAGTCCCAACTTACCTGGACACGGAAGGGTAGTAGAGCATGGCGGCTCCCTCCACACAGAGCAGGGTGGCCAGGCCCCACGCCATGATGTGATACAGCAGGATGGTGCTAGGGGACAAGCACAACAGCAGCCACAGCTCAGTGGGGCACAGAGGCCTGCCTGGAACTGCCAGGCCAGCTCCTGCGCTCTGGAAAGGTCAGGAAAATGTACACAGAGGAAAGCCCCTCGGCAAAGAGTTTCCTCGTGCTGCTGAGGTTGGTTGGTTGTTTTCCATTGAGGTGAAATTCACATCACATAAAATTAACTATTTTAAAGTGAACAACAAAGTGGCATTTAGTACATTCACAATGCTCTGCAGCCATCACCAGCGTCTCCTTCCAAAATGTTTTCATCATTCCAAAAGGAGACCCCATATCCATTAATTGGTGATATGGTTAGGCTTTGTGTCTCCACCTGAATCTCATCTTGAATTGTAATCTCCAAAATCCCAAGGGATAGAACAAGTTGAACTAATCACTGTTGGATGGAAATCAATTGGTTAGGTGGTTGGAGGACGGAAATGACCAGGTGGAGGTAATTGAATCATGGGGGCGGTTTCCCCCATGCTGTTCTCGTGATAGTGAGTGAGTTCTCACGAGAGCTGATGGTTTTATAAGGGGATTTCCCTCCCCCCCCAACCCCCTCCGGCCCCCAATCGCTCGGCTGCCTTGTGAAGAAGGTGTCCTGCTTCCCCTTGGCCTTCTGCCACGATTGTAAGTTTCCTGAGACCTCCCCAGCCACGCTGAACTGTGAGTCAATTAAACCTCTTTCCTTTATCAATTAGTCTCAGGCAGTTCTTCATAGCAGTGTGAGAAGAGGCTAATATAAATGGTCACTCCCCTTTGCCCATCCCCCAGCCCCTAGCAACCACTAATCTAGTTTCTGTCTCTGTGGATTTGCATGTTCTGGATATTTCATGTAAATGGAAATATATGCTACGTGGCCTTCTGCACCTGGCTTCCTTCACTCAGCATAATGCTTTCCAGGTTCACTGACGTTGTAGCATGGATCAGTTTCTTCATTCCCTTGTTTCTTTTAATATTCTGTTGAGGCAGTATCTTGCTATGTTGCCCAAGCTGGTCTTGAACTCGTGATCTCAAGCAATCCTCCCACCTTGGCCTCCCAAATTGCTGGGATTATAGGCATGAGCCACTGTGCCCTTTCTTTCCTCTTTTTGTAGGGGTTAGGGGTCAGGGTCTTGCACTGTCATTCAGACTGCAGTGCAGTGGTGCAATCTCGGCTCACTGCAACTGTCTCCTGAGCTCAAGCAATCCTCCCACCTCAGCCTCCTGAGTAGCTGGGACCACAGGCACACGCCATCATGCCCAGCTATTTCTTTGTATTTTTTTGTGGAGATGAGGTTATGCCATGTTGCCAGGCTGCTCTTGAACTCCTCAGTTCAAGTGATCCCCCTGCCTCGGCCTCCCAAAGTGCTGGGATTACAGGCGTGAGCCATAGCGGCGGCCCTTTCTTCCCTTTTTCTGACTGAATACCATTCCATTGTATACATGGGCCAAGATTCACCCATCAATGGACATTTAGGTTGTTTCCACTGTTTGTCTACTGTGAGTAGGGCTGCTATGAACATGTGTTATGTACCAGTATTTGTTTGAGTTCCTGTTTTGTTTTGAGATAGAGTCTCACTCTGTGGCCCAGGCTGGAGTCCAGTGATGCAATCATAGTTCACTGCAGCCTCCAATTCCTAGGCGTAAGCAACCCTCCCACCTAAGCCTCCCAAGTAGCTGGGACCACAGGCATGCACCACCATGCCCAGCTAATTTTTTTTTTTTTTGTAGAGATGGGTCTTACTATGTTGCCCAGGCTGGTTTCAAACTCCTGGCCTCAGTGATCCCCTCACCTTGGCCTCCCAAAGTGCTGGGATTACAGGCATGAGCCACTGCACCTGGCTGGGTTCCTGTTTTCAGTTCTTTGGGGTGTATACGTGGGAGTGGAGTTGCTGGGTCAGATGGCATTTTTTTTTTCAAGATGGAGACTTGCTCTGTCACCCAGGCTGGAGTGCAGTGGTGCAATCTCGGCTCACTGCAACCTCCACCTCCCGGGTTCAAGCAATTCTCCTGCCTCAGCCTCCCGAGTAGTTGGGATTACAGGCGCCCACCACCAACCTGGCTAATTTTTGTATTTTTAGTAGAGGCAGCATTTCACCATGTTGGCCAGGCTGGTCTTAAACTCCTGACCTCAAGTCATCCACCTGCCTTGGCCTCCCAAAGTACTGGGATTGCAGGCATGAGCCGCCGTGCCCGGCCATACATTTCTGCTATTTATAAGCTGCCGCCAGTCTGTGATGTTTGTTATAGCAGCCTGGACGGACTAAGACTGCACCTCACGGGCACAGCACTCGCCAGGTGCTCCTCCCAGCCTCCCCACTTACTCCTCTTACAGCCTCATCCCAGGAGGATGCTCTGAGGCTCAACAGGTTTGAACCGAATGCAAACAGCTGGCACATTAACTAGCTGCATCACCTCGGCCAGACCCACTTCTCAGAGCCGTGAGTTGCTCCTCTCAGCTGGGTGAACACGGAAACCCTCTGCGGCCTTCCTGTGCCACTACGCTAAGGGGCCAGGTGGACGTCAGGCCTGGCTGCTTTCTGCTACTTACGCTGCCCTCCAGGGCAGGCTGGCCGTCCCCGCCCACCTCCACTTTCCTACAAGGCTGGGCTTGCCCTGGATGCCCAGCTGTCTTCACTTTGAGGACAATCAGGCGGCCCCAGCAATGGGATTTACCAGCATCCTGTGCTCAGGGAGGTGGAGACATGTACTGGACCATCAGCGCTGTTACTCTGGGATTTCCCTTCCGGTGCACATTCTCTACAGAAGAGGGGCCAGTGATAGGAAACACTTCCCACACCCTTAACCTACAAGATGGCTGTCAGCACGTGCGAAGGTAATATCGAGTTGAAAGGAATGAAGTACTAATGCATGCTACTCCATGGGTGAACCTCAGCAACAATGCTGAGTGAAAAGCCAGACACAAAGGGTGCACATATTGTGTGATTGTGCAGACATGGGGGTGGCTGCTAATGGGTACAGGGTTTCTTTTTGGGATGGTAGAAATGTTCTGGAACTAGTAATAGTGAGGCTAACTGATGTATAACCTTGCAGATGGCACTAAAAGCCACTGAACTGCACACGTTTAAAGGGCAAATATTACAGTATTTAAGTTACGTCTCAACTAAAAGAATCACAGAGTTGTATCAGCGCAGTATGTCTCACTCAGTGTACATTGGCTGAATGTTTATTGAGCAAAGATCATGCCTGTTCTAGGCACAAAAAACAGAATCCCTGCCTGCATGGGAGTGACCATCTTGAGAGGATGACATAGAAGAATCAGTGTAATGTTCCAGCCTGTGCCCCTGCTGGGGGCCAGCCCCAGAGGCCATAGCTGGATGGAGAAGATTTTACATGAAGTCAGGCTCGTAGCTGTGATTAATCTAAAAGATGAGACTATGTTTGTGGTGGTTGTTGTTTTAAGAGATGGGGTTTCCCTCTGTCACCCATACTGGCATGCAATGGCACAATGATAGCTCACAGTAACTTCAAACTCCTGAGCTCAAGCCTGCCTCAGGCTCCCAAGTAGCTAGGACTACAAGCACTCACCACCACACCCAGCTAACTTTTTTATTTTTATTTTTAGTAGAGATGGAGTCTTGCTATGTTGCCCAGGCTTGTCTCAAACTCCCGGGCTCAAGCAATCCTCCCATCTCAGCCTCCCAAAGTGCTAGGATTACAGGCATGAGCCAACATGCCTGGCAGAGACTATGTTTATAAGTTAGAGTGGATAAACACTTGTGATAGCCCAAATACATTTCCCTAAAGATGTCCCTGTCCTAATTTCTGGAACCTGTGAATATGTTCCCTTATATGGCAAAAGAGACTCTGCAGGTGTGATGAAGTTAAGGATGTTTGAGATAAGGAAGTCATCCTGGGTTATCTGGGTTGGGCCAATGTAACTGCCAGAATCCAGAAAAGCAGAGACTATCAGCTGCAGAGAACCAGAGAGGAGGGAATTTGAGAAGGACGTAACCCACCATTGCTGGCTTTGAAGATGGAGGAAAAGGCCACAAGTCAAAGAATGTGAGCTGCAGCCTGGCCTGGAGGTGCACACCTGTAGCCCCAGCTACTCAGGAGGCTGAGGCGGGAGGATTGCTTGAGCCCAGGAGTTGAAGGTTGCAGTGAGCTGTGATCATGCCACTGCCCTCCAGCCTAGATGACAGAGTGAGATGCAGCTATTAAAAATAAGAAAGAAAGAAAAAAAAAGGAATACAGGCGCCTTCTAGAAGCTGGGAGCTGGGCGTGGCTGGAGTGGGGAGGGTGAGAGACGACAGAGGGAGCGCCGTGTGTTGAGGACTGGGTCACAGAAGCCTCTGTGGGCCACAGGACCATGTCAGTTTAAGTGTAAGTCTGATAACCTACTGAAGGGCTCTTTTCATCTATTCAAAAAAAAATTTGCAACAAGATAAACCTTAAAACTTGAAAAAGGCCGGGCGCAGTGGCTCATGCCTATAATCCCAGCACGTTGGGAGGCCAAGGCGGGTGGATCAGGACCAGCCAGGCCAACATGGTGAAACCCCATCTCTACTAAAAATACAAAAATTAGCTGGGTGTGGTGGCAGGTGCCTGTAGTCCCAGCTACTCAGGAGACTGAGGCAGGAGAGTTCCTGGAACCTGGGAGGTGGAGGTTGCAGTGAGCCGAGATCACACCACTGCACTCCAGCCTGGGCGACAGAGCAAGACTCCGTCTCAAAAAAATAAATAAATAAATAAAAATAAAAATAATTGAAAAAAACAGAATCTGAAAAAAAAAAAAAAAACCCAGTTATAAAAGATGAGGGGATAGCTTAGAGAAGAAATCAGCCAATGGCTGTGACTGCAAAGTTTTTTATGGAGATGTCAGAAAGGGAGGAGGAGCTGTGCTTGGGCTTGTCTGGTTTGCTTTTTCCTACCTGATCCTCTGGCATGGAAGCGAATCCAGGTGGATCTGCAGCAAACCTGAACCTGAGGTTTCCCAACAGAAGGACATGAACGTGGGGTTCCTTCTCAGCTGTGTGGGCCCTCACAGCCCCCCAGCGAGAGAGGCCTTATGCCTCCTGAATACCTGGCTCACCCGATAAGCAAGGAGCTCCTATCCCCAAGCCCTTCCAGAGTCACCTCCACACCTAATAGCCAAGTCTGAATGCTCAGTCCCACCTGGGAAGGCTGTCTCTGCAGAAACAGCAGCTACTACATGCTTCCCGAGAGGAGAGCGGGGGACTTGCCTTTCGCCTCCCCATTCCCTGCACAGCTGGCATTCTTGCACAGTCTCTAGCTTTCATCTTTGTACTTCCATACACCCCACCCCGTTTCCCCCAGGAGTTGAGGCCGCAGCCTTCCAGATGCCGCAGGAAGACTGAAGATGGAAGCTCTGCAGAGCTGACTGGTGCCATCCAGTCTTGGGTTTGCCTCTCCTGTCTGATGGGACGAGGTGGGGTAGGGGGCTGGAGCTCCATGGGATGCATGGCTGTCACTCAAAACCCTACCAGATTCCTGGCAAATATCACAACCCCCACCCCATCGGGACTTCAACTTGGAAGATCAGCTGTGTAGACAAAGGGATCTGAGTGAGAAAGGACACCCTTCTACAATGAGACAAGAGGAAAGAAACAAGCCCAAAGAGCTTCGGGAGGAAAAGAAACACTTCCAGCATGTTTTGCCTCCCACACTGTGACTGGTTCCTGGCATGGCTCTTCCCTAGCCTGGCTGGGCTGGGAGCGGGTGAGGGTTGGGGGTATGTCTCAGCAATGTGGGCCAGGAACCAGAAGCTCTGTATGAGACTCAGATAACTAACGGAGAGGCTTTCTGCAAAGGGCTGGGTGTTTGAGAGTGCAGAATCTCTGCATTCCAGACCCTGACTTCGGGCTGGGCCTCTGAAACCCACACCGGGGCAGAAGTCTGAACCCCAATCCACAGCAGATCAGGAGAAGCCTGCGCCCCCCACTGGCTGAAGACCCTTGGTCCCAACATCCTGCCTTCTGATCACTGAGCTCCAAATGAACTCCCAAATACTATCCTTGGGGTAAGGAGGGCTTCATGATTGCCTGTCCCAGCTTCTCAGGGCCCTGTCTGTCCTCTGGGTCCAGACAGTTCTCAGATTGCCCTGTGGGACCCCATCCCTTTTCCCCCACATCCCCACCGTGGGTGGAGGTGAAGTAATATATCCTCTATGGCAGCAGAGGGCATTACTTTTCTCCCAGCTTCCTTCCAGCACTCTGAGACGCTTCTTCTACCCATAACTGGCATCTATAAGACCTACAGTTGTGTCAGACCTCCGACCTCTCCAACACTGAGGGATGCTCAGAGACATGCCAATCATGAGAGCTGCAGGGCCATGGCTGTATCACACTGCTGATTACCTACTCAAAGCCATATTTCCTTTTTCCCTCAGTAACATAACCTGGATGTCATGAGGGCAGCTGCATGCTCGGCTCACAGAGTCTATTTCCTACCTCCTTTAGCAGCTAAGTGTGGCATGAAACTAAGTTCTGGCCAGGCATGGTGGCTCAAGCCTGTAATCCCAACACTTTGGGATGCCGAGGCGGGTGGATCACCTGAGGTCAGGAGTTCGAGACCAGCCTGACCAACATGGCGAAACCCCATCTCTACTAAAAATACAAAAATTAGCTGGTCATGGTGGCAGGCACCTGTAATCCCAGCTACGTGGGAAACTGAGGCAGGAGAATCGCTTGAACCCAGGCGGTGCAGGTTGCAGTGAGCCAAGATCGTGCCATTGCACTCTGGCCTGGGCAAAAAGAGTGAAACTCTATCTTTTTCACCCTAAGAGTGAAACTCCATCTCAAAAAAAAGAAAAGAAAAAAGAAACTAAGAGTGAAACTCCATCTAAAAAAAAAAAAAAAAAACTAACTTCTGACCGATAATATGTAACTGGCATTGTATGAAACTCCCAAGACACTACTTAAAGCTGGCTCAGGGGAACACAGGCCTCTATTGCATTGCATTGCTCTCTTCCCACTTCCTGATGCCCAGAATGTAGGTGTGATGACTGGAGCACCAGCAGCTATATTGGGCCATGACACTTTGAGGATGGAAGTCACACGATAGGATAGTGACGCAGGAAAATCAAAGGAACCTGGGTCCCTGATGTCCATCACAAGTGTCCTGGATTGCCTACCTCTGGACATCTTTAGCATGAAAGAGAAATCTCTACCTTGTTTAAGTCATTATTATTATATATATTTTATGTAGCCAAAATGAATCTTCACTGATACACCTAATTGGCTGGCTCTGACCTTGACTATCTTCCCTGGAGAATTTTCACAACCAGGCATATCTCAGTTTGGTTCAGATGTGTAAGAGTTTGGGAGCTAAGGTAAAAAGATGGAAGGAACAAGCATAAAAATGAAGTAAGCACTAAACTTCAGGCCAGAGAGACCAAAGTTGATGATGTGATCTACATAAGGAATGTCAATGATTTTAGAGCGGGGATCTACTGGGATTACCCAATATATTCTATAGCCTACATATGATCTCTATTTACTGATATTGGCTTTAAAAGTAAATTTATTCAATAAATGGTGCTGGGACAACTGGATATCCACATGCAAAATAATGAAGATGGACCCATTAGTCACCTGTGCACAAAAATTCTAAGTGGACCTAAATTTAAGCATTCAAACCATAAGAAAACATAGGTCTAAATCTTTGTGACCTTGGGTTAGGCAATGATTTCTTAGATATGACAACAAAAGAATAAGAAATCAAGGAAAGAAATAGAAAAATTGGACTTCATCAGAATGAAAAACTTCTGTGCTTTGAAAGATATCATCAAGTAGGTGTAAAGACAAACCACAGAATGGGAGAAACTATTTGTGAATCACGTATGTAATATGCTACTTGTATCTAGAATATATAAAGAACTCCTACAACTCAATAATAAAAAACCAAATAGCCCAATGAAATAATGTGCAAAAGAGGTGAATAGATATTTCTCTAAGAAGATATATACATGACCAATCAGCACATGAAAAGATGCTTAGCATCATTACTCATCAGTGAAATCAAAACCATGAGGAGCTACCAATTCACACATGCTAGGATGGCTAAAATTAAAACAGATAATAACAAGTATTGACAAGGATGTGGATAAACTGCAACCCTCACATTACTGCTAGAATGTAAAATGGTACACTCACCTTGGAAAGCAGTTTAACAGTTTCTTACCTGGTTATACCTAGAGTTACCACATGGCTCAGCAATTACACACCTAGATATATACTCAGGAATATGTGATGAAAACATATGTCCACACAAACACTTGCAGACAAATGTCAGTTGCAGCATTATTCCTAGTAGCCAAACAATGGAAGTAGTCAAAACAATGGAAGCACACAAAATGTCCATCAACTGATAAATGGATAAACAAAATGTAGTATAGCCTTACACTGGAATATTATTTAGCAATGAAAAGGGGTTGTTTTAGTCCATGTAGGCTGCTATAACAAAATATCACACACTAGGTGGCTTATAAACAATTATTGCTCACAGCTCTGGAGGCTGGGAGTCCAAGATCAAGGTATAGCAGATGTGATGTCTGGTGAGGCCCTGCTTCCTGGTTCATAGATAGCACCTTCTTGCTGTGTCCCCACATGGTAGAAGGGGTGAGGGAACTCTCTGGGGCCCCTTTTACAAGGGCACTGATCCCACTTATGACCTAATAACTTCCCAAAGGCCCTGCCTCCTAATACCATCACCTTAGGGGTTAGAATTTCAATACAGGAATTTTTGGAGGGACAGAAACATTCAGACCATAACAGGAATGAAGCACAGACATGTGACAACACGGATAAACCGTGAAAATGTTACACTGAGTTAAAAACCCAAACACGAAAGGTCACGTACTGTATGATTCCATTGCTATGAAATGTCCAGAACATGCAGCTCCACAGAGACAGAAAGTAGATAAGTGGTTGCTGGGGGCTGTGGGGAGGGGGCAGTGAGGAGTGACTAATAACCACCACAGAGATGTAGAGGGGATGATTAAAATGGTGTAACATCGATAACGGTGATGGTTATGCAATTCTGTGAATACACGAAAAACCACTGGATTTTAGGCTTTAAACAGGTGACCTTTATAAAGCTGGGTTTTTTGTTGTTGTTGTTGTTTGTTTCTATTGTTTTTTGAGATAGGGTCTCACTCTGTCGCCCAGGCTGGAGTACAGTGACACGATCATGTGCTTTGACCTCCTGGGCTGAAGCCATCCTCCCACCTCAGCCTCCCGAGTAGCTGGGACCACCGTTGCACCCCACCATGCCTGGCTATCTTTTTTTTATTTTTTGTAGAGATGGGTCTCACTGTATTGCCCAGGCTGGTCTCAAAACTCCTGGGCTCAAGCAGTCCTCCTGCTTCAGCATCCCAAAGTTCTGGGATTACAGGTGTAAGCCACTGTGCCTGGCCTACAAAGCTGTATTTAAACAAAAACCAGAACAAAAAACAGGCAAGGAGGGGCTCCCTTCAAAGGGGACCTGAATCAAGTGGACCATGAACTTGGTGGGGGCAAATGCTTCCTGGATTTGGAGCCCTGCCATGCCACATCCAGCTTCTCTGTGTCAGTTCAGCTTTCTATGTGGATGTTTCCTCAACACATGTGCAGCCCACCTACTGTAACAGCTGATAGGTATCAAGAGCTGGCAACGTTTCAGGACTGTTCTTAACCATATACAGGGGTTATCACATTTACTCTTCACAGTGACCTTGTGTGGTGGGTACCATTTCACAGCTGAGAAAACAGAAGTCCAGAGAAGTTAAACAACTCGCCAACAGTTACACAGCTCACGAGTGACTGGGCATCAGTTCAAACACACCAGTGCCCCAGATACTAGCCACTGAGTAACTCCCTGCCAAGCAGCCACCTCCAGCCCCGGCATTCTCAGGTTCCAGATTTAGCATGAAGTGTCAATATATACATCCTTTGAACCTTTAAATATAATAAAAAATTGTTTATGCAGTGGCTTATGCCTGTAATCCCAGCACTTTGGGAGGCCGAGGCAGGAGGATCACTTGAAGCCAGGAGTTTGAGACCAGCCTGGGCTGCATAGCAAGACCCCATCTCTACAAAAATAATAAAATTAGCCAGGTTTGGTGGCACATGTCTGTAGTCCCAGCTACAGACTGAGGAGGCCGAGGTGGAAGAATCGCTTGAGCCTGGGAGGTTGAGGCTGCAGTGAACCATACTCTCACCACTGCACTCCAGCCTGGGTGTCAAAGCGAGACCCTGCCTCTAAAAAGTAAAAAATAAACAATAAAATTGTTTATGTACATGCCCATTCTGTTTTAGTATTTGTCCAGTTCCAAATATTTCATTTATTGAATTACTTGCTTTCAAGGTTTTTAAAATCCTCAAGATTTTCTTTTATTATTTTGGAGATGGACTCTCACTAAGTTTCACAGGCTGGTCTCAAACTCCTGGCCTCATGCAATCCTCCTACCTCCCAAGTAGCTGGGATTACAGGCACAAGCCACTGTGCCTGGCTAATATTTTAAATGTGCCTTTGGCCTCTTATAAAAATGAGCTGCTGTGGATGTTTCTAGGCGGAGGGGCCAGCTGACAGATTCTGAATGACGGTGTCTGCAACACTGCAAAATACTTTTAAACGCTCAGTGCCATCTCTTATCTTCCCTCTAAAATAGAACTAGGGCAGAAATCCCATTTCCTCGGTGAATACCTCAGTCCTGCCGATCTCCGGATCACCAGATAAGCATCCACTGCATAGCAAAACAGCCACCAGAAGCAGGCACTGTACAACAGCTGGATCCACATCTGCAATCGGGAAGAGCCTGCATCAAAATGTCTGGAAACAGGTACAAGAAGCCCAGCCCATCCTTGAGACGGCAGGGTAGACACTGGCTTCCTCTGACGTCAGGAAGCCGCACGTGACAGCTCTCGGGACACAAGTGGGCACAGTTCCTGGGACCAAGGAGGGTGTGGCCTGGGATAGGTGTAGGCATTCAGATTTGACTAAGGAACTATGCCTTCTGCTCCACTTGTATGCAGGGAGGATGAAGTTCCAAGATATGTCATTTAAACTGAGGTGCAGGCTCAAGGGGGCTTTGAACTAGATAGAAGCTCTTGTTCTGAGGAAGAATGAGTACGGGGAGGAGGGACTCAGGCAGTCCTTCCAAAGAGAAGATGGAGTAAGGGGACTCCAGTGTTAGAAACGACACAAGGTCAAGATGTCTCGCCACTGCGGGCTGAGACAGAGCCTCCATAGATGCAGTTAGGAAGCCACTGAGGACAGGGAAGCAAGGAAACTGGCAATTCTGCTCCAGCACAGGGCAATCAACACAGCATCAGGGAATGTGCTTCAAATCACTCACCTGAGCACCACCGTGACGGATGGAGCATAACATACATGTGTATGTGTGTCTGTGTATATATGATATCTATTTACTTTTTCAATAATTTGTTTATATATAATTATGTGGTTTTATTTTTTTTCTTTGAAGATGGAGTTTCACTCTGTCACCCAGGCTGGAGTGCAGTGGCGCGATCTTGGCTCACTGCAACCTCCGCCTCCCGGGTTGAAGCAATTCTCCTGTCTTAGCCACCTGAGTAGCTAGGACCATGGGCACACACCACCACGCCGAGCTAATTTTTGTATTTTTAGTAGAGACGGGGTTTCACCCTGTTGACCAGGGTGGTCTGGAACTCCTGGCCTCAAGTGATCCACCTGCCTTGGCCTCCCAAAGTGCTGGGATTACAGGTGTGGGCTGCCGTGCCCGGCTTGTATGTTTTATTTAATATATTTATGTATATATTTATACAAAATGCATCCAATGGATTGATAACTTTTTCTGTGCCAGCTGGTTTTGCTCGTGGCCCCATGTAAGCGGAGGATGCATTTGTGAAGAGGTGGGAGAAACAACACTTGAGTGTCTGGGCAGCATCCCCTGGAGGGTTTTGTTAAAACAGAGAGGGCTGGGTTCCTGATCAGCAGGATGGGGCAGGACGTGAGAACCTGCATTTCTAACAGACTCCCAGGGTTTGCTGCTGCTGCGATTTGAGGAGCATAAGTAGGGAGGAGAGGGCATGCAGAGGGGGTGGACTCACCGCACTCCCCACGCAGAAAGCAGCAGGCCAAATTTCCGTGTGGTTCATATCCGAGACGCTGTCAACAAAATTTGGGAATCCTAACCACACGGTGGACCGGATCACCATACCTAAGAGAGAATTGGATAATACTTTGTATCTGATCCTAATCAAATATAAAGCTGACTTCTTGCTTTGGAAAAATGATAGATACATAATAGATAGAGATAGGAAGAGAGGAAGGAAGAAGGAAGGAAGGAAAGGAGGGAGGGAGAGAGGGAGGGAAAAAGACAAGGAGGGAAAAGGAAGAAAGGAAGAAAAAACATACATATTTGTGTGTGCAGAGAGAGAAAAAGAAGATTGAAACTCATAAAATAACTTTTTTTTATTTTTATTTTTTATTTATCTTTTTTTTTGAGACGGAGTCTGGCTCTGTCACCCAGGCTGCAGTACAGTGGTAAAAACCCTGCTCACTGCAAATTCCGCCTCCCAGGTTTAAGTAATTCTCCTGCCTCAGCCTCCCGAGTGGCTGGGATTACAGGCACCCACAACCACGCCCAGCTAATTTTTGTATTTTTAGTAGAGACGGGGTATCACCATGTTGGCCAGGCTGGTCTCAAACTCCTGACCTCAAGTGATCTGTCCGCCTTGGTCTCCCAAAGTGGGATGACAGGCGTGAGCCACCGCGCCTGGCCTGAAACTCAGAAAATAACTTATGGTAGCAAAACAAACGCAGGCACTTTAACGCAAACCATAGTTGGCCACAGTCTCATCCCTATTTTGTTTGTCTGTTGGTTTACTTGCAATATGTGACTAGCAATCTGGATTTCTCGGCTGCATTTTCAGTGGCCATATTAGTTATTCCTCACATAAAAAAGAATTTTTCAAAAAGCACAATTTAGAAGTTTGAATATATAGTTCCTTCATTCTTTTTTAAACACAACATTTAAAATTTTCACAAATTAATTCTCAATAATTTGCCTTTAACATTTATTCTTTGTGAGTTTCTCTTGCTATTAGACCCAAATGTCTAATATCCTCAAAACAGTATGCACACTCATGGTACATATTATGGTTCTTTGTTAGGTAATGCAATATCCGTTGTTTAAAAGTACACTAGGGTCTGAGCGCGGTGCTCACGCCTGTAATCCCAGCACTTTGGGAGGCCAAGGCCGGCGGATCACTTGAGCCCAGGAGATGACACCAGCCTGGCAAAACCCCATCTCTACAAAAATACAATAATTAGCTGGAGGTGGTGGCACGCGCCTGTGGTCCCAGCTACTCAGGAGGCTGAGGTGGGAGAATCGCTTGAGCCCGGAAGGCGGAGGTTGCAGTGAGTCGAGATCGCACCACTGTACTCCAGCCTGGGCGACAGAGTGAGACCCTGTGTCAAAAAGAAAAGAAAAGTAAAGAGCCTGGCATGGTGGCTCACGCCTGTAATCCCAGCACTTTGGGAGGCTGAGGTGGGTGGATCACCTGAGGTCAGGAGTTTAAGACCAGCCTAGCCAACATGGGGAAACCACATCTCTACTAAAAATACAAAAATTAGCCAGGCACGGTGGTGGGCACCTATAATCCCAGCTGCTCAGGAGGCTGAGGCACAAGAATCGCTTGAACCTGGGAGGTGGAGGTTGCAGTGAGCCAAGACTGTACCACTGCACTCCAGCCTGGGCGACAGAGTGAGACTCCATCTGAGAAAAAAAAAAGTATGCTAGGTAATATAAAGGGGAGAACTGTAAACAACACCAAGCTACATACTATGTAGTAGTGCTCACTGGTAAACATGCCATACACCACTAAACACACACTGTGCAATACACTACTAAAATCACACCATATAATATGCAACACACACCATGCGATACACCACTAAACAAATGCTACGTAATATACTACTAAACACATACCATGTAATATACCACTAAACACACACTATGTAATACACTACTAAACGACAACTGTGAACACTAAAAAGCTCAAGACATCTTCTCATTATCAAGCCACTGCCAACAAAAACAATGCCTTTCTTCTGTACGGTGCCTTAGAATTTTCAGCATTTATCACTCCTTTGAGCTTAATAAAAGCCCTATCCCATGGGCATTGAAATTTCTTATTTTTCAGTAAGGGGTCCCGATCACCCAGCCTTTTCCTGACTTCTGCTTATTTGCTCGCAACCTCATCCACTTCCCTTCTAAAGGCTAAAGGATATGCAAGTATTATTCACTAACCCTCAAAAGATGTTTGGGTACACCTTACTTTTTTAGAGACAGGGTCTTGGCTGTCACCCAGGCTGGATCGTAGCTCACTCTAGCCTGGAATTCCTGGGCTCAAATGGTCCTCCTGCCTCAGCCTGGTGAGTAGCTGGGACCACATGTGCATCCCACCATGACGGGCCTTTTTTTTGTTGTTTTTTTTTTCTTGGGGGTAGAGCCTGGGTCTCGTTACGTTGCCCAGGCTAGTCTTGAACTCCTGGGTTCAAGCAATCCGTCCACCACAGCCTCCTGAGTAGTTAGGATTACAGGCGTGAGCCACCGCACCTTTAGGAGGCCGAAGTAGGAGGATCGCTTGAGCCTAGAAGTTTGACCAGCCTGGGCAAGATGGTGAGACTCCAGCTCTGAAAAAATAATGCAAAAATTAGCCAGTGTGGTGATGCATGCCTGTAGTTCCAGCTGCTCAGGAGGCTGAGGTAGGAGGATCCCTTGAGCCTAGAAGTTCGAGGCTGCAGTGAGCTATGATCATGCCAGCACACTCCAACCTGGGCAACAGAGTGAGACCCTGTCTCAAAAATAAAGTGATAATGATATTGGGGTTGCAAATGTTTAGAATTATTATGTTTTAGGGCTCTCTCTGAGATCTGAATGGGCAGGATGATGGAGCCTGAGATTGGCTTCACATTAATCCAGTGAGGAGGGTGAAGAGGGGAGCAGATGAGCCGGGTACCCGTACCTCACGAATCCCACGTACAGGGATTCACTGTAAGTGTTTCTATTATAGACTGCATTTACGCATGGTGGAAATGTTCCAAAAAGCTAAACAGAATGGCCAAATCTAGCTGAGAGGTCTGTATAAAGTGTCACATAATAGTTTAAAGCAGATGTTGGCAAACTCATTCTTAATATTTTTGGCTTTGGGAGCCATACTTTCTCAGTCCAATATTCACCCTGCCCTTGTAGGGTAAAGGCAGCCATGAATAATTCACAAATGCACATGAACAACATAGCTGCGTTCCCATCAAACTTTATTTGTAGACATTAACATTTAAATTTCAGTAATAGTCACATGCCAGGAAATATTTTTTAATTTTGATTTTTAAAAACATTTTAGGGCTGGGTGAGGTGGCTCACGCCTGTAATCCTAACACTTTACGATGCCAAGGGTGGTGATCTTTTAATTAAGCCCAGGAGTTGGAGACCAGCCTGGGCAACATAGTGAGACCCCACATATATTTACCCTAGCATGGTGGCGTGTGGCTGTAGTCCCAGCTACTCGGGTAGCTGAGGTGGGAGGATCGCTTGAACCCAGGAGGTCGAGGCTGCAGTGAGCTGTGATTGTGACACTGCACTCAACCTGGGCAAGAGGGTGAGACCCTGTCTCAAAAAACAAAATCATTAATTTTTTAAAAAGTAGGATGTAAAACCATTCTTAGCTCGTGGACCCTAGAAAACGGGCAGGATTTGGTCTGAGGGCTGCAGTTTGCGCACCTGTGGTGTAAAAACCATACCCAAAAAGCCTGGATAGGGAAGGGATTTCAGCTTACAAAATACTCGAGAGAATATATAGTGCACAATAGAAAAGAATTTACACACGCGCACACACACACACACACACACACACACACACACACACACAGAGCGAGACAGAGAGAAGTTAATTGTTAGTCTCTCCCTGGTGCAGTTGGGCAAAAATGAGGAAATCTTTTCTGGTCTGGGTTTTGCTTAACTGCGCCATCTGAAGTTTCCATATAACAAACACAATAAACGGATTTTTTAAAACCCAACGTCCCTTGGATGGGAATTTTACCGACCATGTGTTTGCAAAACTACCTAGTCGGCCGGGCGCGGTGGCTTACGCCTGTAATCCCAGCACTTTGGGAGGCCGAGGCGGGTGGATTACCTGAGGTCAGGAGTTCGAGAGCAGCCTGGCCAACATGGTGAAACTCCGTCTCTACTAAAAATACAAAAATTAGTCGGGCATGGTGGCGCGCGCCTCCCCCAGCTACTCGGGAGGCTGAGGCAAGAGAATCCCTTGAACCCGGGAGGTGGAGGTTGCAGTGAGCCGAGATTGCGCCACTGCACTTCAGTCTGGGCGACAGAGCAAGACTCCGTCTCAAAAAAAAAAAAAAAAATTACCTAGTTGTCCCATCCGGTCCCTAGGGAACAGCCTCCGCTTTCTCTTTTCTCTGTGGTTCAAGTGTTAAGACGGCCAGCCCAACCCGCTAGCCGTGCGCCATCACCCGGGCACCGATCAAGTTCCAACCCGAGTGGATCGAGTTCCAACCTGCGGGCCATGCGCCCTCACCCGGGCATCGATCCGGTCTCAACCTGCGGGCCACGCACTCTCACCCGGGGATTGAGCAGGTCCCAACCCCAGGGCCTCACGCCCTCACCCCAGCACTGAGCAGGTCCCAACCCGCGGGCCTCAAGCCCTCAGCCGGGGACCGAGCAGGTCCCAACCAGCCAGCTACGCGCCCTCAGCCCTGCACCGGGCAGGTTCCAACCCGCGGGCCTCTCGTCCTCACTCCATCACGGAACAGGTCCAAATCCACAGGCCGTGCGCCCTTATCCGGGCACCAGTCGGGTCTCAACCTGCGGGCCACGCGCCCTCACCCAGGCGCTGATCAGATTCCAACCCGCGGGCCGCGCGCGCCCTTACCCAGGCAGCCGAGAAGGTCGCAGGCAGCGGCAGCGCGCAGGATGCGGACCGAGGCCGGCGGGGACGTCGCGGGGGACCCGGGGCCCGCGGGCCGGCGGCCGGGCAGCAGCTGCAGAAGGCCCAGCGCCAAGCGGAGCCCGCCGCTGCCCAGGCAGAGCGCGTGGAAGGCCCGCGGCTGGAAGCTCAGCACGAGCTGCGTGGCTGCGTCCCGCGTGGGGCAGCAGAAGGTCCCTAGGCGCGGGGAGGCCATGGGCTGTGTTCGCGGACGCGGCTCGGGTGTGCCAGGACCCCGCCGGCCTGCCTGGGTCATGTGCTGGGCGGGCTGGGGGCGGCATCATGTGCCCTGGGCCTCTCCCCCACCCCAACCCCCAGCGCCTGCAGTAGAGCCAGGCTCGGTGGGGGCCGAGAGCACTGGGCTAACGCCACGAGGCCTCACGAGGTGATGCTTGGGCGGGCGGAGGAGGAGGACAGAGAGAGGGAGGGCTGAGAGGAGAGGAAGAGGGAGGAGGAGGAGGGAAGTGGAAGGAGAAGCAGAAAGGTTGGGAAGGTTACCTTTCTCCCCATTCACCAAGCCTTCCTGGTGGTTTCTCTGCCACCTAGAGCGCCAAACCTGCCATCTTTACTGGTCTTCTAGAGAAACAGGCCTCGTGGACTAGATCTTTCCTATTTGGGACTCTGACATCCTGATTTTGATGCCTTTAAGGCGCCAGAACATGTTCATAAACTGTGACTGATCCCTGTAACTGCTTTTTTCCTAAGTAGAGATGGTTGTCCAATTAGTGCTTTTTTTTATGGCCTCTCTCATTCATGGATATAATCCCACAGAGGCAGGATTTTCGTTTACAATTAATGAATGAAACAAACAGATCAATGTTAAAGAAAGAGCAGTAGCTCACACCTGTAATCCCAGCACCTTGGGAGGCCGAGGCAGGCAGATCGCTTGAGCTCAAGAGTTGGAGACCAGCGTGGGCAACATGGCGAAACCCCACCTCTATTAAAAATACAAACATTAGCCCGGTGTGGTGGCCCAGGCCTGTGATCCAAGCTACTCGGCAGGCTGAGGTGGGAGGATCGCTTGAGCCCAGGAGGTGGAGTTTGCAGTGAGCCAAGATAGTGCCACTGCACTCCAGCCTGAGCGATAGAGCCAGACCTTGTATCAAAAAACGAAACAAAACAAAAATTAGCTGGATGTGGTGGGGCGTGCTTGTAGCCCTAGCTTCTGGGGAGGCTGAGGTGGGAGGATCACTTGAGCCCGGCAAGTGGAGGTTGCAGTGAGCAGAGATTACACCACTGCACTCCAGCCTGAGCAATGGAGTGAGACCCTATCTCTCTCTCTCACACACACACACACACACACACACACACACACACACACACACAGAATTAAGTTTAAAATTTAAAAACATTAAAAAAATAAAGGGAAAAGTACTCAGCATAAGTACACACAGACACATTTTGCACCTTAACTTTCAGTTCTATTTATTTGGATTTTTCTTAACTGCGTTAATTTTTCTATGTTTTCTCATACATTGAAAATCTTGCTTTATTCTATACATGTAAGTTTCCAAGTAATATTGTGTTAATGATTACAGTAAGCATACTAAGATTTTTTTTTTTAAGTTCTTCAAGGCTGAAAATAGAAGTGCTCCTTCTAGATTATGGCCTTTATTTTAAAAAAAGAAAAGAAAAAAAAATCCAGCTCCATCATATTTATCATCTTCAACAAACCTCATTGGCTCTTTGTGACCACACAAGAGACACCCTTCCTCCTCTCTCCTGGTAAAATGGGCCCCTCTCTGGGTTTTTTTCAAGCAACCAAGGTGCAGGTGTCCCCATTGTGTTCATGGACTTTCCTCACTTGTTCTCCCCACCAGCTTTGCGGTTTTAAGGAAGGCATGATCTGTGCCGTCTTCCTCTAGGGATAGCAGGACTGGCCTTCCCTTGGGACCCCACAGAAGGCAGGCGGGAGGCTCCACTGCCAGACAGGAAGCGGAGCCTTATTTAACAACAATGAGGTGCAAACTCCACCACTTCAAAAGAGTCCAGATCTGGCACGTCTATAAACGCAGCCTGTTCACTCCACAGCTGCCTTCCTAGAAGTCAGAACAGACTGACATCTTCAGAAAGCTTAACAGCTCTGCTGGATTACACACTCCATTGTAAAAACAGTCAGAAGCACCATAGAACTACTCCCCAAGCATTAATGTTTAAAAGCTTGAATTCTAATATCTAATTTGGACAGTGGCTCTCTTTCCTTCTGCCTTGGTAAGCAGAGTTGCTTCTGGAGGTTAGTGTAATGGAAAGTGCTTTAAAAGATAAAAATGAAGAGTGTCTGTACATTTGCCTGAAGGTTGAGGGCCAGTGGGCCAGGCAAAGGGGTCCCTGCATTTGAGTCACTGTTTCATGCCCCAGAAAACACACTCCGCCTCTCTGCTTCCTACGTGATAACCTGGGAGTACTCTCCAGGGGGCTCTGGCTGACTCTGGTGCCCACTACTCAAGCTCAGTAGTCAGAATCTCATCAGTGAGAAAATGGATATGAATGCAGATTCCTAGGGCCATGGCACAGATGACAATGGTAAAGATGAGCCTCAGAGTAAAGGTGCAGAAGCATGAGTGTAAGACTAAATTTAAAACCCTGTCATCAAAGTGAGAGGGAACTAGAAATTGGTATGAGAGGCTGGGCCCAGTGGCTCACACCTGTAATCTCAGCACTTAAGGAGGCTGAGGCAGGAGGATTACTTGAGCCCAAGAGTTTGAGACCATCCTGGGCAACATAGTGAGAGCCCATCTCTAGCGTCTTCCTCTAGGAGCAGCATCTTTTGAAGTGGTGGAGTTTGCAGCTCATTGTTGTTAAATAAGGCTCTGCTTCCTGTCTGGCAGTGGAGCCTCCTGCCTGCCTTCTGTGGGGTCCCAAGGGAAGGCCAGTCCTGCTGTCCCTAGAGGAAGACGACACATCTCAAATTAGCAGAGCGTGCTGCTGCGCACCTGTAGTTGCAGCTACTGGGGAGGATGAGGTGGGAGGATCACTTGAGCCCAGGAGTTTGAGGTTGCAGTGAGCTGTGATTGCACCACCAAACTCCAGCTTGGGTGAACTGAGATGACAAACTTTTTTTTTTTTTTTCCTTTGAGACAGAGTCTTGCTCCATTGCCCAGGCTGGAGTGCAGTGGCGTGATCTCAGCTCACTGCAATCTCTGCCTCCTGGGTTCAAGTGATTCTCATGCCTCAGCCTCCTGAGCAGCTGGGACCACAGGCACATGCCATCACACTCAGCTAATTTTTTGTCTTTTTAGTAGAGATAGGTTTCGTCATGTTGGCCAGGCTGGTCTTGAACTCCTGGCCTCAAGTGATCCACCCGCTTTGGCCTCTCAAAGTGCTGGGATTACAGGCATGAGCCATCATGCCTGGCCTGACAAAACTTTTCATGAAACAGTACAACTACAAATCTGAGAAAAGTGAAGCAAATACACACGCACACACTTGGGAGGCAGAAACATCTGGAAGTTTCGTAGATATGGGAGATACAGGGATGGCGGTGCTGAATATGAACTTTGAGGTATGTGTGCAGAAACAATCGGTCTTTGAGTACATGAAGGTACATCTGTTTTTGCATGAACCCTTCCTCCGTTTTTCCCTCCTTCCCAGTTTAGCACCTGAATTCGCTCTCCATTTTCACAGTTTGGGCTGCCTGGGGCATCTGTTCCCTGGAAATGCTCCATCATCTTGGCTTTCTCTCATTCCACAATCCACCATTTACCCACCATTCCCACTTGATCAGATGCACTTGATCAACTGCTGGAAGACGGTTCCTGAGTTTCTCTCCCAGGCAGTTTATTTTTCATGGTGAGTCCCCTGACATCGAGATGTCTCAACCAAAAGAATGGGGTTTATGGTGAGACTCAGATATCCCTTAGAATCCAGTAGAGGAGGTGGCTAGGGGCAGATGGATGGCAGAAACAGCCTAAGTAAGGAGACTGCCATTCACAATAATTTGAATTTAAATAATAAATAAGATTTGTTTATTTATTTATTGACATGGAGTCTCACTATATCATCCAGGCTGGAGTGCAGTGGTGCGATCTCAGCTCACTGCAACCTCTGCCTCCCGGGTTCAAGTGATTCTCCTGCCTCAGGCTCCCAAGTAGCTGGGATTACAGGCGCCTGCCACCACACCTGGCTATTTTTTGTATTTAGAGTACAGACGGCGTTTTGCCAAGTTGTCCAGGCTGGTCTCGAACTCCTGACCTCAGGTGATCCGCCCGCCTCAGCCTCCCAAAGTGCGGGGATTGCAGGCGTGAGTCACTGCGCCCAGCCTAATAAATAAGATTTAAATAATAAAATAATTTATGGAGTGTAGGCAGGCACTATGCTTTGAATATTACATTCATTATCTCATTTAATATTCAGAATGAGCCTTCCAAGTGGGTTTTACTGATACTTAAATTGATATAGACAAAACATGGCCAGGTGCAGTGGCTTATGTCTGTAATCCCAGTACTTTGGGAGGCCAAGGTGGGAGCATTGTTTGAGCCCAGGAGTTCAAGACCAGCCTGGGGCAACATAGGGAGACCCTGTCCCCCACCTCCCCCAGTCAAAAAAAAAAAAAAAAAAAAAAAAAAAAAAGCCGGGCTCAGTGGCTCACACCTGTAATCCTAGCACTTTGGGAGGCTGAGGCGGGCAGATCACCTGAGGTCAGGAGTTCACTACACTCCAGCCTGGGCGACAGAGCAAGAACAGGAGAAAGAAAGAAAGAAAAAGAGAGAGAGAGAGAGAGAGAGAGAGAGAGAGAGGAAGACCAGCCAATACATAAGTCCATGGGTATGGCTGTGTGCCAATAAAACTTTATTTACAAAACAGGCAAAGGGCCATAGGCTGCAGTTCCTGTAAGTCTACCACCTGAGGCTCTGGCTTATCTAGCAGCTGCTTGAAAGGCTGGGCAACAACCGAGAAATGGAGGAGGATTAACACTTAGTGGGGCAGACAAACTTATTCCAATGAGAGAGGAAGCAGGAAGTCACTGGCAGATGTATTGCTCACCCTTCCTTCCTAGGGAGGTTTCTGAGGAGTGGTTTCATATGTTCCTGTGTAACCAGCTGGGTTTCTTGGGAATCTTGTGGCCAGTTCATGAATGGCACTGCTCTTAATTTGCTTTCTTCCTTCCTTGCCTCACCCTGCTTTTGTGCTCACTCCTAGAGTCCTTATAGACACACAATGTGCCTTAAACTCTGTGCTCAGATAGCTGCTCTTCCTGAGAAAGGATTTCAGCTGCTCCAGCCACAGCCCTCTTTTGGGTCCACCAGATGACCAACAGCATCTTTGCCTTTCATTTAAGTGCAATTCAACAGGAGTTTATGAGTAACATACGCAAGTTGATTGAGCAATGGTATAGATTCTGTGTCCAATAAATAAGGTAGTGTCACCAGACCTTAATGAAGAACACAGGCCAGGTGCGGTGGCTCATGCCTGTGATCCCAGCACTTTGGGAGGCCAAGGTGGGCAGATTGCCTGAGGTCAGGAGTTCAGGACCAGCTTGGCCAACATGAAGAAACCCCTTCTCTACTGAAAATACAAAAACTAGCCAGGCATGGTGGTGCAGTCCTCCCGCCTCAGCCTCCTGAGTAGCTGGGACCACAGGCATACACCATCATGTCTGGCTAATTAAAAAAAAAATGTTGTAGAAATGAGGTCTTGCTATGTTGCCCAGGCTGGTCTCGAATTCCTGGTCTCAAGCCATCCTTTCACCTTGGCCTCCCAGAGTGCCGAAATTACAGGCCTGAGTCACCTCACCCAGACCAAATTGTACATTTTTTTAAATAGGGAGACATGTGAAGTGGCATCAGGCCTGAGAATGGTACTAGTTCAACTTTACTGTGCATTCGCGTGCAGATCTTGTGGAAAGGCAAATCCTGATTCAGGGTTTCTGGGGGTGGGGCCCAAGACTCTGCATTTCTTACATTCTCCAAGGAGACATGGCTGCTGCTGACCTATGGCTCCTACTTTGAGTGCCAAGACCCTAGAGCTTGTATCTTATCCTGAAAAGCAAAGAAAACTCCCAGGCCATATTTGAATTTATGGAGGACTTGGTTCAAAATAGATGCAGTAAAATTGATTAGCATCCAACTAAGCCATGGAGCATTCTCTCTCTTTTTTTTTTTTTTTTGGATGGAGTCTTGCTCTGTTGCCCAGGCTGTGGCAATAGAGTGGTGTGATCTTGGCTCACTGCAACCTCCGCCTCCCAGGTTGAAGCGATTCTCCTGCCTCAGCTCTTGAGTAGCTGGGATTACAGATGCGTGCCACCACCCCTGGCTAACTTTGGTATTTTTAGTAGAGGTAGGGTTTCACCATGTTAGCCAGGCTGGTCTTGAACTCCTGATCTCAGGTGATCCACCCACCTTGGCCTCCCAAAGTGCTGGGATTACAGGCATGAGCCACCGCGCCCGGCTGGAGCATTCTCAACACAGTGGATGAGTCAAGGAGGGAATCATTAGTCGGAGAATGGTGAGCAATGTCCTTCCTCTTGGATTCTGATGTGTTTGGGACTAACCTGGGACAGAAGTCAGGACGCAGGGAGGAAAAGAAAGGGAAGAGGAAGACAACAGATAAGGACTGAGAGAGGCAAATACGCGATTTGTGTTGAAAAATAGGATGTCCTGACAATTTTCTCCTATTGAAACTTAAGGGAGCATTTCCATCCTGGTCTGTTAAAATAGGAAGCCAGTATTGTGATAAACTCCCAGGAGAAGCTCTTGCCCAAGTGAGTAGCACATTGCCCTCCCATGGACCTATCCATGGCTAACCTCCTAACTCATCACACTCCATTTTAAATGCTTTCTCCGTAAAAGTCAACTAGTCAGTTGTTAACTGTGAGAACAAGGTGAAAATGGAAAGTAAAACAGGGTTTGCTTCACAGTGATTCAATTTTCAATTCACAATTAAATTTGGCAGAACACGTCTATTTCAAAAAGAACAACTGACCTGGGCGCAGTGGCTTATGCCTTTGGGAGGCTGAGGTGGGAGGATTGCTTGAGCTCAGGAGTCCAAGACCAGCCTTGGACAACATATAGTGAGACCTCATCTCTACTAAAATTCAAAAAAATTAGCCAGGTGTGGTGGCATGCACCTGTGGTCCCAGCTGCTGTTGGGGGCTGAGGCGGGAGGATTGCTTGAGCCTCCAGGGTTGAGGCTGCAGTGAGCCGTGATAGTGTCACTGCACTCCAGCCTGGGTAACAGAGCAAGATCCTGTCTCAAAAAAAAAAAAAAAAAAAAAAAGACATTGATAACAGTCTGATGGAGTAAATATGCCAAAAGTAACAATTTTCATATAGCTCAGAGTTGAAACTGGCATTTGTGATGGAATAAACAGCAAGTAGAAAGAAAAGGAAACAAGACAGATATGAAAAGCTGATTGTGGTATGAGTGGTTGATGCTATTAAATGTTTAATGACTACCACAACAGAGCCACAAATAAATGGACGAGTACAGACTATTAAAGACAGTTCAATGTTTATTTAAATTAACATCAAGTACGGTGTTTTACATGTAAATTCACATCGCGTGCTTTTTCTGATGTGCAAGAAAGCATGCATAATTCTACACGCCTTCATGGTGAGAATCGTTCTCACATTTGCCTGCCTAAAGACATCTGTCTGCCTAAAGACATTTGTCTACATTTCTTTATAAGAATGTCAGAGTTTCAGTTCAGTTCACCTTATCCTATTTGGTGATATTTGGACTTTTCAGCTCAAAAGGAGAAAAAGTTTTTAAGGAAAATTTCCAACATCCACAAAAGGAATGTAATGATTTTGAGACCTGATGCTTAGCTATGTACTTGAGTTCAGTTGACAAACGCTCAAGGCCCATTAAAAGCAAACACTTTTACATAAATCTGCTCTCTTTGGAGTGGCTTTGAAAGTACACACACACACACACACACACACACACACATAAACACACACGCACACACATATACTTTTTCGTCATATCTACAAACAAAATTGACTCTTCATTGAATTTTAGAAAAATTGCCCTGGAGTGGTGCTTCACACCTATAATCTCAGCACTTTGGGAGGCCGAGGCGGGTGGGTCACTTGAGCTCCGGAGTTCAAGACCAGCCTGGGCAACATGGCAAAACCCTGTCTCTACCAAAAATACAGAAGCATGGTGGTGCACGCCTGTGGTCCCAACTACCTGGGAGGCTAAGGTGGGAGGATCTCTGTAGCCAGGGAAGTTGAAGCTGCAGTGAGCCGAGGTCGCACCACTTCACTCCAGCCTGGGGCGACAGACTGAGACCCAGTCTCATAATAATAATAAAGAATTTTAGAAAAATTACATACACTTCATTGACAGCCAAATTGAACTTAGAAAAAAAGTTTTATTTGTGCTTTTAAGATCATGAATGATGAAAATGATTTGTTCAATCAAAAGTCAGCAAACCCAGCCAGATGCAATGGTTCACACCTCTAATCTCAGTGACTTGGGAGGCTGAGGTGGGATGATCACTTGAGGCCAGGAGTTCAAGACCAGCCTGGGCAACATGGCGAGACCCCTTCCCACACCTCCCATCCTCATCTCTTAAAGAAAAAAAAGTCAGTAAAACCATTCCAATTTGAAATGATGTCCCGAATGTATAGATGTTCTTGAATATCCTATCTCCTACCAAAGTCAAAAGACAGAAATCCCATTAGGATGCCAGCTTCTGTGTTTCCTGGCAGGATTCAGTCCCTTGTGGGCTGTCTCCAAGGCCGTGTAGTTCCTTGTCACATGGGCCTCCCCACAGGGCAGCTCACAACAAGGCCGGTTGGTTCCTCACAGTCAGCGAGAAAGAGTCCACCACAGCCACTCTCAGGGCCGCCTGGTGGGGCGAGGGGGCTGCAGTGTTCCTGTCCCACTTCTGCCAGTCAGCCAGTCCAGCCTGCCCCTGGGGGTGGGCACTTCAACACCCAGGGTTGGCTGGCCCTTCAGCCTCCCTGAGTGAGTTCCTGCCACCTGAGCACGTCTTCCTACAAAGAGGGGCAAGGACCAGCAACTGAGACTGAAGGAAATCTTTAATGGACGGAAGGAGGACTCCATCCTGGGGTCTCTAGGTAGCATCTGCTGCCCTCTCCATCCAGAATTAAATGTGCTTGGTTTGACCTTGTGGAATGGCCAAAAATGCTTAGGGTTGATTACAAAACTTTGAGAAAGTAAAACTTGTTGCAGTGGCTTAGTGTTTGGACTTGAACCCCTTCTTCTCCTCCCAGGGGAATTTGGCAGCTCTGCAAATATTCCACATAAGGATTTTTTTTAATTGTTTTTTTGTTTGTTTGGTTTTTTTTGAGACAAGGTCTCGCTCTGTTGCCCAAGCTGGAGTGCAGTGGTGTGATCAGGGCTCACTGCAGCCTTGACCTCCCGGGCTCAAGCGATACTCCCACCTTAGCCTCCTGAGTAGCAGAGACGACAGGCATGTGCCACCATGCCCAGCTAACTTTAAAAAAATGTAAAGACAGGGTCTTACTATGTTGCACAGGCTAGTCTGGAACTCCTGGCCTCAAGCAATCCTCCCACTTTGGCCTCCCAAAGTGCTGGGATTATAGGTGTGAAAGGAATGGGTTTTGAACACAGACTTAGAACCCAGACAGCCTGATCTGTGGTGGTTGTTCGGTATTGACCTGGCTGAATGAAACATGAGAGTCTTGGACTGTGTCCATCCTCTGGAAAACATGAGAAATTCATGAATGGAGAAATGGTGCCTAAGGGTAGAACTTCAGCTGTGCAACAGGCAGATAACGATTCTGTGAGCCAGGTGGTCTCAGCATGGGAAGAGAGGTGAACAACAGGAGCCACGGAGAGAGGTGGGTTGTGTACTGAGAAGAGGAAAGTTCAGTGATATTATATGATTGCCTTCCATGGGCTGGGAACATCAGATATGCATCGTCTTTCGTAACTCTCACCTCCACCCCTGTGGCTCCTCTGTTTTATCCCTTCTTAATGCATGAGGCACCAGCAGAGGGGAAGGAACTCGTCTAAGATCACACATCTGGTGGAGCTGAGAATCAAACCCAGGCAGATGATGCCATGAGTACTGCCACAAGAGGGGGACTGGGGATGCCCCTTGCAGTCACCAAGAGTGTCTGCAAACTAGTCCGACAAGAAAATGCATCTTCTCACCCCACCCTCTTGAAGCTGCACTTTTCTTGAAGTCCACTTTTCAGAAGGCTGAGGCAGTTGCAGGTGGCCGAATTTGATGCTAAGTGCAACTGTGGTTTCAAGGAAGTGTGTGTGCGGCAGGGTGGGCTGGGGTGATGAGGACAGACATGCCTATACACATATTACATATTTAGCACATTATACTAACACATTAAAATGAGATGACTCTGGGATGACTGTCTGCCTTGGAGTCCGCCTTCATACAAGACTGTGAAATCTCATGTATCTAACAAAAAGGACTCAATTCCTCCTTAACCATAGACTTTGGCTAATTTTGCAATGACTGCTTCCCAGGCACTCAAGTAGCCTTGGGTAGAGAATAGGAAACCCACATTAACCTCAGGGGCATGGCTGCGGTTAAAGCTGACCTGCAGGCAGACAGCACGGCTTCCCTCAACACTGCACTGCGCCCTGCGGAGACATTGTCTGTGATGCTCACTAGAACGCACGTCAGGATCAGGAGCATGCAAAGGCACTAACATACCCAGTGTGGTCAGTTACTCCTCAGAGCAGAGCCTGATGGTTTAAGTGCAGTGGCCCTTTACCCCTAAGTCCTCGGGGTGATTGCTTTGTCCTGGTTTGAACATCTAGTGACCTAGAGTAAACGTAACGTGTGTATAACCTGAGGTTCTTAAATTTGTGACATTTCTTCTTTTCAAAGACAGAGTCTCGCTCTGTTGCCCAGGCTGGAGTGCAGTGGCACCACCACAGCTCACTGCAGCTCCTGGGTTCAAGGCATCCTCCTGCCCCAGCCTCCCCAGTAGCTGCAACTACAGGCACATGAAACCATGCCTAGCTTTTTTTTTTTTTTTTTTTGGTAGAGATGGGGACTGGCCATGTTGCCAAGGCTGGTCTTGAACTCCTGGCCTCGAGTGATCCTCCTGCCTTGGCCTACCAAAATGCTGGGATTACAGGTGTGAGTCACTGTGCCTGGCCCAAACTTGTGACATTACTTAATTTTATTTTATTTTTGAGACAGGGTCTCACTCTATTACCCAGGCTGGAGTGCAGTGGAGTAGTTATGGCTCACTGCAGCCTCCAACTCTCAGGCTCAAGCGATCCTCCCACTTCAGCCTCCCCAGTGGCTGGGACTACAGGTACACCACCATGCCTGGCTAATTTTTTTCTATTTTTTGTAGAGATGGGGTTTCACCATGTTGCCCAGACTGGACATTTCTTTATTACAGGAGTCAGAAAACTTTAAAAAATGAGCCAGATGGTAAATTCTTCAAACTTTGCAGCCCACCTGGTCTTTGTTGCAATTACCCAACTCTGCCATAAGAACCATGAAGTGTCCACAGACAGGAGGTAAAGGAATGGGCATGGTGTTGTGTCAATAAAACTTTATTTGGAGGAACAGATGGACATAATTTACCAACCACCACTGTATTGTAGCAAACTAAGTAAAACATAACAATAAAATAAGAAATATGCATGGGCTTTTGAAATGTGTATTTGTTGGATTTTTAAGAGTATTTGATTCGGCTTTACAAAATAAAAGAAACTCAGCCAGGCGTGGTGGCACACACCTGTAGTCCCAGCTACTTAGGAGAGTGAGGTGGTAGGATGGCTTCAGCCTGGGAGATTGAGCCTACAGTGAGCTATGATTGCACCACTGCACTCCAGCCTGGGTGACATGGTGTGATCCTGCTGTTAGCCTGCTGGGCAGCCATGGTGTGAACTGAATCTCTCAGGGAGAGAATGTGACACATTTCAAAATCCCGTACGTATCGTATTTTATTGTTATTTTGTTTTACTTAGTTTTCTACAACAGAGCAGGGATTGGTAAATTATGTCCATCTGTTTCTCTAAATAAAGTTTTATTGACACAATGCCATGTCTATTCCTTTTAGAGACCCTGTCTCAAAAAAACAAAAAAAAGAAAAAGAAAAAGAAAGAAGTCACTTCAAATTAATTATCATCATCTCTGCCTCATCATTGTACCTGAAGCATCTGGGATGTGTACCACCTAAAATTATGTACATGGCCTTTTTGTAATCCATTCCAGTCTGAGTAACATAGTGAGACTCCATCTCTTTAAAAAAAAAAAAAAGGGGGCCAGGTGCGGTGACTCACGCTTGTAATCCCAGCACTTTGGGAGGCCGAGGCGGGAGGATCATGAGGTCAGGAGATCGAGACCATCCTGGCTAACATGGTGAAACCCCGTCTCTACTAAAAATACAAAAAAATTAGCTGGGTGTGGTGGTGGGCACCTGTAGTCCCAGCTACTCGGGAGGCTGAGGCAGGAGAATGGCATGAACCTGGGAGGCGGAGCTCACAGTGAGCTGAGATCGCGCCACTGCACTCCAGCCTGGGCGACAGAGTGAGACTCCATCTCAAAAAAAAAAGGAAAAAAGGAGACAGCATGTAATGAAGCAAGCGGCTTACAAGAAATGTTGGATGCATACATTAAGCAGAGAGTATGTGAGCCATAGATAGATAGGGAGGGATGGAAGAACCAACAAGGCCCCAAATATTCCTGAGGTCTTACACTGGTTAGCACTGGGATGCCCATTCTGGCCACTCGTGTCCTCTCCCTGAGAGACCCAACTCACACCATGGCTGCCCAGCAGGCTAACGGCAAGCCACAGCTATGGCCAAGAACACTCGCTCCCACGTCTTTCTGACAGAGCTGCAGTGCTGACACCAAGCACCTTCCATTTGCTGATCCCCTCGCTCATGCTCAGTTGGGGTCCTCCTAACTGCATGGCCAGAAGGGTGGGATGAGGTGGCAGGAAGGAGAAAAAAGAGAGAGATAGGTGTACATTGGCACTGAGTAACTCCAGATTAAGGTAGTGTGGCCCTTTCCCCAGCTGATATCTGACCTTAAATGTATCCATCTTGAGCCTGGGAGACTGAGACTGCAGTGAGCTGTGATTGTGCCACTTTCCTGACCGGGCAACAGAGTGAGACCTGTCTCAACAACAACAACAAAAAAAAAAAAGAAAAGAAAAGAAAAAGAAAAAAGAGAAATTTCTCTTGTTCTAAGCCATAATGGTAATTTGTACACACAGCCCTAGGAAACTCATACAGTATCCCAAAGGCATGTCAAACTCCACCTGCTGAAGCACAAATCATTGCCTCCCCTCCTTGGCTCTTCCACTTCTTCCACTTCCAATCTTCCATTTATCTGTCTCTCAACTCAGTTACTTAGCCCAGAAACCCAGGAGTTAGTTTTAACACACCCCCCACAACATCACCCCCCCACCCCACACTTCATTTCGAGGTCTTTGAGCCCTCGAAGCCCACGCCCCCAGCCTCCACTGTTTTCTGCTCATGCTAGCCAAGCCTCCAGGTGCGCCCCGCCTCCACCGGAAACCCGCAATCACCAGGAATTCCCATCCTCAGCCTCCTCTCTCAGTGGCCCCTTCTGAAGGAGGCACGGAGGGACACCTGGCCCTCCCTGGCACTGTGCCTCCTCCAGCCATGGAGCATGGGCTGCTTTCCTCCCCACACCCCTCCTGACTACCCTGCTCAGGCAGGGGGTGGTGAAGGCGGCTTCCTGGCCCCACTCACCTTTTTCCACCTGCTTTCTCCCCACTTAAATCCCCTGCCTTGAGGCTGCTGGTGTCCTGGGCTCATACCACCCTGTTCTCTGTGCAGGTGAAGTCATTTGCTGACTCCAGAGTCACTCCCTTTCATTCCCTGGCTCACTATCACCCTTTTCTTTTTCTTTGCTTTTATTTTTATTTTTGAGATGGAGTCTCCCTCTGTCGCCCAGGCTGGAGTGCAGTGGTGCGATCTCGGCTCACTGCAGCCTCCACCTCCCGGGTTCCAGCGATTCTCCTGCCTCAGCCTCCAGAGTAGCTGGGATTACAGGCGCCCACCACGACACCAAACTAATTTTTGTATTTTTAGTAGAGACGGGGTTTCACCATGTTGGCCAGGCTAGTCTCGAACTCCTGACCTCAGGTGATCCGCCTGCCTCAGCCTCCCAAAGTGCTGGGATTACAGGCATGAACCACCGCGCCTGGCCTACTGTCACCCTTTTCCACCATTCTCCAGTGATAAATCATGACAGTTCCAATGTTCCTATCGATGAGCCTCACAGTTCTGCAGCTTCTTGGTTCCTCCACTGGAGATCTTGTTCTCCTTGCACTCAGCCACCATGCTGAGGTCACACCGTGGTCTTTGTTACCTACCGGTGGTAGCTGAGTCCCTCCACCCTCTCCAAGCCCTCTCCAAGCCCTCTCCAGGACACTCAGCTCCATGTGGGAATGGGTCGTGCTGGGTGACGGCAGACTTGTTGAAAGAATGAGCTCTGTGGTCACCAAGAGAAGGCACTATTGGAGGGTCGCTTTGTGCATGGAGACAGCCTTTTTGAAACTGATTTTGACATTATTCTCCTGAGAAGTTGTGTAAGAACTGGACTCACTAAGAGATTTCTGCCTTCCTGTCTTTAAGCAGATCAACTTTCCATGAAGGAGCTTCCTATCAGCCTGCAGCCTGCGTTGGGGGGTGGGGGCGCCACCAGAAGAACCCTCACCCCCACTTCCTCTCAGCCACCAGGATGCAGCTTTGTCTTTAAGACTTGGATGAGCTTTGAAATATTTCAGGATAAAAAGTGGGTGAAGGATGAAACAAGAGTTCTACTTTTGTGTCCATTCGAAATTTCCACAATGACAGATGAAAACTAAAATATTTTACTTATGGCTTTATTTATTTATTTACTTTGGAGACAGGGTCTCCCTCTGTCGCCCAGGCTGGAGTGCAGTGGTGCAATCTTGACTCACTGCAGCCTTGACCTCTGGGGCTCCAGCGATCCTCCCACTTTAGCCTCCCAAAGTGCTGAGATTACAGATGCAGGCCACCACACCCGGCCCTTATGGCTTTATTATCGTTTTTAACATTCTAATTTCTCTCCTGTTGAAACTTTTGTAGTTAAAAGTGGTTTAGCAGTTAATCGTACTGATTTTTCATGAGATTTCCTTTTCCTCACTGCTACAGATAATGTTTCATATTTCCTGCACCATTACATTCCCCCCCCCCCCCACCCAACAAGTATTGGGCAAGTAAAAAGTGCTCAAGAAATGTATGCTTACTGGCAATTTTATTAAAATACAAAAAATAGGCTAGGTGCAATGGCTCATGCCTGGAATCCCAGCACTTGGGGAGGCTGAAGCAGGAGGATCACTTGAGGCCAGGAGTTCAAGACCAGCCTGGGCAACATAGCAAGACCTCATCTCTACAAATAATAAAAAAATTGGGCCGGGCGCAGTGGCTCATGCCTGTAATCCCAGCACTTTGGGAGGCCGAGGCAGGCGGATCACGAGGTCAAGTGATCGAGACCATCCTGGCTAACGTGGTGAAACCCCGTCTCTACTAAAAATACAAAAAATTAGCCGGGCGTGGTGGTGGGCACCTGTAGTCCCAGCTACTTGGGAGGCTGAGGCAGGAGAATGGCGTGAACCTGGGAGGCGGAGCTTGCAGTGAGCCCAGATCACGCCACTGCACTCCAGCTTGGGCGACAGAGCAAGACTCTGTCTCAAAAAAAAAAAAAAAAAAAAAATTAGTTGGGCATGGTGGTACAGGTCAGTGGTCTCAGCTATTCAAGAGGCTGAAGTGGGGGAATCGCTTGAGTCCAGGCAGTTGAGGCTGCAGTGAGCTGTGATTACACCACTGCACTCCAGCATGGGCAACAAAGTGAGACCCTGTCTCCAAAATACAAAACAAAACAAAACAAAGCAAAACATAGTCAATGGCTTTCTAAAGCAATTTTTTTATGTTTCTTTGCTCTGTTTATGGGTCTTGCTCTGTTGCCCAGGATGAAGTACAGCAGCATAATCCCGATTCACTGCAGCCTCCGCCTCCCAGGCTCAAGCGATCCTCCCACCTCAGCCTCCTGAGTAGCTGGTACTACAGGCATACACCACCATGTCGGACTAATTTTAAAATTTTTCTTTAGAGAAGGGGTCTCCTTATGTTGCCAGGCTGGTCCTGAACTCCTGGGCTCAAGCAATCCTCCCACCTGGGCCTCCCAAAGTGCTGGGGTTACAGGGGTAAGCCACCGCACCTGGTCATCCCAATGTTTATAATAATAGCTCATAGAAATCAAGAAGATGCCAAACCTTGGTGACAAAGGGTAAACGTTCCGTGTCATAGTTTTCCTTTTTTTGGGGGGTGGGGGAGATAATATCTCACCCAGGCTGGAATGCAGTGACATGATCTTCATTCCCTGCAGCAATCCTTCCACTTCAGCGCCCCAAGTAGCTGGGATCACAGGTACATGCTTCCACGCCCAGCTAATTTTTTTGAATTTTAGTGGAGACAAGGCTCTGCTATGTTGGCCAGGCTGGTCGAGCTCCTGGGCTCAAGCGATCCTCCCACCTGGGCCTCCCAAAGTGCTGGGGTTAGCAGTATGAGTCAGTGTGCCCTTCCCACAGATTTCCTTCAACTGCATCACTCGTGCTCTCTGATCTTGACTGATCCTGTGCCAGTCTGAATTAATAGGAACACAGCGGGTTTAGTAGGAAGTGGCTAATATTGCCATTTTTAAAATGCCACACTAAAAGGTTTTCTGGAAGGCTTGACCCTACGGAGCCACTATTTGAAATGTGAAAGTAAAATTTTGGAACTCCATCTTCTACCACATTTTGTAATGAGTATAAATCTCTTTTCTTTTTAGAACAAAAAGCTAAAATAATTTGAGCTGTATTTCATAAAGAAGATTAGCTATTAATGAAGTCTCTGAACGTTGGTTAATTTGCCTTACATTAATTAATTCATTCACTGTTGACGAAGTGAAAGCAGAACCATCCTCAGTTTCATCTATCTCTTCTCTCATAGGAAATAAACCTCAGATTAGCAAAAGTGGCCGGGGACTGGGTGCGGTGGCTCACGCCTGATCCCAGCACTTTGGGAGGCCGAGGCGGGTGGATCACCTGAAGTCAAGAGTTTGAGACCAGCCTGACCAACATGGTGAAATCCCATCTCTACTAAAAATACAAAAATTAGCTGGACAAGGTGGCGCATGCCTGTAATCCCAGCTACTTGGGAGGCTGAGGCAGGAGAATCACTTGAACCTGGGAGGCAGAGATTGCAGTGAGCCAAGATCTCACCATTGCACTTCAGCCTGGGCGACAAGAGCAAAACTCCGTCTCCAAAAAAAAAAAAGAAAAAAAGAAAAAGAAACAGTGGCCAGGTACAATGGCTCATGCCTGTAATCCCAGCACTTTGGGAGGCTGAGGTGGGTGGATCACTTGAGCCCAGGAGTTTGAGACCAGCCTGGACAACTTAGTGAGATCCTGTTTCTACAAAAAATAAAAAATTAGGCAGGCATGGTGGCATATGCCTATAGTCCCAGCTACTTAGGAGGCTGAGGTGGGAGGATCACCTAAGCCTGGGGCAGTCAAGCTTCAGTGAGCCATAATCGTGCCACTGCACTCCAGCCTGGGTGACACAGTGAGACTCTGTCTCAAAAAAAAAAGAGAAAAAAAAAGAAAAGAAAAGAAAAGAAAAAGAAAAAGTGAAACAAACACCTAAGGCTACTGAATCCCCGGGGCAGGCGCTCATAGGGTCACACTCCTTGCAGGTCCAGAAGAGAGTATATGCTCACCCTATTCTCTGAGCAATGAACAACCACAGTGAGAAATTACACAGAACAAACATGCCCCTCAGCTTTCCAAAAGGACAAAAGACTAACATGGACAAATGGATTCTGCTTCTGAAAATTCCACCTGAGTTGTGAGTTCTCAGAAAAGAAAGCCATCTACTAGGAGTCCATACACTGGTTCAACGTCATACTAAAACTCTCCCAATGGGGGTGCAAGACTGATCAACTGGGGTGATGCCTTTCAGCCACAAGATATATTTTCACAAGATTATTGACAGTGTCTTGTGATGACAAAACAAACACAATATAGAAGTGCTGTCATCGCACCTAGACCATAGTAACCCCAAGAATATCACAAAAGGATTTATGACTGAGCAGGCACCTGTCTCATAGCAGGCCACACAAATCTTGGTTCAGTCCCTTACAGCATAACATCATTATAGACAGCAGCCTTATAAATATTCCAACCATCCTGAGATGGATGCTTAATGTGAAGATTAAAAAAACAAAACACCCCAGCTAAACACTGTTTAGTAAGGATGGATGTAAATTTCTAGCTAAGTTTAAGAACAAGGGAGTCCTTTTAAAAAGTATAAACCTTTCAAGTGGCAGATGGGTAATCTGACAATGATTACGTACGGTGAACATAAAATGTTAAAGATGACTTTGGGGCTATATAGAATAATGCTGGATTTATGGAGACAATGAAATCACTGTCTCTGCTTTATAATGAGTCTAGTGGTCTGAATTTTAGCCCCAGGTAAGAGCTTAGACTGAAGTCTATACCAGCTTGGGGTGGGGAGGTAGGGAGTGGGCTGTTTTGGGAGACGGACATGTCTGCAAACTCTAATAAGCACACTGGGTATATTTATACAGCTCTTTATCTTTTGGTTTATCATATCCATCCATTTCTTAAACTTTGTGAGATAACTGGATTTACATGTAGTTGTAATGTGTCCAGAGTTGGTTCCTTCCGGTGGGTTCTTGGTCTTGCTGACTTCAAGAATGAAGCTGCAGACCTTTGCTGTGAGTGTTACAGCTCTTAAAGGTGGCACAGACTCAAAGAGTGCGCAGCAGCAAGATTTACTGTGAAGAGCGAAAGAACAAAGCTTCCACAGCATGGAAGGGGACTGGACCGGGTTGCCACTGCTAGCTGCAGTGGCCAGCTTTTATTCCCTTATTTGACCCCACCCACATCCCGCTGATTGGTCCATTTACAGAGTGCTAATTGGTCCATTTTACAAACCTCTAGCTAGCCACAGAGCGCTGATTGGTGCATTTTACAATCCTCTTGTAAGACAGAAAAATTCTCGGAGTCCCCACCCAACTGGCTTCGCCTCTTGGTAAGGAATAATACAGGGAAGTCCTGTGCACCCTTCACTCTTCACCTGCCTGTTCCAATGGCAACACGTTACAAAACTACAGCACAATGTCACAACCTGGAATATGGACATTGATACAATCCACCAAGCCTTTTCAGATTTCCCGTTTCACGTGCATTTAGTTCTGTGCAATTTAGCTTAATCAACTTGGCAGCTCCTGTGACCATCACCACAGTGAAGATACACTCGACTTGATTCTGAGAGGCACATTCCTTAAGCCTTCGTTTAATCTTTGAAAAAGAAAAAATCGCCTCATTCTTCTAACTAAAGGCATTCAGAGACTGTAGTTAGAAGTTAATTATGGGGCAGTCACCACGTGCCCAGCGCCATGACAGGTGCCCAGTGGAGCTGCGACTCTGAATTTAATCGGCTGCATGAGACACCTCCACAGAATGCACCCCTCTCACTTGACCTCTGAAGAAACAGACCAGAGCTGAGATTTCTTGTCCCAGCTTGACAGTGGCAGAACCCAGACCCGGGGACCCTTGACTCTCTGTCCAGTGCTCTCCCGGCCTGTCCTGGATGCGTACTCCAGCATCGTCACCTCTGAAAAGGGCCTGGATGGAGCTGCTTAGAGAAAAGAGGTGTTCACCAGCCTTCAGCTACGTATAGAAACAGCAACGAAAACAGCTTTTTTGCAAAGCATGTAAATACCTATCCATGCAGGTACTTTAGACCAGAGTTTCATGGAAACTGAAACCGAGCAGGAAGAGGTGGCACACATGTTGTCCGCAAACTTTCACCAATCCCAGACCTCCACCTCCCCTTTTCGGGGATGTAAACCTGGGAAACTTGAAGACCTTGTGGTCCAATCCTAGGCGAGTGGGGACAGCATCTAGACGCAACGGCTTTCTGCGCGGTGGCTGTGGGAGGCCTCTGCGGGAAGGTGGGAAGGCCCTCGTGGAAACGGGGCACGGTCCTTCTGCGCCCGCCTTCCAAGCCCCTCCAGAGGCCGGACCCGCGCCCGGCTCAGGCTGCTGGGGGGCGCCCTTCCCGGCTCTCTAAGTCCAGAGTGTGAGTGCGCGCAGGGCCGCGCGGGACGGGCGGTCCCTCTGCCCCGGGGCAGCGGCCACAGCGCGGGCACCAGGGCCTCCCGCGGCGCTTCCGCTCTCACCTGCGCGGCAGCCCGCGGTGCGCGAGAACAAAGTGTGGGCGCCGGCGGGCCGCGCGCCCCGAGACGGAGGAGGCCGGAGACTCCCGCCACGCCACCCCGCGCCCATCTCACCTGCCGCCTCACCTGCCCGGTCCTGGCCTCCAACCGGCGGGCGGGGGCGCCCAGAGCTTCGAAGCACTGCAGAGCTCTGGCGCGGGAGGAAAGGCCCGACCTGGCGCCGGGGCCTCCGCCCCCGTCCTCGCCCGCGCTGGCTCCGCCAGCCCCGGGGCGCGCGCTCCTCGACCCCGACCCCGAACCCGCTGAACGGCGCGCGCGCCTGAGCGCCCCTCCCGGCCCGCTCCCCTCCACCGGGCGAGAGAACCGGGGCGCGCCCCTCTCCAGCTCTCCCCGGTACGAGCGGCCGCGTGGGCCCCTGAGCGCGCACCTGACCCCGTCCCTCACCCTTCGGGCCGCGGGCTGGACCTCTGGACGCGCTCCCCGTGACCGGCCCCGCGGTACGAGCTCCCGAACGCGCCCGCCCCGCCCCCCGTCGGCCCCGCCCCCTCCCCGCCAGCCCCGGCCCCGGCCCCGGCCCCGGCCCCGCCCCCTCCCCGCCAGCCCTCCGGGCTCCCTCCGCCGCCGGGCCGGCACTTTCTTTCCAAGTTACGGCGCAAGTTCTGCGGCGCTCGGAGCCTCCCTTGCGATCCCACGGCCGGGACTGCCCGGAGTGCATGGGCGCGGGCCAGGGACGCTGAGCGGTCGCGCCATGGAGGGCGCCGAGCCCCGCGCGCGGCCCGAGCGCCTGGCCGAGGCCGAGACGCGGGCGGCGGACGGCGGGCGCCTGGTGGAGGTGCAGCTGAGCGGCGGCGCCCCGTGGGGCTTCACCCTGAAGGGCGGCCGCGAGCACGGCGAGCCGCTGGTCATCACCAAGGTAAGGCGGCCGCGGGGCGCGGGCGCTGACAGCCGGGAGCTGGCCGCCCTGCGGGGCGCGTCGAGGTAGGGGCGCGGGAGGGGCGGTAGGCTCGCGCCCCCGGGTCTGGCGCGCGCGTCTGCTGGGGTCACCTGCCGGGCCTGGGCGCCGGGACCGGCGTGGGCGTGTGATCCTGGCGGTTCCCCGCGCCTCGCAGAGTTTAAATGGCTCCTGCCCGGAGTCCCTTTCCCCTCCCCCTCCCTCCTCCGGGCAGGGGCCTGGCCGGGTCCTCTGGCGCTCCCGGGCCCGCCAGTGGCGGCCTGCACCTGCGGGGCTGCCTGGAGGCCAGCGAAGGAACGTGTCCCCGAGCCGTCCCCACCTATGTTTGCCTCTCTGGGGTCCCTGGTTCGGCACCCCTTGGACCCGTGCCTGTGATCACTACGAAATCCAGAGTAGCAGCTGTCGCCAGCGCAACTTCTCGATTCCCTTCAGCCCATCAATGTTTACTGACTTTCGGCTTCCAGTCCCAGATCCACTGCGCACTGGATACCTGCGCAAACTTAGAGAAACCTGAAAGCCTGCTTCCTAAGAGCAGGACCCGAGTTCTAATAATAATAAAGAAATTCCAGATGTATCTCATCAGGAATGTTGTGTGTGTGTGTGTGGTTTGCTTTAGAACATTGAATTTTATTGTCTCAAAACAAAATCCATCTGGAAACTTACCAGTTGAACCTGTATGAACTTGTAAAAGCAAACACATAAACAACAGTCCAGTCACCCTGTGTTCTAGTTAAAAGTGTGTAGTGGTCATTTTCTCTGGGAAGGGTTGAGTCGGACCTTTCGTGTGGACGAAGTTCCTTTTAAAATGTAAAGATTCTTGGCGACTAGAAGCGTTTGAAGATAATTTACTGGTTTTCTCGGCTTTCCTGCCTCTCCACAGCAGGAAGAAATTAAGTGATTCCTAACCCGCCGCACTGGTAATCAGTTTGGGAAGTGGGATGGCTTTGTTGTTCAAATAGCAAATGAGACACCAGCGTCTTCCATTCTATATTTTCTGTCGCTTTTATGATTACAAAACTTTGTGGAGGGATTTGGAGAAGCCTTGTTTAGCTTTGCACTAAATTTTTGTTGAACTCAGGAAAGAGGTTGCCATTGTTATAAATTTGACCAATGTGTAATCTTTTATCACACTGGCTTCTTTGGAAACATGGTGGACAGTCATAAAGTGTGTATACTCTGCCCAGCCAGAACACTCCTCTTTTTTTTTTCTTTTATTTCTTTTCTTTTCTTTCTTTCTTTCTTCTTTTTTTTTTTTGAGACAGGGTCTTGTTCTGTCAGCCTCCTGAGTAGCTGGGACCACAGATGTGCGCCACCATGCCTGGTTAATTTTTTAAAATTTTTTGTAGAAACGGGGAGTTTCACCATTTTGCCCAGGCTGGTCTCGAACTCCTCTGCCTCCCAAAGTCCTGGCATTACAGGCATGAGCCACTGCGCTTGGCTCAGAATGTGGATTAATCCAAGCTTTGAATCTTCCTCTCCCAAAAGCTACTGAAAAGTCACTGGGGCTCATTAAAAAATAGCTCTTCTAATCGTTTTTTTTTTTCCACTTGTAATTAAATAGTTACATATTAGAGCCCTGGAATACTGTACAACTCACTTGCTATTTAGCAGACTCTGATTTGGGGATAGCTTGCATTAAGGTAAGAGCGCACCTTCTCTTTATGATAATGAGGGTATCATTTGAAAGCCTCATGGGAGTGCGTGTAGTAGAACTGGGAGGGGTGTCAAGAACAAGGCTGGTTCGGTCCTGGTCTTCAGATGGAATTTTATCAGCCCATTTTATAGATGAAACAGCTGTGGCCCAGGCAGGGCAAATGGTGTATCCTGAGGTCACAAACTGTTGAGTCCTGGGAAAGGCCCTAAGAATCAGACTCTGGCCCCAGTGTTCAAGCCTGCTGCTCCCCTTCAGTCAGTGCCATCTGCTTGGGTCTGGGATCTCCTGCAATGCCATATTGAATACCTTCGTCACATCGGTTAGGTGAGGGTTTGCCAGCCTTGGCATTGGGGACTTTGTGAGCTGAATCTCTTTGCTGTGGGGCTGCCCTGTGCTTTGGAGGATGCTCAGCAGCCTCCCCAGCCTCTACCTGCTTGATGCTACTGTCACCTCTCTCCAGGTGTGATGACAAAAATGTCTCCAGACATTGCCAAATGTCCTCTGGGGGCAAAATTAGCCTGGTTTTGAATCTCTTTTGTTAGATTAACCATATATCACCTTTGCTCTTAAAGGATTCTTGCTCTTAAAACTTCTGTTTCTTTTTGAATAGACTGGCCTTTAGGGTGGTGTGTTTAGAGGCCTCTGGCATTGCCAGTGTTTGCATGGAGAGCTGTTTTCCTCCCACGCGTTGGCCCTGAGAATAGGCTTTATTTACATAGTCAAACTCAAACAAATACTTGCTTCATCTGCATTTTTTGTAGCTGGAGAAAGGAAATTGAAGCAGGAACTCCCAAGTGCTGTGTTTTATGGGCATCCACAGTGGCTGTTCAGAATCAGGACTGACTACTCTCTGGGTCTAGTTTGAAGCTAAAGGGATACCAACTTCAGAGGAGTAGCATTCTTGGAATTTGGGGTGCATGCATGAAGCCCAGCAGAACCTCCGCTGACAGATGGCGACAGGATTCATCACTCCTCAGTACGTTTCTGCTGATTTCTGCCTTGAAATTTTGCTACAGTTGGTGGAAAAAATGCACTCAAACCCATATTTCCATGCTGTTGTTAGAGAGGGGGCAGGAATAACATCCATGCTGTAGGAATCTATGTAACGGAAGTAGAGATGGTGGATATATGTGATCCTGGTGGGTTTTTTGCATGTTTCTGTTCCCATCCATTCAACCAGTGGAAGTCTTCAGTGGGGGGAGGGGAGGGGACTGATTTCTAAAATGTCACTAGAGTGGCTTGAATTCCACAAAGCTGTTTGGGGGATTCATGAGGAAGCGTTAAATACACCAGCTGGGTGTCAGCAGCCCCCTGTGGCCTCAGGAATGTTTGTTAAGGGAGGGAAGGAATGAAGCCCCAGCCTCTCCTGTTCACTATTTCTTAGAGTCCGCTCCCTCCCCCAAAAAGAATGCCAGAAGCCTTAGCCCGAAGCTCCAAAGAAGACAGTAACTTGGGCCTGGCCTAGCCCCAAGGGCAGCTCCTTTGGGAACCCATTGATTTTCGGGTTGCCATTGGGCACCAGAGCTGTTGTGTGCGACAAGACTGCTGTGGTCTGGGACGCTTGGAGGTCCCCCCCACCTGACTCACCCACCCCAGGGCTTCAGACTCTGAGAACATTTCTCTGGATTGGAGACAGAGCTTTGAAATGTCCTTTCCAGTGTGAATGCCAAAGACGGAATCAGGGCATATTTTGGGGGGCGTGCAGCCAGGTGGCAAGTGTCTTATGTAAAGTGTTAGCTGAGTCCTTGATTGCAGAGGGCACAGGGCTGAGACTGGTGGTTGGTGATGGGCAGGAGTGGAGGCCCCGCGCCTCTGATGTACCTTACTTATTGGTTTGGAAAGGGGGCTCTGCATTATGGGCCATGCCAAGTCACCTCGTGACCCGAGGACCGGGGAGATCAGAGTGACCACCCTGGTCGGGATCAGTTCTTGTCTCATATGCCATTATATTGGCTCCCAAGAGCCAACCAAGCTCTTTGTGAAATATCAGTAAAGGTTTTGAAAAAGAGGGACCTGATGAATTCAGCAGTGGGTCAGGAGCGGGTGACTCTCAACTTTGTGGCTGCTGGTGGATTTTTGTGCCCAGATGCAGTGTGCGGTCAACATCTGCACGAGGGAGTGCTGCTGCTTCTCCAGGTGTCTGAGAACCAGTGGGTGAGGGCTTGGATCTCCCTTGCCTCTGCCATCTCTAAGTGATGTCCGAGTTGTAAAGCTTTACTCACTTTTTGATGCCAGCTACCATGTTTTCTTCAGCTATTAGGATAAGTGTCATTATAAAGATCCATCTGTATTTAAGAATTAATAGTAAGGTTAAAAACCAAGAGGTGAGCTTTCTTTCCTGTGCTGAAAGACCCTTTCAGTTGGTAGGCCCGCCTTGCCAACTGGCTTTCAAGTCTATCTTTATTACCTTTTCCCAGCCTGTGAATTAATGTGACCCTGCTGAATTCTCATCCTTGTTCTCCGGCGATGTTTTGGGCAAGAGTGTGGAGTCAGGCAGTGAGCCTCAAGTCCTATTCCAGGGTCTGGGAGCTGGAGGCTTTGAGGGTCAGCTCTGGGAGGATTCTTCCTCTCTTAGACATTAACTCAGCTTGACTCACGCCTATGAATCCAGAGCCTTCTGCGATTATGAGAAGCTGTAAACATAAGCTATGCATCTCACTTCTGTACCAGGATGCGTTCGGTCTTCATGGCTCAGTTATGAGTATTTCTTAACATGTCGTAACATTTATCTTTTGAAAAAAAAAAAGAAAAGAAAACTAGTTTGCCCAAGAGCTAAAGGTAGAATAGTATGATAATGAAAGGCTCAGAACAAGTAGCAGTTTTCACCTTGTCCTAATGAGCTGGGGGTTTCTTAATCTACCTTTGTAATTCATGGTCAAAAAAACTGGCTTGCCACTTGGGAAGGGCTGGTTTTTCTCTTTGGAAAGCATTTTGGAGTTGTTTGTCCCCTTGCCAGAGTTGTTTTGTATCAGCATGCAAATAAACCTGGATTTGTGGCCAAGTTCTTAAGGGCAGTGGAGAAAAGCTGGGGCTCTGTGGAACTTTTCTTCTTGCACACCGGGTGCAGCGGAAACATTCTACACGATAATGTTAGAATGTAAAAGCTGAATGGACTTTTTATTCAGGTCTTCTTTTACTTTCAAGCACTGTAGTCAGCAGTGGGGCAATTCATGAAGGATAAATTCTGCAGGTTTCTGCAAGCCCTCTTCCTACACATGCAAGCCGAAAACTTTAACCCACATGAAGGATTTTGAAAGAGTTCTGGGTTGCCTGTTGCTCTTTTAGGCCTTTAAAAAAATATCACCAGTGCCAGGCACGGTGGCTCACGCCTGTAATCCCAGCACTTTGGGAGGCCGAGGCGAGTGAATCACCTGAGGTCGGGAGTTCAGGACCAGCCTGACCAACATGGAGAAACCCTGTCTCTACTAAAAATACAAAAAAATTAGCCGGGTGTGGTGGTGCATGCCTGTAATTCCAGCTACTCGGGAGGCTCCCGGGAGGCAGAGGTTGTGGTGAGCTGGAGATCGTGCCATTGCCCTGGGCAACAGGAGCAAAACTCCATCTCGAGAATAGAATAGAATAGAATAGAATAGAATAGAATAGAATAGAATAGAATAGAATAGAATAGAATAGAATAGAATAGAATAGAATAGAATAGAATAGAATAGAATAGAATAGAATAGAATAGAATAGAATAGAATAGAATAGAATAGAATAGAATAGAATAGAATAGAATAGAATAGAATAGAATAGAATAATCACCAGTATCTGATACAGGGAGGGTGTATTCTGGAGGAATTGTTGTCCTTTACCTTGTGTGATGCAGTATTTGGGCTGTCCTGTAGTAGAGCCAGCCTGTTCCCATTATGGGTGTGAATGTTCCAGCTTCTCTTTGGGGGAACATGTCTTAGAAGGATAATACTATATCATTAAAAAGAAAAAATTGGACAAACCTCATTTGGTTGAACCTTAGAACTAGGATGTTCTGAATTGCAAAGCAAAGGTAACATTTTTTTCCCCAGATAAGGAGCCCCTGGGCTGTTTTTTTGTGTTGTTTTTTTTTTTGTTGTTGTTGTTGTTTTAAATCCCCAGCGTATTAAGTTGCAGGCAATGAGGGCTGCTTCTTTTGGATGGAAAGGGAAGAAAAACAGCATCTTGGCTTGGCTAGGAAGGGCTGGGATTATCTTTCTTTTGGCAAAAGGTGACTTTCAGATCAAAGGCAAATTGTTGAGGTCAACAAGAACCCAGGCAGGGTAGACTCTGTGTCCTTGAAAGGTAACACTTCTTACTCATAGAAGGGAAGGGGCAAGCATGATAGCGTATTTTTTTTTTTTTAAGACAGATTCTTGCTCTGTCTCCCACACTGGAGTGCAGTGGCATGATCTTGGCTCACTGCAACCTCCGCCTCTGGGGTTCAAGCAATCCTCCCACCTCAGCCTGGCGTTACAGGCGCACACCACCACGCCCTGCTAATTTTTGTATTTTTAGTAGAGACAGGGTTTCACCATGGTAGCCAGGCTGGTCTCTAACTCCTGACCTCAAGTGAACCACCCGCCTTGGCCTCCCAAAGTGCTGGGATTATAGGCATGAGCCATCGTGACACGCTAGGAGTGTCAGTGTATCTTTTATGAGGTTTTATTTTATCAAAGTGGCTCTTGCACAGTATGAATTATCAAGTAGTTCTTCAAGGGTGCTTATATGCTACTGGTCATTTGGCCTGACTACTGATCACTTCCCCCTCCCTAGAGACAACTATCAAAACGTCTTAGCTGATTTCTTTTGGTATTTCTGTCCATATCCCTAAATGATGGCTTATATTGTATATTGCTGCAACTTTTGTTTATTAGCTTGTTCTTCCCAATGTAGGATATTAGGATGTAGCCTTTTTTCCACTCTTTTTTTTTTTTTGAAAGTCTCGTCCTGCCACTCAGGCCAGAGTGCAATGGCATGATCTCGGCTCACTGCAACCTCCACCTCTGGGGTTCAAGCGATCCTCCCACCTCACCCTCCCGAGTAGCTGGGATTACAGGCTCGAGCCACCATGCCCAGCTAATTTTTATATTTTTAGTAGAGATGGGGTTTCGCCATGATGGCCAGGCTGGTCTCAAACTCTTGGCCTCAAGTGATCTGTCCACCTCAGCCTCCCAAAGTGCTGAGATTACAGGCATGAGCCACTGCGCCTGGCCCTTATTTCCACTCTTTTTCATTGCTCATCTACCCTCCCCCAACTACTCAGGCACAATTCTTGGCCCTTCATACCCCTAATGTGATTACATCATAATTTTTTGGTGTGGGGCCATCCTGTGAATTGTAGGATCTTGAGCAGCATACCTAGCCTCTTCCTTTCTTTTTTTTTTTTTAGACAGGGTCTTGCTCTCTTGCTCAAGCTGGAGTGCAGTGTCATGATCACAGCTCACTGCAGCCTCCATCTCCTGGACTCAAGTGATCCTTCCCCCTCAGCCTCCTGAGTAGCTGTGACTACAGGTGCATGCCACTATGCCCAGCTAATTTTTGTATTTTTTGTAGAGATGGGGTTTCACCGTATTGCTTGGGTTGATCCTGAACTCATGGCCTCAAGTGATCCTCCCACCTTGGCCTCCCAAAATGTTGAGATTACAGGCGTGAGCAACTAAGGCTGGCCTCTTCCCCGCTCTGAGGAGCATGGGGTTACCAATATTCAGTGTTTATTTTGGTTGCTATTGCTATCACTGCTGAGTCTGGGGGTACATACTGTGGAGTCCTGATAAGTTAGCATCAATGAAGAAGGGACCCCAGGGTGGGGGAGAACAATTGTTCTGAGAAACTGCTAACCACAAACAACTCTGCGTGTAGCTTCTCCAGCATGATCCTATAAAACTTCCCTCCAGCCCCTGCCTCTTTGCAACCCCTTCTCTGCTGTGTTGCCTGTTGCTCCCTTGCAACATACTTTTTCTCTAATAAATTAGTCTTCTCTTCTCTTCTCTTCTCTTCTTTTCTTTTTTCTGAGATGTAGTTTCGCTCTTGTTGCCCAGGCTGGAGTGCAATGGCGAGATCTCGGCTCACTGCAACCTCCGCCTCCCAGGCTCAAGTGATTCTTCTGCCTCAGCCTCCTGAGTAGCTGGGATTACAGGCGCCTGCCACTACGCCTGGTTAATTTTGTATTTTTAGTAGAGATGGGGTTTCTCCATGTTGGTCAGGCTGGTCTCAAAATCCCAACCTTGGGTGATCCGCCCACCTCAGCCTCCCAAAGTGCTGGGGATTACAGACATGAGCCACCGCGCCCAGCCATAAACTAGTTTTTCTTTAACTGACTACTGTCTCAGTAAATTCTTTTACTGCCCGTGACTCTGGCCCCAGCCAGTGTACCCACAACACAAGTTTCTGCAGTCACTAGGGTTCAGGATAGTTTTCTTTGCTTAATTTTCAGTGCACTTATCCTTGATTCATCCCTCAAACCCTCCCCAGTGATGAAATATCTCTTAATATATTCAGACACACCGGGGGTCATCTTTTGAGATCTTCTCTGTCTGAAAACAGCATGATTTTTATCTTGACAGTAAATTGTTTGGGCGTAGTCCTGAATGGAGACAGTTCTCCCACAGCACTCTGAAGGTGGTGTCCACTCTGCTGTTGTGCAGTATTGCTGGAGGGAGATCAGACGTTTTTGTTTCTTGATCTTTTGTACTAGGTCTACTTTTTCCCTCTCATTTTTCTTTTTCTTTCTTTCTTTCTTTCTTTTTTTTTTGAAGAGACAGGGTCTTGCTGTGTTGCTCTGGCTGGAGAGCCGTGGCTATTCACAGGCACGGTTATAGCCACACTACAGCCTTGAACTCCTGTGCTTAACTGATCCTCCCATCTCAGCCTCCCAAGTAGTTGGGTTTACAGGTGTGTACCACTATGCCCAGCTCTCTTATTTTGCATTTCTTTGTATTTTTGTTCTTCCTGGAAGATTTTGTTCAACATCATCTTCTAATCTTTCCATTAAGTTTTAAATGTATGTCCTCATTTTTCCCTCAGATTCTAAACTTTTAAAATTTGTTTCTCAAATGTTCCTTTTTCATACCATACTGATCTTGTTTCATGATTCTTCCATATCTGTGACAGTATTAAACTGGTCTCTAAAAATGTCCTCTTTTTGCATAGATTGTTTCTGAGCTCTGCTTTTGTTGTTTGTTTTGGCTGCTTTCTTCCCTGTTAGAGGTTGTCTTCAAATGTCTAGTGCTCCTTGGCCGTCTGCTGGTATTGAAGGTTGCGTTCCCCAAAATGCTGTTTGGACACTCCGTGCATGGGGGTGAGTGATCAGGTGAAGCTGTTTCCCTGGGTATTCCTCTAAGGCTGTATCTTTCTCTTTTTTTTTTTCTGGAGGGGCAGGGAGGCGGCCATGTTTTTGTCAGATACTTTTTTTCTACTTAATAAACTTCTGGTGTAGTACAGGTTGAAAAGTAATGGGAAGTCTGCCAGTTGAGGGGATCTCTCCTTTGCTCAGCTGGGCGAGGGTGATCATCTCTGCCCCCCAACTTTGGCTGTAGTGGTTCCAGTTTGGAGGGAAGGTTACCACTAGGCAGAGGAGGCAGTGCTTGCTTGCTTGCATCCGGAGCTGGATCTTGCTCTCAGTTCCTAACCGTTTCTAATCAGTAATCCTCTGTCTGTCCAACTAGAATCATTCCTATTTTATTGTGGTATCATGGGGATTAAATGAGGCAACACATAAAGCTATCTCTAGTAAATTCAAATTCCCCCTCACTTCTCTTCCTCACTTTCCCTACTCAATCCTGATTCATTAAGAATTTGGAACTTTGGGAGGCCGAGGTGGGAGGATTGCTTGAGCCCAGGAAGTCAAGACAAGCATGGGCAACAAAATGAGACCCCATCTCTACAACAAATAGAAAAATTAGCCAGGCAAGGTGGTATGTACCTCCAGTCCCAGCTACTTGGGAGGCTGAGGTGGGAGGATCGCTTTGAGCCAAGGAGGTTGAGGGTGCAGTGAGCCAAGATCACACCACTGCACTCCAGCCTGGGCGACAGAGTGAGACTCTGTCTCAAAAACAAAAAATAAATAAAAAATAAAAATAAAATAAAAAATACATCTAATGCCCAGCATCAGTACATTTCCTATGTTATTTGTAGCCCACCAGAAGTGATTCTTTCCTCTCCTCTACCAAAAAACTTTTTTCCAGAATAATAGTGTTTCTTATTTTTATAATATTAATAAAGGGAGTAGCTCTTTCAGATCAATGTGGTATTCAGAGTAGGGTTTTTATTTGTTTTTTTGTTTGTTTTGATATGGGGTCTCGTTCTGTCATTCAGGCTGGAGTGCGGTGGTGTGATCACGGTTCACTGCAACCTCAGTCACCTGGGCTCAAGCAGTCTTCCCACCTCAGCCCCCCAAGTATTAGGACTACAGGCACATGCCACCTCATCTGGCTAATTTTTTGTATTTTCTGTAGAGGTAGGGTTTCGCCATATTGCCCAGGGTGGTCTCGAACTCTTGGGCTCAAGTGATCTACCCACCATGGCTACCGAAAGTGCTGAGATTACTGATGTGAGCCACTGTTCCTGGGCCAGAGTAGGGTGTTAAAAAAGTAGTTTTGGGAAGTGGCAATAGTGGGAAAGATGAAGATTCAGTATCCCTGTGACAAGACTCTATTTCTTCACTCTTTCAATCTTTGGAGTAGAAAATCTGTTAGGGTTTAGAGTGGGACCCACAAGTGTGGCAGAAATGCTGCCTGCCCGAGTCCTTGTTGCCTCCTCCTCTCAGACACTGTTGGGCCACATTTCCCAGCCTCCCTAGCAGTTAGCTGTGGCCTCCTGACGCTTCTACCCTGGGGAGTGCAGCTGCAGCCATGCCTGCCATTTTACTTTTCCCCTTCTGGCTGCCTGGAATGAAGATGGCCGCAGGGCAGAGTTCATCAGCGTGGATCCCTGAATGACTGCAGAGGTGGCTGCCCATGCTATGGTCACCATCCATGGTGAGCAAGAAGTAAGCCTCTGCTGTGTTTGGGCCATTCATTGTATGTTTTTTGGATTACTTGCTGTAACAGACTATTCTCACAAATGAAATGCTGGGAGAAATCAGAAGTTTTCCTTCTAGCAAATATACCCAGCTTTAAGAGGCGGAATATACGGTGCTTCTTTTACACCCATGCTGGAAGGAGTGAGGAAAGCATCACTGTGGGTGTCCAATTAGCATGAAGCCTATTCCCTGCACACTTATTATATAAAATGAGACCTCCACGCCCATTGGCGTCTTTCCACCTCCTTACCCTTTTCTCTCAGCTGGTAATTTATTCACCCCCACCCCCCACTTGCTCTTCCTTCTCCTCCCCGGGGATGATTTCCTGGGAGCCCTGGAGCATTGGGGCAGGAGGCCGGGAGAATGCCCAGTCTAGATAATTAGTCCTAGGTGGGGCTGGCCGGAGGCACAGTGGGTGGGGTGGGTGGCCAGCTGCTGTTAGGATGATTTCAGGGATTGGACCTTCCTCCTGGTGGTGGTGTCCTTTCTTTAACTGCCTTGGTTAAAATGCAAATGTTGCCTGGGAGGGCTACACATTGTCATCATTAACAGAACTGCCTTCATCAGATTAATTAATTATAGTTCTGTATGGCAGACTTTTTTCCCCCTGGTAGTAGCACCCAGACACATGAATTAGACCAGCAAAGAGAGGAGAGATAAAGTTGAAAGCCAGATGAAAGCCAAGTAAAACTGGCCTCGGGAGGAAGGTGGAGCTGGCGGAGTGGGAGTGCTGAGGAAAGACCTTGTCTGTTCAGGTACTGGCCGCCTACAAAGAGGAGTTAGGACAGCCTGTGGAGGAAGCTGGTAGGGAGAGCAGGGGCCCAAGTCCAGCTGAAAACCCTCCCTGGACTTGCAAAAGAGGTGAAAGAGATTCTTTACCTATGGCTTGCAGATTCTGAAGCTGACGAAATTCCACATCTATTGGTGTTAATTGTGCATCTGTTTGCAAATTTGTAAACATGGTGATATTTATCTCTGCTAATTGTATAATGCTTTGTACAGTGTCTTTTTTCTTGTTGCACAATTAAAATGAAAAAAATTGAAAATAAAGGAAAAGATTGATCCATAGCCCAAAACATGTAATAATCTTATTTCTGAAAGTACAGCTGTATTGATTTTTCCCCATCTCTGTGGAATTCTTTGCTTTGAACCTCGTAGATCTAATTTTTAATTGCTTGAAAACCCTTAAGAATTACATTGTCAACAATCTTTGGAATCAGATGAAAGGAGTTTAATTGTGTGTATGCCACTTGACGTTTTAAGAAATGGTATGTTTTGTTGTGGAATATATTTTTATAATTTAGGTTTTTCTAGACAGGCATATTTTTAAAAACCCTAATTTCTGGAAAACGGAGTGTACTTTATATTGGTCAAATATGTCAGTCTTTCAAACAACTATGCTTTTTTGTATGTGCAGCTTTTCTTAACATTTTCATTATGTTTAGATGCCCTGAATCTTGAATTAAAGTTTGGAAAGAAAACATCTGGACTTGAAAAGATAGGCCTGCTGCTGCTTCAATCATATTTATTTTGTGTTGATTTAACGACAGAGCTCTCACATGCTGATGCCATTAGGGTTTGGGACGGAGCCATTTCCACTCCCCCTCCTCATTTTTAGTGGCTGGTGTTTTGGGGACAAGTAATTAAAACTTGTACCACTATTCATGGTTGTGAAATCTCAACACAAAGGTAAAATTCCTGAGGATGCACCTCCTTGTACCCTGAGGCAGGAACTTGTTTGCCTTTACGGAGAGTTTAATTCTTTTTTTTTTTTTTTTTTTTTTTTTTTTGAGATGGAGTCTGGCTCTGTCACTCAGGCTGGAGTGCTGTGGCATGATCTTGGCTCACTGCAACCTTTGCCTCCCCGGTTCAAGCAATTTTCGTGTCTTAACCTCCTGAGTAGCTGGGATTACAGGTGCGCCACCGCGCCCGGCTAATTTTTGTATTTTTAGTGGAGATGGGGTTTCGCCATGTTGGCCAGGCTGGTCTCGAACTCCTGACCTCAGGTGATCTGCCTGCCTCAGCCTCCCAAAGTGCTGGGATTACAGGTGTGAGCCACCACGCCTGGCCTGAGAGTTTAATTTTTAATTCTTAAATTACCCATTAATTAATTACCATTAATTAAGAATTTTTAATTTTTAAATTACCCATGTTGTAATTGCTTCACTGAAAAAAATGTTCAATTCCTATGAAAACTCTTTATTTCCCCTTCTTTCTATTTTTACAGTGGCTTACACTGGTTCTTTTCCTTTGCCATCTACTAGAAGGTTGGATTTCTTGAAGGTCCTTTTATCTGTCCTCTCTCTCTCATCTAGGTGGTCTCATGTGCTTCCTCGAGATAACGTGCATCTGTTTGCAAATTTGTAAACATGGTGATATATGGTGCCTATAGACAATGCTCATATCTATATGTGCAGCCTCAACTTCTCTTCTTTTTTTAATTTTCAATGACCATTTTACCAAATCAACTTTTCGTCTGAACTCTGAGATGGCCCTTGTGTGTTGCTGAGGCCCTTTAAACTCAGCACAATCCAAATGGGAATCATTCATCTTCCTTTACCTTCTCTAATTCTGAATTTCTAATCTTGATCATCAGTTTATCCCCAAATCTAGAAGTCGTCCCTGATGCCTTCCTCCCCTTAACCTCCCACAGCCAGTTGATCACCAATCCTTTGGAGCCTAAATACGGGGTGTGCATTGCTTTCTTCTCATGCCCAGCGTCACTGCCTCCAGTGGTTTGCTCCAGTGACTGCCTGGGCAATCACAGTAGTCTGTAACATGCATACTGCTGCTCACCTCTTCACATGACAGACTCTTGAGACCTCCAGTAGTCGGTGTGCCAAAACAGTGGTCTACTTCTCATGCTCTTGCTGGAAAAGCCTCAGTAATTCCTCATGGGACACCTTAGCTAGGTATAGAAGGCTTATTTATTTTATGTATTATTATTATTATTATTATTATTTGAGATGGAGTCATGCTCTGTCACCCAGGCTGGGGTGCAGTGGCGTGATCTTGGCTCACTGCAACCTCCGCTTCCCAGGTTCAAGTGATTCTCTTGCCTCAGCCTCCCAAGTAGCTGGGATTACAGGCACCTGGCACCATGCCTGGCAAATTTTTGTATTTTTAGTAGAGATGGGGTTTCACCATGTTGGCCAGGCTGGTCTTGAACTCCTGACCTCAAGTGATCCACCCGCCTCAGCCTCCCAAAGTGCTGAGATTACAGGCATGAGCCACCATGTCTGTCCACTTTATTTTTATTTTATAGAGATGGGGTTCTCATCTCTGTCACCCACTGGAGTGGGTGGTATGCAGTGGTGTAATGATAAATCACTGTAACCTCAATCTCCTGAGCGCAAGTGATTCTACCCCCAACCCTTGCCTCAGCCTCCGAGATAGCTGGGACTACAGGCATGCGGCACCATGCTCAGTTAATTATTTTTATTTTTTGTAGATACAGAGTCTCACTGTGTTGCCCAGGCTGGTCTTGAACTCTGGCCTCAAGCAATCCTCCCACCTTAGAAGGCTTTTTATGTTTTATCGATCCTGCCTATTTTCCACCCTCGTTTGCCAGTAACTCTTCATGTAACACTGTATTAGTCTGTTCTCACGCTGCCAGACATACCCGAGACTGGGTAATTTATAAAGGAAAGAGGTTTAATGGACTCACAGTTCCATGTGGCTGGGGAGGCCTCACCATCATGGCAGAAGAACAAGGAAGAGCAGAAGGATGTCTTACATGGCAGCAGGCAAGAGAGAATGAGAGCCATGTGAAAAGGAAAACTCCTTATAAAACCATCAGATCTCATGAGACTTATTCACTACCATGAGAACAGTATGGGGGAAACTGCCCCCATGATTCAATTATCTCCCACCAGGTCCCTCCCATAACATATGGGAATTATGGGAGCTATAATTGAAGATGAGATTTGGGTGGGGACACAACCAAACTGTATCCAACACTTTAGCTGAGTATGAAAAGTTCTTCATGCTTTAGCATCTGTCTTTTCCCTGGCCTCATCTTCTGCTGTTACCCACCTTGATCCTTCAGTCCTGCATTGTCTAATATGGTGGCCATTTGTCATATGTGACTGTTGAACAGTTGAAATGTAGCTGGTTCAAATTGAGATATACTGTAAATTAAAATATACACTGGATTTTAGACTTAGTCTGAAACACAAAAGATGTAAAATATTTTAATAATAATTTATTATGTTGGAATTATAATATTTTGACTACATTGGGTTAAGTAACTCAAATATATTATTAAAATTAACCTGGCCAGGCATGGTGGCTCGTGCATGTAATCCTAGCACTTGGGAGGCCAAGGTGGGCCAATCGCTTGAGCCCAGGAATTCGAGACCAGGCTGGGCAACATGGTGAAACCCCGTCTCTACAAAAAAATACAAAAAATTAGCCAGGCGTTGGTGACTGGCACCTGTAGTCCAAGCTGCTTGAGAGGCTGAGGTGGGAGGATCACCTGAGCCCAGGAGGTTGAGGCTGCGGTGAGCTGTGATTGTGCCACTACACGCCAGCCTGGGTGACAGAGTAAGAAACACCCTGTCTCAAAAAATAAAAATTAAAAATAAAAATAAAATTAATTTGACATATTCCTTTTTACTCTTTGAAATGTAGCTCCTAACCAATTTGAAGGTAGATGTGTGGTGCTCTTAGTCTGTTGGACAGCTCCGTTTTAGCCTTTTTTTTTTTCTTTTTTTAAAAGAGATGGGGTCTTAAGCTATGTTGCCCAGGCTGGACTTGAGCTCCCGGGCTCAAGTGATCTTCCCACCTCGGCCTCCTGATGCCATTGGCACTACAGTCGTGCCTCACCATGCCCAGCTCGCTGCAGACTCTTGTTAGGCAAAGTGTGGTTTTTAGGTCAGCATATCCGCATCACCTGGGAGCTCGTTAGAACTGCAGAATCTCAGCCCCTGCCCCATACCTGCTGAATCAGAACCCATATTTTAACAACGTGATTCAGTCACATGGTAAAAAGTTTGCTGAGTGCTGCTTTAGAGAATGATTTGCTGGTCTCCCAGCATCCTCTGTTATTTGAGGCTTTGCAGAGGTTCTGAGACATTCACAGTTTTGTGGAAGGCTTTGCTCAGAATACATCACCCAGGCGAAGTGGCCCTAACTGTCCATCCCCAGTCATGTGGAATGCCCTCGGTGGCCCTCTGTAATCATTGGTCTTGCAGCATCCTCAAGCCTACTTGACCCGGGAGGTCCCTGAGAGTGGGGACTGGCTCTGTTTCATTGCTGGTATCGCGGGCATATTGCCTGGCATGTAATAGATCCTCAAATATTAAAGTCCTTTAAACACAGCTTACACGTAGCCTTGAGATGGGATGAACGACTGCACATTGTTACACTGTTCTGAGCACCGTTAGGTCCTTTGTCCCCTTCCTTTTTATGAGGACCATCTAAGACAAGGTAACTTGGGCTGAGAGTGATCTGTCTGGATCATGCAGGTCGTACATGGAGTCAGGATCCCTGAAGTCTCCATCTGGGTGACATCACAGCTGCAGATTTCTTTTTTTTTTTTTTTTTAAATGAAACAGCATCTTGCTGTGTCACCCAGGCTGGAGTGCAGTGGCGTGATCACAGTTCCCTGCAGCCTTGACCTCCTGGGCTCAAGCAATCCTCCTGCCTTAGCCCCCTGAGTAGCTGGGACCACAGGCACACACCACCCCAACTTCTGACTTGGTTTTTTGTTTTTTTTTTTTTGTGGAGATGGGGGTCTTACTATGTTGCCCAGGTTGGTCTTGAACTCCTGAGCTCAAGCAGTCCTCCTGCCTCAGCCTCCCAAAGTGCTGGGATTACAGTTGGGAGCCACCACCCCTGGTAGCATCCCAGCTCTTTCTCCCTCTTTACCTCCTTGCTAAACAAGACACTCAAGCCTATCTTACTGTGTAAGCCACATGAGCCATACAAAGACTTCTTAAAAATAATTTTTTAAAAATTTGTAGGCTGAAAAGATTTTAGATTTTTTTTTCTAAAACAGAAATGCACACAGCAGCCTTGCTTTGCGGTAACCCTTGGTTCCATGGGTATGGGACTGGCTCAGGTGCCAGAGGCTGGGTGGAGAGGCAGGCCTCCATGCTGTCTCTTTGGTGCCTGCCCCCAGGACTCCAGAGAAGGGTGCCCGGCGCTTTTCCCACCCGATGGTGCTCCGTGCCTCCTGTCAGGAAGAAAGCAGAACTGACTGCCACACACTACCAGATTCAGGAGCCTCTCCTGTCTTCCTGGGAAGGTGGTTTTGATGAGGTACTGATGAACTTGGGCCTGGTTTTTACAAAATGAACATAGCCATCAGTTGTGACATTGCACACAGCCAACTCTTAGGAGGGGCCGCCATCACAGACCACCTCCGGACACAGAAGTCAGGATTTTAGGGTTTTCTCCTGTGCATGCAGTATACTCCATGGGCATACAAGGGAAAAGCAGTGCTGGTGAGAATCTGCCAGCACTGTTGGGCAGCACGGGTTCTCGACAGGTATTGTTTTATGTGCGTGTGGTGGATATAAGGACCACCAACCAGTCTCGATAACAAATCTAGCCGTTTAAACATCCACAGACATTTTAACGGTCCTAATCTGTGGTCACTCACAGTGTCTGGCCTTGGGAAGATGGACTGGGTGGGTTAAGGAAGGCCCACTGGGTTAACTAGATCGTGCCCGGGTTGGGAGGATGGCACGTTAAATTCTGTGGTGTCTGATGTCTCTTTCTGTTAGCTCCCCGTCTTCCTTTGACAACTCCCCAGTGGATGAGGTCTTTGGAGAGGTGGAGGCTGAAGGAGCATGGCTCATGGTGCAGCAGGAGGTGGTGTGTGACTTAACACTCCTTCCCAGGACTCTGAGTCTCAAGCAGGGCAAGGCTGGGTGCAGTCAGCTCTGTGGCCTGCTGTGGCTGATGGGCCGGGGCCCAGAGACAACAGCTTGGATGCAACGGTCTACAAGCCCAGCCTCCCCAGGCTCCTTGTCTCTGGCTCATTTCTGACCCTTTACCTAAGACTTTCAACAATCCTTACATTCCTGGTAGCATCTTAGTGAATCACCCTTTCGCTTAGATATAGGAATTCATTTCCGTTGCTTGCAACCAAGAAAACCATAGCCTGAAACAGCCTAGTAGGAAGCCTGCAGACCTGAGATCAGTGGGACCTTACCACTTTGTTATTTGTGGCCCTCTGGAAACGTGCCATCTGACCCACTGCAAGGAAGAGTCTCTGCTTCAGAAGGTCAGAGGAGCGGCATCCTGAGACTGGCTGTGGTGAGCTGGTGGGTGCAGCTGTCTCCTGCACACTGACCTGGGTGGCTGTCCCCAGACCTCTGAAAATTGGGAGGAACCAGGGTTTCCTTTTACTTTACCCTCACCAGCACTGCCCAGTCTGGAGCCCTGGAGGGTGGAACGTTGTAGGAATGACTCCTGGGCTCTGTAGAACCCCTACTGTATGCCAGCAGCTTTGCATTATGCCGTGAGTTCCTGGGCTCTGGGAACTGCTGTTGTCCCGTGTCACCAAGTCACATGGCATTGGAGTGGTGCAGTCAGAATCCACATAGCAGCCAGGCACAGTGGCTCATATCTGTAATCCCAGCACTTTGGGAGGCTGAGGTGGGTGGATCATTTGAGGTCAGGAGTTCGAGACGAGCTTGCTTGGCCAACATGGTGAGACCCTCATGTCTACTAAAAAAAAAAAAAATACAAAAGTTAGCCAGGAGTGGTGGTGTGTGCCTGTAATCTCACTCCGGAGGCTGAGGTAGAAGAATTGCTTGAACCTGGGAGACGGAGGTTGCAGTGAGCCGAGATCGCACCACTGCTCTCCAGCCTGGGCGACAGAGCGAGACTGTCTCAAAAAATAAAAAATAAAAAAATAAAAGAATCCAAGTAGCATCTGCCAAATCTCCACTGTGCTCCAGGCACTGTTCAACTTTATGTGAACTTCACAGTGGTTCTGTGGGGTAGGTTTATACAGTTGTTATTGGTGCTATGATCTGAATATTTCTGTCCCCCCAAAATTCCGGTGTTGAAATCCTAACCCACAAGGTGATGGTATTAGGAGGTGGGGGCCGGGTGTGGTGGCTCACGCCTGTAATCCCACTTTGTGGGGCTGAGGTGGGCAGATCACTTGAGGTCAGGAGTTTGAGACCAGCCTGGCCAACATGGTGAAACCCTGTCTCTACTAAAGATTAAAAAATTAGCCGGGCATGGTTGGCAAGTGCCTGTAATCCCAGCTGCTCGGGAGGCTGAGGCAGAATGTAGGGCTGATACTGGAGTTGGGTCTTCTATAGCGGAGGGAAGTCAGGGATGGAGGCCAAGATGGGCTGATTTTCCTGCTGCTGCTAAAAGGAAACCAATTAATGGGAGAAGACTTGAGTTGGGACTTAAGGAGAGTATCTGTTGTGGTTCTCACGAGTTGGAGTGGCATCGCTTGAACCTGGGAGGCGGAGGTTGCAGTGAGCTGAGATCACGCCGTTGCACTCCAGCCTGGGTGACAGAGTGAAACTGTGTCTCAAAAAAAAAAAAAAAACAAAAACAAGAGGTGGGGTCTTTGGGAGGTGATTAGGAATGGGGTCAGTGCCCTTATAAAAGAGACTCAGGTAGTTCTTCCTCCCTTCCATCCTGTGAGGACACAGTGAGAAGGCGCCTCCTACAAACCAGGAAGTAGGTCCACAGCAGACACTGAATCCGCCATGTCTTGACCTTGGACTCCCAGCCTCCAGAGCTATGAGCAATACATTTCTGCTGTTTTTGAGCCTCCTAGCCTGTGGTGTTTTGTTACAGCATCTTGAACTAAGACAGTTAGTGAGGAGCGTTAGGCTTAGAGAGGTTGAGAAACCTGCCCGTGGTTATGGCAGGGCCAGTCTCTTCACTCGCACAGCAGGCACATCGCTGGGGCCCATGAACATGTTCTAGTTTTCACAAGAAGAAAATGAACTTTTAGGTCCCCAAAAATGTTTCGAGATAACATTTCAATATTTAATGATTTACTATATAATATTAATATATATAAAATAATCAAATACATCAAGTTAAACAGATTAATTGAAATACATTAATGATCTAGATTGTGTGTATATATATATGTATGTATATATATGTGTATATATATGTGTGTGTATATATATATATATCTGTCTCCTTGTGCCAGCACAATCATCACATGCAACTTTAATCCTTTTTTTTTTTTTTTGAGACAGAGTCTCACTCTGTCGCCCAGGCTGGAGTGCAGTGGCACTATCCGGGCTCACTGCAACCTCCAGTGTATATATATGTGTGTGTATATATATATATCTGTCTCCTTGTGCCAGCACAATCATCACATGCAACTTTAATCCTTTTTTTTTTTTTTGAGACAGAGTCTCACTCTGTCGCCCAGGCTGGAGTGCAGTGGCACTATCCGGGCTCACTGCAACCTCCACCTCCCGGGTTCAAGCAATTCTCATGCTTCAGCCTCCCAAGTAGCTGGGATTACAAGCCTGCGCCACCATACCTGGCTAATTTTTGTATTTTTAGTCGAGCTGGGCTTTCACCATGTTAGCCAGGCTGTTCTCCAACTCCTGGGCTCAAGGTATCCTCCTGCATTGGCCTCCCAAAGTGCTGGGATTACAGGCGTGAGCCACCACGCCTGGCCCAACTTTAATCCTTTTTTATGGAGATGGGGTCTAGGGAAGGCCTGCCGGGCCCTGGGTCGCAGCTGGCAAGTGAAGGGGTTGGGTTCCCACCCATTCTGTCTGGATTCAGGAGCCTCATGAAGGTCCCTGCCTCGAGTATGTCTGAGCCTGGATGATCCCCCAGCAGGGTCACAGCCAGCCCCGTCGCCATGCCTAGCGCATAACAGATGCTCAGTAGATGTTTGGTAGGTGCAGGAAAGCCAGCCTGTGAAAGGGCGCTCATCCTTCCTGCATTCAAGCATCAAGCCTGGTCATTCTGCTGCTTTGTTTCAGGCGTGCGAGTTTGGGGGCAAATGTCAGAGTGTCCCCAGGAGCAAGCAGGTTGCACAGGGGGCTGTTTCCATGAGCCTGGGCTGAGGGGACCTGTTGGGAGGCCGGCAGCCCTGGGAGACAGGAACAGGCTTCAGGTGTTTCTAAGGATCAAGGCCTTGGCGTATTGCAAAGACATTACAAAATCAGGCTTCCAGAGGCCTCATAGCAACAGGCGTGTCACATAGCCTGTGCTGTGCCACGGAAATAAAACCCGAGTTCAGGACTGCATGCTGCCTGCTGGTCTAGGCCGTAAAAAAAGCTGTCCATGCCCCAACAAAAAAGTAAAGCAGAGAAATTAGACTCCTGAGATTAATTTGCTTTTCTTTCCTGTTTTCCACATTGCTTGTAGCAAGGTGATGCTTTTCTGTGAAAAGGCATTTCTCACTGTCTAAAGGGAGCCCTTCTGTGATCCTCCCTGAGAGCAGCCCTTCTGAGTGTCCTTTCCTGCCCGCCCTAGGCTGCCAGGCTCCTGCTGCTAACTTGACTGCTTCTGAAGTCTCTTTTTAAGGTTCAATGTCAAGGGGAGGTCAGAGAGGGGCGTGGTTCAGCAGGAAAAGAGGAAGAGAGCCTGACTTGTGACCATCCTGGGTGCCAGGCACACCTGAGCACATGCAGCCCCGAGCTTTTGGCCTGGACAAGCCCAGGCCTGGCACCGCAGGGAGAACTGGTCTGTGGATTGTCTCCACAGCCTGATTTCCTCCCAGACTTTGCCCCGCTTGGAGCATTCCGATCTCCGGTGTTTGAGGGTTTCATCCAGTAAATACGGTAGTACTTCACCCTCTCAGATTAAAGGTGTGCTGTGCAGCCTGGGAGTTCCTTTACTTGGGGGTGGTCGGGGAGGCTGAAGGAAGCCTTCCTGCACTTCTTTTTTCTTGAGTTTTTTAATTATTAAAAATGGAGACTGTGCGCTGTGGCTCACACCTGTAATCCCAGTGCTTTGGGAGGATCACTGGAGCCCAGGAGTTCGAGACCAGACTGGGCAATATAGTGAGACTCTGTCTCTACAAAAAAAAAAAAAAAAATTAGCCAGGTGTGGTGGTGCACACCTATAGTCCCACCTACTTGGGAGCCTGAGGCTGGAGGATTTGGCTTGAGTCAGAGAGTTGGAGGCTGCAGTGAGCTATCATTACGGCACTGTACTCCAGCCTAGGTGACAGAGTGAGACCCTGTCTCAAAAAATTTTTTTAAAATAAGTGGATATAATGGTTGGGCGCAGTGGTTCACGCCTGTAATCCCAGCACTTTGGGAGGCCAAGGTGGGTGGATCACCTGAGGTCAGGAGTTCGAGACCAGCCTGGCCAACGTGGTGAAACCCTGTCTCCACTAAAAATACAAAAATTAGCCAGGCGTGGTATCAGGCGCCTATAATCCCAGCTACTCGGGAGGCTGAGGCAAGAGAATCGCTTGAACCTGGGAAGCGGAGGTTGCAGTGAGCCAAGTTCGCGCCATTGCACTCCAGCCTGGGGGACAAGAGTGAACTTCGTCTCAAAAAAAAAATAATAAAAATAAATGGATGTAATTCACATGTCACAAAATTCGCCATGTTAAAGGGTACAGTTTAGTGGTATTTTTTCTGTATATTCACTGACTTGTGCAATCATCACTTTAATTCCAGAACATTTTTATCACCCCAAAAAAGAATCCCTACATCCATTAGTACTCCCTCCCCTTTCCCTCCCTTCCCCCAAATCCCACCCCCACACTGATCTGCTTTCTCTTATTAGTCAGGGTTCTCTAGAGAGACAGAACTAATAGGAAATATATATGAAGAGGAGTTTATTAAGTATTAACTCACATGATCACAATGTCCCACAGTAGGCCATCTGCAAGCTGAGGAGCAAGGAGAGCCAGTCCGAGTCCCAAAACTGAAGAACCTGGAGTCTGATGTTTGAGGCCAGGAAGCATCCAGCACGGGAGAAAGATGTAGGCTAGACCAGTCTCTCCTTTTCACGCCTTTTTGTCTGCTTTAGATTAGATGGTGCCCACCAGATTGAGGGCAGATCTGCCTTCCCCAGCCCACTGACTCAAATGTTAATCTCTTTTGGCAACACCCTCACAGACACACCCAGGATCAATACTTGGTATTCTTCAATCCAATCAAGTTGACACTCAGTATTAACCATCACAAGTCCACCCCTTGTCAATGTGAGATCGTACATAATCTTCAAGTAAAGACAATGGTAAGGTCATAATTACGCCTAACATGCAACTATCCTTTGTATAACCAGAAATGCATCATTCCCCAACCCAAATACTATTACATAAAGCTGATAATACTTAAATGCTGATATGAAGTCAATAAATCTTTTTTTGAGACAGAGTCTCGCTCTGTTGCCCAGGCTGGAGTGCAGTGGCACGATCTCAGCTCACTGCAACCTCTGCCTCCTGGGTTCAAGCGATTCTCCTGCCTCAGCCTCCCGAGTAGCTGGGACTACAGGCGTGCACCACGATGCCAGCCAATTTTTTTGTGTGTGTGTTTTTAGTAGAGACGGGGTTTCACCATGTTTTCCAGGCTGGTCTCGAACTCCTGACCTCAAGTGATCCACCTGCCTTGGCCTCCCAAAGTGCTGGGATTACAGGCGTGAGTCACTGCGCCCAGCCTGAAGTCAATAAATCTTATGTCACACGATAAGGGAAAAGAAAAGAAAATAAAGATATTTTCCTAGCACTAGTACAAGTGTATACATGCGCAAACATGGTTTTAGCAAAAGGAGGAGGAAATACTCATGACAATTGCAGTCCCCATGTCTGCAGCTGGTCACATGGTTGTAGCTGGTACTGATGACTACCCTCTTCTACTACCCATTCTGTATTCCCTTTGCCTTCAGCAAGCACCTTAGCTGGTTGTGTGTTTTTTTTTGCCTGGTGGAGTGACCCAAACCTTCATTCCTGAAGGGTCTGGGTCATTTGTAGTCCGGCCTGGATTGGGCTGTTGTAGTGTCCCCTTGACCTTAATCACAGGGCATGGTAATACTAAGAGACGCCCTAATGGGTCTCCTGTATTGCATGCATACTCTTCCCTAGTTCCATTGCGGAGTAGTAGACTGATTTTATCTGATAGTCTGGGTCAGTCACCCCAGCCAACACTGTAACTCCCTTCTTAGCCTGTTGACTTAAAGGTAGGAGGAGCCCAAAGCACCCAGGTGGCAATCTGAACTTCCAGTTTAATGGAATCATTGTTGTGTCTCCTGGTGGCAGCGTTCCTCCCTCTGGAACTAAGACCCCCTAGGCCAGCAGAACGTAATGTTGCAGGAACAGGAAGCAAAAATTTTGCTAGTGGATCACTAGGGGTGATGGTGAGTTTTGCCACTTCTACTTGCACCCCTTGATTTCTGGACTCGTGAATCCTGGCTATGGGAGAAACAGTACCATATATTGGGCGCTGATTCAGAGCATACATGGCCTTCTGAAGAACTTTGCCCCAGCCCTGCAAAGTATTGTCACCTAATTGGTGTTATAATTGTGACTTCAAAAGGCCATTCCACCGTTCTATTAATCCAGCTGCTTCAGGATGAAGGGGAACATGGTAAGACCAGTGAATTCCATGAGCATGAACCCACTGCCACACTTCTTTAGCTATGAAATGAGTGCCTTAGAGGCGATGCTGTGTGGAATACCATGATGGTGGATAAGGCATTCCGTGAGTCCACAGATGGTAGTCTTGGCAGAAGCATCGCGTGCAGGATAGGCAAACCCATATCTGGAGTAAGTGTCTATTCCAGTGAGGACAACCCTCTGCCCTTGCCATGATGGAAGAGGTCCAGTATAATCAACCTGCCACCAGGTAGCTGGCTGATCACCCTGAGGAATGGTGCCATATCAAGGGCTCAGTGTTGGTCTCTGCTGCTGGCAAATTGGGTACCCAGCAGTGGCCATAGCCAGGTCAGCCTTGGTGAGTGGAAGTCCATGTTGCTGAGTCCATGTGTAACCTCCGTCCCTGCCACCATGGCCACTTTGTTCATGGGCCCATTGGGCGATGACGGGTGGCTGGGAAAAGAGGCTGAGTGGTGTCCACAGAAAGGGTCATCCTATCCAGTTGATTATTAAAATCCTACTCTACTGAGGTCACCTGTTGGTGAGCACTCACATGGGATACAAATATCTTCACAGTTTTTGACCACTCAGAGAGGTCCATCCACATACCTCATCCCCGAATTTCTTTGTCACCAATTTTCCAATCATGCTTCTTCCCGTGAATTCAGCCCATGAATCAGTATATAATCACACATCTGGCCATTTCTCTGTCCATGCAAAGTGCACAACCAGGTGCACTGCTCCAAGTTCTGCCCACTGGAAAGATTTCCCTTCACCGCTGTCCTTCGGGGTGTCGTAGAAAGGGGCTGTAGTGGTGCCACTCTCTATTTTGGGGTGGTGTCTGCATATCATGCAGAACTGTCTGTGAACCAGACCCTAGTCTTCTCTTCCTCTGTCAGCTGATCATAGGGAACTCCCCATGAGACTATTGGTGCAGGCTGGGGGAGAGAAGACAGGGTGGCAGAGTGGAGACCATGGGCATTTGAGCCATTTCCTCATGTAACTTACTTGTGCCTTCAGGACCTGCTTGAGCCCGATCACGTATATACCACTTCCATTTGATGATGGAATGCTGCTGTGCACACCCAGCTTTATGGCTAGATGGGCCAGAAAGCATCCAGTTCATGATAGGTAGTTCAGGTCGCATGGTGACTTGATGACCCATAGTCAAATGTTCAGTTTCTGCCAAAGCCCAGTAACAGGCCAAGAGCTTTATCTCAAAAGGAGAGTAGTTGTCTGCAGAAGATGGCAGGGCCTTGCTCCAAAATCCTAGAGGCCTCCACTGTGATTCACTTATGGGGGCCTGCCAAAGGCTCCAAACAGCATCCTTATCTGCCACTCTCACCTCAGGCACCATTGGATCATACGGCCCAAGTGGCAGAGCAGCTTGCACAGCAGCCTGGACCTGTTGCAGAGCCTTCTCCAGTTCTGGACCCCATTCAAAACTGGCAGCCTTTCGGGTCACTCGATAAATGGGTTGGAGTAACACACCCAAATGAGGTGTTGCCTCCAAAATCCAAATAGGCCCACTAAGCGTTGTTGTGCCTCTTTCTTGCTTGTAGGAGAGGCCAAATGCAGCAACTTATTCTTCACCTTGGAATATCTCGACAGGCCCCATACCATTGGACCCCTAGAAATTTTACTGAGGTAGAAGGTCCGTGAATTTTAGTCAGATTTATTTCCCATCCTCTGGCACGCAAATGTCTCACCAATAAGTCCAGTGTGTTTGCTACTTCTTGTTCACTGGATCCAATTGGTATAATATCATCAATGCAGTGGACCAGTGTGATGTCTTAGGGAAGCGAAAAGCAATCAAGGTCTCTCTGAACAAGATTATGACACAAAGCTGGAGAGGTGATATACCACTGAGGTAGGACAGTAAAGGTATATTGCTGCTGAAGACAAATTGCTTCTGGTGGGCCTTGTGGACAGGAATGGAGAAAAAGGCATTTGCCAAGTCAATGGCCGCATACCAGGTACCAGGAGATGTGTTAGTTTGCTCAAGCAGTGAAACCACATCTGGTACAGCAGCTGCAACTGAAATCACCACTTGGTGAAGCTTACGATAATCCAGTGTCATTCTCCAAGATCCATCTGTCTTCTGCACGGGCTAAATGGGAGAGTTGAACGGGGATGTGGTGGGAATCACCACCCGTGTGTCTTTCAAGTCCTTGATGGTGACATTAATTTCTGCAATCCTTCTGGGGATGTGACATTGTTTTTGATTTACTCTTTTTCTAGGTAGAGGCAGCTCTAATGGCTTCCACTGGGCCTTTCCCACCATAGTAGCCCTCGCCCTACCAGTCAGGGAGCCAATGTGGGGGTTCTGCCAGCTGCTGAGTATGTCTATGCCAATTATGCATTCTGGCACTGGGGAAATGACCACAGGATGAGTCTGGGGACCCACTGTAAGTCGGACCTGAGCTAAAACTCCATTAATTACCATACCTCCATAAGCCCCTACTTCAACTGGAGGACCACAGTGACGTTTTGGCTCCCTTGGAATCAACGTCAGCTCAGAGCCAGTGTCCAGTAGTCCCCAAAATGTCTGATCATTTCCCTTTCCCCAATGCACAGTTACCCTGGCTAAAGTCCAGAGGTCTCATTGGGGAAGGATGGGAGAAAGAGTCACCACATAAATTGTTCGTAATGTAGTGGGGTCCTTCCTCAAGGGGACCTGGCCTCCTCTTCATTCAAGGGATTCTGGGTCTGTAAACTGGCTCAAGTCTGGAAATTGATTGAGGGGCTGTGATTCTCTGTTTTTATAATTCAAATTAGTCTTTTGTCCATTCGACCCAGAAGTTTTCTGCTTATATAAATTCAGTAGGAAGGCAGTAGGCTTCCTATCGATTTCCCTTCTAGGAACACCATGATTAATTAGCCAGTGCCAGAGCTGTACACGAGTCAGACTATTCTGATTGCCGCTTTGCCTCTGCTGTCCATTATGGTAGCTACGCACACCTTGCCTTTGACGGTTGAGTGTCATCACTTGGCTCCTGCCACCTCGGGATCCAATTATTCCCATCATATTTAAATTTTGTAGTTGCGTGACTGCAGTTCCCACCATTAGATCTGACATACAGGGAAGAACAATTACAGGGCTCTTCAAAGATGCAGGTGCTGCCCTCACGAATCTATTTTGCAAGGCATTGGTTAAGGGTATGTCTTCTGGACCCTCCCAGCTGGGATGAGTAGGTCTAAAGTGGCTAATCCACTCCACCATCCCAATCTCCCTAAGCCTTTGGATCCCTTCCTCTACATTAAACCAAGGGAGATCAGGCATTTCCAGCTCACTCCCAGTGGGCCATCTTTTAATCCATAGTTCAGCTAACCAAGCAAATAAACTCTTAGAACCTTTTTTTAACTCCCCAGCTGCAACATTAAAAGCAGAGTCCCTACTTAGTGGGCCCAAATCAATAAATTCAGCCTGATCCAACTCTGTGTTCTTTCCACCATTATCCCATACCCTTAATATCTATTCCCATGCCTGTTCTCCAAGATTTCTGTTTATATCAATTATAGAACTCAAATGGTTCTTTTCGAGTGTAGCGCACCTCCTCATGGGTCACATTCTCAACCTCACCTCTAGGGGCCTGCTGGGACTTTAGTGATAGGTCTAGAAGCAAACAGGGGTGTCGGGGGTGGCTCCTGAGAAGAATCAACATATTTTGCCTGGCAATTGCCTCAGGGGAGGCCATCACTGTTGCCTCAGGCAGCACAGGGTTTATCTCCTCAGACAAAGGTGGAAAGGCTGATGGCAGCCATGGGTCAGGGAAGGGATGTTGCCATTACAGGGGATGGGGAAGCTGTTCCTTCTGGCAAAAAAGGTTCATCGGAGTTTACAAACTCAGTGTCCCCAGCTTCATCAGGGTTCTCCCTCACCGTCCCCATTCCAAGTTGCAGGGTCCTATTCTTTTCGAATCAATGCCCTCACTTTAACAGTAGACACCTGGCGAGGCTGTGCATGCATCTTTCATTGAAGGTCAGCCCCTCGCATGATAAGAGCATGTGTCTGTTTTTCCACAATTTCAGCTCTTTCTCTACAGGAGATAAGACTCTCACTCAGGGCAATCTTAGCAGATTTGAGGCTCAGTATCTGCTTTTGAAGCCGGGAGACAGAATCCCCAAGTTCATCATTTTCTTTCATCACTTTGCCCACTGAACTTAGGAGCAACCAACCAACTTCATTATATTCCTTGGTTTTCCACATATGGTCAAAGGTATTATGTATAGAGTCACTAAACTCCTTGCCTCTCATGAGCAGTGAATCAGGAGTGTCAAATGCATTTATTTTGCATAACTCTCTAAATGGTTTATGCCAAGGACTATCAGTGTTCTCCATACTATGAGAAGTGGAGTCCTTAGCATTTTGGAGTCTAATCATATTAAGCAGGCAACTCCAGAAACCTCAACCCACAAAAGAACTTCATCCTTAATATTCTGTTCCTCTAGAACCACTCTTTGTACCAAAATCTGTATTAGGGTTCTCTAGAGTGACAGAACTAATAGGATAGATATACATATTATGTGTGTGTGTGTGTGTGTGTGTGTGTGTGTGTGTGTGTGTGTGTGTATATAATATCTCCTATATATCTCATATGTATATATCATATATAGAGATCCATTATATATATATATCCTATATCTATCCTATATCTATATCCTATATCTATATCTATATCTATATCTATATCTATAAAGGGGAGTTTATTAAGTATTACATCCCACAATCACAAGGTCCCACAGTAGGCCATCTGCAAGCTGAGGAGCAAGGAGAGCTGGTCCGAGTCCCAAAACTGAAGAACTTGGAGTCTGATGTTCGAGGGCAGAAGCATCCAGCATGGGAGAAAGATGTAGGCTGGGAGGCTAGACCAGTCTCTCCTTTTCACGTCTTTCTGTCTGCTTAATATTTGCTGACAGCTGATTAGATTGTGCCCACCAGATTAAGGGTGGATCTGCCTTCCCCAGCCCACTGACTCAAATGTAATCTCTTTTGGCAACACCCTCACAGACACACCCAGGATCAGTAGTTTGTATCCTTCGATCCAGTCAAGTTGACACTCAGTATTAACCATCACAGTTACTATGTACGGATTTGCCTATTCTGGACATTTCATGTCAGTGGGATCGTAGAATATGTGGTCATTTGTGTCTGGTTTATCTCAGTATAATGTTTGGAGATTCATCCATGTTGTAGTGTGTATCAGTCATTCCTTTTCATGTCTGAATGCTATTGTCCTATGGGAATGGACTGCGTTTTGTTCATATCCTTTGATGGACATGTGGGTGGTTCTCCTTTGTGATTCTTGTAAATAATGCTGCTGTGTGGACAAGTTTTCAATTCTCCTGAGTATTTTCCTTGTGTTTCAAGCTTTTTAACCTCAGTGCCCCAGGCATAGCGCTTGTGATTTCCTGAGCACATGGGTGGCGCATCCCTGATGAATCAAAAGAATAGGATTGGTCATTTTGGCTTCACGGCTGTTGAAGCAAAATTAAAACTCACAATTTCAAAGGTCATAGGATTTTTGTCCTGACCCCGGTGGGTGTGGGCCCCTGCAGGGCTCCGACAGAGGTGGTCAGCATGTCTGCTGAGCCTTCAGGAAGACATGCCTGGTCACCGGCATCCTTGTGGTCCTTGTGGTGGCAGTTTGTGGTTAGCTCAGCCTTACCCCCTGCTGCTGCTGCTGCTGCTGCTGCTGCTGCTACTTTCTGAGCAGGAGCATGGGAGTCTTTCACCCTCCCTGCGAAGTGGACATGGGGTTGATTCTGGGGTTCAGACAGCGAGCGGGGTCCCTGTAGCCCAAGGGTGATAGTGCTCGGGACGGTGTCCCCCCTTAGACATGAGCTGCTCTCTTGTCATTTCCCACTCCTTCACTTCCCAGCAACAACACAGCTTCAGACCAAAATCAAAACCTTCACCTCTTCATCATTTCTGGTTATATTTCAGAAACCCGTGCTATAGGGGGATCCCTCAACAAACTTAAATTTTCCAGATTTAGGGGACATTGGCAGTATCTTCATCATAACATTGTAGGGTTTGTAAGGTTTTCTGTTGAATATTTTTCTTTTTCTTTTTTTTAAGAGACGTTGTCCTGCTCTGTTGCCCAAGCTGGAGTGCAGTGGTGTGACCTTGCCTCACTGCAGCCTTCAATTCCTGGGCTCAAGTGATCCTCCTACCTCAGCCTCCTGAGTAGGTGGGACTACAGGCACCCGTCACCCATGCCCAGCTAATTTCTGTATTTTTTGTAGAGACAGGATTTCACGATGTTGGCCAGGCTGGTCTCAAACCCCTGACCTCAAGTGATCCACCCACCTCGGCCTCCCAAAGTGCTGAGATTATAGGTGTGAGCCACCACACCCAACCTCCCTCTAACTTTTTTTTTTTTTTTCAGTATGTCTAAACATTTTGGAATTGTAATTTAAATCATAAGGGCAAAAGCTGAAAATTAATGCTTAGGTTTACTAGTAAGTGCACCCTTCCCTGTTTCCCCCAAATAAAATCAGTTTATTTTTTAATTGTACCCCAAAGCAAGTTCTCTCAGTACGAAGCAACTACTGCGTACACACAAAATGGTTGTTAATGTAATAACTTCCCTGGCTCACCCAACGTGCAGTGCACACGACTTCAAAGACTACAATTTAGGGCAAGTATACATGAAATGAGAAAACAACTCTCTAAGTTTCAAAACCTGCTGTTAAATTATTTCTAGGACACTCAGGTCATATTTACTTCTCAGTAGGATGTTGCACTGTCATTTGGTTATCAGTCTACCTCGCAGTGTACATTACCAGATGCCAATTGGAGGGACTAGAGATAAAACTTATGTAGTACTATTTCTTAATGGGCTGAATAAGGTAATTACAAATAAGTTTGCCTTACATCCTGTTGAAGACCTCTTTACAGCCTCAGTACCTAACAATATCTAGCAGCCTCCAAGAATGCTCATCAGGTGAAACGATGATGTAACATTTGAAAATGGAGCCAGATACTTCAGCTTAAGTCATTCAGAGCCAAATATCTGAAGAATGGCCAAAATCAAATCTTTATTTTTATAACTGTATAAATGTGATCCAAATGTGTCCACCACCAGTTTTTCAAAAAGAAACATGCTATAAATAAGCAAACTACATCTGCTCACTGATGTGTGTATGGACTCCCTGGATGTCTCATTGAGCTTAATTACAGACCACTCACAGTAATGGATTTTTAGTGTATAGTGTAGCTTGATGTTAAGCCATTTTAGCTTTTGCGCATACATGTTGTGCTGGCTGGTAACGGAGAAGAATTTGCAGCATTACAATGTTAAGCTAGGTTGTATCCATCCCATTAAATGGCATCAATATCAATGTCATCATCCTTGTTGTTGGACTTTACAGTTTCAACTTTAGGTACACTGGCAGTCTTCTAATACACCACCTCAATGTTCTCATCTTCATCTTCTTCACCACCAGAAGATTCTTCCTCTGCCTCCATTTTATAAATGGTTCTACTTTGACACGAATCTCTTTGGCAGGTTCTTTTGAGACATGTTTCTTAAAGGCCTTTTTCCGACCAGCTGATGACGACCTCTTCTTCTAAAAAATCTACATCATACATCTCCTTCAAGATATTTGGAATCTTAGAGATAAGCTGAGCTTGGTGCATTGCTACCCCACACGTAAAGCCATGAAGAAGGTACCATTGAGCTTTTTTGTTGTTGTGACAAAATCATAAGAAATGGTGCCTGTATTTCTTATGTGTTCTCTAATCTCCTCTTTAAAAAGAACTTCAGTCAGAACAAGAGGGCCCATGGCTTTAACATCCAGTCCTTCTGCTTCAGTAACAATTTCTTTGTCACATAAATCAATGATACCCTCTTCTTTCTTTTTCTTCACAAAATCAAACAGGATGTTGGCCCGCTCCTCAACTGTTTTTTCCAAATCATCATGGAGTATCAGAACTTTTGCATGATCACTGATTTCATCCATTCTGCACCTTTGAGCTTCCTCAGTTGTATCTTCCCCCCAGTCATCCTCCTCTTCTTCCACTGTATGTGGAGGAGGGCTAATTTCTTTGGTGGTGGTGTCTCACTGCTGGATACGGAGCCATTTTCCTTGTCTTTGCCCTTTATATTTTTCTTTTCCTTTTCTTTCTTTCCTGTACCACTGTCACTATTCTCAGGTGGGTTTTTGAGAATGAATGTGCAGAGTTTATGATGTGTGTCAAGCATGCCTCGATAGCCACAGGCTTTATAAGAATTACCTATTGTTTGCTGCTTTGGCTTGACATGCATATCTGTTTCAGGATTCTCACATTCAGGACAGAGAACAAATTTTTTAATGAGTCCATCCAATATGTCTTGCAGCTTATTGGCCTCCTGAGATCCATTCACAATGTAACAATGTATCCCACCAAAATACTTGGTGGGATACCTTGGAGGCCAATTAAGCGCCTTTGCAGTGTCAGTCATGTTGACTATAACTGTCTTGATTCCATTTCCTTTGCCCTCAACCTTGGCAATCAGACAGGGCATCTTGTAATAGAACTGGTCTGATATGCTGGGGTTGACGTTGACAGACATTTTGGCTTATTGGTGGCTTTATCAATAAGATGAAGAGATCTTTGATTGCAGCTTTTTTATATCTTCTGTCTGGAGAAGAAGGGATGACATAAACAACTGCAAAAGTTCTCGGTCTCTAATGTGAAAACATTTTCACCACTGAGGCTGTAAGCGTCTTGCTTGTATGCTATGTTTCCCCAATACAGGTACTAATGGCTGCGCAAAAGCTCTTCTGGTGAAGGCCTCCCTGCTCTCCCACGCTTGAAAAGCGCTGTCCTTCATGCTTCCCTGTCACCTTGCTCCTAGCAGGCATCACGTCGAGTCCACCCTGCCAGTTTATCTTTTTTTTTTTTTTTTTTTCTTGAGAGGGAGTCTCGCTCTGTTGCCCAGGCTGGATTGCAGTGGCGTGATCTTGGCTCACTGCAACTTCCGCCACCTGGGTTCAAGCGATTCTCCTGCCTCAGCCTCCTGAGTAGCTGGGACTACAGGCACCTGCCACCACACCCAGCTAATTTTTTTAATTTTTATTTTTAGTAGAGATGGGGTTTCACTATGTTGTCCAGGCTGGTCTTGAACTCCTGACCTCAAGTGATCTGCCTGCCTAGGCCTCCCAAAGTGTTGGGATTACAGGCATGAGCCACCGTGCCTGGCTCCCTCCACCTTTAAAATTTTTTTTTTTTTTCAGATTATGTTTTTCGAGCCTCAAGATTTATTTTATTGCAGTATTTTTTTTTTTTTTGTAAATATGAAGAGTTGTCCAGTAGAGTCTCATCATATGTCGACTGAAGCTGGCACCATCCTATGGCCCACAGAGGCTTCTGTAACTGGGTCTTCAACATGTGGCCCTCCCTCCATCCTTTCCCACCCTCTTTGCTCCAGCCACAGCCAGCTTCCAGCTTCTAGAAGCAGCCTGCATTCCTCCCCCACCCTTTTTTAAATAGAGTCTTGCTCTGTCACCCAGGCTGGAGTGCAGTGGTACAATCATAGCTCACTGCAGTCTTGAATTCCCGGGCTTAAGCAATCCTCCCACCTCAGCCCTCCCAAGTAGCTGGGACTACAGGTGCACCACCGTGCCCTGCTAATTAAAAAGGTTTTTTTTAGAGATGAGTTCTCACCATGTTGCCCAGGCTGGTCTCAAACTCCTGGGCTCAAGTGATCCTCCTGCCTTGGTCTCCCAAATTGCTAGGATTACTGGTGTGTGCCACTGTACCTGGCCTTCCTTTTTCTTTTGAAAAAATCCTTAGGTTTTAATAAAATTCCACGTCCTCCATTCTCTGAAATCTGTATGAAGTACCAGAAGTCTCAATTTGACAATAGACATGGTCAGGATATTTCTAATGTTTGGATGATCCTCTGCAAACTAGAGGCCAGCAGACTTCTGTAAAGGGCCAGAGAGTAAATATTTTTGGCTCTGTGGGCCAAATTACTCCTCTGTGCTGTATAGCATGAACGCTGCTGTAGACAGTATGTAAATGAAAGGATTGTGTGCCAATAAATCTTTATTTACAAAAGCAGGCATTGAGCAGTAATTGGCATCCTGGCTGGGGCTTGCTGTCCTTGGTAAGCAGTGGTTTTCAAAGTATGGTTCCCAGACCAGCAGCATCAGTATCCCCTGGGAACTTGGTAGGGATGAAAATTCTTGGACCCCACTCTAGACCTACCGAACCCCAAACCAGAAGTTAGGAATCATCTGGGTGATGCTAATGCTGGCTCCACACAGCAGAGCAGTTCTCTGTACAACTGCTCTACAGAGATGTGGCCTGTCTGCCATTTGTATTCTAATTAGCATGTGCAAAACCTCGGAATCACGGTTGCTGGGACCCAGGGACCTGAATTTTAACAACTGGCTCAGATGGTTTTATACACACTGAAATCGGAACCAGTTTCTAAAGCAGCACTTCTCTGAACCAGTAGAGGACGTGGGGGAGGCGTCAGGGAAGTTTTTCAAACTACAGCCTGAGCTTGCTTGGGGTACTTTGCAAGAAGGAGGGGGTAAATGTGGAAAATGGGAGCAGTTGTGGCTTTTTGTTAGCTTATTGTGAACTCTGCCCCTGGTACCTGGTCTGGGAAGGTGGATTTATTTCTTTTCTCCTACATGTAATGCGTGTTTTGAAACCCAGGAATTTCTGAAATTTTAAAGCCTGTTGGTTGTAATAAATATTGCACCCCACCACATTTGCTACCACATTTGCGAACTTTTATTTAGTATTTGAAGTGAAAACGGGTTGAGAAATATACCGTATGATCCATTGGTATCAAATATCTTGAATATGCAAATGCTTCAAATGCTTGAATATGCAAAGGCAGCAAAATGGTGGTTACCGGGGCGGAGTGCAGAGGGGAGGGTCTGCCAGCAGGCGTGGGGTTTCTGTTGGGGTGATGAAAATGTTCTGGACTTAGAGAGTGGTGGTTGCACAACTCTGTGAATATACTAAAAACCCTTTGATTCTATACTGTAAAGAGGTAAATTTTATCGTATGTGAGTTATACTCAAGAAAGCAGTTATTTAAAAAAAGGAAATGGGTCGAGGTGTGTGTTCAGCCTTATTCTTGAATTGTAGAGACCTCACTGAGAGGAGGCTGACCCTGAAGGCCCCTGTTAGAGCCCATCCTGGGGCAGTTCTTCAGTGGCCCTGAATTCGTGTCACAGGGATCATCACTAAGCTGTGATTTTTGGTGCTGGATCTGACCCAGGAGCAGACAGGCCTGGGAAAGAGTGTGTGTTGTTTAAGGAGCCTCACCTCTGAGTGGGTGAACCCCGATTGAGGGAGAAACTCACATGGTGTTCCTCCAGGGCATGTAGCTGGAAGGCCCCCTGGGCTGAGGAGCTAGTGGCAGCCTGCAGGTTAGGGGAAGGGGGGAGGAGGCTGCAGTGGGGGAGGTGGGCAGGAGCCAGGGCCTTGCTCCAGGGCAGTGGGAGCCATGGAAGACTTTTAAGCAGGGTGTGGTGGCAAAGACCACTTGTAATAGAAGGGCAAATGGGTACAGGAGTTACAGGGAGGAATTAGGAAGCCTTGTCCTACCAGCAGTGATAGAGAAAAGTTAAGGGATGCGAGTGGTACCACCACGGCACAGTATCCGCATCTGGTGCAGGGATGGAGAATCCTGGTGCCTGAACACACGTGTGCATCTGTGCATGACTGCTTGCCTCTCCCTCCCTCCATCCCATCTGCCTGGGGGAGGCGAGGGCTGAGCAGGGATCAGTCCTGGGAGTCCTGGCTCCTGGATCTGTGCTCAGTGCCACGCAGGTGGCAGCTCCAGAAAGCTCTGCGGAGGGAATGGCCAAATCTGGTGCAGACCAGCTCCTCTCTGCCCAGGTGTGGCTAGGCTGCTTCAACATGCTTGCTTAGTGCCAGGAGGAGGAGGAGGAGTGCTCAGTGCCTCCGGGCAGGAGCGGACCTCCCTGGGGCTCTGTCCCTTCTCTGAGGACTCCCAGCAAACACTGGCAGCGGGGGTCTTCAATGCACTGTCCTAACTGCTTGGGCAGGAAATGAAGCAATTTGTTGGAAAAACTCAATTTTGAGAATAAGAATAATAATTCTTCTTCTTCTTCTTCTTCTTCTTCTTCTCCTTCTCCTTCTCCTCCTCCTCCTCCTCCTCCTCCTCCTCCTCCTCCTCCTCCTCCTCCCTTCTCCCTTCTCCTCCTCCTTCTCCCTTCTCCTTCTCCTTCTCCCTTCTCCTTCTCCCTTCTCCTTCTCCTTCTTCCTTCTTCTTCTTTTCTTCTTCTTCTTCTTCTCCTCCTCCTCCTCCTTCTCCTCTTCCTCCTCCTCCTCCTCCTCCTCCTCCTTCTTCTCTTCTTCTTCTTCATATTTTTAGAGACAGGGTCTCACTCTTGCTCAAACTGGAGTACAGTGGCATGATCATTGGTCACTGCAGCCTTAAACTCCCAGGCTTAAGCTATCCTCCTGCCTCAGCCTCCCAAGTAGCTGGGACTAAAGGCTTGTGTCACCATGCCTGGCTAATTTTTCGATTTTTAGTAGAGACAAGGTCTTGCTATGTTGCCCAGGCTGGTGTGGAACTCCTGGCCTCAAGTGATCTTGTCTCTGCCAATTTCATGTTATTCTTAAACATAAGATTTTATTTGAATGGTCACCATAAATAGATCTTATTTTTGTAGTTATGTCTTCACTGCATGTAAAATTGTATAGTGTGCTAGGAAAACAGAATCAGGTAGTAGTTACTTCTCCCAGGAAGAGGCAGGATCTATACGAAGTCATTTTTGCTTTTTGCTTTGTTTTTGGTAATAATCATGGAATTATGCTCCAGATTTACATGGAGAAACAACATTTTTTTTCTTTTTTCTTTTTTCTTTTTTCTTTTTTTTTTTTTGAGACAGGGTCTTGCTCGTTTGCCCAGGTTGGAATGCAGTGGCGCAATCACAGCTCACTGCAACCTCCACCTCCCAGGCTCAAGTGATCCTCCCACCTCAGCCTGCTGAGGAGCTGGGACTATAGGCATGTACTACCAAGCCCAGCTAATTTTAAAATTTTTTGTAGAGACAAGGTTTTGCCATGTTTCCCAGGCTGGTCTCCTGGGCTCAAAGTATCCTCCTGCCTTGGCCTTCCAAAGTGCTGGGATTACAGGCGTGAGCCACTGCAGCGTCCCAAGAAATAACATTTGGGTATGAAGTGAATGAGGCTCGTTTACATTCCAGGTTTTCCCCCAAATCTTTTTAGTTTAAACAACAGCTTAAAAATTAAGGTCGGCCGGGTGCTATGGCTCACACCTGTAATCCCAGCACTTTGGGAGGCCAGGGTGGGTGGATCACCTGAGGTCAGGAGTTCGAGACCAGCCTGGCCAACATGGAGAAACCTCGCCTCTACTAAAAATACAAAAAAAAAAAAGCTGGGCGTGGTGGCAAATGCCTATAATCCCAGCTACTCAGGAGGCTGAGGCAGGAGAAACTCTTGAACCTGGGAGGCGGAGGTTGCAGTGAGCGGAGATCGCACCATTGCACTCCAGCCTGGGAGACAAGAGCCGAAACTCCGTCTCAAAAATAAATAAATAAATAGAATAAAATACAATAAAAGATCATGGATTTCTAGTAAGAGAAGAGAATATGTAAGCTGGAAAGCATAAACCTAGAAATCTTCCATTCCATAGATTTTGCCCCTCTCTTCCTCCCCTCCCCACAAAGAAATAAGTCATTTGGAGCAAAGCAATTGCTTAAACTTTTCTTAGCTGGTTTCCGGAGCTCCCTGGGAAGAATGAGGGTGGAAAGCTGGAGGGGCGTTCTGGGTATTGGAATGCAAGCCAGTGGATCTGTAGCCCGCTGTGCTTCTGGGAGCCTGACACGACACACAACCGGCACACAACCGTTGTGCCCTTTTGAACTGTGCAGGGTCTTAGCTGGGCTGGGCAGTTTGACACGGCTGTTTTCACCATCAGGACGTTCACTTATGGTTGAGTACCTGGCAAGGGTAGGGAGAGAGGAATGTTCCCAGCCATCTCCTGCGGGACACTTGGGCGGCTTTCTCCCTGGGACCCCCATCTCGAGATGGCCTCGGGATTGTGGAGGGGGTGGCAGGGGTGCTGGGTTTGCTTTCATGAAAGAGCAAAGCAGTTTCCCTTCTACTTATCTTGTTTTCAGATGTAGTGGAATAAGCCAGGAAATATTTCTCCTGGATGAAAGGTCATTCTTCTTACATTGGAAGCTTTGGAAAAATCTCCCTAAATATCAAAATACAAAGGTTATGGAATAATATGTGCTTCGAATAGCTTAAGTGGTTAAAAAATTCTCTTTGCAGCTCAATATTAAAGGAAAAATAATAGACTGTTCTTGGACAAAAATGAAAGGGATCACGAAGAATGTGTTTCCAGCCAGCTTCCTGCACTGGGGTTATTGCACCAGGACTGTCTCCCTAGTAGAGGCCCTGTTTACTATGTTGCTTAGTCCTTGCTTCACAAAAGCAATATTTGAACCAATAATCCCACAACAGCATGACATTTTAACTTGTAAGACTTTGGGTTTTCACAACATGGTGGGAGTCTGTTTTGGTATTTTGTTCTATAAATTCAGTTGGGGCTGACAAAATTAATGAACTGGCATTTTAGAGAAAGTGACATTGTAACTTCCCCTCCTCTTCGCATGTTTACATCCACACTGATAAAGATGCAATCTTGTCTGTAGCTCATTCTCCAGGAACTTGAGTGTCAAGGACAGTCTGCACGGCCCTTGGGAAATGGGCATTCCCTGGCATTGAGTTGTTAATTGGACGCTGAGTGCTCGAGCTGCATTTATGGTTCCATATGTGGGTGTATGTTTGTGTTTCAGTGAGGAAGATAGTAGCTGCTTCCCTCCCACAGCCTTGTGGACCCTGGCTGCACATTTGAGTTGCCTGTTTGACGCTGTCTGACCCTTTCTTAGCCAGTTTCTGGAGCTCCCTGGGAAGAATGAGGGTGGAAAGCTAGAGGGGAGTCCTGGGTATTGGAATGCAAGCCAGTGGATCTGTAGCCTGCTGTGCTTCTGGGCACCCAACACGACACACAACCGTGTGTGTTCCCACAGAACCTCTGTGTGTGTCTGAAGCCCTCTGGGTGACTCCACCTGTGGCCACAGTTGGGAGCAAGCCTGCCTGGGCCTCCGCCTCCTGCAAATGTGATAGTCCCCACCCAGGGTGGGTGCATGTGCCTCTCACGGTAGCAACTCCATGGCTTGCCTGAGGTGGGCCAGGTTCTTCGGGGGCTAATGTCTCACCGCCCTGTCCAGTTCTGGTTCTCAGTGAATGTGTTATGCCATCATGACCTTTGTCACTTTCTTCCCCTTGCCTTGTTTTTGCACATTGGAATTTGCAAGCGGGTCTGTGGTCATCCGAAGTTGTGCTCTTCATGCATAACCTGGCCTCCACGCCTCACTGCTGGGCTCGGATGACACAGGTGGGAGACTTCTGAATATTAGAAGTTTATTGGAACATCTAAATTGTATTCTAAATAACCTTTTTCTTTTTTTGACAGGTATCATTTTCCTTTTTTTTTAATCTCTATTTCTAAGAATAACTTTATCTTCAGCTCTTATCCATCATTTAAAAACAATAACAAAAGAGGCTGGATGTGATGGCTCACTCCTGTAATCCCAGTGCTTTGGGAGGCTGAGCTGAGAGGATCGCTTGAGCTCAGGGGTTCAAGAGCAGTCTGGGCAATATGGTGAGACCCCATCTCTACAAAAAAATACAGAAGATGTAGCTGGGTGTGGTGGTGCACGCCTGTAGTCCTAGGTGCTTGGGAAGCTGAGGTGGGAGGATCACTTGAGCCCAGGGAAGTCAAGGCTGCAGTGAGCTGTGATTGTGCCTCTGCACTCCGTCCAGGGCGACAGAGAGCTACCCTGTCTCCATAAAAAAGAAAAAGAAAAACAAGAAGAAAAGAAAAGATTACTATGTACATTCTCATCTTTCAAAGAACGAACAAGATTTGGGAAAATGCACCAAGGCTCAAACGCTTTTGAAAGGTGGACAGTGGTAGAGAATGTTGAGTCTTTGGGCCTCTGGTCAGCTTTTAAGGCCAGGGTGAAAACAGACCCTTGGAAATGTTACTGTGTATTCAGTTAAATAAAAGAAGGGGGATGACTCCATTCCTCCAGTGCAGTGGTGAAACCTTGGCTGTGCTCCCTGGGGGAGCTGCGAAGCGCTATTGATGGCCAGGCTGCACCCCAGGCCAGTTAGTCAGGAGATGGAGGGGCAGGGGCAGGTATTGGTGATTCTAAAGAACACCAGGAGAGTCCAGTGTAGCCTGGATGGAGGGTTATGGTCTTACATGTTAGCCTTGACATTTTTCTTTTTCTTTTTTTTTTTTTTTTTGAGACAGGGTCTTATTGTGTCACCCAGGCTGGAGTGCAGTGACGTGATCTGGGCTCACTGCAGCCTCAACCACCCAGGTTCAACTGATCTTCCCATCTCAGCCTCCCAGAGTGGTGGGATTACAGGCATGAGCCACCACGCCCAGCTAGCCTTGACTCTTGTTGGCAGGTTAACAGACAGGCACCAAGCATTCTCTGCAAAGCTCATGGTGAACATTGAGTCCCCCCGGCCAGGGGCCTGCCTGAGTTTAATGAATGGGTGTGTTTTCTGAGCTCGAGGGGGCCACATTGGTTCTCTTTGGTTTGAGGCGAGGGAGCACGTCAACCTTTGGTCAGGCTCTGGTGGCCAAGGTGTCACAGGAAGGGAAAAGGTGTAGTCTGTGCTGAGGCTGGGGCCGAGGGATTTTCAAGCAGAAGGAGCTCCAGGGAGTATGGAATGCACTCTCCTGCCTTGGGGAGCAGGGAGACCAATAGACCCAAGCAGTTCTGGGAAAGTAAGTGGTGCTGCTGTGTGGGGAGGTGGAGCAAGGAGGAGGGAGGAGGCCTTCCTCCGCTGAGAGAATAGGGTCCTTCCGGGTCGGGGTGGTTGGGCTGCATTGTATGGGGTACTAGCGAAGGACCTAGCAGGTGCCAGGCTAAATGCTTTCCAGCAGGGCTTCTCTAAGAGTGCTCTTCCCATCAGCAGCATCAGCTTCCTCTGGGAGCTTGTCCAAAATGCAGAGGCTCAGGTCCTGCCCCAGTCCTGCCCTTTAAGGGCAGGGTTTCACACTGCTATAAAGAATTACCTAAGACTGGGTAATTTATAAAGAGGCTTAATTGACTCACAGTTTCACTTGGCCGGGAAGGCCTCAGGAAACTTACGATCATGGTGGAAGGGGAATACGCACATCTTACGTGGCAGCAGTCGAGAGAGAGCAGGCAAGAGCAGGGAAAACTGCCTTATAAAACCATCAGATCTTGTGAGAACTCACTATCACAAGAACTGCATGGCGGGGGAATGCCCCCATTATCCAATCACCTTCTACCTGGTCCGTCCCTTGACACATGGGGATTATGAGAATTACGATTCAAGATGAGATTTGGGTGGGGACACAGAACCGAACCATATCAAGGGCCTTCTCGAAGGATGCTTCTGATCATAGGCTGGTGCTTGGGAACCTCAGCCTGATAGACTTTCTCTTATCCATTCCTCATATGTGTTCCAGGGAAGAAGTTATTGTTCTTCTTCTTATTATTATTGTTGCTTTAGTGACAGAGTATTGCTCTGTCAGAGTAAGCCTTACCCAGGCTGGAGACCAGTGGCATGATGTTAACTCACTGCAACCTCCAACTCTCCCACCTGAGCCTCCCGGGTAGCTGGGACTATAGGTGCCTGCTACCATTCCCAGTTAATGTTATTTTTTTTTGTAGAGATGGGGTCTCACTATGTTGCCCAGGCTGGTCTCGAATTCCTGGGCTCAAGTGATCCTCCAGCCTTGCCTCCCAAAGTGCTGGGATCACAGGTGTGAGCCACTGTGCCCAGCTTTCCTGTCTGTCTATATCTGTCTATCTGTCTCTTCATCCACACATACAATTTTACGAATGGCAAAGCAACGGTTATTTCTATTTTGAACAGGCAAATGACACCTCAGCAGGGTGTAGCGTAAGGACCATAGCGCTATCTTTGAGTTAGTAAACCAGATGCTAATCCTTTGTGTTGATTGACTTTGGATTTAAAACCTTTGAGCACAATTTTCACATATCTGAAGTTGGGAAGGTAATGCTTCCTGGGGTTGTTTGTTTTTGTTTTTGTTTTTGTTTTTTAAACAGATTCTCTCTCTGTTGCCCAGGCTGGAGTATAGTGGCACAATCTTGGCTCACTGCAACCTTCACCTCCCAGGTTCAAGTGATTCTCCTGCCTCAGCCTCCTGAGTAGCTGGGACTACAGGCATGCGCCACCACCCCCGGCTAACTTTTGTATTTTTAGTAGAGGCGGGGTTTCACCATGTTAGCCAGGCTGGTCTCAAACTCCTGACCTCAGGTGATGCACCCACCTCAGCCTCACAAAGTGCTGAGATTACAGGCATGAGCCACCACGCCTGGACCCTGGGGCTGAGTAGCTGTCGCCAGTCTACACATGCCAGCTGTTACCAGCAGCACTAGTCAGAGACCCCACTTTTCCAGTGCCCTTGCAGTAGGTGTGATTGCTTTGTTGGCTAAGAGCTGACCCCAGAGGTTTGTGGTGACAAGGACCAGAGCCATCCTTTGGAGGTGGAGTTCCAATGATGCCCAATCATGATGGGGGCCGCTGTTGATCCGTACACACTCCGATTCCTTTTCAGCCCTTAGGGTGGCAGGGACACATTGAGATTCTAGGGCCAAGAGACTGGGAGCCAGTCCTAGTACAAGGCATTTTTTTAAATATATGGAAACAAGGATGGTGAATCTGGAAGTTGAGAAATTGCGGTTGCCTGAAGGTGACTCACAAGCGAAGGTATTTCTAAGCCAGAAGAAAGTATGATTCAGATTGAAAACAGAACTCACACCTGCCGGTTGCGGCAGAGTGATCTGAACATGCTCATTACGACAGTCTAGTTGGGGTAGGTACAAAGCTTATTTATCATGCATGCTTTCAGGATGAGAAAACCAAGGGCTCAGATCTAATACAATATTATTCAGGTTTCAGGTTCAGTTGATGCTTTTAGGAGAGCATTTTGGCCCAGTTTTTTTTATTTTTATTTTTATTTTTTAAGAATCATTAGCTAATGGTTTCAGAAAATACATTAGATTATTTCAGATTCACACTGGCATGTCTTGGGCTCTGCAAGTCTCCCTCTCTCACACACAGTAAGAAGGTGGCCTTCTGCAGTCCAGGAAGAGACCCCTCACCGGAACCTGATTATGTTGCCATCTTGATCTTGGACTTCCCAGCTCCAGGCTGTGAGAAATACGTTTCTTTCTTTTTGTATGTGTGCTGGGATTACAGGCATGGGCCACCGCACCTGGCAGAAATACGTATTGTTGCTATTCCCTGCTCCCCTCTGCCCCTGGTAGCCTCTATTCCACTTTCTGGTTCTATGAGTTTAACTGCTTGAATCTCTTTTTGCCATGTACACGGAGCAGGGGGAGTGCTGGCGCCTGGATGGTGGCCTGAATTTTCTTGCTGCCTAGAGTCGCTGATCCACCACAGCCATCTGTCTGGAAAGTGGGGTCAGCTGAATTGGAAGTGGCATCCTGATGAATTTCCGACATAGAGCTTGATAATTCTTATCCTTCACCCAAAGATTAAACTGGAAGAAAGCAGCTTGTGGCTAAGAAAATTGATCAGTTTAGCTGTTACAGGGTCTCAAGTGAACCCCTGGTTTCTTTTTTTTTTTTTTTTTTTTTTTTTTTTTTTTTTGAGACAGAGTTTCACTCTAGTTGCCCAGGCTGGAGTGCAATGGCGCGATCTTGGCTCACCACAACCTCCACCTCTTGGGTTCGAGCGATTCTCCTGCCTCAGCCTCCCGAGTAGCTGGGATTACAGGCATGCACCACCATGCCCGGCTAATATTTTTGTATTTTTAGTAGAGACAGGGTTTCTCCATGTTGGTCAGGCTGGTCACGAACTCCTGGACCTCAGGTGATCTGCCCGTCTCGGCCTCCCAAAGTGCTGGGATTACAACCCCTAGTTTCTTAGATAACTGTCCAGCCTGTTGGCAAAGGCCAGACATTAACACCATGTGTTGAATGCATGGGTCTCACGAGAGGCATCTTGTGAGTTCTGAGTTTAGGCAGAAGGCGAGAGAAGTCAGATTCTGTTGTGCGTTAGAGGAAGGCTTAAGGTTGAACCCATGGAACTACACACAGGAGAGTGGGGAGGGAAACTGAGGAAAACACTGACTTTTGTCAGAAAAGACTGTTTCAGAGGGGAAACCGAAATAGCTGGTTAGTGCCGTAGATGTGGTTTGTCAACATGGCACTATCGACATTTGGGGCTTGATGATTCTTTGCTGTGGGGACTTTTCTGTGGATTGTAGGATATTTAGCAACATCTTGGCATCTGTCTCCAAATGAGGACAACCAAAACTGTTTCTAGACATTGCCAAGTGTCTAGGGGATGGGGACCACAGTCACTGTGTCTTGGTCTGTTCAGGTTTCTATAACAAAAGACCATAGACCAGTTGACGGTGGCTCACGCCTGTAATCCCAGCACTTTGGGAGGCTGAGGTGGGCGGATCACCTGAGGTCAGGAGTTCAAGACCAGCCTGACCAGCATGGAGAAACCCTGTCTCTACTAAAAATACAAAATTAGCCGGGTGTGGTGGCGCATGCCTGTAATCCCAGCTACTTGGGAGGCTGAGGCAGGAGAATCGCTTGAACCTGGGAGGCGGAGGTTACGGTGAGCTGAGATCGTGCCATTGCACTCCAGCCTGGGCAATGAGAGCAAAACTCCATCTCAAAAACAAACAAACAAACAAAAGCAACAGACATTTGTTGCTCACAGTTCTGGGGGCTGGAAATCCAAGATCGAGGCGTGGCAGATTCAGTGTCTGGTGAGGGCTTCCTGGTTCACACAGTGCCTTCTTGCTGTATCCATGCATGGTGGAAGGGGCAACAGAGCTCTCTGGGGTCCCTTTAATAAGGGCACTAATCCCATTCATGAGGCTCCACCCTCATGACATAATCACCTCCCAAAGGCCCCACCTCCTAACACCATCACCATGAGGATCAGGATTTCAACATATGGATTTTGTGGGTGGGGGAACACACACATTCAGTCTGTAGCACACGCCAGTTAGGAGCCACTGCTATCCACTGTCAGATTCTCCCTAATGTGTCATCCTTCCCTTGGCCTTAGGGCTGGGACCCCTAGGGAACCTTAGTTAAGGTCTTCGCACCTTCTTCTTTCGTGTGTTCTCTTTGTGCTGAAGTTTGCTTCAGGTGTTTAAGAGAGTCTGGTCCTTGAAGAGGCAGGATGACCTTGGCAAGACCTGGAGGAGCCAGGGGTGCCTGTCCAGAGGCAGGGAGCTCCTTAGGCCTGCACAGTGGGGCTTGGCCAGGGATCCATCCTCAGGACTTGGTTCTGCTATGGGAGGTAACGCCCACCCTGTGTCTCTCTAGCCCGCCGAGCCCCTCCCTCTGCAGCACACCCCTCCTTGCTGGTCTTGCACTTTGTGTTTGTCAGGGAGCATGACTAGGTTGGTGGGGAGTGGAAAGGAAATCTCCAGTCCTGAGGGATGCTGTCCCGTGGCCATCTCTTGGTCGAGTCTTTTGGAATTGTGTGCTGGCTCCCTCGAAGTAGAATGCATGTGACCATGTGGCACATGCAGGCTTAGTAGTTAGGAAACCGTTTACCCAGTAGGCACATGGGATAGGGAGCGGGCACAGCTAGAGCTGGGAGTGCCCCAGCACACTAGACGAACCAGCAGGAGCCTGCATATGAACCGGCTGAGCTCCCCAGCTGACCGCTGAGCTCACTTGCAGGTCAATGTGTCCTGGGGCTTGCTTGTTGAACACTAACGTGTGTGCAGGTTGCAGGGGTAAGGGTGGGGGGCGGGTGCACCTCACTCTGAGCCCGCTTCTCTGATGGCCCCTGCTTGCTGGTCTACCAGGTGTTCCTCTGGCCAAGGTCAAAACCTCAGATATTTGATATTTCTTGTTTTGTGTATAGGAAGTACTAGAAATCTACTTTGTAATGGGTCAGAGGAAGGGGAAGGACTTATTTGTGTTGGTTTTTGAAGCAGGAAGTGGCCACATGCAAAGGTTTTCCTGTGACTGGGCAGTCACAGAGGGGAGATGAGATGGGAGGAGGAGTTGCCGGCACAATGGAAAGTGCTTTACTTCTACTTAACAAATGTCTTCTCGCGTCCTTGTGGAGAAGGAAAACAGCAGGTGGCCCTGGGACTCTGTTGACTAGGAAATGACAGACGGAACAAAACCGCAGCCTCAGAGCAAGCATCCCTGAGCCCCTTCACTGTCTGTGTGTGGGAACACATTGGTCCTCATTCCGTAACGGGAATCTGCCAGTTGTGGAGCGGGCGTTTTATTACCTGTGACCGCCCCATGTTGAAATGAATACACTTTTTGTCCAGTTTTCTCTCTGGCTCTTGTGTTAGTGTAGTGACCCGCAGTCTCTCCTCTCCAAGGCAGACTTCCACATTTTCCCAAAGTGCTGGAAATTCTCTTCTCCTAGGTCATCATGAAGAAAATGAATCAAAATACTGGGAGATGTTTGCTCTGCAGGCTACTTTTGTTTAAAACTATATTATGAATCACTGTACACATTTTCAGCTACCCCACCCCTGCATCGGACCTCCTAATTAGGGACCTCATAACTAAGCACTTAGTTACTAGGACATTGAGCGCTGAAGGACTCCACTGACAATGAAGAGACACACAAGTAGACTCTGTGTGTGTGTGTGTGTGTGTGTGTGTGTGTGTGTGTGCATGCACGTGCACACATGATAACAGAATTCCAGACAACTCCAGACAGCCAGAACTACTTTGGTTGCAAGTGACAGAAATACAGCCTAGACCATTAGCTTCCGTGGGAGAGGGACTGCATTAACTCCCCAGCTAGAAAGTCTCGAGGGGCTTCAGGCATGCTGGAGGACCCACTGTGTCTCCCTGTCCCACCCCACTGAGATCCGACGGCCTCCTTCCTGCTGGCCTAGTTCTCCAGCACATTTCCCACAGTGGCCACACGTGTCCCTGGGCTTGTGTTCTACAGACCTGCAGCCTCAAAGGAAGGATATGTTCCTCCCTGACAAGCCTCGCTGAGGTTCCCATCTACACTAGTGGTTCACAATTGGGAGTGACTTTGCTCCCCAGACATTTGGCAATGTCCAGAGGTATTTTTGGTTGTCTTAAGATGGGGGGATGCCACTGGCCTTTGTGGGTGGAGAGCAGGGATGCTGCTCAACATCTGCCAGTGCGCAAGATGCCCCCCACAGCAAACGGGGGTCCATCTCAGTGTGGTGGTGGTGCTGAGCCAAGAGCTGCAGCGCTGGACCTGTCACCCTATCCCAGGACTGTGGCCCCCAGCATGGGTTGAGTCCCATGCACCAGGAGAGTGCTGGGGAAGCCTGTCAGGAGGAGGTGGTGTCCTCCAGAGGGAGGAATCTGCTGGAAGAAAAGAGAGGCTCAGACACTCCGTGTGGTGTTGCATGTCCTCCAGAATGTTGTGCGCATGGGAAATGCTGTATAGGTGCCTGCAGAACCGAGCCGGCAAGACAGGGAGGCAGAGCTCCCTCCAAAACAGGGAGCAGAGCTCGGTGCTCACTGCTTTGCTCAGGTGTTGCCAAGGCAGCTCGTGGAACTTCACCTGGAAGAGGTCAAGGGGAAGCCATGGGCTCATTGCGAAGTAAATTGGTGTTGCTCATCAGTGCTCTTGGCCATTCCTCCCCAGTGCTCTTTCTCCACCTTATTTATTTATTTATTTATTTATTTATTTTCTTTGAGACAACATCTCACAAAAAGTAAAAAAAAAAGAAAAGAAATAAAAAGAGCATCTCACTGTTGCCCAGGCTGTGGCACAATCATGGTTCACCTTTTACCTTGATCTCCCAGGGTCAAGAGATTCTCCCACTTGGGTTTTCCTTGTCAGGGAGCTGAGCCAGGTAGAGAGGGGTGTTTGCAAGGTGCACTGCCCGTGCCTGCAGGATCTGATTACTGGTGCAGAGCCCATGGTTTAGCTTTGTGCTGGCTTTGTTCTAAAACTTCACCCAGCATCTGCCACTGTGCAGAAACAGGTGGCGCTCCATCAGGAGGTGGTGCTGTCGTGTCCTACCCAAGGTGCCAGTCAGGGGAGTCCCTGTTCATCCTCATTGATTCTGATGTCCAGAATCTTACAGAGAATTTTTTTCTTTATGTAAAGTAGGTTTTATTGTGTTCACCTTGAAAACAACTCACTGATGGGAAAAAACACACTGACAGTGTTGACTGCAAATAGAGTGACCTCATATCATTTCAAACTGGGAGTCAGGAAACTAGACCTGCAGGGCAGAGAACCTGTGCTTTGCAGTTGCCTGGAGGACCAGAAGTCCACAGGAAGAAAGGGCCAGTTGAATATATGCACGGACAGATGTGTATGGGGCAAATAATTCCCGGGGCTCTGTCTCCCTCTCTTCCCTCCTCCCTGTCCAGCAGTTTTAATGTTTCGAGCCTTGCTGTTCTAAGGAAGGAAGCAAGAGCAGCAGCAGCGTCATCCCCTTGGAAGCACATTAGAATGCAGGGCAATGGGGAGAAACCATGTGGCTGCACTAGCGTTTAGGAAAACGTTAATTCTTATGCCATCTTACAGGGCCTGGCTACAAAAAGTAAAATGAAGAAGAAAAGCAGCATTAGCATACACCATTGTATACCTCAAAGAAGGGTTGTGTTTTTAGCACCAGCGTGGGCCAGGAGGATTCTGATTTTAGAAAACCAAACTTTTAAGGCTTTGGGAGAGCACCTGCCCTGCCCTAGGGGGGTACTGGGTGCAGAAGCCCAGCACTGCTTTTGCCCGACCTCACTGGCTCTCTTCATGTTTTTTTTTTTTTTTGGTTGTTTTGAGTCAGGCTCTCGCTCTGTTGCCCAGGCTGGATGGAGTCCAGTGGAACCATCATAGGTCACTGCAGCCTCCAACTCCTGGGCTCAAGTAATCCTCTCATCACTGGAGTAGTTGTGTGCCACCACGCCCGGCTCAGTTTTCTGTTTTTGTTTGGAGGCTGAACACAGAGGTTCCCTGAAGAAAGTTGGTTGGAGCTGGAGTTGTTCTAGAACCTCTCACTGTCAAGTAAAGAACCCTGCTGAGCAGCTGAGCCTGGAAGCTTCTTCGCACCCCTGAGCACCTTTCCTGAGCCACGTACAGCCCACCTGAAGGCATCTGCACACCTGGAGAGCGGGGAGGGGAGGGGCAGCAGACCCGGGCACCAGATCAGCCCTGGCCCAGGCCCAGGCCCAGGCCCAAGGCAGCCGTCTTTGCACGGTGCAGTGGGGAGTGGAAAGGCCCATGTCCCCTCTCCCAGCTCCTCTTTTTAGTGGACAGCTGCCCTTGGGTAAAAGTGGACCATGCTCAGCCTCAGTTTTCTCTCTAAAAAGAGGGGAACCCCTGGCAGCATAGTGTCTGGAGTCTGCAGGGCCTCAGAGATTGCTGGACACATAGACAGCGCTCAACAGATAGGAACTGGAGGTTTCTAAGAACATTTCTGGGCCCGGTTTAGCATCTTTGCAATGTCTGTGTGCCCTCGCTTCTCTCCCTCTCTAGCTGTCCTTCAGCCTCAGCCTCAGTCTACCCCCCAGCTTCTCTCTCTCTCTCTTTTCTCCCTCTCTACCCCCTCCTTCTCCCTTCTCTCTCTCCCTTTCCCTCCCACTGTTTTTCTTTTACAGCTTTATCGAGATATGTGATTTTCTTTCTTTTTTTTTGTTAAGAGACAGGGTCTCACTATATTGACCACACCGGTCTTGAACTCCTGGCCTGAAGCAATCCTCCCATCTCAACCTCCCAAACTGCTGGGATTACAGGCGTGAGCCACTGTTGCCGGCCAATTTCTACACTATAAAATTCACCCATTTTAAGTATACAATTCAGTGATTTATAGTGAGTTCAAAGGTGTGCATCCTTCATCATGATTCAATTTTAGATCCTTTCCATCACCCCCAAAAGATTCTTTTTATTCCTTTAAGCCATCCCTTCTGGTTCCCACCACAGCCCCAGGCAACCATGAATCTCCTTTCTGTCTCTGGACTTGCCTCATTTGGACACTCCCTGTACATGGAATCCTGCAGTATGTGGTGTTCTGTGACTGGCTTTTTGACTCCGCATCATATTTTCGGGATTGATCCACATTGCAGGTGGTATCGGTACTCCATTCCCTTCCGGTGCCAAGTGCTGGTCCTTGGTGCAGACTGACCGCATGGTGCTGACCAGTGTGTCAGCTGATGCACGGTCTCATTGCTTTCCCGTGCCACCCTGACAAGAGTGGTTCCCACTTTTGTGGGCACACGGGAGGGGGTCTCGGCTCTGGAAGTGACCAGCTTTGTGGTTTGTGGGGAGGCTGGTCGCATAAGTCCTTAGAACATCAACTGTCACTTGGGAGCCGGGATTGTTAGCATAGGATTGTTCAAAAAATCTAATAAGCCAAATATTTTAAAAACGTGTTTCATGTTGCCTCTCTCTGACCTCAGGAAGTAAGTCACTGTCAATTATTGTCGTGTGAGCAAAAATCTCCAGCTTCCTTCAACTGACAGTTCAAGGGATAGAGGCTTCTAGAAGCATGTTCTCCATGTGGTTCTCCTGATGATGAAACGTGTGGTGTGCACATGTCCCATCCTGCCCTCCCGACAGGGCGGCATGCGGAAGGAACATAGGGGACCAGCCCTGTTTTGGTGGCGGGGAGGCTCACAGGAGAGTGGGCGCTGGGCTGTGCTCTGAGACCGTTCCTTGTCTTGCTTGGCTTTTTCTTTGGCCAAGTGGAGACAGCACCAGGTGGCCAGACTGTGTTGGGCCTGGTCGTGTGCTTGATCTGCTGTACTGGGGATGTCGCCTCATACCCCTGTGCCCAGCTCCTTGCGGCTGGGTGGGTCTCCTTCACCCTCCTGTCCTTGCTGGCTCAGTGTTTGTGTGCCTGGCCAATATAATGTGTGGCAGGTTCCTCACATCCTTCTTGGGCCAGGCGGGGTGCCTTCGCTAGGGCACTGCAGCCTCAGATGGTGGTAGCACCTGCCCCCATGTATGGATCAGGCCACTGGGGCATCGGGGTCACCATTAGTCAGCAGAACAGCTGGAATTGGGTGGTCCTGGACATTTCCTTGGGAAGCAAGAGCACTGAGTAAGCTGAAGACTTAAATCAGGAGTTTTTCTGTGTGTGTGTGTGGTTTTTTTTTTTTTTTTTTTTTGAGACAGAGTCTTGCTCTGTCACCCAGGCTGAAGTGCAGTGGCACGATCTCGGCTCACTGCAAGCTCCGTCTCCCGGGTTCACGCCATTCTTCTGCCTCAGCCTCCCGAGTTGCTGGGACTACAGGTGCCCGCCACCACGCCCGGCTAATTTTTTGTATTTTTAGTAGAGGCAGGGTTTCACCATGTTAGCCAGGATGGTCTCGATCTCCTGACCTCGTGATCCACCCGCTTCGGCCTCCCAAAGTGCTGGGATTACAGGCATGAGCCACCGCACCCGGCCTTAAATCAGGAGTTTTAAGGTCACGAGCTGGCTGGGATTGGGTTGTTGCCAACACCCACGGCAGCTAAAAACTGCTTAAGAAATGCCTGCTTGTGGGACTTGCAGGGAGCCTGGGAATTCACAACCCCTACCATATAGTAGATCAAGCCTTGACTACTAAGGAAGGAGGGGTTATGGTAATCTGCAGGAAAGTATCTCAGTAGTGACGAACTCATCATAGTATGTCGTATAGCCTTTGTTTCTTCTCAAAACTTTTACAGCAAGTTCAGGATGGCTTCATCCAGACACCCGAGTTAAGCAAGCAAGCAAGAAACAAAAAGCCTTAAATAAGAGAAGTTGAAGACAGTGTGCCCCTTCGTGCCTGAATTTGGCTAGGAAAACATTGGCATGGGAGCGCCACCAAGGGCTGGCACATTCTCTGGGCCACCTTCAGAGGTTTAACTTCTGTGTGAGAGAAACCATCCACTGGGATGCAGCTTTTACGCCACATACTGCCGGATTCCACGTACAGGGATTGTCCAAAAGAGGCAAATCCAGAGACGGAAAGGAGATTCGTGGTTGCCTGGGGCTGTGGTGGGAATGGCTTAAGGAATACAAAGGATCTTTTGGGGGTGATGGAAAGGGACTAAGATTGGACCCTTTCCTTCCCTGTCGCACGTGGAAGGAAATCAGAAACCAAGCAAGAGAGCTGGGGGTATGAAAGGAACTGTGTCATTTTCTTGACTGAAATTTCACCAGGTGGCACTGGGTGTTGAGATACATATCACTGAGCAATATCAGGTCACACAATACAGGAGTATTGTTTCTGTCACTTCCGAATTGGTGTGCTTGACCCCAACAGCTATTTTGTATGCATTATGTGGGCAAACCCAAGTGGGTATTGTTGGGTTTTCATAGCAACGAGGCAGCAGGGCAGAGACGCGTTTTTTTACCATCACCCTCTGTGGTGTGGGTGCATTATGTCTGAGCCATTGGTCATCTTTTCTTGTCACCCACATCTCCCTGGGTCTGGAATCTGACCAGAAAGGAAGCCGCATTTGCTCATCTGACAAGTCCTAAGGTCAGAGAGCTCCCGCCTCCATGAAACTATCACTGTGGGGCAGATGATGAGCAAACCACACACCCGAAACATCACACATGCGCCCCCTTGCCATCTTCTTTCTCCTGCCTGTGTCCCCAGCCCAAGCACGGAGCTGCTTTCTGTCCCTTTAGGTCACTGTACATTTTCTGGACTTGTATGTAGATGGAGTCCTGCAGCAGGTGCTCCCTTCCACCTGGCTCCTATCTCTTGGAATAACCATTCTGAGATGTGCCCGTGTTGTCAGATGGATCAAGAGCTCATTGCTTTGCATTGCTGAGTATTAGTGCAGTGTTGGGTAGCAAGTTACATGCTGGTGGCATTTTGTGTTAATATTAGAGGCTAGTTTTTAGAAAACCGTTGCAAGGAGAGCCCACAGGGAGAACAAAGAGAGTGTCCTGTGAAAGCTATCTCTTGACCCTGATGGAGAGAAGGGCGCTCCAGCCTGTGCAGATGTCTGTTTCCGGTGCCATCGAGCTCTAACTTCAACCTTGACTCTGCTTTCCGAGTTTGGGTAAGACTTGTTTCCTACTCTATTTGAGGTCATCGGAGACCATCACTTTATCATGGATGGGAAAAGTTTTCAGGTGATGAAGGGCTGTGCTGTTGATTTGGAAAGAGGACACAAGACTGGACACTTCCTTTCAGGGTACCATTTCTAGGCCCTCTTGATATTTTAATATGTTTTAAAAATTAAGAGAATGTCTGCATATGTACTAGAGGAAGTCCTGTTACACAGGAAATACTCTAAATTCAACTCACATGCAGTTGGTTCCCATTTTCAATTCTTGGGAATATGTTAGAAAACAAAAATTTTAACCTTGGAGTTAAAATCTGTTGCTATTTTCTTTTCTTTTTCTTTTTGGAGACAGGGTCTATGTCACTAGGCTGGAGTGCAGTGGCATGATCATGGCTCACCTCCTGGGATCAAGCAATTCTCCCACCTCAGCTCCCCAAGTAGCTGGGACTACAGGTGTGCGCCACCACACTGGCTAATTTTTTGTATTTTGTTGTCGAGACGGAGTTTCACCATGTTGCCCAGGCTGATCTTGAACTCTTGGAATCAGGCAATCCACCTGTCTCAGCCTCCGCAAGTGCTGGGATTACAGGCATGAGCTACCTTGCCTGGCCTGCTATTTTCACAGATGCTAAATGAAAACACTCAGAATTCTATGAAATCATTCAGACTATAAAATATTCTTTAGCAATTCAAGCTGCTGTTTATGAGGTGGGCTGTTTATAGTAGGGTAGATGCTTCTAATCTAATGTAGAATTGCAGCTGCAGCATAGAAAGGGAAGAAGAATTGAGAGTACACCAAGATGTTAAATGTTTGTCTTTTGGTTGTGGAATATGGGTGAGCTCCCCCCTCACTTCTTTATACTTTTATATAATATAGAACTCTTGGTTCTTCTGTAGTGAATATTTATTTTTAAGAAAGCAGATAAATGTTGCACATAACTTGCTTTGGAAAACTTTTCCCATTACGGTTACTTGAAGACTGAAAGATTTTTGTTGTTGTTGTTTTTGTTTTTTGAGAGGGAGTCTTGCTGTCATCACCCAGGCTGGGAGTGCAATGGCGCGATCTTGGCTCACTGCAACCTCCACGTCCTGGGTTCAAGCAATTCTCCTGCCTCAGCCTCCCAAGTAACTGGGATTACAGGCATCCGTCACCACGCCTGGTTAATTTTTGTATGTTTGGTAGAGATGGGGTTTCACTGTTTTGGCCAGGCTAGTCTCAAACTCCTGACCTCAGGTGATCCTTCCGCCTCGGCCTCCCAAAGTGCTGGGATTATAGGCATTAGCCACTGTGCCTGGCCATTTTTTTTTTCTATTTTTAAAATCCTTCATATCTTCCATGGCAGTAAATATGGTAAAATAATATGTATGTGAGGATTTTTATAATGCATAAAATATTGTAGAAGATAAGTTCTTGTACATGCTTTTGAATCGTTTCATTTGCCTTCTCTCTTTGGCTTACATAATAAATAATGAAAACTGCAGTTTCTGACTTGGGCCATCTAACATTCCTAGGAAGGGAAGGAGGAGGCAGGAGGGAGACACTGGAAGAGGTGGTAGAATCACAGTAGCTTTTGTTTTTGCTGCATGCCAGACACAAAATGCGAACTCACATTATCCAGGCTGATGAGTCCTGCAGGTCAGACCCCACAGCATAGGCAGGCAGTTATAGTTGGAGGCCTTCCCTCATTGCTAAGGGAGTTCCTTAGCAGACCAATTCGGAATGAGTTATGTGTAAAAATGAGCACAGAATGCTTAATGCAGTGGGCCACAGAATCACATCTGATGTTCAAACATTCTAATGAGGCTAGGTGTGATGGCTCATGCCTGGAATCCCAGCACTTTGGGAGGCCGAGGTGGGAGGATTGCTTGAACCCAGGAGTTCAAGACCAGCCTGGGCAACATAGGGAAACTGTCTCTCCAGAAAAATTTAAAAAGAAGCAAACAAAAAAATAATTAGCTAGGTGTGGTAGTACATGCCTGTAGTCCCAGCTACTGGGAGGCTGAGGTGGGAGGATCACTTGAGCCTGGGAGTTCCAGGCTGTAGTGAACTATGATGGCGCCACCACACTCCAGCCTGGGTGACAGAGTGAGACTTTGTTTCTAAAATAAAAACATCCTAATGATGTGTGGTGATGCTGTGTTGTATACTGTCTGCATGCTATAGTCATTTGGTAACCTAATTAAGATTTTAGGTTGTAAATTTTTCATTTATAACTTCCTGAGATTCATTTCTTTTAATACTCGTTAAGGCAACATAAATTTAGAGTTTGGATCATTTTCCTCTTAACTTGTTGTTTTACTTCACGATTGCTGCATTTAGAAAACTTTTAAAATTTTATTTAAAAAAATAGATAATCCCAAGGTGTTGATATTACAGGTGTGAGCCACTGTGTCTGGCCAGATTCATTTCACTTAAATCCCTGAAGATCCACATGGGATTCTGACAGATCGCTCTGAGACATCCTCCTGTTGTTTCCTTTTCACCACTGCAGGTCTCCACCTGCCCTGGTGTCCTTGGGAGGAAACCCACCGTGGTAGGGCACACAGCGGCTGACTTGTCCTGGTAAATCATAAGCATGGTGGGCTCCGCAGGTGCCTCCCTCCTTTCTGTCCTTGAGTCTGAAGCCAGCACCTTCTTTGATGACACAAACGTCTGTGGTTTAGGGTTTTCAAAGGAATTCCCCCTCTTCCTCTCCCACCACAAGAAAGGCTGCTGTGGGGAGCCGGTAGCTTGCAGGCTGGGTTGTCTGGTCGTTTGAATTCCACAAGAAAGCCAACCTAGCTGTCCTGGCTTGGGGCGAGGCGGGAGGGCAGGAGTCCTGGATCTGCCTGTGTCTGTCTGTCCCTGGCTGTCTGCCCCTCCCTCCTCCTTCCCTCCCCTCTTGCTTGGGGTTGGGTGGGGTCTGTCTTAGGGAGAGAAGGAGGGCAGGGAGGGAGAGAGCTGGAATTTGACCCCAGAGCTGTCTGCAGCTTCCCAGGAGCCCTTTTCAGACCCTGTCTGGCTCCTTAGAAAGGCTGTGTGGCTCCTGCGTGGCAGGGCCACCTCATTAAAAACACCGGCTCAGGGGAGGGTGCTGGTCACTCTTGGGGCCAACCAGGATGTTTGCATTTGTCCTATGCACACAGTACAAAGTTGTTGTTTTTTAAATACCATTTTAGAGGAGTTTTAGCTCTACAGAGAAATGCAGAGATAGTAAGGAGAATTCTCACCTCCCCCACACTGGGCTTCCCCCTATTGTTTTTTTTTTTTCTTCCAATTACCATATATCCCTGCCATCCCCTATTGTTAACATCTCACATCACCATGGTATATTTGTCCAAGCAATGAACCAATATTGCTACATTATTTGTTGTTAACTAAAGCCCAAACTTTGTTCCTATTTCCTTAGTTTCCCAGTTTCCCATTAATGTCCTTTTCTGTCCTGGGATTAACCACATGACTTTTTTTTTTTTTTAACTGAGACAAGGCCTCTCTCTGTTTCCCACGCTGGAGTGCAGTGGCGTGATCATAGCTCACTGTGGCCTCTGCCTTCCGGGTTCTAGGGATCCTCCAGCCTCAGCCTCCTGAGCAGCTGGGATTACAGGTCTGCACCACTACGCCCAGCTAATTGTTTTGTGTTTTTAGTGGAGTTGGGGTTTAACCATGTTGGCCAGGCTGGTCTCGAACTCCTGACCTCAAGTGATCCACCTGCGTCAGCCTCCCAAAGTGCTGGGATTACAGGCGTGAGCCACTGCGCCCGGCCCACATGACATTTAGTCTTCCTGTCACCTTAGGTTCTTCTTGACTGTGACAGTTTTTCAGACCTTCCTTGTTATTGATGACTCTGACCTTTTTGAGGAGTACTGGTCAGGAATTTTGTAGACTGTACCCCTCTTGGGATTCATCTGATGATTTTCTCATGGTAGAATGAGGTTATGGCTTTTTGCAAAGAAGACCACAGACCATTCTCATTACACACGATATGTTTTGTTTTTTAGTTTTGATTTTCTAACTTTTCTTAACTGTAGGAATTAATGAAGATTTTTCCACAATTCCTATGCTTTGGAAAATTTCCTTTGATGATGAAATTTCTTTAGGGAAAAAATTATTTTTCTTCTGAAAGTGTTTAGGCAGAGAAACTTTGTTACTGAAATATTAGTGATCAGAGCTGCTAAGTTATAGCAAATTTGTAGAGATAATTGTCCCAGACAGGAGGGTCTGCTGAGTATGTCCTGTGGATATGTTATTTATCTTATTCTGTGCTGTTGTGCACCCTAAAAATAAATATTTTAGGCTGGGCATGGTGGCTCATGCCTGTAATCCCAACACATTGAGAGGCCAAAGCTGGAGGATCTCTTGAGCCCTGGAATTCAAGACCAGCCCAGGCAACATAGTGAGACGGCATCTCTCCAAGAAATTTAAAAATTAGCCAGGCATGGTGGTGTGCATCTGTGATCCCCTGCTTGGGAGGCTGAGGCAGGAGGATCACTTGAGAGCTTGGGAGGTCGGGGCTGCAGTGAGCCATGATCACACCACTGCACTCCAGCCTGGTCCACAGAGCAAGACCCTGTCTCAAAAAAATAAAAAAATTAAGGCCGGATGCAGTGGCTCATGCCTGTAATCCCAGCACTTTGGGAGGCCAAGGTGGGCAGATCACCTGAGGTCAGGAGTTCGAGACCAGCCTGGACAACATGATAAAACCCTGTCTCTACTAAAATTATAAAAAAATTAGCTGGGTGTGGTGGCGGGTACCTGTAATCCCAGCTATTCGGGAGGCTGAGGAAGGAGAATGGCTTGAACCCGGGAGGCAAAGGTTGCAGCAAGCTGAGATCGTGCCATTGCACTCCAGCCTGGGCAACAAGAGCGAAACTCCATCTTAAAATAAATAAATAAATTAATTAATTAATTTAAAAAATGGTAGATTTCAAAATAGTGTTTGAAAGTTCTTGGCGAATTGGTGTGCTCCTGCGTTCCTCTCAACTCCCACTCTTGCTCAGTTGCCTACCATCACCTCCAATCTCCTGATGCTGGATTTGCAAGTTAAAGTATTTCTCTAGCGTGGGAGTTGGCAAGTGTCTTCTGTTAGGAGCCCGTAAATGTTTTCTGTTTGGGCCACTTGTTCTCTGTGGGACTCCTCAGGGTTGTTGCAGTAGCAGGAAGCAGCCACAGCCAGTGTATACATGAAGGTCGTGGCTGTGTTCCACTAAACCTTTATTCACCAAGCAGGTGGCAGGCCAGGTTTGGCCCAAAGGCTGTAGTTGGCCGACCCTTACTTTATTGCAGAAGTGTATACTGCCAGGACTTTTTTCTTGTTTTTGTTTTGCTTTGTTAGGGAGTCTGGCTCATTTGGCCCATGTTTATGGGGCACTGACTCTGTTGTTTAGCAAGCGCTGTGTTGCTAAAGAATGTTTTCGAGAGATTTAGACCCACCCAGTAAACCTGAACAAGAAGCCAGCCTGAGCAGTTAGCCGGGGTCACAGTTCTCCATAACTTCTCCCCCTGCTTCCTGCTGGAACAGCTCACTTTTGAAATGGCAGGGGAGTCATTCCAAGCTAGCATCTCCCATCCCACCTTGTCACCCACCCCCACCCACCTTTTTGTTTTTTCTGGAAAACAAATAAAGGCTTTTATTGTATCTACTTGGGCAGGATGAGGGGAGTGGTAGTTCCAGAGACAAAGGACTCAGAGCCAGGACCTGGCCCTCACCTCTGCGCACACCAGCCCACACTGGCTCCCGTCACCCTCCTTTCTGTCCGTCTCTGCTCCTCTCTGGTCTCACCCCGTCTGCTGCAGACAGTCCCTCTTCATGAGTTGAGAAACATAATTCCTGGCAGCTGCAGTGTCGCAACCCCTTCCTCTACATTTTGTGGAATGAACACAGCTATGTAACTCGCTACCCAGATCAAGAGATGGAACATTCCTATTTATGTTTTAGGAATGTTCTAGCTCCCCAGGGGTGCCCTTGAGCCTCCCCAACCCCCCAAATATAGGACTGTCTTGAATGTCCACACTATAGATGAGGTTAGCCTCTATTTGGCCTTTATATAAATAGCATCATCTAGTATGGACTCTTTTGTGTCTAGCTTTTTCAGTCAACATTACTTTTGTGAGATTCATTCATATTGTTTCTGGTGGCAGTTGTAGTTTATTCATTTTTGTTGCTGTGAACCTCAGTTTGTTTGGTTTTGGTTTTGGTTTTTGAGACAGGATCTCACTCTGTTGCCCAGGCTGGAGTACAGTGGTGCCATCAGGGCTCACCGTAGCCTCAAACTCCTGGGCTCAAGCCATCCTCCTGCCTCAGCCTCCTGAGTAGCTGGGACCACAGGTGCATGCCACCACGCACAGCTAATTCTTTTATTTATTATTATTATTTTTGAGACGGAGTCTCGCTCTGTCACCCAGGCTGGAGTGCAGTGGTGCAATCTCAGCTCACTGCAACCTCCGCCTCCCGGGTTCAAGTGATTCTGCTGCCTCAGCCTCCTGAGTAGCTGGGACTACAGGCACGTGCCACCACACCCAGATAATTTTTTTGTATTTTTAGTAGAGACGGCGTTTCACCGTGTTAGCCAGGATGGTCTCAATCTCCTGACCTCGTGATCCGCCTGCCTCAGCCTCTCAAACTGCTGGGATTACAGGCATGAGCCATCACACCCGGCCAATTATTTTATCTTTTATAGACATGGGGTCTTGATATGTTGCCCAGGCCGCTCTCGAACTCCTGACCTCAGGCATGAGCCACTGCCTCCAGTCTGTGTGTTTTTCTAAAGAATTCTTAGTGGCTAAGGAAGGTTAAGACCTTCCTATCGTCTCTTTCATCTTTCCCCAGAGATGAGCCATTTTGAACATGGATTTGGCATCTGTGCCGCCTCTGAGCCCATGCTTGGCTGATCTGTGGTTGGCGTCTGCCTTCCAGAGAATTCCTTGTTTTCCCACAGTCCCTTTGCAGCTGTTTCATGGAGCACGGGGACGCATGCTGGCTGCTGCCACCAGCTCTGATGGCTATGAAGGTTTGAGACGAGTCTCATAGGTGAAATCTGGGCTCTAAGACAGCCCACCTTTTGAAAGGACAATTCAGCCACCAGAATATCATCTTCGATCTGCTGGTTTTCTCATTTTGGTTTCCAAAAGCCTTTAGCCATTGTTATTATTCCGTGCTTGTCTTGGTGTTAGCTCAGTATCCATGAAACCCGACAAACCTCTTTCTAGAATGAGGCCGGCAAACCAGTCTCATAATGTTCAACCCCAGTGAAGAGGAACTAAACCTCAAAATTGTTGTACCACAAACTCTATTGGCCTTTTATTGGTGGGGATTTTGTTTTTATTACAAGAGGGGTGACTGCTACAGTGGCCTTTCCGGCACCAGGCCGTGCCTGACGGATGAGAATGCTGTGTCATAAACAGTCTTTTGCAATGACTAACCGTGCTGGGTTGGAATGCAGTGCACACCAAAGGAAGGTAGGACTTTTAGTGGTTGTCACAATAGCTGTGCGAATCCAAATATGGCTGGAAAATGTCAACATACTCTCCAGATTATCAGCTCCGACGAATGTAAGAGACATAGTGTTAGGGGGATGTCTGGATAAGTTGAACTCTAATCAGAGGGAAAAGGGGGTTGGAGGAATAATGAATGAGGGAAACACTTTTATTGGGAGAATAGCTTGCAAAACGGCCAGTTGCATAAAGTGTCCTGTCCTAAGAAGTCCTAGTGTAAGCCTCGGCCAGTCCTAAAATATGAATGAGACCTAGGACTTATTTTACGTATTGCTGTTATCCTTACTAGCACTTTTGGAGTCTGCATTCTGGTAATGCCTAAATGCTTGTGCTGAGTTACATGTGGAAACAGCTCTACACAACATTCCCTAGTCTCTTGGACACTTACAGTGTTGGCCAGTCCTTTTCTCGTGATTTTTTCCCTCTGATTTACTCGTGTTGTAACAAAGTTATCACTTTTTTATTGTTTCTCTTTGCTTTCATCCTTTGCATCTGTGGCTGCTCACTTGCTATGCCCAGGGAAGGGGAAGATGGAGAAATAGATTATGGATATGGCACTCCAGGGCCTGTTTACCAACAACCTGAAAAGCTTATATTCTCAGCAGGTCAATACTCCCCATGTCTGAGGGCGAATGTTGTGTGGATTAACAGGCAAAACATGTTGCATAGATTTGCAGATCCACGTTTACAGATTCCCCACTGTATACTGAGGCCATCGAGGAACCTGAATTTGTGTATCCCTTGTGGCTATTGATATGTTGCTGAAGTCAAGTCAGGTATGTATTGAAAAGCATGGCCGGGCGCGGTGGCTCACGCCTGTAATCCCAGCACTTTGGGAGGCCGAGGCGGGTGGATCATGAGGTCAGGAGATCGAGACCATCCTGGCTAACAAGGTGAAACCCCGTCTCTACTAAAAATACAAAAAATTAGCCGGGCGCGGTGGCGGGCGACTGTAGTCCCAGCTACTCGGGAGGCTGAGGCAGGAGAATGGCGTGAACCCGGGAAGCGGAGCTTGCAGTGAGCCGAGATTGCGCCACTGCAGTCCGCAGTCCGGCCTGGGCGACAGAGCGAGACTCCGTCTCAAAAAAAAAAAAAAAAAAAAAGAAAAGCATGTTCTAAGTATCTAAGTATTTAAGTTCTACATGTCTAGAGATAAAACTCTCTTTATACGGGGATGTGAGGAGAGGAACTAGGAGGAGACTTTATCATGTGCTGATTTATGCTCTGCCGGTAATGAGCCATGCAGCCCTAAGCATGTTACCTCATATCTCTGGGACGAATAAAGTGTCTGTCCTTTGGCCAATTTTTTAGCTTCCCGAATCAGTTTATCGACAAGATGGGGACATGCAGGTGTATCTGCCAGGGTTAGGGGAAGCTCTCAATAGTAACGTGTGCTGAGAACCAGCTGGTGCCCTGCGTGAGTGCAGCGCTCCGTGAAGAACATTGTGTTATGAACTCCTGGGATGCCTGGATTCCCTTCCATTCATCCACTTTGTTCACCTAAAGGGCCAGAGCAAACAACCGTCCACTCAGGTAAACATTCCCACCCCAGAGCGACCGTTTGCATCCTCCAGGAGTTAACAGTACAGCTGGACTCACCCGTGGGTCTCCTGGAAGGCACTGTGTCGGAAACCGAGCTTCTCTCCTGCTTCCCTTGCTGTGGCCTATCTGGGAATCTATAGTCTGGAGCATCCCAGGGCGGCCTCCTTTGGCAGATGGTGTAGGAGTGCTGCAAGCCCTCCTGGATGCACCCAAGGACCCAGGAAGATGGGAGCGTGGATCTCTGTGCCTCAGCACAGAGGCTGGGAGGAGAGACAGCAGGCGCCGGCTGGCAGGAGCAGTCCATGTGGGAGCTTCTGTGTACTCCCACCTCTGCTTCACCTCCTGTTGATCTCTCCTCCCTCTGCAGCACATTCTGCCCTCCTTCCCCAGACTCCTCCCCACAGTTCGCCCTGAAACAAACCTTTCCATGGGATTGATTTTAGAGGCTGCCCATGTGGGACCAGGGCTGCAGCTTCCCTATGGGGGTGCTGGTGGCCTTGTGGCACTTGCTAAGCTGGGCGGGCGTGGCTAGGAGTTTGAGCAGTAACCAAAGTTTCCTCTCTGCTGAGTGCTCCTGGGGTCCATCCCTCTGGGGTGATGGCAGGCAGCTTTACACGTCGCCTTAGAGCATGTCTTTATTTGCTCCTGGATCAAGAACCTTTTGCCATCAATGTAGGGCTGAGCACCCCCACCACCACACATGCCCTGTCCAGATATCTCGCTCTGGGGTAGAAGGAGGCAGTTGTGGGAAGAAGTTTCCTCATCACATTAGCTCTAGGTAATTTCAGAGAACTTTGCCAATCTCTTCCCTAGCTTGTAGGTACAATGAAGATAACACCAGCAGACAAGATAGGATACTCTTTCTTGAGTTTAAAAGGCATCAAAATAGTTGCATGCAATTTAGCAAGGAATGGATACATTAGATTGTATTTAAGAGAGTGCCTGTTGCTGTACAGTTTTTAACAACACGTTGAAGCAGAGCAGGTACCTCTCAGATACTGTTTTGGTGGGGAGGATTGGGGACAGTGGTTTCCTGCTGTCACACTGGGGAGAACTGAAGGAGAGAACACTGCTGCACCTGAGCGGAGACTGACACTTTTGAGGTGAGCACCCTGAACCTTGGGTGTGTATTGTCCCTCTCATACCTGCTGGGCATCTTGGGGCCAGGCTGGGCTGCGTGGCAGCTCTGTGGGATCATTCCCGTCTGCAGCACCCGGGGGCGCTGCTCATTGTGTAGACCAAAGGCCAGCCAGCGGAGATGCCCACTTGCTGACCTTCTTACATGCCTGCTTTTCTGCTACAAGCTGTCATTTTCTTTTATTGATTGGTTGGCTGTCATTTTCTTTTATTGATTAATTGGTTGGTTGGTTGACAGGCCACATCACTGCAGCTTTGGTATAGTCACTTCTCTAATCTTTCCAAAAAGTCGCTTCAGGTTATGAAGTGAGTTAGCGGCCTGCTCCCTGGTTGCTCCATGAGAGTTCGCCCTCTCCTCACAGTTGTACAGCGGGCCAGCATTGTTGTTTGGCTTCCTGGCTCATATGCCCCTTCTCTGTGGCACCCCATGTCCTTATGAAAATGACCTAAGCCAGGCGTGGTGGTGCACGCCTGTAATCCCAGCACTTTGGGAGGCCAAGGCGAGTGGATCTCTTGAGCTCAGGGAGTTCGTGACCACCCTGGGCAACATAGTGAGATCTCGTCTCTGCAAAAAATACAAAAATTAGCCAGGTGCGGTGGCACACAGCTGTAGTCCTAGCTACTCAGGAGGCTGAGGTGGGGGGATCACTTGAGCCCAGGAGGTCAGTGAGCCGAGATCGTGCCACTGCACTCCAGCCTGGGCTAGCGGATAAGACTCTGTGTCAAAAAAAAAAAAAAAAGAGAAAACAAACAGAAAAACTTGTACCCTGGTATTGATAAGTCTTAATGGGAGGGCCCCTGCCTCTCACCACAGCCTTCCGGAAGTCAGCCAGATCCCTTTGTTTCCAGCCCCTGGTAGACCAGCGTGGCCTTATGATCCCCTCTTTGTCAGTCTCATCTCTTCCTCTCTCTTTTTTTAGAGACAGAGTCTCACTCTGTCACCCAGACTGGAGTGCAGTGGCAGAAACACAGCTCACTGCAGCCTCCACCTCCTGGGCACAAGTGGTCCTCCCACCTCAGCCTTCTGTGTAGCTGGGACTGCAGGCACACTCCACCAAGCCTGGCTAACGCTTTTAATTTTTGTAGAGATCAGGTCTTGCTATGTGGCCCAGGCTGGTCTTGAACTCATGGCGTCAAGCAGTCCTCCTGCCTTGGCTTCTCTAAGTATTGGGATTATAGGTGTGAGCCACCATGCCTGGCCTCTTTTTTTATTTTGAGATCATTATAGCTTCAGGTGGCAATACAGAGAGATGCCATGGGTCCTGTACCCAGGTTCCCCACGTGGCAACAGTACCTTTTTTGTAATATGATGGTAACAATGTTTCAACCAGGATATTGCTTTTTTTTTTTTCTTTTTTTTTTGGATAGAGTCTCATTCTGTCATCTAGGCTGGAGTGCAATGGCGTGATCACGGCTGACTGCAGCCTCAACCTCAGCCTCCTGGGCCCAAGCAATCCTCCTACCTCAGCCTCCTGTGTAGCTGGGACCACAGGTGTGCGCCACCACACCTGACAAATTTTTGTATTTTTTTTTTTTTTTGTAGAGATGGGGTGTTGCTGTGTTGCCCAGGCTGGTCTCAAATTCCTGGTCTCCAGTGGTCCTTCTGCCTTGGCCTCCCAAACTGCTGGGATTTTACAGGTGTGATATTGACATAGAGACCGTCAAGACACAAGACATTTCCATCCCAAGAGGTTCCCTCACATTGCCCCTTTTAACTTCTCTCTTGCTATAAAGATATCAAGTTCAAAACTTTATTATATAGTAAAACTCTGTTAATCAATTGTTGACCGTTTAAACTGGAATTTAACTGAGAGCCAAGGATCTTCCCCAGGTGACTGAAGTCTGATGTATCCCTTCAACTTCTAGTTTTGAATTAACAGGAGTTCAGTGTATTTGGAGAGAGGCCTGTCACTCCCTTGTTCTGTTCCTTTAAAGAGTTATGGTCCAGTAGAGAGGGCACGCTCGTTAAAAGCAGTCTCTCGTGAAGTGGATCAAGATGTGTTGGAATGTAAGGCATGACTGCTAGCTGCTGAGCAATTCACATACTTTGGAGGAGGTTAGTGCCCATGAAAAGGTAGATGCGGTAATCAGAAAAAACTCCAGGCTACCTCCGGGCAACATATTTGGCTAATGCTTTGATTAATTGAAACATTTAATTAACTAGATTTTTTCCCCATGCTTTGCTTTTAGGAAGGATCCTTCACTTTCTGCCTTGGCAGGGGAGTGGGGACCAAAGATATTACCCTCTGATTCCCAGACCACCTGCAGGCGTTTTCCAGCTGGGATTAGTCTAGCTCCTTGCTGGCTTTTCATGGCACCTGAAGCTTAGTTCTTATTGCCATCACCTTGAAGGTCTGCTCCGAGCTGGGTCTACCAAAGGCTTTCTCTTTCTGTTATGCCTGGTCTCCAGTGGTCCTTCTGCCTTGGCCTCCCAAAGTGCTGGGATTTTACAGGTGTGATATTGACATAGAGACCGTCAAGACGCAAGACATTTCCATCCCAAGAGGTTCCCTCACATCGCCCACTTTCCCCCTGGGATACCCAGTGCACCTTATTGGTGCAAAAATTTGTATGAATTGCAATTTTAAAGACAGTCGAATTTGACCTGCAATAAAAATGATGATTGTAATTTGTCATGGCAGAATTGTAAAGCTAGAAAAGATCTTTAGGATTGAACTGATCATTTTATGGATAAGGAAACTGAGGCCCAGAAAAGGTCATTGGTTTGCTTCTAATGTGTGTTTCTATCTCTGGGGAGAGCTGGAAACATACCCTCTTTAGCCAGTGGTGCCCAGCCCACTCAAGTTGTTAACAATGGATGGATGTAGACCTACTATGTGCCTCACTCTGCATTCTCCGGTATGCAGTGGAACCAATCTAGAAAAGCCGGCATCTTTACAGCCTTGAGAGTGTGCTTCTCAGTGGGATTGTGGATGGTTTCCTCTTTAATAGGAAAGCCTGTTTTTATATAGATGTATTTCTTGGGTGCTGACAGACCCAGCACCACCAGCTCCTAAGCGAGCCCCAGTGTTTTCTGCTGGGGACAGGATCCAGAAGCATCCCGTGGAGGGGTTGGGTACCCCAGATCCACCTGCCAGGACTCCGGGAGAGGCGTGTGTGAGCAGCCAGTGAGCCCCCAGCTGTGGAGGACTGAGGCTTCCTGATCTCCTTCTGGAACATTCAGTGGCCACACCAGCAGTTCTTTGTGCTCACTTACTAGCCCATTTCTTGTAGCAAATGGAGGCTACATCTGTTTCGTAGGGCTGTCATAACAAAGTACCTAGCACAAAGCTTAAAGCAACAGGAATGTGTTGTCTCATAGTAAAGAGGCCTGGAGGCCAGAAGTCTGCAATCAGGGTGTCTGCAGAGCCTCTTTCTGAAGGCTCTGGGGGAAGAGCCTTCCTTGTTTTTCCTGCTTCTGTGACTCCAGGCATTCCCTGACTTGCAGATGCATCATGCCAATCTCTGCTTCCGTCTCCACATAGTTCTCCCCTGTTTATCTGTGTCCAAATTTCCCTCATCTGTTGTGGACACCGTTATTGGATTAGGGCCCTCCCTAATTCAGGATGACATCGTCATCACCAGTTACACCTCCAATGATCCTATTTCCAAATAAGGCCACATGTACAGGTTCCAGAGGTGAGGCTTCAACATATCTTTTTGGGAGACATAATTCAGCCCCATAACAAAGGGTAATAAAATGTTTTGAGAGAGAATCTAGGTACAGAAAAGTGCTCACATGGTAGCATAGACATTGATGAATTTTCACACAGCAAATCATACTTGTGACCCCACCCAGATGAAGGAATAGAAGAGACAGTCTTAGAAAATAGATACCAAATTCCATGCCTTATGGAGAAAGCCAAGGCTCGTTAGTCTGGTTTGTGCTTTTAGGGTTAAATCAGGTACGTTGTTGACACTTCAGACCAGGTACACGTAGGGATGTGGGTATTATGCTGCAAATCACAAAGGACAGTTTCACTTTTTAACCCCAGTGGCTTCCTGAGAACTCTATTGTAAAGCGTACTGTTATAAACTAAATTGCATTTTGAATAGGAATAATTAGATTTAAGTTAGAGATTCTGCCAAAAATTGCTTTATCAGATCGGACGTGAGCAGTTACATCATAAAAAGAAGAAATGCCACTCAAACCTGTGATTGCCAGTTTAGGAGAGGCTTTGCCTCTTGGGCCATTGCTTCATGTTCCCATTTTGGGTGCCTTGTCTATAAAGGGGAGGAAGGGGTGTCGGGATGGCTCTCTGGGTTGGATAGCGGGAGGAGACTGCAGCCCACATCTGGTTCCAGCCTCTTGTCACACAGTTGAGGGAGTGGAGCCCAGCTGAGATTGACCTGCTGAAGGCACCTGGATGGGGGTCATAGTTGCCATCCCTTTATTTTGCATTTTCTCGTGTTTTAAAGCTTTGGTGCCCACCGATTCCAGCCCTGCTGTTCTTGTGAAAGTCGCATACACAGAGTGACTGTCACAGCAACTCATTACTCTTCACGGTCCTGAGTTTGCTTTTCTGTAAAATTGAGAAAGAAATAATTGCCTGACCTCTCATCCCACGATTGTTTTTAAGAGTGGGAATCACAGCTTGGGGGGCAGGGAGTTGAGAGCTTCTGCTGTAGTGGTGTGAGCAACACAGGATGGCCATATTTAAATTGGGATTGTACTGTGGAGAGTTATATTAAATTCATAAGGTCAGGAGAAACAGAAACACGGGAGTTGGGCCTTATTGCAGACTCCTCCTCGGTGATTTTATTTGGAGTAAACGGCACACGTAATCTTAGCATGTCTCATGTCAAAATCACTTCAAAGAATGCCACGGGTGAGTCTGCGGCAGATGTTCAGGGCATCTTTTTAAAGGAGAACCAAAAAATTAAAATTTATTTCCTTTTTAATTGTGGCTGTTTTAAACTTTGTTACTTTAAAAATTACATATGTGTAAGTGGTCCACTCTTTTTAAAAAAAAAAAAAAAGGCATCCTCATTGTTCAACTCCTGGACACAGGGAGGGAAACATCACACACCAGGGCCTGTCGGGGAGTTGGGGGTAGAGGGATAACATTAGGAGAAATACCTAATGTAGGTGACGGGTTGATGGGTGCAGCAAAGCACCATGGCACGTGTATACCTATGTAACAAACCTGCACGTTCTGCACATGTATCCCAGAACTTAAAGTATAGTAAAAAAAAAAAAAAAAAAAAAAAAAAGGCATCCTATCATATCTTGGCACCCTCGATGTCAAAATGTGGTAAAAAGGACCTTTGCCCATTGTGTTATGCATTTTAGCTCTGTTCAGAATCTGTCACTGTTACCTACGCTTATTTTGTTTTTAGAATTTGGGGGCAGAAATTTTTTTTATCTGTCATGGAAAATAGCTGATGCCCCAATTTTTGAACTCGATAAAAATCCCAACTATTCCCATATTAATCCAGATAGATAGATAGATAGATAGATATTGCATCAGATTTTGTCCCTAAAAGGACTGAGTACAGTACAGGATGTGGAGTGAAACAAGGCTGCTACGGTTTCAGAAACAGCTTTGGAGCTGAGACTTTGCCAAGGAAAGTGGGAACTGCTCTGCGCCAGGAAGAAGCGATGAACCCATCCTTGACTTGTACGACCATCGGGTGTGTCAGCCGCCTTGTCGCTGTGCTCTGCAAACTCTTGCCCACCACGAACTAGGCACACGCTTAACTCAGTGTTGTGGCAGATGGATGACTAATTCGGGTTTTAACTTGGAAAAGCAGAGGTGGGCAGATTCCACCATCCTGGCAGAAGGTTGCATACCCGCCAAAGCGCACTAAAAATCTTCCTAAGTTACTCGGCTTTAGCTGAGGCTGAGTGCTGCTGTCTCAGAAGAATTAATTACTTTGAATGGGAGTCATTTTTTAAAGACTTAAGAATGTTTCCTTTTTTTTTTTTTTTTTTTTAAAGCAAAACCGAATGAACTTGGGGGAAATAAATGCTTTGCCTTTGAGAGTTGTCTGCTGGAAAAAGTCAACAAAGGGCTTCTGGGTTTTGTTCAGTGGTGTCTTGATTAGAGTGGCATAAATCTTAAGTACTTTCAGAGGAGGCTTACAAATTAGAGAATAGTTTGGCTGTTTTGGTTTGATTCTAACAAGAGTTCAGCATGGAGAAATAATACCACTGATGAGATGAGGAATGTGTTTAGCATAATAAAAAAACTACCTCCGTGTAGCCCCATTTTTCGGGCAGATGCAATTTGTGTCTTAAAGAAAAACATAAAAACAGCCAGACATTATCATTTTTCTTTGCTTGTTCCTCAGACGCATTAATAGATTATACCCCTCAATCTATTGGGATTGAGATGTTTTATATTTTAATTACACAAGTGAACAAAGTTTTGCTGTTTAGAACTATTCTGTTGAGTGTTGGTTTTTAAGTTATAAACATTAAAGGAAAAATCATCTGGACTTATATAATGATGAGTCTTGAGAAATGTCAGTGTTTTCTGGGAAGAGTTGTTCCATTCTTCTAACTGCCTCACTGGGGATCCTGGACTGGAGCGTTTGCCCCTGGGATGCAGCGCCGGGGCACCCCTACTTCTGGGCAAGAGGCTGTGCTGTTCCTGGCCTCCGTGACTCTTCAGGCCTTTCTCTCCCAGTTGCATGGTAGCTGCTGCATCCCCACGCATCCTGTCTTTGTTTAAGACCAGAAGAAAAGGGAAAGGGTGGTACCAGACATTTCTGCCCCTTTGATTGCAGAGACAAAGGCTCTCCTCAAGCCTGCAGCTGACTTCTGCCTTTCCCCCATCCGCTGGGACCGCACATGCCACCCTGCGCTGCAAGGGGGCACGAGGCTGCTCCAGTCTCCATGGTGGATTCAGATATTAAGGAGGGCAGGGCTGATGGCTGCCAGGGATCCTCTGATATTAGTAATGGGGGAGAGAGGAGGACGTCAGTTCCAAAAGGTGCGGTCTTCCTGGAGAACGTGGGACTTGAATGAAGCCCTGATAGAGAAGTCAAATTTGAAGAGGCAGAAAGAGGACACGAAGGTGACATGCTAATGAAGTCTAGGATGAAGAGAAACAGTGAGGGAACGTTGAGAACACCACCTTGGTGTGTAGGGATCCTGCATGACACTGTGGATTCTAACACAAAAATAATGCGGAAGGAATTGATGTTTATACAGAGTGGGGTGTGAGTTTCCTGCACCAGAGCATGCCAGTTGGTGGTTACACGTTTGACCCTTGGACATGATTTTAGGGGGAGTGGGGATGGCCTCACCTAGTTTTATTTTTTAATTAAGAATTTTTTTTTTTTTCAGAGACATGGAATCTTGCTCTGTCGCCCTGGCTGGAGTGCAGAGTGGTGCAGTCACGGCTCACTACATCCTCAAACTCCTGGTCTTAAGTGATCCTCCTGCCTCAGCCTCCAGAGTAGCTGGAACTACAGGCACACACCACCACACCCTGCTAATGTTTAAAATTTTTTTGTAGAGATAGGGCCTCACCATGTTGCCCAGGCTGGTCTCGAACTCCTGGCCTCAAGTGATCCTCCTGCCTTGGCCTCCCAAAGTGCTGGGATTATAGGTGTGAGTCACTGTGTCCACCGTGCTTTCACTTAGTTTTAAAAGCAAAAAGATTGTGAACATTTGCAGACACAGGGAGATTACCCACCCCGCCCCCGAAATTCCAGATTTTCAGCTGCATTAAACACATTGCAAAATTCGTGCATCCTGGCTGCTCATTTCCCCATGAGCAGTCACTACCCCCGACACTGGGTAGTGGCTGCTCCTTCAGAAGGAAGGACCCTGTCCCTTCACCACAATGCCCAGTGCTCGAGGCTGTAGACCCCATCCTGAGGGTGTGTGTTCTATACATGCAGCCCCTCCACTTGCAGCGGCCCCTCCCAGCCTCTGCGAGCGCTGGCGTGTGCACTCCAGGGCTTTATGTTTTCCCCGTGTTGCCTTCTTAGGCTCTGCTGCCTAGGCTGTGACAAAGGCATCCCTGAAGAGAGTTGTTCAAAAAAGAAAGATAGCCCTTGTGACGGGTGAGATCATCCATATGTTACCCAATAAAAAGTCAAAGGCTTGAGGGGCCCTTTGAGTTCACTCCAGAGAAAGGTGCAGCAGCCTCGGCTCAGTGCCCCCTAGGCCTCCCTGACGTTGCACGGCGGCAGCATTAGATTATCTCACTGAACAAGGCCCGTCCCTTTGAAATAGCAGTAGGATGGGAATGTCCATTAAAGTAAACAGCTGTGCGTTCTGAGAAGCGGGGACACTTTGTTCTAATGGCCAGCAGTTCCTTTTCCTGTTTCTTGGTTGCCTATCAGTTCTTTCAGATCGCCTTTTCACTTTGAAAATGCAAAATTAAGTAATCCCAGTTATCTCTGTTTAAGCGGGTGCTTCAGTGATGTGATGACTTGCTTTCAAAAGCTCAGTGAGGCCGCGCACGGTGGCTCATGCCTGTAATCCCAGCACTTTGGGAGGCCAAGGCAGGTGGATCACCTGAGGTCAAGAGTTCGAGACCAGCTTGGCCAACATGGTGAAACCCCGTGTCTACTAAAAATACAAAAACAATTAGCCGGGTGTGGTGGTGGGCACCTGTAGTCCCAGCTACTTGGGAGGCTGAGGCAGAAAAATCGCTTGAACCCAGGAGGCGGAGGTTGCAGTGAGCTGAGACCGCGCCACTGCACTCCAGCCTGGGTGACAAGAGCAATACTCTGTCTCAAAAACAGATAAAAAAGCTGAGTGAGAAGGGGTGAGGATCTGGGCAGGTCTGCGTTCTGTGTTGGCTGGAAGCCTGCTGGCGGTGCTTTGACTAAACAATTCTTGATACTTCTAAGATGGACTTGAGGCCGGGCGCGGTGGCTCATGCCTATAATCCCAGCATTTTGGCAGGCTGAGGTGGGTGGATCACCTGAGGTCGGGAGTTCAAGACCAGCCTGGCCAACATGGTGAAACCTTGTCTCTACTGAAAATACAAAGATTAGCTGGGCGTGGTGGCAAGCATCTGTAATCTCAGCTACTCGGGAGGCTGAGGCAGGGAGAATTGCTTGAACCTGGGAGGTGGAGGTTGCAGTGAGCTGAGATTGCGCCACTGTACTCCAGCCTGAGCAACAGAGCGAGACTCCATTGATGGACTTGAAAGACCAGGAATATGGTACAGGTTTTGTTTTTTCCTCCTGTAGTGCTAAGATGAAAGCAGGGCTTTAGACAACGTCGCTTATGTTCGATGATTCTTTTTCTCTCTGTTCATCCTCTCCAGAAACATTGCCTATTGCATTGCGACCAGCTTTTGTATAGGAAGGGAAGAAACAGATATCATTTGGGTTTTGTCATCAGTGAGATGCTAGTCTTGTTGTGGGATGAGAAGCATAAGCTGGTAACTGTCAGCAGGGTTAGGAGCAGATAGTGGCCATGTGCTCCAGGCACTAGGGAGGCTGGGAGATGTACAGAGTCCCTTGGTGGAGACGGTGGGGTTCAAGATGGCGTCCTGAGGGCTGAATGTGGGCGAGCTGGGCAGAGTGTGTGCACAGCAGCGATGGGGGTGCATGGTGTTTCCAGAGGGGACCCAGTAAACAAAGCTCTGCAGGCAAGAAAGACCACTTTCTCTAGGGAGGAAGGACAAAGGGCCTGTTGTTGCGGGTGTGTGATGTTTGGGCAGGGTGGGGATGGTGTCCAGAACAGCAAGGCTTGTTTTACATGGTGGTGAGTAGGACTTGATTAAATGCAGTGCCTCCCTCCCTCCCCCTCACCTGATCAAACTGCTCTTTTGCGTTGCTGCTAGAGGCGAGAGAGAAGATGATTTGCGTGAGGAAGACGGCTGCCTGTTTCCTGCCGTGGTAAATGGATTTTACAGGGCAGGAGGTTAAAGCGTGACTTTAGAGGTGCCTTGGTTTTGTTTTACTGTTCCACATGAGCCATGGGTGACCATTTCTAATACGTTATCCTTTCTCTGGAATATTGGTGGTTCTCCCCTGGGGGCAGTTTTGTCCTCCAGGAGACATGTGGTAACATCTGGAAGCATTTGAATTGGTCACAACTCGGGGCAGGAGGGTGCTACTGGCTTCTAGTGGGTAGAGGCCAGGGATGCTGCTGAGTCCCCTGCAATACCCAGGGCAGCCCTCACGGCAAAGAATGATCCGGCCCCAAATGTCAATAGTGCTGAGGTGGAGGAGCGTGGTTTGGAGTGTCCTATTGTTTATCCATGTTTTATCTATTGGACATTTGGGTAAAATAACCCATTTGTAGCTCTTACAGATGGTCCTGGTATGCACATTCTTCTGTGGGTCTTGTGGTTAACATACATGCACATCACTGAGTCACTTGGTCTGTTTTCCCAGTCATGTCAATATTTTTTTTTGAGACAGGGTCTCACTCTGTCACCCAGGCTGCAGTGCAGTGGCGTGATTTTGGCTCACTGCAACCTCCACCTCCTGGGTTCAAGCGATTCTCTTGCCTTAGCCTCCTGAGTAGCTGGGATTATAGGCATGTGCCACCATGCCTGGCTAATTTTTGTATTTTTAGTAGAGATGGGGTTTCACCATGTTGCCCAAGCTGGTCTTGAACTCCTGACCTCAAGTGATCCGCCCACCTTGGCCTCCCAAAGTGCTGGGATTACAGACATGAGCCACCGTGTCTGGCCACTCATATCAATTTTGGTATTCACCCCGTATTCAGGAGTTGAAGGTGTAGGAAGCAGCGCAAATGGACATTGACAGACGAGTGGATAAAGAGAATGGAGAGTGTACATACAGTGGAATATTGCTCAGCCTCAAAATGGAAGGAAATCCTGTTACCTGTAACCACATGGATGAACCTTGAGTCCATGATGTTAGCTGAAATAAGCCAGTCCTACAAGGGCAGATACTGTATGATTCTACCTATGTGACATATCTGGAATAGTCAAGTTCACAGAGGCAGGAATAAAATGCAGGTTGCCAGAGGCAATGGGGGATTGTTCATTGGGTACTGTTGTGGTTTTGCAAGTTCTAGAGATCTCTTACACAACAATGCGATTATAGTTAATGCTACTGAACTCCATGCAATTAAAATGGTTAAGAGAACACATTTGATATTATGTTTTTGTTGATGCTGTTGTTGTTAGAGATAGGGTCTCTCTCTGTCCCCCAGGCTGGAGTGCAGTTGTACGATTATAACTCACGGTAGCCTTGAACTCCTGGGCTGAAGTGGTCCTCCTGCCTCAGCCTCCCAGGTAGCTGAGATTACAGGCATGTGCCACTGTGCCTGACTAACTTTAAAAACAAAATCATAGAAACTTGGTTTCATTGTGTTGCCCGGGCTGGTCTCAAAACTCCTAGTCTCAAGTGATCCTCCTCCATTGGCCTCCCAAAGCACTGGGATTACAGATGTGAGCCACCATGCCCGGCATATATAATGTGTTTTTTAATACCACTTAAGCTCTGATTTCCTCGTGTTATGATGAAAACGGATACTTTGTCACTGTCCCTGAGAGTGGAGCAGCATAGCCTAGGTTCCACTGGCAGTTTGGACATGAAGAAATTATAACAACAGCAGAATAAGTTGTAACTGTACTTGTAGCATACTTTAGAGTTTGCAACATATTTTCATAATTGTTTCACTGTTATCCTCCTGGTCGTCCTAGGATGTAAGACAACCAGCTCTTACCACCATTTTTGGGGTGATAAAACCAAGAGTAGGAAGCATTTCTCCAAATTGTGTACGTAAGTGGCAGAGGCAGGTCTTCAGTACCAGATCATTCCTCATCTTTTGAAACGCTCCGTGCCCCCACCCTCTGATGTGATTATTCCCTCCTGTCTGCCACCAGGGGATCCTGTGCATGTCTGTCACTGCACTTGCCTCATGGGATTTGTATCAGCCAGGATCTAGTTAGGAGACGGAAGCCACACAGTAGTTGGAACAGGAGTGCTTCATAGGAAGCGGGATTTCGTGGACTGACCAAATCCCACCATGCCCCCGTGCTTACGGCTTTTCTGTTTACAGAAGCAAGGTTGAACAGTTGCACAGAGATCGTGTACATGCAAAGCTCAAAATATTTACATTACGGCTCTTTGTGAAAAAGTTTGCTCACCCCTAATGTAAAGAACTATTAACTTGTGGCAGTTTATTATCTATTATCGACGAATTATTAACTAGTAGCTACTATAGGTAAGGAGAACTCTAAAGAATACGAGAATAGCAGATAGAGGGAGTGGCCACTCCCTCCAGGGCTGGGGCACAGAGTACCTGAGGAAGGAATAAATTTGGAACTATTCTCCCCACCCCCTCCAAAGCTGAGATTCGAATCTCGATGGAAGATGGCTCACTAGGTAGTGGAGAAAGTCGCTGAGGGCCACCGCTGGCTGGAGAGTAGGGAGCCACCCCCGGCATGCCACTGAAGCTCACTAGGAAGCTGGCTGGGGGTGTCTGTGGGACTCGGTGGAAAGCCACCGAGGAATTGTCTCTAAAAGTCGCTGGGAAGCTGCCCGCCAGAGCACCAGTGGAACTTGCTAGGAGGCCGCCCTTGGAGCTTAGTGCCACTGTGTGTGCCACATGACTGCCAGGTCCCACTGGAGCAGGCAGGGAGGAAAGCACGCTGGAATGATGAAGGCAAGCCCTTTCCACCGCCCGCGTGCCTCCACCGCCCTCTGCTGATGGTGCTCACCAGGTGCCAGCACTGGAGAAACGCCCACAGGGTCCTGCTCCAGGATCACCATGTGGGCAGTGAAGGTGCATTTGGGATGCAGAGGCAATGCATTGCTAACTGGCAATGTTGCAACAGGTTGTCTTCAGAGCTGCACTGTAAATTCCTCTGACACACGATGGTGTTCCAGAAATCCTCCCTGAACGTTGCTCCCCATTAACCATCTCTTAGGTGGATCTCGGCCTGTGCTCTGTGAAATTCAGGGCTGACATGGTGGTCAGGATTTGGCCAAGTCCTGAGGCCCCAGGATCTTTGCTACATGTGGAGAGGAGGCACACACCTTTGGGCTCTATGCTGACCTCCCTCCAAGAAGACTGTCACCCCTTGCCACAGAATGCACACTCTTCTTCCGGTCCCGTCCAGTTGGCCTGCATTCTGACGCTGCAGCTCTCACCTGCCCAGGGCACATTCCACCCCTGCCCGTTTCTCCCAGTCACTCCTGGGACAGTCAGCTTGCCTTCCGTTGCTCTGTAGAAATGCTGTCTGCCAACTCAGTCTCCACCACCTCCAGATCTTCACCTCATCTCCCTCCACATTTTTGGGAGCCACATGCCCCCTTTTCACCTAGCCGATCACCCAGCCGTAGGTTTTCTGTCATGACACTCCCTTGGCCTGTGTGTCCATTAGCATGGCTTTGTCACCTGGTGCAGCCACGTCCTCGTCCTCTCCTCATGCCTCATCCTCGCGCCTCTCCTTGCCATGGTGCCTCGTGTGGTGCAGCCCTCATTTTAGGGAGAGATGAAACAAGGGCTAGACCTTTGTGGACTGAATACCTCCTTGAGCATCTAGTTCCAAAACACACGAGGAGGGTTTTGGTTTATTTTGTTAGTGTTATTTATTATTTTTTTTTGGGGGGGGTGTATATTTCTTAAGAGATGGGTGTCTCACTATGTTACCCAGACAGGAGTGCAGTAGCTCTTCAGAAGCGTGGGCATAGCACACTGCAGCCTCCAACTCCTAGGCTCAGGTGATCCCGCCATAGCCTCCTGAGGAGCTTTTTTGTATTGTATTATCATTTTTCTTGCTTTCTTACTAATTTTGTCAACTATGAGGAAAGGAATTTTTTCTTTCCTAATAGAGATTTTATTGATACTTTGGAAGATCAATACAAAGCTGTTTCAATGTGTATCCTGTTGTTAATGTCCTTACAGAAAATCTAAAGAGCTGTGTCATTGGATTCTTTTCCAGGTACTCCAGCGACCTTCTAGCTGAAAACTTGGAGGCAAATTTTCCTTAAAAGGCCAGGAATTAGGATTTTTTGAAGTCTCAGCACCTTTGGGTGGTGGTTTCCATCTTTAGGAGCACGAGTCTGTCTCCGGGCGAAACTTCAGTGTAGATGCATGTTCTCAGGATATTTCACAACTTGCTGCCTTGCTGGATGGGTCACATTTCCTTCCCCAAGCGCCGGTACCTTCAGATGTTGACGAGCTGTCACATCAGAAGTCACAGTCACTCACCGTTATCAGCAACACTGCATACTCAAGTTTTCAGCCTTTCATAGCACATTAACAGAGAGATTAGGAAAACCGACTGCCACGACCAGAAGACTTTCAGGGTGCATGCCTCTCTGATAGGGAGAGCCAGGATCAAGGAGTCCTTTTCCTTCCGAAACAGTTCTACTAAAAAACAACCCATGGGCTCACACCTATAATACCAACACTTTGGGAGACCAAAGCAGGAGGTCAAGGTAGTAGGATTGCTTGAGGCCTGGAGATTGAGACCAGCCTGAGCAACATGCTGAGACCTCGTCTCTACAAAAAATAAAAATAAATAGGCCGGGCGCGGTGGCTCACGCCTGTAATCCCAGCACTTTGGGAGGCCGAGGCGGGCAGATCACGAGGTCAGGAGATCGAGACCATCCCGGCTAAAAAAAAAAACGGTGAAACCCCGTCTCTACTAAAAATACAAAAAATTAGCCGGGCGTAGTGGCGGGCGCCTGTAGTCCCAGCTACTTGGGAGGCTGAGGCAGGAGAATGGCGTGAACCCGGGAGGCGGAGCTTGCAGTGAGCCGAGATCCCGCCACTGCACTCCAGCCTGGGCGACAGAGCGAGACTCCGTCTCAAAAAATAAATAAATAAATAAAAATAAATAAATAAAAAATTAGCCAGGTGTGGTGACACATGCCTGTAGTCCCACCTTCTTGGGAGGCTGAGGCAGGAGGATCGCTTGAGCCTGGGAGTTCGAGGCTGCAGTGAGCTGTGATCGCACCACTGCACTCCAGCCTGTGCAACAGAGCGAGACCCAGTCTCAAAAACAAAAAGCAAACCTATGAGTATAAGTAATTTAAGCTGCTCAAGACATATTAAAGGCCTGACCATGACTGCAAATTGCCAGTCAGTATGCTTTGTGCTGTAGGATATGAAAACTGTCCACCCAGCCTAGCACCCAAGACAGTCAAAGCCTCTCATAAAATATATACCAAAAAACAACTAGCAAATGATTTCACCTCTTTTAAAAAAAGCATTTATGCTTAAAACATGGAATTAGGTGGGATTCTCTCCTTAAAAATGTTTACAGAACTACTAAAAAACTTGCATTTACAAAACAGTTGCTGAAAGTATTCCCCTGGCATATATGGGAAGGGAGACAGGGGCTGCTGAGCAGTGTATGATAGTAATCAGGTTTCTTTCCCTCCTGCTTCCTGGGAGCCTGGACTCTACTTGCATTTAGACTCCGCTTCCTGCAGGTCAATCTTCAGGTTCCTGCTGAGCCACTTCAGCCCATTTGCCCTTTGCTCCCCCTTTTCTCTTTTGTGCTTTTTTTCCCTAAGGATTTATCCTTTCCTGCTGCCTTTTTTTTTTTTTTTTTTTTTTTTGAGTTGGAGTCTCGCTGTGTTGCCCAGGCTGGAGTGCAGTGGCTCCATCTCGACTCACTGCAAGCTCTGCCTCCCAGGTTCACACTATTCTCCTGCCTCAGCCTCCCGAGTAGCTGGGACTACAGGTGCCCGCCACCACACCTGGATAATTTTTTGTATTTTTAGTAGAGACGGGGTTTCACCATGTTAGCCAGGATGGTCTCGATCTCCTGACCTCATGATTCGCCCACCTCACCCTCCCAAAGTGCTGAGATTACAAGCGTGAGCCACCGCGCCTGGCCTCCTGCTGCCTTTTTGGGCTTCATTTCCACTTCTGCAGAAGCAGGTTGAGCCGACAGCCTGGCGGACCTCTGGGCTGTGCCTTGGCCACCCCTGGGGCTGACCTGACCTTCCCCTTGGGCATCTTGGCGGTGCCTGGTGCCTGCTGCCCAAAAGCCTTATGAATCTGGATGCACCGCAACTCCCTTCCCTGCCCTGGCCTCTGGGACCACAGCAGGGGCCAGGAATTTTTTTTTTTTTTTTTTTTTTTTAAGTCTCAACACATTTGGGTGGGGATTTCCATCTTCTAGGGGCTTCCCTGTTATCGGAGCACAAGTCTGTCTCACAGAGAACCTTCAGTGTGGACAAGGTGTTCTCATTTATTTCCCAACGTGTCTCTTTCCTGGATGAGTCAGGTTTCCTTTCTGAAGACGCCGAGCTCAATAAATTAAGCAGACTGAGAGGTGACTTCAGTGCTTGTCCTCATCATGCAGATATTTTATCTCTGGAAAGCGAAGCATTGTTGAGGTGGTCAGAATTGATCAATTGCAGGTGTGACTCATAGCCCTTGAAATATGATATTGGACTTAAAAAAAAACTGCTTTCTCTCCTCTCATTTTGATTTCTGGTCACTGTGATTTTCCAAATCCCTCAAGCTGAAAACCCTGCGGCAGGTGACATGTCCAGATCTTCCTTCCCAGCCTCTGGAGTTGGTGCATTACTCCCGTGATTTTTCTCTGCCTCTTACCCCAGGAGTTCTGCAGAGATGTAGGGGTAGTGCCCATCAGGGTCGTTGTCCTTGTCGTTTTATTCTTATTGCCAAATAAATTCATTTGTGTGTGACTATAAGACGAGTCTTCCAGAAGCAGCTGCTGTAGTGATGAGTTCACTCCTCCACTGCCATGGCTGCCTTCGCTGGGCCCCCACTGCCTGCAGGACAGCGTCCAGATTCCCATTCCAGGGCGGGGTCCTCGTCTTCCCCCACTTCGGCCCTATCTTCAGACACTCCCCTGCACACACACTCATGCCTCAGGCCTCCTGCCTCCACGCCCTTCTTCACGGGGAAGCCTCTGCGGAAGGCCTTCCCAGCTTTTTCTAGTTGCCGTTTCTATTTGGAGGCCTTCTTATCTCCACCCGAGACAGAGGGTCACATCCCCCTCATGCTGCCACTGCAGGGACCCCATTCTTTTCAGCGTGAGCCTGCTCCCCCGCTGCACTCAGGATGCCCTTGCCCTTATGGGACTTCATTTGGATTGTCTCTTCAACGAAGTATCAACAACTTTGTTCCATAAAAGACTTTGATTAACTGTTTTTTTCCTGCTGTTCCTAGAGAAAACATTTCCATGAGAACAATGAGGCATTCTGCACGTTAGGAGACGTTGAACTCTAATCGGGGCCATAAGAGTGAGTTTCCACACAGAATATCAGTTAATAACTAAAACAACAGTATTTGCCCGGGTGTGTGGACTTGGTGCTTTGGGTCTGTGAGTGCCCATAGCATGGCACCTGGGCCGGCATCGTCATGGGTCGGGGATGATTGACTTCCTAGCTTTTTGTAGAGGGGCTTTTTGAGGTTAGAGCAAGTGAGAGCAAAGATTTTTCCTAAGTACTACAGGACAGAACTTCCTCATTTGTGGCTCTGGCACTCCACAGACATTAAGCGGCTGTCACTAATCGGTGCAGTGCCAAGTGCTTCCTTACCTTGTAGACCTGGGACTGTGACAAAATGAGCATCATTGTGATGCTATCACGCATGCGGCACCTTCCCTAAGGTGCCTAATTAAGCCTAATTAATTCTACTGAACTTGAGAAGTTCAGTGGGGCAAAGAGAATAGAATGGAGGTTTTCAAAGCTGCTGCTGCTTTTCTGACTACTTTTCCCCATAGCACCATAAACATGTAGAGGTACTTTATCTGGATAAGGAAGCCAGGGGAAAAAATGAAGACTTTTATCTCCCAAACCAAAACACATTTTTGCTGGGAAATATAGGTGGAGTGTGGTGGGGGAAGGCTGATGGATGTTGTGGAATGCGTCCTTCATATCTAGAGGGGAAGCTTTAGGAATCCTTGCAGATGAGAAGAAACAGCATCATGTTGTCCTTTGCAGTGAAGTCAGAGCAACTGACAGCCCTTTCTGAGAGTCCTTCAGGACTTGCTTACACACGTGCTTGTGGGAATGAGACACATTCCCACCGAAAACCCCACCCGGTCACCACTGAGTCAGACACAGAACTGTGTCACCCTGAAGAAGTGCTGCTTCAAAAGCTGTCCCAAGACCCTGCAAGCCATGAGTCTTTATGGTTTTGCCTAAAGATTTTCCTGTGATACTTAAATTCAAACATGTCATTGTGGAGAGAAGGACACAACTTCATTTATTTTTATTTTTATTTTTATTTTTATTTTTATTTTATTTATTTATTTATTTTTTTAGATGAAGTCTCACGCTGTCGCCCAGGCTGGAGTGCAGTGGCGCAATCTCAGCCCACTGCAACCTCCACCTTCCGGGTTCAAGCGACTCTCCTGACTCAGTCTCCTGGGTAGCTGGGATTACAGGAGCGTGCCACCAAGCCCAGCCAATTTTTGTATTTTTAGTAGAGATGGGGTTTCACCATCTTGGGCAGGTTGGTCTCGAACTCCTGACCTCGTGATCCACCCACCTCAGCCTCGCAAAGTGCTGGGATTACAAGCGTGAGCCACCGTGCCCAGCCTTTTATTTTTATTTTTTTGAGACAGGGTCTCGCTCTGTCACCCAGGCTAGAGTGGGTTGGCATGATAACGGCTCACTGCGGCCTCAACCCTCTGGGCTCAAGTGATCCTGCTGCCTTAGCTTCCCAAGTACCTGGGTGCCTCCTGAGTAGCTGGGTGCCACCATATCTGGCTAATTTTTTACCCTTTTTTTTTTTTTTTTTTTTTTTTTTTTTGTAGAGACAGGATTTCTTTTGTTATATTACCCAGGCTAGTCTCGAACTCCTGGAATCAAGCGATCCTTCCACATTGGCCTCCCAAAGTGGTGGGATTCCAGGCATGAGCCACTGCTCTCAGCCCTAGACACAATTTTAAAGTTCACTATATATCACTCTTATACTGGGTCAAAATAGTTTCCTTGATTTTATTTTAATTTTTTTAATTTTAATTTTTCAAGACAGAGTCTCACTTTGTCGCCCAGGCTGGAGTGCAGTGGCATGATATTGGCTCACTGTAACCTCCACCTCTCAGGAGCAAGCAATTCTCATGCCTCAGCTTCCCGAGTAGCTGGGATTACAGGCATGCGCCACCATGCCCAGCTAGTTTTTGTTTGTATTTTTAGTAGAGACAGGGTTTCACCATGTTGGCCACGCTGGTCTTGAACTCCTGACCTCAGGTAATCCGCCTGCCTTGGCCTCCCAAAGTGCTGGGATTACAGGCATGAGCCACCGCACCCAGCCCCTTGTTTTTAGATATTGAGGAATGCATAACTTTTTATTATGGTAAAATACACATAATATGAAACTTATCTTCTTAATAATTTTCAAGTGTACTGTTCAGTGATGTGTTAAGTACATTTACATTGTTGTCCAACCATCACCACTGTCCATTTTCAGAACTTGTCATCTTCCCAAACTGAACCTCTCTGCCTATTAAACACTAACTTGCCATTCCCTCCTCTCCCCAGCCCCTGGTAATCACCATTCCACTTTCTCTGTCTATCCTTTTGATGACTCAGGTACCTGAATTCAATCGTATAGTGTTTCTCCATTTTTGACTGGTTTATTTCACTTAGCATAATGTCCTCAAGGTTCATCCATGTTGTTGCCTGTGTCAGAGTTTCTCTCCTTTTTTAAGGCTGAATAATATTCCCATTATATGTGTATGTATATGCCATATTTTATTTATCCATTCACCTGTTGATTGACATTTGGGTTGTGTTCACCTAGAACTCATAATTGTTTAAAGGCAAAAACAAAATAAGGCTCTGTCCTTTGAAATTTATTTTTTATTGTTGTTGTTTTTTAATGCAAATTTATGAAAAAAGTATCAAGGTTTTTTGTTTTAATTTTTGTGAGTACGCAGTAGGTGTATCGATGTCCTTAGAAATTTGTGATGATAGAATTATACTTTGTAAATGTGCATTTTTGCTCATGTTTGTAACCCCAGCACTTTGCGAGGCCAAGGCAAGTGGATGGCTTGAGCTCAGGTGTTAGAGACCAGCTTGAGCAACATAGGGAGACCCCCATCTCTACAAAAAAAATAAAAACTAAAAATTAGCTGGGTGTGGTGGTGCATGCCTGTAGTACCAGCTATTCGGGAGACTGAGATGGGAGAATTGCTTGAGACCGGGAGGTGCAGGCTGTGGTGGGCCGTGATCACGCCATTACACTCCAGCTTGGATGACAGAATGTGACCCTGTCTCCAAAAACACAGTGCATTTTTGGACACTTCAAAATACAGGCTCAATTAGTTTTCTAAGCAGTTACTTCATCAGCATGTGACTGGTATTATTTTTCTCACAATTCTGTTACTTTAGTCAATATTTTTATGCTTTGCTTTACTACGTAAAATGTTGGATTCTTCCCCTTAGTAATTGTCTATGCTTTTCTCCAGACTCATTAAAGGTATAAATTAAATTCTGAGTTTTACACCATGTTTCCTTTGGCAGTGGAATTAAAATTGGGAAAAATCATCTATATTCATAGAGATTAATGGTGAAGTCTCTTAAATTAGATACATGTCTATAAATATATATTAATTGTTTTCTTTTGCTGCTTTACTCTGGAGCAAATTTTCCAAAATTGTAACGTGAAGTACAGTTTAGAGGAGAAACATCTACTATCAGAATGTACTTAAAGAGACCAATCTTTTCACCTCTTTGTAGTAAATTGGATGTTTACATTGTCATGAGGGTATCTCTCTTGGAAGAAAGAAATTATTCTTTATTCTGAGGTCAGTTATAGACAGTTTCAGCTAAAAATTATGAGGAACTGATTGGTTATGTCTAAAACTTTGAGTTGGGTTTTTGATACTTGACTTGTTTTGTATATTCGTGACTATAATTAATAGCATCTGCATGGCAGGTAAGCTATGTTATCCATTGTGAATACAAGGAAACGAGGAAAAAGAGACCAGAAGTCTTAGGGTCCGGAGTTGGCAGCCATGGATATAACACGTGGATAGAAAAACACTTCTGTGGTCTTTCAACAAGGTGGAATTCCCGACAGGCAAGAAAAGCCACTAAAGACCCGAAGGCTCCAAAACAAAAGACCAGCTCCAGGATGCCAAGATCTTCCTTGGAATCCCTGGACCCCCAGATGTCTGTAACTTGCCTCCTTATACACACCTCATTTTTACTGTCTTTCCCACCCTGCCTGGATACTCTTATTTGGTTCAGGGGGCAATAGAAATAAGCAAAGTCAGCCACATCAACACTTAGGCTTTCTAGCATCGAAATACAGATGTGCGGGCGTCATTCCAGCCACAGCACTTAGCAGTGACCTAGAGAAACAGATAGCGCCCTTCATCTCTGATCCATCCTCCTGAGGCACAGCCCTGGAAGAAGCCTTTCCTCTGTGAAGAAACCTGGGGGGAGGGTTGCTCCAGATCCCCAGCCTCCTGGCCGGCCCCTTGGTCTCCCTCTTGGGGCATGTCGAAACCCAGTCTCCCCCAGGTATCGCCTGCCTTTTGCTATCCCTTGGCTGTGTGTGCAACCTTAGTGGGTGGAAGCTTATTTACAGTCTGTAAAGACATCAGGATAAAATCGTCTAGAACTTTTGAAACCAGTTGGTGACTGAAAAAATTGCTGCATATTTTTGTTAGGAGTGCTTTTTAAAATTTGTTTATGGTATTGACTAGCAGTGAATAATTGCTTTATTCACAAAAGTTCACTTGTCCTCAGATCTAGGTGGAGATTTCAGGAAAATATGCAGCTTCAGAATTGAGGCATTGTAAGTTACTTAGCACCTAGCTTCTCCTGACCCCCCACCCCAAGAAGTAAGCTTGAATCCAAAACACTTAGCTTTTCAACTGCCAGAAGAATGGACGGCATTAGCTTCAGGCTCACTCTTGGAAGTTGTTCTTGGGTTAGCCATGACATGCAGCTGGCTAGCAGTGGATTCAAAGGCTGTATGCTGATGTGCTTGTAACCAGTGATTTCTTCTCACTGGTTTTCCTAGCAGTTTATAAAGCTTTTTGGTGTAAAACAGTTGGCAAACCATTTTTGGAACAAGCCCAGTAGTAAATATTTTTGGCTTTGTGGGCCAAGCTACTCAATTCTGCCCTGTAGCAATATGTAAACCAATGGGTGTGACTGTATTACACTAAAACTTTGGGTGGTGGGAGGGGGAAAGAAAGCTGGCTGGATTGGCTCACTGGCCACAGTGTGCCAGAAAATGGACAGATTAACTGGAATGAATTGCTGTTGAGTTCTACTTTACTGTATAGGAAAATCTAGGTTAATAAAAGTTACAGAATGTAGGCCGCGCACGGTGGCTCACGCCTCTAATCCCAGCACTCTGGGAGGCCGAGGCGGGTGGATCACGAGGTCAGAGGAGTTCAAGACCAGCCTGGCCAATGGGGTGAAACCCTGTCTCTACTAAAAATACAAAAATTAGCTGGACGTGGTAGCGTGTGCCTGTAATCCCAGCTACTCAGGAGGCTGAGGCAGGAGAATTGCTTGAACCAGGAGGCAGAGGTTGCAGTGAGCCGAGATCGCACCACTGCACTGCAGCCTGGGTGACAGAGCGAGACTCTGTCTCAAAAAAAAGAAAAAAGGGAAAAAAAGCTGTAGAATGGATGGCATTCAAGCTGTTACGGAGTCAGTCAATACACATTGGGAGGATACTGTGTTTAGCACTGAGTAGTGAATATCTTAACATACACGGCATGGTATAATAATCGGATTAGGGCTATGACAAAAAACAGATACGTGTTAGCAAGGATATGGAGAAATTGGAACCTTCATACACCGATGGTGGGAATGTAAAACGGTACAGCTGCTGTAGAAAACAGCCTGGAAGCTCCTCAGGTTGTTAAATGTAGTTATCATAGGGCGCAGCAGTTCCACTTTATAATAGCCAAAAGTAGACACTGATGAATAGATAAAATGCGGTCTGTCCATACAAGTGAATGTTACTCAACCATAAAAAGAAATGAAGTACTGCTACATGCTACAACGTAGATAAACTTAGAAAGCATCGTGCTAAGTGAGAGAAGCCAGACCCAAGAGGCCACATATTGTATTACTCCATTTATGTGAACTGTCTAGGACAGGCAAATTCATGGACACAGAAAGTACATTTGTGGTTGCCAGAGGCTGGAGGGATTGGAAACCGAGTAGTAATGAGCACAAGGTTTCTTTCGGGGTTAGGGGAAATGCCCTAATATTGATGGTGGTGATGGTTGTACAACTCTGAAAATACTAAAAGCCATGCTTTATTTGAGTGAATATATGGTATTTGAATTATATTTCTATAAAGCTATTACAAAAACAGTCTAGTTCCAGGATTAATGTATGAGAAATAATTAATAAGTAATTTAAAATGGTCAAAAATTATTGTCTGGTTAAAGGAGATCTAGAAAATGAATCAGTATCTTCAGGTCCCCTGTTTTCCATTGTGTGTGTTCTCAAGCTTTCCCATTCCCTGGATAAACAGGAGTCGTGTCCAGGGAAGGCAGGCCAGGGTGAGGGGTGTAGTGCATCCCTGATCCCCTGAGTGGTAATAAGGTCAGCCCCCAGGGCCCATTCCCGCCAAGTGTGAGGTATGTCTGCTGCGTTCCGAGGACCTGCTCTGCCTCAGGAATTGCTGCTCGTGGAAGGCTCATGGAACATGCTTCTCTGTTACAGATTGAAGAGGGCAGTAAAGCCGCGGCGGTCGACAAGTTACTGGCTGGAGATGAGATCGTCGGCATCAATGACATTGGTCTCTCAGGGTTTAGACAGGAAGCGATTTGCCTGGTGAAGGGGTCCCATAAGACCCTGAAGCTGGTCGTCAAAAGGTAAGATCTGAGCTTCCTCCCACATTTACCACGACACACAGGAATGAGTGGAACATCAAAGTGGGAAGCCAGTTGTCCTGCCCACATCACTACAGAGATCTCGATTGGGACATGCACTTAGAGTTATATGTCTCGGCCAAGCATGGGCCCGGCATCAAGAGTCTGAACGGTTCCTAATTTTATTACGACGATTTTTATAAATTTTAATGTATTAAGTGGATTTGAATACTCGTATCTTTCCTTTGTTTATATGTAGATTATTTTCTTGGCAGGCAGAAAACGGTGCTTATGCTCCCAGTGAGGTGACATGTTGTTGCCTGTCTTGTACACAAGGTGGCAGGCCACTGCGCTTTCTGTTTTCATGCTAGAAAGAGAGTGACTGTCACGAAGATGCCAGCCACCAAGGGTTTAGAGCACTGTGCTGAGGTCTGGAGGGAGGGTCTGGAGGGAGCTGTCTGTCTATTCCTGTACATTACGTGTCAGTTGGAGCTTGGATGGTTTTAAGAGGTTAGAAAGTGAACTTGGGGACATGATGCTTTTATATACAGGAACTAAAGCAATACTCCAGGTACCACAAGAGTGTTGGTGATATGTCGCTTTCAAAGAGAAATAACTCTCCACCTTGGTTTTAAAGTTGGCTTATTAACAGGCAAGTGCTTACACATCCCTCTTGACAAAATTAGCATGTTCTTTTGAAGGCTGGCTGTAAATTTTAATTAATTGACCCACATTTATTTCCATTTTTAGTACAGACATGAAGATATCTTCCTTGTTTTGAAAAAACAAAAATTTTTTTTTCAAGTCTGGTCAAGTGAAGTAGTGTGCGTGGAGAGGAACAAAGAAATCTGTAACTGGTTGTGACTAATTATTTGTAAACACCGCTGCACTCAAACCAGCCAAGACAAATTCCTAAAGGCTTTTTTGAAGTGGGGGTGGGTGGAGATGCCAAAACAGTATCCAAAGAAAAGATTCAGAAATGAGGAAGGGCCAGACGTGCTGGCTCACACCTGTAATCCCAGCACTTTGGGAAGCCGAAGCGGGAGGATCACTTGAGCCCAGGAGTTCAATCGAGACCAGCCTGGGCAACATAGTGGGACCCCATCTCTCTCTCAAAAAATTTTTTTTTAATTAGCTGGGCATGATGATGCACACCTGTGGTCCCAGTTACTCGAGAGGTTGATATGGGAGGATTCTTTGAGCCTGGGAGGTCGAGGCTACAACGAGCCATGATTGTGCCACTGTATTCCAGGCTGGGTGACAGAGCAAGACCCTGTCTCAAAAAAAAAAAAAAAAAAAAAAAAAAAAAAGGGGAGGAAGGAAAAACATTTTTTGCCTCATGAATTTAGCAAAGTCAATTGTAAGTGGTACATGCTATTCCTGAGCACCCTTTTAACAACTCTTTGTAGATCAGAAAGTAAAATCTCAGAATGGTGGTTTCTGAGCCATTGGGGAGGGTGGGGCACAAGAGGCACCATGACACTGTGTTATGGTTCCTCTGTGATCACCGTCTTAACCCTCCTATAGCAGCACGTTTGTTCTTACACGATTCAGTTAACTTAGTGGAATGCCGGTGGTGGTGAGGGAAGCTTGTTCTGCAGAGGTAAGACGAGGAGTTATAAATTGGCTCTGGGGGTCATCATCCCGCTGCCAAGGCTGACTGCAACTCCCTTTTCTTCTGTCTCCTGTACTGTCTCGTTCTGGGCTCCCAGAGACCCCAAAAACACTGGGCTGTGCTTGTGGTCTTACTGTGTGTCTCTTCTTTGATGGAGACACCAGCTTAGTCAGCATAGCTGGCCAACTTTGTATCACCAGGGCATAGCTATGCGTAGAAATTCCTAGCATGGGAGTTCCTGAGTCGGAAGGTGTGTCCGTTGTGAATGTTCAGAGACATTTCTGAGTTTCTCAGACCCTTTCACATCATCTCTAGCATAGGATATTTGTAGTTTGTTTGTTTGTATTCTCTGAATGTGATAGGTGAAATATGGTTTTCTATTTACATTTGCATTTCCGTAGTTATGGGAGTGAAGTCAGGTATCATTCCATATGTTTAGAAGCAAGGTAGATGTGATTCTTTTTTTGAGCTAGAAGTACATATTTAGTGATAAAGATAGACAGTCTAAAATCTGTTCAAAGGAAAGCCATGCCACAGGAGAACTGGTTGGTGGGAGGAGAGAGCGAAGCCTCAGGGCATCTGCTGGCTGGTTTCACTGAGTAGGTACTTAAAAGACTCTTGGGAAAAGGGATTAAACTTTTGCCCTGAAGGATCTCCAGGAGCCACTGTGTAGAATCCCCATTTTGTGTTCTGCAGACCCACTTTCCTTTAAATGAGAGATGTGGACAAAATGATAATGTGGTTTAAATAGAATTTTATTTAAGTAGTATGTGTAACGAGATATAAAGCAGCGGAGTTTATTTACAAATTTTTATTTCCCAACACACTTTCAATAACCGTGTTAGGAAAAAACCCACAAGCTGTTTTTCCTCTGCTCTCACACAACACTCAACACAGAAGACTTCTGTGACCAAATGTGCATAGAACTTCTAATACTCCAACTACCTTTATGTGGTTTTCCTTACTACAAAAGCACCAATGGGTGCTTTCAAAATTGTTCTTCTTAAAGCCAGAACACGTATTCTTCTCTATCTAAATTTAAATCTCTATTTAAATCTCCCCGCCCTCCTCTTTCTCCATTCCTAGGCAACCACTAATCTGCCTTCTGTCTCTATGGATTAGGTAGCATTTTCTGGCATTTTATGTAGAGCTCCAGGATGGAGCATGTACCCTTACAAGTGGCTAGTTCATGAAAGGAACTCTGCAGGTAGTTCATAGATTGAGACACCAACATATTCATATTCTATATTGCTCTGCTTAAAAGCGTGATCAAATGGTAAACTAGCTTGCCCAAGCCTTGTTTGACTTGTTGCAATTGTCTGCCCCCATCTGCAAAAATGTGATGAGGGAAAGAGGTATATACATCTCTGTGTAAAGCACAGGAATCCGTGGTTTTTTGTTTGTTAAAGACAGGTTCCTGCTCTTTTGCCTAGGCTGGAGTGCAGTGGTGCGATCATAGCTCACTGCAGCCTCGAACTCTTGGGCTCAAGCGATCTTCCCAAAGTGCTGGAATTACAGGCGTGAGCCGTCGCACCTGGCCTCTCCATGGTTTTTTAAACATGATTTGAATAGTGGTTCACGGATAAACTCCCCTCCCTGTAGTGACAGCTGCTACACGTCTTATTTTGTAGGCTCATTTTATCTTTGTATGTGTGGGGACCAGGGGACCAGGCAGCCAGGATAGGATTGCGATGGGCCACTTTCACAAAGCGGTGGCATCTTGTTTCACAGGCATGGGCAACGTGGACCTTGTGGTCGTTGAGAAGCTGGTGCTGGGAAAGCGATGCGGGAGGAGACAGGCGGATCACTATCTCCGCAGACAAATGAGGGCCAGCGCTTCCTCTCGCCCAGGGCAGTGGGAGCTGGAGACAAAGAACTTGTAACAATCAGCCCTACCAAGTGCATGTATGTTCTTCCTTGTGAGGTCCAGGTGGCATCCACGGCCCGAGATGTCAGGGGAGGGGTGCTGCCCAGGAGTCAGATCTGTCGGTTAGGTCAGGAGGAGAGGCTGAGGCTGGCAGTTTTGCTTTTCTCTTTCTTCCCAGGCGGTTTGTTGTTCTGTCTCTACTTGGCAGGGGAGTGCTCCTTGCAGGAAAGTTCAGGGCAGACATGTAGCCTTTTATTATGTGTATGTGTGTGTCCAGTTTTTTTCCACTGCACTGTTTTCCTAGGTGCCCAGGCCCACCCCTGGAGAGTCCTGGGCAGGTCTTGAATGGATCTGGGCTCTGGAATCTTCACACAGAGCCACAGGCTATTTCGCTGGGCATTAGCAGCGGATCTACCGCTTGCTGGCCTTAAGCACAAGTTCTTGGGAAGGTTAAGGCCAGAAACCGGGTGACCCTTTGGCATTTTCCTCATTAACTTAGCCCAGTTGGGTTAGTGCAAAAGGGAGGTCTGCCTGATGCCCTCAAGCTGCTCCGGAGGAGAGGAAGCAGGGTTGGGAGGGTGGGGAAGGACCGAGAAGGGGACGGCAGCTCCTAGCTTAGCTGGGCTCATCCTATCCACTCGGTGCCAGGGACCGTGGCTGTTGCCTGTTGCTGTCTTCTCTCTGAAATCTGCGTTAACAGCTCTAGGGACAGAGTCATCCATTTTTCTCCCTTCAGAGGCAAATGGCTGTTAAGTTCAGCTTCTAAAAAGCACCTGTAATTTCAAACACCCTAGGGAAAATTTCTTTTAAATATCACATCATAAATTATTTTCTAAAGCTTTGCAATTACCCTTTTGGCTTTTTCCCCAAATATGCATTATAATATTAGTTTTGTTTACAGCAAATCCACCTGCCACCTTGTCACAGACCCCACTCTGGGCAGTTTCTCTTGAACCGGTCATGTGTTGCGAGTCATTTTGTGGGGGCCAAATCGTGGATAGGGTTGATTCATGTCACTTCCTGCCTCTTTGCTGGCAGCCCTAAACCCTCTTGTGAATCTAATTACATCCACTAAGCTTGCATTCAGGAGCAGCTTAGCAGCAGAGGGAAGGGTTTTCTGCATCAGGCTGCAAGGGTTTGCGAGACCATGTGGTGTGGTCCTGCATTTGAAGAGAAGAGGCTGCATGTCGAGGGAGAGCACTCATGTTTGCTAGGAGCTGGTTTCTTACAACATGCGTCCCGTCTTGGGCATTGCTAAGGTGCCCTGACTGCTGCTCCAAGCCCACATTGTGCTGTGCCCCCCTCTGCTGCTGGCTCCTTGGAGCTGTCCTGGAGCAGGTGGCCCTGCAGCCCTAAGGTTGATTAGCACAGATGTTCCGGGAGCTGCTACTCGCAACGGTGGCAGCAGTAAGGGGCCGCCTAAGACGTCAGCAGGTTTACACCCCCACCCCACTCCCCCAGCACCCCACCCCCTCCAGAACTACTCCTGAGGCAGAAATGGTGCATGGTCAGATGGAGGGCATGCTCCTTAGTGGGGACACTGGAGGACGTCAGGTGAAACCCATGCCTTCGAGGCTGTCTGATGTCTTTGTCTGTGATTCAGGAGTGGGTATTTCTATTCTGTGAGCATTTGGGGTCTAATGGCTGTTTGCTACTGTGCTTATTTTCTTGTTAAAACAAAGGAGACCCTGACTGGTTTAGGCTATTTTCCATTATTGTTTTTATTTCATTTATTTATTTTATTATGAGTGAAGGAAAGAAAGGAGAGAGGGAGGGAGGGAGGATGGGAAGGAAGGAAGGATGAAATCTTGCTCTGTTGCCCAGGCTGGAGTGCGGTGGCTACTGACAGGCACAATCATAGCTCACTGCAGCCTCAAACTCCTGGGCTCAAGTGATCCTCTTGCCTCAGCCTACTGAGTAGCTGGGACTACAGGTGCATGCCACCATGCCCAGCTTATTGTTTTTATTTTTTTTTATTTAATTTTATTTTTTCTATTTTTTTGAGACAGAGTCTCCTTCTGTTGCTGGAGTGCAGTGGCAAGATCTCGGCTCACTGCAACCTTCGCCACCCGGGTTCAAGCGATTCTCGTGCCTCAGCCTCCCCAGTAGCTGGGACTACAGGCGTGTGCCACCACACCTGGCTAATTTTTGTATTTTTAGTAGGGATGGGGTTGCGCCATGTTGGCCAGGCTGGTCTTGAACTCCTGGCCTCAAGAAATCTGCCCCACTTGGCCTGCCAAAGTGCTGGGATTACAGGCGTGAGCCACTGCACCCGGCCAGCTTATTGTTTTTATTAAGTAAAATCAGGAGAAAAAAGAAAACCACATAGATCAGAATTGTTTTATTTTGGGGAAAGTTACTTCTATTGGGGTTTTGCCTTAGTGTGTGGTTTAGCTAATTTAATCAGATGAATCAATGTTTGCAAATAGTGATGGTTTCTAATATAGTAAGACTTACAGAGAATGTTTAGCTTATTTTTGTGTTGTTTTGGGGTCTCTGGAGGACCTGTATGTGCTATGCAGTGGGATCCACACTGTACAGGTTAAGTTTATTTTGAGGTTCAAGGAATTGAGAAGTTAGCATTAGCCTTAACGATGAAGTTTAAATGACTTTTATTTTTTTATCGGTTCCACAAATGATGTAGACTTTTATTTTTTAAAACAGAGCAGCTGTAATGAGATCCACCAAATTGAAAGCCCTGAGCTTTAGGAGAAAAGGTTGATCTACACTGGTTGAATTCCCAGTTTGCTATTGGCTTGGAAAGAAGAGTGTTCTGGTGAGATTTTGAGAGCAGACTCTGGGAATGTCCTCTCTTGAGACTTGAGGGCGCAGGGATCTGGGGACAGGTCTTGGTGTCTGTCATCTGGGAGGTAGTGTCCTGCGAGAGGCAGCAGCCCAGCAGACACCAAGGGCCCCTGGGATCACGTGCTGACCTCTTAGTGGGCTTAGCAGGGCAGGAGGCCCACATGTGGCTTCTGTCCAGTGTGCCACTCGCCCTTGCAGTCACCCCTAAAGGACAGGTAGATGAGGCCTTTGCAGGTCGAGACGTCCCCAAAGGCTCTGTCTGTCCCACATGGAGCACACTGAGCGGGTCCCCTCTCTGTCCATCCCGTCCTTGGCTGTGGTGGCACTGGCACGCTGTGGCATGCTCTGCCCTGCACTGGCCGCTTTGTCCAGATGGAGACAAACGTGCTTTCAGTGTGTTGCCAAGGGGCAGGGAGAGGTGATATTGGCAGAGCCATGAGCGATGGCTGCCCGGCAGGTCATAAAGGCGGAGTAAATGTCGCCTCTTCTTAGAACTGTCACCTCAAGCCCGGTTACCACTAACACCCATTGGTTCCAAGGTGGGAGAGTTTGGGGGAAGAAATGAAGTACCCGACACAGCCTTGGCCCTTTCTACAAAGTGAGGGGCATACCTTATCTGTAACAAAAGCCTGTTTTTTTTGTTGTTGTTGTTTGTTTGTTTTAATGTCACTTGCTAATTTATTCACACAAAGAAAATGCTCCATAATGAAAACAACTTCATCCCATGTCTCCCTCCCACCCACACACACTCAAACCCCTCCTGTCCCCAACTGCAAGATGCGTTCCTACGTCTTGGCTATCTGAAGGTACTTTTAGAACCAAATCCTCATAAAAACCATTTAGAATAGTTGCCTGATAACTTGGTTTTATTGTTAAAGAAAGCCTGTTTGTGGCAGTTAGAGTCCAAAGGCCTTTGGAATGGAATGGAGTGGCATGTTTAAGGAGAGTGCTCAGAAGGCTTTGCTGAATGGTAGTCATGACAGCATTGATGGGGAGGTGAAGTGGGCTGATTAAATAACTCGAGTAGTTCCGACGTCCAGACCATGTTTTGGTAAGGTAGCCAGCGTCATGGACAGGGCAGGTAGCAACAGTTCTCTGCACCACGGAGGGTAGTTGTACCATTTACTCTGCTGGTTGTGGGTGTGCTTGCCTTTAATAGTACGGAAAGCAAGGTCATTGGTCTGCAGTTATAGTAAATGACAAAGAAGAGGAAGGAATCAGATCTTTCTTCAGTGATTTCACTACTTTGATTTGCCAACTATGACATGGTGGTTTATTAAATGTAAAGACACAGAGGAATGTTCTCTGGCTCAATGCCCTTGCAAAGAAAAGGATGCCTGCCACCCTCTCGGTGAGATGATAAGTGATCAAATAAGGGAAGATTTTTATCAGCCATTCGGCATATGTCGATCCCATGTGAGTGGACGTCTGGCTTACCATAGTGACCACATGTGCAGTGGTATTTAATAGTTCTCTGAATGTGTATAGGATCTGTAAAAAGTTTGGAATAAAAGCACAAGCTTCCTTTGGAGAAATGTGATTTAGTTGTAATAGCATTTCACTACTGCCACATTCAGTTCACCTGTGGTGGTAGTGCCTGTAACTTTGCATTCAGAGGAATTCGTGGACCTTCCTCCCTCTGCCTCCCCGATTTTGCCACTGAGTTTCATCTCTTTTCATGGTCTGGGCTCAATGTTTCTTTGCTGTGCTGTGACTGTAAAGTCTCTTTTATTGGTTACTTTCCCTAAACCTCGTATCTCTTCTCTATACCTTGGTTTTTGTTTTTCTATGAAGAGTATCTTCTTAACTCTTCTAGTACCTTGAGTAACCATGGGCTCTGGGAAGGGAATTTGAGGACAAATTGAGTAAAAATACAGTAAATTATTATGGGCTTTATGTAATGAGCAGAACATCAGAAAGGGCTAGGTGGGGATATTGTTTGCTGAGCTCTAGTGGGCAGAATTCCACAAAGGGCTAGGGGAGATTGTTTCTTGAAATCTCTTTCCTTTCCCTTTGCGTCTATTTACATGGCTAGAGCGCTTTATACATAGCATAGCATTTAGAGAACAGCAGTCTGCAATCCCTTGTTGCTTTTTTTTTTTTTTTTTTGGTATGGCTTTTGCCATGTGTATACTGATATGTTGACTCAACAAGTTAAACTTTTTGTGTCTTTTTTCTTATATCCGTGGTGTTCATCCTTAGGGCTATATAAAACGAGTCATATTAATGACTGCACACTTGAATGTGCTGAGTTTCTTTGCCAACAAATTCATTCTGTTGAAACATAGCCAGGAAATTGTGTGGGTGCCCTTTTTAAAACATCAAGCTGAATGAAATGATGATTTGACACCTGGGGCATATATATGGTTGAACACAAGTGGTTTGGATACTGGGACAGCGATCGTCTTTTTTTTTCCTTTTCTTTCCAACAGTAATGGGTTTATAGAAATGAACATTACAGAGGTTAATGGGAAAAACAAGTCATTCGGGTCTGCTCCACTCCTCTGTTCTGTGCCGCTCGGTTCTGCCTGTGGCTTCTGTGGCATTCCTCTGCAGTCTTTTCTGCCATAGGACCCAGGTTGAACACCAGAGGTGGAGGCCAGAGGCGGGGCACGCTCTTGCTAGGGGTGAGGCAGGCAGGCTGGCCAGGTGGAGAGCAACTCTGGGGCTCTCACCCCACGTGAATGCTGCTGCTGGGCCCTGGCGTTTGCTTACAATGAGGCTCTGATGTCTCAGTTTCAGCTACTTAGGTCATTTGGGAATTTTTATCTTGCCTCAGTTCTCTTCATGTTTAAAAGCAGGAACTACTTGCCTCTTATCTCCTAGGACCATAGACTTTATCAGACATGATGTCACCATTCACGCAGGCATTGCCGCACCACTGCCTGGGAAAAGACACTGCATATAAATCTTCCCACAGTGCCTTTAGGGGGCGACTTTTCTTATAGAAAATACATGCAGAGTTAACCATTTCTAGAGTGCTCTGGCGTACTTGTATACATTCATGTGATGTATGTGAGAAGCACTCCCACCACGTGGTTAAAATCATTCCTTTAGGTCCCGTCTTCCAGGAGCTTGCAGCTGAGTGGGCTGAAGAGCTCTCACAAGTGCGGACTCAGAGAGGAAGGAAGGGTGGAAGTTGATCCAGGAAAGTCTTTGCTGAGGACAGGCCAGCGGAGCGATCCTTTGTAGCTGAGCCAGTTTTGAGAGGCAGATATAAACGTCTGCCAGCCATACTAGGTGCTCCAAAGCTGGAAGCCATAGCTGGAAGTTCTAGTGAGAACAGTAGAGGGGGAGGCTTGGGAGAGGGAGGTGGAAACGTAGGATGGGGCCAGCACCCAGTGGCTCACACACAGCTGCTCAGGTGGTGCAGACACTCCTGTCCCACTGCAGCCCAGACTTCCTTGGTCTTGGGGAAATGAGAATTTGCTTTATCTGCCAAGACCCTAGATGCTACAGACGCTGCCGGCCCAGGGAGCATGCTCTGAGAACCCCTGGACTAGACCACAGAGAACCTAGGAGCATGGACTTCCTTTTGTGGAAACTGGGAGCAGCTGATGGTTCTAGAGTGAGGGCAAGACCTGGCCAGGGCTGTGTTGCATGCAGGGAGACTGATCTGGCAGGAGGTGCAGGCAGACTGGGAGAGGAAGAAGCCTTCCGGAGGATTGGCAGGAAAAGGAAGGAAGCAGAGTCAGAGCTGGGGTTCATTTGATGTTTGCAGAGAGGTGGTTTTTGTTTAAAGGATTAGAAGAGTGTGAGCAATTGCCAGGTAAATTCCCTTCTCCCCAGACCCTGGGGTCTGACATCAGGAAGCTTGTCACAGTCCCTGAGGCCCCCAGACTGTTTCCAGGGCTTCCCATCCTGGACCGGTATCTGCAAGGCCTTTCCAACTGCAGACTCTTCTTTCAAAACCTGCTCTTCCTTATCTCCAAGAAGCCCTTAGAAACTATTATTTATCTGTTTTCCCACAAAACGTTCCTCAGCTCCCAGTGTAGGCCAAAAGCCCCCCACGTATGTAATACCACCAACACCCCCCGCCCCCCATCGCAGTTTCCAGGCAGGGGGACCAGGTGGGCCTGTGTTTCAGACCGTAGGCTCCCAGCAGGCCAAGGCGCCTCCCCTCCCAGACCCTGCCTTGGCCTCCAGCCAGTGCTCTTACTGTGCACTTAGTTAGCTGGGGGCACGAAACACAAACTATTTGTCTTGGGAGGAGGTGCTTCTTTGCTTTCTTCTAAAAGGTTAGGAAAATAACCCAACACTCGTGATTTTTTTTTTCTTTTCTTTTTTTTTTTTTTTTTTTTTAGTTTGAGGGAAGGGAAGGAATTCTGCTCTTTGTGAATAATAAAGATTTCATTGAAGCAGTTCTTGTAATAATTCCTTTTAAAAATAAAACAGGATATTTGATATCTAATCTGTTCTTTCTTTTTTTTTAGAGATGGAGTCTTGCTCTGTCACCCAGGCAGAAGAACAGTGGTGCAATAATAGCTCGCTGCAGCCTTGAACTCCTGGGCTCAAACATACAGCTGTTGTTCTTAATGTTCAATGACATCCTAGCATTTTTTTATATTTGTGTTCTAAACCCTGTCCTTTAAAAAAAAAAAAAAAAAAACCCAAACACTACCTAGCATATAAAATTACTCTAAAAAATTGAAGTAAGTTTCAATGAAGTTTGGTATACAATCCATGGGGAAGGGATTTCAGGGGAACCCACCATTAGAATGAATCATTCCATCTGGAGTACCAGAAAACTCGATATTGTCGATACCATGGTGTTTTGTTATATGAAAGGAATAGTATGCATTGGCTAAACATTATGTTTTGGAAGAATGATAATGGCCTGGGCTGGGTGTGGTGGCTCATGCCTGTAATCCCAGCACTTTGGGAGGCCGAGGTGGGAGGATTGCTTGAGCCCAGGAGTTCAAGACCAGCCTGGGTGACATGATGAGACTTCATCTCTTTAAAAAATTTTTGAATTAAATAAATAAAATTTTTAAATGATAATGGCTTGGGAGAATGATCACAAAACCAGGCAGACTGGGGAAAGAAAGGCACTCGTCAAGTCTGCAGGATGAAAGGGAATACACAGAAACATGTCTGTCCTGCACATGAGACCCACGGTTCTAGGGACAAGGTGGTTTAAAGTGTTTAAAGAGTGCGTGGCTTGTGCAGGAGGAAACACCACAGCCTTCAGTCTACTCAAGTCCTTCTGGGAGCCCTTGAAACTCAGCCAGAGGGACCGGGAGTGTAGGCGGGCTCTAGGTGGCGCCAGAGCACTCTGTCCCCAACTCCACGGGTCTGTGATTGAGCGACCAGCATGTAGGGGCTGAAGGTCCTCCCCACCATCTCCTTATCAACACCAATCCAGCCATTTCAGAGGTGCCAACAAACAGAAACCACTCTGACCCCGGCTTGATCCCCAAATACATTCATTATGCACCAGGAAATTCAGAAGACTTGAGAAAAAAAGCATATATATTAGTAAATTTTCACTGTCCACAGTAACCAAGATATCTTCAGTTAAAGCAGAAAGAGTGCAACTCTTTTCACTGTGTGTCTTCATTTGCTTATTTAAAAAATTATCCCTAGGCCAGGTACAGGGGCTCACGCCTGTAATCCCAGCACTTTGAAAGACCGAGGCAGGCAGATTTCTTGAGCCCAGGAGTGTGAGACCAGCCTGGGCAACATAACGATACCCCATCTCTCATTATACAAAAAGTTAGCTTGGCGTGGTGGTGTGTGTCTGTGGTCCCAGCTACTCAAGAGGCTGAGGCGGGAGGATCACTTGAGCCCAGGAGGTCGAGGCTGCAGTGAGCCATGATTGCGTCACTGTACTCCAGCCTGGGTGGCAGAGGGAGAGCCTGTCAAAAAAAAAAAAAAAAAAGCCACAATTCGTATAAGAACTGCTGACCGTGTCATATGTAAGAACACATATATCTGTATATTATCTTTTTAAAAAGCAGCTTCTGGGTTTGTTTTCATTTTTTCATTGCCTCATACAGCATTGCTCATTCTCTTCAGACAGTTTGGAAAGAGTGTGTGCTTGTGCAGGAATAAACCAGGTGAGATGCATTTTCTGAAGGCATGGAAGTCTCACTTCCAGGCAGGTTCCCTGCCTGCCTCCGACAACTCCCACCCAAGATGCCTTCTGCACATGCATTCCCGTCCATGGGGAGCCCTCTTCCATGCCATCAGCCTCTCTGGCTGTGACGCCCCTGTTCGGACTGTCCTATCTTCCTCTTTCCCTGGCCTGCATTTTGACCTCAACCCTGTATCTTTTTGTCCCCGCCGATGGACACATCCACAGGGATGTCCCATAGCTATGGGAGATGCACAATATACACTTTGGGTTTTTGTTGTTGTTGATAATTATGGTAAAATACACATAAAATTTACCATCCTAACCATTGTAATGTTCAGTAGCATTAAGTGTATTCACATCATACAACCAATCTCCAGAAACTTGTTTCATCTTGCAAAACAGAGGCTCTATATGCATTAAACAGCAACTTCTCAGTCTCCCCTCCCCCACCCCCTGGCAACCACCATTCTACTTTCTGCATTCATGATTTTGACAAATCAGGTACCTCATATAAGTTGAATCATACAGCATTTGTCCTTTTGTAACTGTCTAATGTCACGTAGCATACCATCCCCAAGGTTCTTCCATGTTGTAGCATATGTCAAAATTTCCTTTTCATTGACAAGTAATATTCCATTGTATGGAATAGACCACATTTTGTTTGTCCATTCTTCCACCCATGGAACAGTATACGTTTTGACTAAATGGCCAGCTGTTAAAGTCTGTATTAGATATAAGCTGAGTATCATCATTATAGAATAAACTTCTAAGGTAAAAGTAAATCTGAAATGATATTATTATTACAATTTTGTTTTAAAACATAATGTTCCGATTTCAACAGAATGATTTTGGTCCAGGAACGGGATTGTTTAGCCTTCTCAGCTGCTAGAAGGCTTCTGTGGTCACTGCCTTATTCATTTGCAACACTGAATTAATTCTTATTTTAGCCTGAGGCCAGTGGAAGGTTGAGATGTATTTTGGGTTTTTTGGCTAACTGCTGGTTTAGGTTAATGTTACCAGCAAGCTGCTGTCTCCCCGATGTAACTGACCAAGCTAAAGGGCTAATTTCTCTTCATACTTGGATTTAAGGAATCGGTGCATGGGGATGATTCATTTTATTTGAAACAGTTCTGCAAACTGAAGCTTTGTGTACATGGGGAGGAAGATACTTCCTGGATATTTTCAGAAGCAGATTTAAGGCCGAGCATGGTGGCGCATGCCTGTAATCTCAGTGCTTTCGGAGGCTGAGGCAGGAGAGTTGCTTGAGGCCAGGAGTTTGAGACCAGCCTGGGCAACATAGCAAGACCTCATCTCTACAAAAAATAAAAAATTAAAATTATTATGTTTTTAAAAGCAGATTTAAGATGATTACTCTCCATTTTGATCATCTTTGCTGCATGAAAAGTGGCCCCAAAATTAGTGGTGTCAAACAGAAGTTCTAGTTGTAAAATTGAGCACAAAGCAATTGGCCTATACGGAGGTACTCAGAAGCATGCTATGTGTTAGGGCTGGCTATTTCAAGATTTAAAAATATGCTCTAGAAAATCTCTAAAAGGTAGTTATCTGCACATGATAGAAGGGTTGGGGAGGGAGGCGGTGTAAACAGTCACTGTGCTAGGGTTGCAGGCAGCAGACAGTCGCAGGGGCGTAGCAGCATTCCTGCCATGCAGCTGAGATGGGGTTACTACATCTCTAAGGCAGTGCTCCAGCTGCAGGGCTGCAGATGTTCCATATCTGTGCTGCCCAGGCAGTAGCCACTACCCACATGTGGCCATTGAGCACTCGCAATGTGGCCAGAATGACCAAGGAACTGAACTTTGGATTTTGTCACTTTGAATAAATTAACCACTTATGAATAAGGATAAGTGACTTCCCTCCTCCCTCTTGACTCGTCAGTGGCTACACCCGGGATTGATGTCCATCTGTCCAGGGCCAAAGCTAGGAATAGAGGCAGGGCACAGCTGCGACTCACTCTCTCCCTTCCCCCATGACAGGGGCCTTCCGCGGGGCTGGCTTGAGCAGCAGCAGATGCCCAGAAGCTTTGGGCCTTGGTTCTGGCTGCTGGCTGGGTTCCTCAGTCTTTTTCCACGTTGCCTCTGCAGGGGCCATACGTGCAAATGACTTCCTTCTCTCCTGTGTCTGGTGCGTGGGGCCAGGAGGTTGGGCGACAGCTGGGGCTGCCTGGTGTCGCTTTCCATACGGCCTTATCCACGTGGCTCACTTGGGCTTCCTCATGCCATGGCATGGCACGGTCACTGGATTCCTCATAATCTGTCACACGTATATATTTTTTAAAAGACAGGGTCTTGCTCTGTCCCCCAGGCTGGAGTGCAGTAGCGCAAACACGGCTCACTACAGCCTCAACCTCCTGGGCTCAAATCATCCTCCCACCTCATTCTCCCTAGTAGCTGCAACCACAGATGCGCGCCACCACGCCCGGCTGATTTTTAAATTTTGTGCTGAGATGGGGTCTTGCTATGCTACCCAGGCTGATCTCAAACTCCTGGCCGAAAGCAATCCTCCCACGGCAGTCTCTCAAAGTGCTGGGATTACAGGTGTGAGCCACAGCACCCGGCCATTTGCATGCATACTTTGTGAGAACAAAATCTGTTGCTAATATTCTTATATGTGCTTGCTAATGATAGTTTATCTGGGAGAACTTTTATTGTACCCATGGAGAACTGCTGACCCTCTAAACCAGCTAGTAGCCCAGTTATTCCCGAAGCAGGGCTGAACTAGCGTCGTCTTGAGTGTCAGACGTTTTCTTTTCCTAGCCTTCTCTTTTTCTCCCCTTTCCTCCAGTTTCAGTCAGTCTAGTTTATTTTCTTCATTAATTAACTATAAAGGAAGATGAAAGAAGTTGTGGATGTCATAGCACAGAGAAAGCCAGCTGAAAATGAAATTCACATGGCCAGAACCTTCCTTACGAGGATTTTGAGAAATTCCATGAGGTACAGTCTGGGTTTTACAATTGCTTTCCTTCCATGGGGTGCTGAATTTGTCTTTTATACTTTCTCTTTGGTTCCTGGGAAACTGTCATAAAGTCAGCATGTTCCACATTTTGCCACCCGTATACTTTTCCTCGTTAAAATGATCTGAGTCATCGAAAGGTTTGTGTTATACATGCTTTTCAGTTTTATTTTGTAAAATGTTCTTTATTGCATAATGTTCTTTAATGTTTTTGCCTGCTGGGAAAAACATCTGATCTCCACAAAGTATTTAAAGAGGCCCGCTTGAGCTCGTTCTCCATTCTTGATTGGGTTATCAGCTGTCAGTTCTGTCCCAAATTAGAGAAATGTAAAGCTGGCTTCCTACCATGAGGCTGGAGAAGTGAGCTCGGGAGGAGGATCTCACGCCCAGCAGTGTTCCCCTGGAGGCCCTATTGCATTACCGACATCCATTGGGATTTCTAACCAGACACACCTCATCACATCTGGGCAGATGTGGCCAAGACACTAAGAAGCCACACATGGGATGGTGGGGACTGTGGCGGGGGAGCCCAGGAAAGCTCGTCCATATTCAGGAGCCCTGGCTGAAGGGACTTTAGCCTTTTGGTGTGGGTTGTCATGACTCCCTGGGGGGATCTTTGGTTGACTAAGAGGCTCAGGGGAAGATGCGGCTACTAGTCTTAGTTAACCAGAAGGTGGCTGTCTTTACTTTGTTACCTAGGTAAATAGACACAGATAAGCTGTCTGAACTGTGTGTGACCCAGCCGCCTGAGGGACCCATATACCTTTTCTCCAGCAAAAGATAGGAGATGCTGTTTGTGTTCATACTGGGGCAGGGAGAGGGCAACATTTGCTTACTTATTTATTTAGAATAAATGTTCTTTATTTATTTTTACATTTGTAAGATTTTAAATTGACAAGTTAACAGTTGTCCATATTTATGGAGGAACACATTTTAGAGATAAGGGCTGGCTGAGTGTGGTGGCTCACACCTGTAATCCCAGTACTTTGGGAGGCCAAGGTGAGTGGATCACTTGAGGTCAGGAGTTCAAGACCAGCCTGGCCAACATGGTAAAACCTGGTCTCTGCTAAAAATACAGAAATTAGCTGGGCGTGGTGGTGAGCGCCTGTAATCCCAGCTACTTGGGAGGCTAAGGCAGGAGAATCGCTTGAACCTGGGAGGCCCAGGTTGCAGTGAGCCAAGATCATGCCATTGCACTCCAGCCTGGGCAACAAAGTGAGACTCTGTCTCAAAAATAAAATAAAAATAAAGATAAGGGCTGCTGCACATCTAGAGCCTGTGATTCCCACTCTGCGTTAGGGCAAATGGGTGGTGAACAAAAATCTAAAAAGAAGGTGTGGGTTTGGATTCAGCTGGCAACCCCTGAACATGGTGCCGTGCACCTGCCTGAGTTGCTGTGATCAGTGTCAGTCTCTGCACTGTTTGGCACAAGCGTGCGCGCTGTGCGCATTCCCTGAACCCCCTGCACTGTTTGGCTCGAGCGCGCACGCGCTGCTTGCGGTCCCCAAGCCCCCTGCACTGTTTGGCACGAGCACGCGTGCGCTGCGTGCGGTCCTCGAGCCCCCTGCACTGTTTGGCACGAGAGTGCACGTGCTGTGTGTGGTCTCCAAGTCCCCTGCACTGTTCGTTTGGCACACGCGCATGTGCTGTGTGCAGTCCCGAGCCCCCTGCACTGTTTGGCACAAGCGCACGTGCGCTGTGTGCGGTCCTCAAGCCCCCTGCACTGTTTGGCACGAGCGTGTGCCCTGTGTGCGGTCCCCAAGCCCCCTGCACTGTTTGGCACGAGAGTGAGCGCTGTGTGCAGTCCCTGACCCCCCGCCTCCCCTGCGTTCTTTTCTAGGAGGAGCGAGCTGGGCTGGAGGCCTCACTCCTGGCATGCCACCAAGTTCTCTGACAGCCACCCCGAGCTAGCGGCCTCCCCATTCACCTCCACCAGCGGCTGTCCTTCCTGGTCCGGCCGACACCACGCGAGGTAGGCACCCATTCCCGTCCAGGATGCCAGGTTTGTTCAGCCTTCTGCAGGGAGCGCACTCCTGACTGCAGAATGATTTTGATGTTTCTGATGAGACTGGGCCACCGACACATAATCACAGTTGGAGGGCTCTGAATTTTTGACTGAACCGGCAAGCGTGTGACACAAAATGAAATGGCAAGACAAGGCATGAGCAAGAAGGGGAGCATAGGACTTGGGTTTCAGCCAAGCTTCTTTGGGATTGGCCAGGTGGGATGCCAGGCAGTAGGGTTCTGAGCCGGTGGGGTGGCATCCACGGCACCCCTCTCCTTTCCAGGGTTTTACACATGGACTGGAAGGCAGGAGATATATATGGGGTGGCAGGTATATCTTGTAAAAGCTCCCAAGAGGTTCTTTAAGCTTTGGTAGCCTCTCCTCAACCCTCTTGGAGTTAGTGGCAGTATCCTCACTAGTCTCCTGTTAAGAGGATGGCGGTAACAGCAGATAGTCTGCTTTTGGTGTGCGTGTGTGGATGTCTCCCTGCTTGCGTGAGTGTGTGTGTGTATCTGTGTATGTTTACGGGTGTGAGTGTGTGGGGGGGTGTGAGTGTGCATGTGTATTTCTACACGTTTGTGTGTGTGTGTCTTTGTATGTGTATGAGTGTTCATGTGTCTGTTCGTGTGTGCCTGTATGTGTGCCTGTGCATCTCTTTGCTTGTATGTGCATGTGTGTGCACATGTATATGTGTATGTGAGTGTGTGAGTATCAGTGAGCATGTTTGGTGTGTGTGTGTGTGTGTGTGTGTGCGCGTGCGTGCACACGCAGGTATGTGTCTGTGTTTGGAGCTAATGTAACCACTCAGTTTTTGGCTGTTAATAAATGCTGGTCTTGGCTGGGCGCAATGGTTCATGTCTGTAATCCCAACACTTTGGGAAGCTAAGGTGGGAAGATTGTTTGAGTTCAAGACCACCCGGGACAACACAGCAAGACCCCATCTCTATTAAAAATAAAAGAAAATTAGCTGGGCATTGTGTGCACACCTGTAGTCCCAGCTACTCAGGAGACTGAGGCAGTAGGATCACTGAAGCCCAGGAGTTCGAGGCTGCAGTGAGCTATGATTGCAGCACCGCACTCCAGTCTGGGCAACAGAGCAAGACCTCGTCTCTTAAAAAAAAAAAAAAAAGAAAAGAAAAAAAAATACTGGTCTGTAAAATTGCAAGGTAAAGATTTATATGACACGAAGGAAAGACAACTGAAATATAACATTACCCCTAAAGTGACAAAAGATGATGGTATTTAGAGCCCAGTGTATTTTTTGGGGAAAAAAAAAACACAAAAAAACAAAAAGCCACAGATTCTCAACTGAGTAGTAACACTTAAGTGAACAGTGGGCCTTTTATTTTATTCCTGAAGTGACTTAAGGTGATGAGATCTCCATTAAGCCCATTTGGCAGTCTCTTGATGAAAGAAACATGCACACTGCCCACATCTGTGTGGAAACAGTGCTCAGAGTTCTCTAGATCTGCTTGGACTTGGGATCTCACAGAAAAGTCCCTTCCAGAATACTGGTGGGTAGTCAGGAGCATGCCCCGGGTTTGAGGATACGTGGTCTGTTCTTACAGAAGATGGGTGGGAAACCCAAACAGTCCTCTCCCTCCCATAGATGACAGCCAGTTGTTCTCCAGTGTTCTGTCCTGGTCACACGGTTCTCTCATCCTCACTCTCCCCCAACCTAGTGGAGCCACAGCTTCTTCCTGTTGAAGGGTGAACATCTCAGCTTTGTTGAGCTTTAAAGAAAGCACTTAACATCCTGGATAAATAGTTTCACCATTGAGAGCTCTCAGTCACACACAGTTATTACCTTACAGAGGAATCAATGTGTCAACTCACCGTCAATTTCATCCTCTTAGACACCATCCTGTTTAGGAGCCTGTGTTTTTTGGTGTGAGTGTCAATAACTCTGTAGGGTATAACCAGTTAGCTGAAAGCTGAACACAGCAGTGTGTGATATTATTATTATTATTATTATCTTTGAAACAGGGTTTTACTCCATTGCCCAGGCTGGAGTGCAGTGGCGCAGTCACAGCTCACTGCAGCCTCAACCTCCCAGGCTCAAGCCATCTTCCCACCTCAGCCTCCCAAGTAGCTGGGACTACAGGCATGCACCACCACATCCAGCTAATTTTTTAAAAAGTTTTTATAGAGATGGGGGTCTCACTATATTGCTAAGTAAGGCTGGTCTCAAACTCCTGGCCTCAAGTGATCCTCCAGCCTCAAGTGATCCTCCTGCCTTAGCGTCTCAAAGCACTGGGATTTCAGGTGTGAGCCACCAAACCTGGTCTGTAACAGGCTAGCTAGTAAATGCTTTTGGCTTTGCAGGCCGCACATCTCTGTTGCAGTTACTCAGCTCTTTCATTATAGCCCAAGAGCAGCCACAGACACTACGCAGACACATGGGCACAGTTGGGTTCCAGTAAAGCTTCATGTATGAACTGAAATTTGAATTTCATATCATTTTCACAGGTGAAATAGGAGAAATAGTATGCCTCTTCTCCCACCATAAAACATATAAAAACCATTTGGGCTGGGTGCGGTGGCTCATATCTGTAATCCCAGCACTTTGGGAGGCCGAGGCAGGCAGATCACTTGAGGTCAGGAATTCGAGACCAGCCTGGCCAACATGGTGAAACCCCGTCTCTACTAAAAATACAACAAAATTAGCCGGGCACAGTGGCAGGCACCTATAATCCCAGCTACTCGGGAGGCTGAGGCAGGAGAATCGCTTGAACCCAGGAGGCGAAGGTTGCAGTGAGCTGAGATCACGCGTCTGCACTCCAGCCTAGGCGACAGAGTGAGACTGTCTCAAAAAAAAAAAAAAAACCAAAATCAACAACAACAACAACCTGAGTTGTGGTGTGGCCACCCCTGCGCTTAACTGTTGATTGACCATAGACGTGTAAATGCAGACGTTGCCTGCCAACGATCCGGGCATCAGGCTGAGAATGTGCGCTAGGGTTGCAAGGCATCTGTTTGGTAAAAGCCATGTAACAGGGAGGACACAGTCTTTTCAGCCTGTGCCCAGTTTCTCCGTGTCTCTACTAAAATCCAGATGTGCTGAGCTGCAACCTCAGCCTCAGCAACATCACCGTGGGAAATTACTGTTTGGCATTTTGGTATTTCCACAGAGGGTCAGCTGCGTCCACCGCCTTGCCCTTTGCCATTGCTGTTGCTAAAGCACACCATGCCTTGTCCTTCTTCTCATTCTTGCAGTTCTTCCTCCCACGACCTGTCCAGTTCCTGGGAGCAGACGAACCTACAGCGCACCTTAGATCACTTCAGCTCCTTGGGGAGCGTTGACAGCCTGGACCACCCCTCCAGTCGCCTCTCGGTGGCCAAGTCCAACAGCAGCATCGACCACCTGGGCAGCCACAGCAAGCGCGACTCGGCCTACGGCTCCTTCTCCACCAGCTCTAGCACTCCTGACCACACCTTGTCCAAAGCCGACACGTCCTCCGCAGAGAACATCCTCTACACTGTGGGCCTCTGGGAGGCTCCCAGGCAGGGTGGCCGGCAGGCCCAGGCCGCAGGCGACCCTCAGGGCTCGGAGGAGAAGCTCAGTTGTTTCCCGCCCAGGGTCCCCGGTGACAGCGGCAAAGGCCCCAGGCCAGAGTACAATGCCGAGCCCAAGCTGGCTGCCCCTGGGAGGTCCAATTTTGGGCCAGTCTGGTATGTTCCCGATAAGAAGAAAGCACCATCATCCCCACCTCCTCCCCCTCCCCCTCTCCGCAGTGACAGCTTTGCTGCCACCAAGAGCCACGAGAAGGCCCAGGGCCCTGTGTTCTCAGAGGCGGCTGCGGCACAGCACTTTACGGCCCTGGCCCAGGCTCAGCCTCGTGGTGACCGGAGACCAGAGCTCACCGATCGGCCTTGGAGGTCAGCACACCCGGGGAGCCTCGGGAAGGGATCGGGAGGCCCGGGCTGCCCACAGGAGGCCCACGCAGACGGCAGCTGGCCGCCCTCCAAGGATGGAGCTTCCAGTAGGCTGCAGGCCTCTCTGTCCAGCTCAGATGTGCGCTTCCCTCAGTCTCCTCATAGCGGCCGACACCCTCCCCTATACAGCGACCACAGCCCCCTCTGTGCTGACAGCCTTGGGCAGGAGCCAGGGGCTGCCAGCTTCCAGAACGACAGCCCTCCTCAGGTGAGGGGGCTCAGCAGCTGTGACCAGAAGCTGGGGAGCGGCTGGCAGGGTCCCCGGCCCTGTGTGCAGGGAGACCTGCAAGCAGCACAGCTCTGGGCGGGATGCTGGCCTTCTGACACAGCCCTTGGAGCCCTCGAGAGTCTTCCCCCACCCACGGTGGGCCAGAGCCCACGCCATCACCTACCTCAGCCTGAGGGTCCTCCGGATGCCCGCGAGACAGGACGGTGTTACCCGCTGGACAAAGGGGCCGAGGGCTGCTCCGCGGGAGCCCAGGAGCCTCCCAGGGCCAGCCGTGCAGAAAAAGCCAGCCAGAGGCTGGCAGCCAGCATCACGTGGGCAGATGGGGAGAGCAGCAGGATCTGCCCGCAGGAGACGCCCCTGTTGCACTCCCTGACCCAGGAGGGGAAGCGCCGGCCTGAGAGCAGTCCAGAGGACAGCGCCACCAGACCGCCACCGTTCGACGCCCACGTGGGCAAGCCCACCCGAAGAAGCGACCGCTTTGCCACCACCCTGCGGAATGAGATCCAGATGCATAGAGCCAAGCTGCAGAAGAGCCGGAGCACAGTGGCTCTGACTGCAGCAGGGGAGGCGGAGGATGGCACCGGCCGCTGGAGGGCCGGGTTGGGAGGTGGCACCCAGGAAGGACCCCTCGCTGGCACCTATAAAGACCACCTGAAAGAGGCCCAAGCCCGGGTCCTGAGGGCCACGTCCTTCAAGCGCCGCGACTTGGACCCCAACCCAGGAGACCTATACCCGGAGTCACTGGAACACCGGATGGGGGATCCAGACACTGTCCCCCACTTCTGGGAGGCAGGCCTGGCCCAGCCACCCTCATCTACAAGTGGCGGGCCCCACCCGCCCCGCATCGGAGGCCGGAGACGGTTCACAGCTGAGCAGAAATTGAAGTCCTACTCGGAACCTGAGAAGATGAACGAGGTGGGCCTCACGAGGGGCTACAGTCCTCACCAGCACCCCAGGACATCTGAGGATACTGTGGGCACGTTTGCTGACAGGTGGAAGTTTTTTGAGGAAACGAGCAAACCTGTTCCCCAGAGGCCTGCCCAGAAGCAAGCTCTTCACGGAATCCCGAGAGACAAGCCAGAGAGGCCGCGGACAGCGGGCCGCACATGTGAGGGCACGGAGCCCTGGTCGCGCACCACCTCCCTTGGGGACAGCCTCAACGCTCACAGCGCAGCGGAGAAGGCAGGGACTTCAGACCTGCCGCGGAGGCTCGGCACCTTTGCAGAGTATCAGGCCTCTTGGAAGGAACAGAGGAAACCTCTGGAGGCCAGGAGCTCTGGGCGCTGCCACTCAGCGGATGACATCCTGGATGTGAGCCTGGACCCACAGGAGAGGCCGCAGCACGTTCATGGGAGGTCCCGGTCTTCACCGTCCACAGACCACTACAAGCAGGTAAGCATGGAGCCACAGCCCCCTTGACCATCATCTTAACCCAAGGACAGGACACACCCAGAATGCAGTGGCTGACGCCAGGGCTACTCAGCTCCAGCTGTGCGAGCATTTACCTTTTCCAGATCTCCTAGTGTCCTCTGTTAGAGGTATTTGGGGACAAAGTTGACACCTTCAAGGCAATTTAAACTGCCATATTCCCGAAAACCCACATTTTTCATTCTCGTTCTCGTTGCCATAATCTCTGGCTTTAACTGAGTTTCCCCTTAAGTAGCTTGCTCCTACCTTCATACTCAGCAAAGAACTTGGAGGGAGAAACTATGGAAAATGATAACTAACGCCTCTGACATGGAAATGTGTGGTTTATGTAAAAGCTTAAAATGACATACAGTAGCCACTTTTCAAACACTGATGGATGACCTTTAATATTTATAGTATTTGGGTTTTTTTAGTATTCTGTTTTTTATTTGCAAGTATTTTCAAGGATTGCTCTGGGACAAAATGTATTTAAAACACATTAAGTGATTGCACTTTATTAAGGTGAGAGTTTTGATGGTGAGAGTTAATGTCCAGCTTTCTAGAAAACTGCATATTTCTTAGCCCTGCTTCAAAGTGAACAGTCTCTTTCTCTCTTGCACCTACCCCCTTTGAAAGCTTTTTCTCCCTATTACATCTGCACTTGCACATCTCAAAGAAAAAAATGTTCCACAATGATAGATGCAGTTTCTTTTTAAAAGAATCCAGGGTGGGTGCGGTGGTGCATTTGCAGTTCTAGTACTTTGGAAGACCGAGGAAGGATGATCACTTGAGGCCAGGAGTTCCAGACCAGTCTGGGCAACAAAGCAAGACCTTATCTCTACAAAAAAAAAAAAAAGAAAAAAAAAACTTAAGACAGGTGTGGCGGTGCCCAAGGAGGTTCAGGTTGTGGCGAACTGTGTTCTCACCACTATACTCCAGCCTGGGCAAAAGAGCAAGACCCTGTCTCAAAAAAAAAAAAAAAAAAAAGAACCACTAGTAATTTAATACAAGATACCTAATAAGTGCATGGAAAGAAGGCTGCTGGTTTGCTCTGTGGCGTCCCAGCCCTGAAAATCCACACAGATGCTGTGAGTGTTTATTTCCACTGTTGGATACCCTGGCTTGTGGCTATTCAGCATGACCTCTGAGAATTCCATGCTTGCTCTGTCAGGAGCAAAGAATCCCAGGCTCTGACGAGTACTAGAGCTTGAGGCTTCACCGCTGTAATTTGTGACCAGCTGTATTTTATTTTATTTCTTTTGGCCAATTGTGCCACACGGTTTTACAGGCTTCACGTAGGAGTTGTTTCCTGCCCAGAACAGAAGTGGACGTGGGGTCTTATTTCAGTCATCTCAATGAAATGCTTTGTAGAACTGCCCTGGCAAGGCAAACCCACAAATGAGGGCTTTCATAATCACAGATGTCCTGAGGAAGGCAGCTTGAGGACTTGGTGTCTCATTATGTTGCCCTTTGCAGGAAGCTTCTGTCGAACTGCGAAGGCAGGCAGGGGACCCCGGCGAGCCCAGAGAAGAGCTTCCCTCCGCAGTCCGGGCCGAGGAGGGACAGTCCACGCCGAGGTGGGTGAAATTTGGATTCAGAGTTACTGAAGAGGCGTCTGAGGGTGGGCTTCTGTACGATGGGTGGGTGCTTGGTTAACATGGCTAGATGTCTGGCTTTTGCCAAACCCAAAGCGGCTGAAATCCGGCGTGATTTCTAGCATCCCTGACGTACTGGAGGTCTGGGCAGAGCCTGTGCACCCTGCAGCCCTGCCTGGAGACACATCCCAGGGCGGGGAGGCCTTCTTACACGGCGGTGACATTTTTTGGTTCTTAAAATGGCTACTGTGTTTTCCGCACGGTGAGACTGCTTATGGAGACATAATGAGAAGTCCAGTTGAACATACTGGAGCTGCACGCTTTGCACAGAGCGCCTTATGGAAGGGCAGCTTTAGCTATCTAGCACACAGCTGTGTGCCTAGCCGCGGCCTGGAAATCAGAGTTGCCTCTAAGGATTGTTAGTAAGAAAGGAACAGGGCAGGCCTTCCTAAATTGGACCTAGTTAATGAGTTAATTTTGAGCTTTAAAATAGAAATCGAGTTAGTCACCTCCCAAAGAGAGGCTTCAAGCATCTGCAGGAACTGTGGCAGCAGCAGGAGATTAGAGCGTTTTGTGCCATAATTCCAGAATGTGCGCCGTAGCCGCTTAGTTGAGACAAGGACAGGGTTAGATTAAATACATAGTATAATCTGTGCTGGGTGTGGTGGTTCACACCTGTATTCCCAGCACTTTGGGAGGCTGAGGCAGGTGAATCGCTTGAGCCCAGGAGTTCAAGACCAGCCTGGGCAACATGGTGAGATCCCATCTCTACTAAAAATAGAAAAAAAAAAATTAGCCAGGTGTGGTGGCAGATGCCTGTAGTCCCAGCTACCCTGGAGGCTGAGCTACTCGTTCAAGCACGAGAATCGCTTGAACCTGGGAAGTGGATGTTGCAGTGAATGGGGATTGCGCCACTGCACTCCAGCCTGGGCAACAGAGCGAGACCCTGTCTCAAAAAAAAAAAAATAGTATAATCTTCCCCTTCATCACACGAGGAGGGCAGGCAGAGAGTGTGCGTCTCTACAGAAGATGTGGTGCAATCTTGTTTCAAAAAGGCGGATGGAGGGATGGGAGTAAATGCACGACAGGGTCCCCGGGTGTGGATTTTTCTGTCGCCTTGAGAATGTTGTGTGATTGCCATGACATTCACATTAAACACTGACCTCAAAACTCAAGGTTCTGTTGCAGAAATTACCAATTTAAAAGTTTGCTTTCAAGAGCCTCATGTAATGGGGTTTTATTTCATTTGGCCTTAAACAGAGCTGTTATCCTTCTACAAGGGGATCAAATATTTATGTGACTCTGCAACGACAGGATTGATATTGTGTGTGTGCTTGTGTAGGAAGTCTCTGCAGTTACTTAACAGACTCTGAGGCTGAAACCAAGAATGCGTGGGTCAGAAAGGCCGACGAATAATCCACCTACAGAATTTAGCTGTGTCTGAGAAGCACAATTAGAGCTTTATGACTGTGGATTCCAAGTAGGTCACGTGCCGAGCACCAGCTGCAGTCTGTTTTCCAAGCCAGCTCCCAGGCCGTTGAGGCTGGCCGTGCAGTGCATCGTGGGCAGTGCTCGATGGGCTCTGCACATGCGGGCCTTGCTTTGCCCGATGCCACCAGTGTATCATCTGTGCAGAGGGCACCCGTGCTGGTGAGAGTGTATAGCTCTGCTGTGCATGGAGGGGGTCGCCCTGAACAGCTGTCACGTGCAGGCTGTGTGTGAGTGAGTGAATGGCACTGTCGATACTGAAAGGGTCGAGAGGAAGCGGGGCCCCCTGCTTCATTCATCAAGGCCATGTCTCCCAGCAGACTGCATAACCACTCCAAAGAAATTAGTTCCAGAAACTCTCTGCTTTTGAGCTACCAACCCAGCAATTTTCAGAATTGTTGGGTGCGGTTTTTTTTTTGAGTGGTGAGGCGCGATGAAATTCGAGAATATGTAGGTTGAAAAGTTGTTTTCAACTTTTTTCAGAGACTCTTTAATTTCTGAAGGACCAGCAAGAAAGAATACACTTGAAAAATTTCAATGGAGAATAATAGAAGTCAAAGTTCAGGCAAGGGATTGTTCTTTGCCCACCAAAAAGAAAATCTAGAATACAAAGGTTTGAAGATACCCAGTGTTTTGCATAAGTTTCAAATAACGTAAACATGTCTGTGTAAATCATATGAAGTGCTGCTCTGATAATCGATGCGTAGCAAAAAGTATGTATTGTATTCTGTTTGGATAACAAAAGAATGTTGAGATCGGAATTGTTTTTTGTTGTTGTTGCTCATGTGAACCAAATAGAGATAACATTTTTTGTGAAGTTCAAGATCCTGTTAATATAAAGACAAGTAGGGCAGATTGAAGTGATGATACTTTTTTTTTAAGTTACATGATGTTTCAGAAGCTCAGAGGAGATAGAGCAAAGTGACTTCTGGCTGGGTTATGGGAGAAACAGGTGGCGTTTGAGCTAAAATAGAACTGAACCTGAGGGAGCAGACCCAGCACGTTTGCTTCCCTCCAGCTCTTCTGTCCTGAACAGCCCACCGCACCCCAGCCCCCACCCCCACTGCCATCAGAGGCTTCACCTCAGACCCACAAGCTCAGGCATCATAGCCAGCTGGAGCCTGCTTTGGGGAAATGCTCTCTCCTGCTGACTTGGGGCCCCTTGAATGCTGGGTCTGTTTCCTAGTGTGGCCATAACAAACTCCCCAAGACTGGGGGACTCAAACAACAGAAGTGGATTCTCCCACAGTCCTAGAGGCTGGAAGTTCCAGAGCAAGGTGTGAGCAGGGCTGGTTCCTCCTGGGGCCTCTCTCCTAGGCTTGTAGATGCCGTCTTCTCCCTGTGTCCTCACAAGGTCGTCCCTCTGCGCATTTTTGTATCATTTCTTCTTATAAGGACCCCAGTCCTATTGGATCAGAGCCCTCCCCAATGGCCCTAATTACCTAATTTTACCTTAATTACTTCTTCTAAGGCCCTGTCTTCCAATACAGTCACATTCTGAGATACTAAGAGTTATGGCTTCAGCACATTGATTTTGTGGGGCACAGTTCAGTCCCTAACACTGGGAGAAATGTCCCTGCTTCTCCATTCTACCTTTATAGTAACCACTTCTACCTGCTGTCAGCTCTCTCAGGAAGTGTCATCCTACCCTTGAGCTGATCAGGCTTTACGTTCATGACAGATGTGAAAGCCTTTAAGATGAAGGGAAGAGGGAGCTGTCACCCTGTGGGTGGCACAGAAGAGGGGCATTTGGCAAAACCTGACTGGAGGGCTTTTTGAGAAACCTGTCTGGAGGGTTCCTTGGCACCATGCAACTGAAGGCTGACAGCTCTGCACACCTTCTGGTTCAGTCAATCCATCTTTAAGAGTTTACCTTGAAAGTGGACATCCACTGCCCCATGAATGTGCTAACCTCTTCAAACTGGGATGGTTTGGCAGGGGGACAGTGACTCTTAAACTCACATCACGGATGTATTTGTACACCTTCACTATTCCTTGCTGTCTGCTGGGCTGGACCGTTGGCTCCTGGAAGATGGGATTTTACTTTTTCATTTCTCAGTACCCCGTACCTGACATAATTCCTGCACAGATTACATGCTCAATAAATGGTTGGATGGATGGAGGGACTGGTGGATGGACAGATGGGTGGTTGAGTAGACAGATGGATGGACCAGTCCTCAGGTAGATAGTTGGAGGGTGGGGAGGGTGGGTGGATGAATAGTTGGATGGATGGAAGGGTAAGTGGATAGATGGATGGATGGATGCATGGATGGATACATGGATGAGATGTAGGGATGCATGGATGGATAGATGGATGAATGGAAGAGTAAGTGGATGGATGGATAGATGGGTGTGTGGATGGATGCAGAGGTGTATGGATGGATGGATGGGAGGGTAAGTGGTTGGATGGACGAATGGAAAAGTAAGTGGGTGGGTGGGAGGATGGATGGATAAGTAGATGGATGGATGAAAGGGAGGGTGAGTGGGTGGATAGATGGATGGATAGAGGGGAGGGCAAGTGGATGGATGGATACATGGGTGCATGGATGGATGGAGGCATGGGAAGGTGGATGGATGAGTGAATGGGAAGATAGAAGGATGGGTAGGTGGATGTATAAACAGATGGATTGGTGGCTGAATGGATAAATACCAGGCTGACCTTCCTTGAGTTAGTCTTTCTTGATTGTGGTGAATAATCTTTCCATATTGGTACATTGTGTGTCCTAAAATTTTATTTAGAATTTTAGTTTACACACTAGTAAGTGAAATGGCCTTTATTTATCCTTCTGCACTAGCATGGCATTTGGAATCAAGAAGACATAAACATCTCAAAATAAATTTGGTAGCACAGATTTGTTTTGGGTATGAGATTTTAGACCTTGTAGGAAAGTTTAGAGGTACCACATTTGTTCGTTGCTCCTCAATTTCGAGAGGCCTTGGGTGAGGACTGTGTTCTGGGTGGCTCCAGAGACTGGCACTGAAATGAGATCTGGGGGCGGCCCCCTGGAGCTGTGGGTGCTGGCAGTGTCTTCCTTCTGTGCCTTCTTGCAGCCACTTCCGCCCCCGCCTGCAGGAGCCACTGCCAAGCACTGATGAGCTGGCACTGACCTCAGGCTTGTATTTTGTTGGGACAGATGGGAGGGGAGGCAAAGAAAGAGAGTATATCCTAAATCCCAATACCAGCTGCAAAATTGAATGCATACGAAATAGAGCTCTTTAGGGAAAAATTTGCTTTCATATAATATGTATAAACAAGCTAAATGAACCTGAGGGTCATCTTCCTGGATGTTTTCCCTGAGAGGTGACTTGGTGTACAGAGATTCATGTGAAGACCAATTTTTCATTTACAAAACAAGCTCCTTCATGTAGATTTCAGAATAAGTAACAGAGATTTATCATCCAAGCTCTCCCCCTCATTTGTCACTTTAGGGCAGATGTTTGCTTTCCCTGGCCTTCAATTAGCTCAGGGCAATTGAAGCTTTCCATTCTGAGCTGCTGTGCTAGGTAATTATGAATAGACTGTGCTGGATCGGGTCAGGATAAAAAGGTGAAACTTGATCTTGGAATTTTGTCAGGGCAGAGCCCAGCATTCTGCATAGCTTTGTACAGTGTAGTACTGCATGCTGAGCAGAAAGGTTCTTGTGCAGGGAGTACTTGCGGATGTAACACCCTCACCCCAGAAGGGATAAACGGTAGCTGTAGGAGAGAGCCTGCGGCATGGGTCTAGCGGACTTCCCTTTATGTCTTTTTTTGATGTTGTTTTTTGAGACAGGGTCTCGCCCTGTCACCCAGGCTGGAGTGCAGTAGTGCGACCTCTGCTCACTGCAGCCTCCACCTCCTGGGCTCACGTGATCCTCCCACCTCAGCCTCTGGAGTAGCTGGGACTATAGGTGCACACCACCATGCCAGCTAATGTTTGTATTTTTTTTGTAAAGATGAGGTCTCACCGTGTTGCCCAAGCTGGTCTTGAACTCCTGGGCTCAAGCGATCCACCCATCTCAGCCTCCCAAAGTGCTGAGATTACAGGTGTGAGCCACCACACCTGGCCTTGTTTTTATGCCTTACTTTGCAACTACAATTTCCCCTTACATTTATACCCATGGGGACTTTAAGAAACCCAGGACCGAGACAGGCGGCCACCCGTTTGTTTACTTTTTGGTTTGGTCGCGTGATTCTAGATTATTTAGAAGGAATAGCTTTCAGGTGATAGTTTATGGTTACAGGATTTCGGCTAAGGAGGAGAAGCGGGAGCAGGGAGGCAGATCCACAAAGCCCTCGTGTGGAGGGAGAAGTGTGCAAAAGGAGGGTGAAAGTGACCAATGCCCCAAGATGCCAGAGCTGAGGGAAGCCAGAGGGAAATGCAGAGGAAAATTTAACTCAGGCATCTCAGTTCTAGATGGGGCAGGTAAGCAGTCTTCTACAAACAGAATTTGTGTCATTGAGCAGGGCACAGTGGCACGTGTCTCTAATCCCAGCACTTTGGGAGTCTGAGGCAGGAGGATCACTTGAGTCCAGGAGTTCGAGACCAGCTGGGGCAACCTAGCAATACTCTATCTCTACAAAAAATACAACAGTTGCTGCCCCATGGTTGGGTGCCAACATACGTAGCTGTACTCGCACAGGATCCTTGATCCCTCATGTGACTCCTAGGCTGTGGCCTGAGACTTGCCTTTCCAGAAGAATCCAGCCCTGTGGAAAGCTGCCCCTTTGTTTCCCAGCAGCCCCATCCCTGGAGCCCCCAGCGGCCTCTCTTGGGGGAGAGACTCCCGTAGCACGTGCTGACGTGGCAGCCCCGCTCTGCTCTGCCTCTCCTCTGGCCTCCTTTCTTGTCAGCTGGCTGCGTTCTTCAAAGCTCTCAGCCTCTGGGCCGACCTTGGCTGCGTTCGCATGTTACGGGATCCTTTGGGGCTTTCACCTTTCTCCAGAGAGCTACCTGGAAACATAGATGTCCATTCTCCCCTTTAGCTTCTTCCAGCCTCCATTCCTCTTGGCTGTGTCCTAGTCCAGTCCTCCACCCAGATTGGGCTGAGGTGACACAGACATCCACCCAGAAGGCTGTACAGATTGATAACCGATTGATTCATTCAAAGGGTCTTGCTCTGTCACCCAGGCTGGAGTGCAGTGGCACAATCATGGCTCACTGCAGCCTCAACCTCCAAGCTCAAGTGATCCTCCCGAGTAGCTGGGATCACAGGCATGCGCCAGCACACCTAGCTAATTAAAAAAACAAAAAAAGTTTTTGTAGAGAAGGCCTTGCCATGTTGCTCAGGGTGGCCTCAAACTCCTGGCCTCAAGTGATCCTCTTGCCTCAGCCTCTCAGAGTGCTGGGATTACAAGGGTGAGCCACCACACCACACCCAGCCAATGTGTTCATTTTTAAAGTTTGACTTAAGAGTCCCATAGATTCAGTGTCTTATGTGGCAGTTAGGTCCTTGCAGTTAGTCTCAGAAATCGATTTAGCTCATCTGTTTTCTGAAGGCCCACACATTTGAAATAAAAAAGGAAATAGTTCTGAGTCACCTCCTTCTCAATATAAATAGAAAATGCATTCAAATATTCCCACAAGTTTTGTGTCTTTTAAATCTGCACAAACCCAAAGAATTCCTAGAGGAGGCCGCCAGAGCTAGCAGCACGTGTCAGGTCTGCATCCCACCGGGCCAGCTGAGCAACCCGCTTCAGGCCCCTGCATACCACACAGCTCACCACCGCCTCCAACGCCAGGAGAGTCCAGAAGGCCGGAGGGCGAGGGAGGACTGACGCGTGGGCGGTGACGGCGCGGGAGCCAGTGATGTATTTCTGCTTTGGGCTTTCTCGCACGTGGCACTTGGAGCACATCCTTGGGAACATGTCTGTCCTCTTTGCCAGTTTAAATTTTTGTGTGTTCGTTTCCATACTAGCTCTTAGAATCTAAATCAAGTGTTGTGGATGGTGTGCAAGACCATGGCTGTGTATGTGTGTGTGGGAGTCTCATTGACCACAGTGCTGACACAGTTTCCCTTGGTGGAAGTAAAGAGTAAGTTCAGGACTCCCCTGTAAATGATGTGCTCCCCATGGATGAGGGACAGGAAGAACATCAGGGTACCGTGCCAGCAGAGCTCTGTGCCCTGTTAGTCGAAACAAAAGTGATGGCTGAGATGAGTCCTTCTGTGGCACCCAGGAAACTTTGATAGCTGGGCCAAGAAGCAGCGGCACTGCAGTGCCCTGGGCCGCGAGCATCATGGTTTATGCTCAGCAAAGCCACATCACCTGTCATATAGACCTGACATCAGCTTTACAGTTTTGCTTGCATATAACTTGCAAATTTTGTTTTGTGTTTTATAGCCTAAGAACCATTAAAATAAGGAAACAGATTTTATATAGAGACATTTAGCAGTCTAATAAAAAAAAATAAAAATCACATATTGTATGATGCCATTTATATAAAATGTCCAGAATAGGCACATCCGTAGATAGAAAGTAGATTAGTGGCTGCCAGGGGTTAAGAGGGGAGAAGTGAGGGAGAGACTGTTCATGGGCGTGGGGTTTCTTTCTGGAGTAATGAAAATCCTCTAGAATCTGATAGTGGTGATGGTGACTGCTGTGATATACTAAAAACTACTGAACTGCGCTGTTTCAAAGGGCACATTTTATGATATATTTTATCTCAGTCTTTAAAAAAAAATCTCAACACTGGGAATCCATAAGAAAACTTTTTTTAATTTAAAATGGGTCTGTCAGGCAGGGCGTGGTGGCTCACGCCTGTAATCCCAGCACTCTGGGAAGCCAAGGCGGGTGGATCACCTGAGGTCAGGAGTTTGAGACCAGCCTGGCCAACATGGTGAAACCCCGTCTCTACTAAAATATTAGCCAGGTGTGGTGGCAGTCACCTGTAATCCCAGCTACTCAGGAGGCTGAGGCAGGAGAATCGCTTGAACCTGGGAGGCGGAGGTTGCAGTGAGCCGAGATCGTGCCATTGCACTCCAGCCTGGGCAACAAGAGTGAAACTGTCTCAAAAAAAATTAAAATAAATAAATAAATAAAATGGGTCTGTGCATTAAGCAGCTGTAGTTCAGAGATTGACAAAGTTTGCGGAAGATGAGATGATAAATATGTTTGGCTCAGAGGAACATAGTGTCCCTGCTGCGACCACTCAGCTCTGCCGTGATAGCGCAAAAGCAGCCACACGGTGACCAGGTTGCCCTCCCTGCAGGCCTGCTAAGAGGACTCTGGCTAGATTCCAGCCCTTGCTGGTCCCCCTGGCGTTGGGGCAGGGGGGAGGCGGGCAGCATCCCTACTGTCCCACCGGACCCAGCAGCCACAGGGGCCTTTCGCTTCTCCACATTCCTTCCTGCCCTGCCCTAAAGCAGGAAGCAAGACAAGGAAACCTCTGAGTCAGGTATGTGGATGTCCTCTGCAGAACTCGCCTGGTCCCTTCCTTCAAGTCATTTGTTTCTTTCTGTGAGTCAGCCCTGCCTCCTGTTTACCAGGCACAGGTAGTTTTACCTGTGGCTCCCTGAGCAGAACTGGAGCCGGTGTAACACAGGCTGTGTCTCTGAATAGAAAGTCTCCACACTGCCGTGCCGCTCTCCACTCTGTGTTTGCCCACTGTATGCACCAGAGCACCCTCCCGGCTCCCCTTCTCCTAAGCAAATCCCACACACCTGCATCCCATCCTTCCTCAGATCACTTCCGGAATCATCTGCAGAGTTTGGGTTTCATGGTTTGTGCGACACTCTCAAGCAGCTCACCCAAATCGGGTGGTGTCAGATGGTAAAGGGTTGAGGGGTCTAGGTCAGGGTCACTTGGAAACAAGTTCCTGGGGGAGCAGAGCAACTTTCTTCTCTACTTGGAAGAATATGATAAAGCACCCCTAGACTCACTGGTTTCGAGTTCTAGGGAAGCAGATATTGATGACTCAACAGAGGAAAGGATTGTGTAATCATTGCTTTAGTCAGGGGTTAGCAAACTATGGTCCACAGGCCAACTCTGGCCCCCTGTCTGTTTTTTTAAATAAAGTTTTATTGGCATGCAGCCACATCCGTTTGCTCACAGGCGGCCTGTGGCTGCTCCCTCTCTATAATGGCAGAGAGTTGAGTCATTGCAACAGATCGGATGGCTCCTAGGGCTGAAAATATCTGCCATCTGGTCCTTTACACAAAGGTTTGCTTGCCGACCATGTTGGGCTTAGTGGAGGGGTGTAAGGGATGGTCTTACATGAGTGTGCTTCCAGCACAGGGAGCATGGAACCCAGTGGCAGTCTGTCTGGATGTTTTCAAAGAGGCTTCTTTGTAATAGTTCGCGATTATCTTGCAACATGATATCCATCTCCCCATCCCTAGTGTGGTTAACTTGGGGAAGTTTGCTTTGTCCAAGTAGAGGGGGCTGTAGCTTGTTCACAGCCCAAGAATGCAGGAGCACGCAGGATGCTGGAGCACCAGCTTTTCTGACTTGTTAGTGATAGCCTGGGTTAGGGAAGGTTGTCCTTGGACCACATGGGCTGGGCATGCCCCTCAATTCATGGAAAGTGACTCAGAAAAGTTCAAGGTTTCACCAAGACTAAGAGGTGAGGAGGAAGTTCTTTCAGAACATAAGGGTACTAGGGTGGTGATTTCATTCTGTTCTTTTTTTATGTGTGGACTTTTTCAAGGGCACAAATGTTTTGTGTCAATTAAAAGCAGATTTGTATGCATTTTGTTACAATGATTATGATTTTAAAGTCTTAATAGTATTATACTATACAATCTACAAAAAGATTTGAGCATCTTATAAGCCCTGATAATTATGCCTCGCTCTAAGAAACATGGGTATCTGGAAAGCCACATTATAAACTTTAATATTATAAATGTGCTTTCTGTTTAGAAGGAATTCTTGGAGGGTCTCCTTTAAGAGTGGATTCCTAGGCCAGGCACAGGGGCTCATGCCTATAATCCCAGCACTTTGGGAGGCTGAGAGGATTGCTTGAGCCCAGGAGTTCAATACCAGCCTGGGCAACATAGTGAGACCCCATCTCTACAAAAAAAATTTAGCTGGGCATGGTGGTGCACCTGTAGTCCCAGTTATTTGGGAGGCTGGATTGGGAGGATCGCTTGAGCCTGGGAGGTCAAGGCTGCAGTGAGCTATGATGGTGCCACTGCACTTCAGCCTGGGTGACAGTGAGACCCTCTCTCAAAAATAAATAAATAAATAAATAAATAAATAAAAACAAAAATAAAAAAACAGGATTCCTAGAGCACAGCCAGCATGCAGAACTTGTTTTCTAAGGCTTTTCTCCAATAAAAGGAACCAGGGCTCCTCAGAGGAATGACTGAGTCTAGGGTTGGGGCAGGGACTGTACAAGATGAGCCTGGAGTATCTTATAGTGCCAGAAAATAAGCGCTCAAATACACCCATATGTAAACCCAGCGGTGACAACAGTGTGGGTATGTCATAGGGACACAGGAACCAACAATGACCAAAGGCAGAACAAGTTAAGCAGCAAAATTAAGTAGTAGTGGATTATAATCCAATATATAAAATGAATCCACAGCCCAGACTGATACGCAGGATGGTTGAATAAATTAACAAATGAAGAATAGAGAAATCTGCTGTGCAGAAAATTGCAAATACTTTATGTAGCTACTGTGCCCTTAAGGAGGTGGAGCATAGCTCCCCCGCTCCCCGCTCAGTGTGGGCTGCCAACAGTAAGCTCCCTCCAAAGAGTACAGTGTGGCAAAGGGGACCGAGGAGAGGAACATCACAGTGGAGAAACTGGTGTATACCAACTTCACCAGGCGATCAGGGCCAACGTTGACAGGTAAGTCACATTGACAGCATGCCCCTTGATATCATAGGATAACAGTGGCACTTCACTTCCATGGTCTCTCTCCCAGAAGTCCCAGGCTAATCATAAAAACACATCAGACAGTTCCCAATTGAGAGACATGCTGCAAAATGCCGGAACAGACCTCTTCAAAACTATTAAGGTCATCAAAAACAAGGAAAGCCTGAGAAACTATCATAGCCTATTCAGGCTGCTATAATAAAACACCTAAGATTATATGATTTATAAACAGCAGAAATGTATTTGTCACAGTTCTGGAGGCTGGGAAGTCTAAGATCGAGGCACTGGCAGATTCGGTGTCTGGTGAAGGTGCTTTCTGGCTCACAAATGGCTGTCTCTCTGCTGCGTCCTCACATGATGGAAGGGGAGAGGGAGCTCTCAGGGGTCCCTTTTATGAGGGCACTAATCCCATTCGCAAGAGCTCCATCCTTATGACCTCATCACCTCCCAGAGGCCCCACCTCCTAACACCATCACCTGGGGGTTAGGTTTCAACATAGGAATTTGGGGGTGGGGGGCACAAGTGTTCAGTCTAAAGCTATAGCACCCTCACAGCAAGAGGAGTCTGAAGAAGCAGGCCTGAGTATGATGCAGTACCTGGATGAGGTTCAAAGACAGAAGGAGAACATTGATTAAACAGAAAATTTGAATAAAGTGTGACCTTTAGTTAATATTAATGTACCAATATTGATTCATTAACTATGACAAACACACCCCATAGTAAGTCAGATATTAATAATAGGGGGAAGTGGGTAGAGGGCATATGGGAGCTCTCGCCTGGCTGTTGCAATTTTTTAGTAAATCTAAACCCATTCTAAAATGAGATGCTGGCCAGGCGCAATGGGTCATGCTTGTAATCCAAGCACTTTGGGAGGTTGAGGCAGGAGGATTGCTTGAAGCCAGGAGTTTGAGACCAGCCTGGGCAACATAGCAAGACCCTGGCCAGGTGCAGTGGCTCACGCCTGTAATCCCAGCACTTTGGGAGGCTGAGGCGGGCGTATCACTTGAGGTCAGGAGTTCGAGACCAGCCTGACCAACATGGTGAAACCCCGTCTCTAATAAAAATACAAAAATTAGCTGGGCATGGTGGCGTGCACCTGTAATCTCAGCTACTCGGGAGGCTGAGGCAGGTGAATTGCTTGAACCCAGGAGGCGGAGGTTGCAGTGAGCTGAGATGGTGCCACTGCGCTTTTGCCTGGGTGACAGAGTGAGACTCCATCTCAAAAAAAAAAAAGTATAATGAAATATTTATTTTTTACAAATTTTTATGTAGAGACCAGGTCTTGCCATGTTGCCCAGGCTGGTCTCCAACTCCTGGGCTCAAGCAGTCCTCCCGCCTCGGCCTCCCAAAAGTGCTGGGGTTATAGGCGTGAACCACCACACCCAGCCCTATAATAAAATATTTAATCAGCCATCAGCTGATTGCTGTTCCGTGTGTGGCCTGGCAGTATGTGTTGAGCATTTGAGAAAAGGTGATGGCCCGGGGTGAATGGCACCCTCTCTTAGAGACAGTAACATGTACTTGGTAAAGTAATACGTGAAGATGAAAAGTACTGGAAAGAACACGGGCTTCGGAGTTGAAGACACAGGCTGGAATCCTCATTCTGCCTCTCAGTGTAAGTGTGTCAGGTCCCCCAAGCTTGCTGACCTCACGGCCCTGGATCATGGGGATATGCAGAGCAACCTTGCTCGCAGACTTATTTACATGCTTAAGGGATATAACATTAATGAATCAGCACAGTGCCTAAGGTTAAGTGTCGATATGGGGGAAAAAAATCTAAAATAGCAGTGATACAGTATAGGCTGCAAAGCAGCATATGTTATTTGGAGAAATGAGCAAGAGTTGGAAGTAATTGCTATGAATGTAGAAGAGGGTGACAGGAACAGGTTGGAAAGAGAAACTCCGTCCTGGTGGCTAAGCCCAGGATGTGGGAGGGTGGGATAGGGCTGTGAGGCGCAGTGGCTGGCGACGCTGCTTCCTGGAGGGGCTGTGGTGCTGAGGTCTGGGGCTGCGTTAGGAGGGAGGTGGGGCTCAGGGACTTTAAATAGAGATCATTGTGAAATGGTTAATTGGGAAAGTCAGGTCCAGCCTGCCTTTGTCTTCCCTGAGTGCCTTGCACACACTCAAAGTTCCGGAAACGCTTGTTAGTTGCTTGATGGGTTACATTCCTAATGAGTGTGTAATCAACCCAAGAATATATGGACATAGAATAGGCTGTTGAATGTTTTCTTTTTCCTCCTTATGGTTGTGGAGTTGAACTGTGTGTCACATATGTTATAGGATTATCTAGCATCACTTAATAGAGAAAGCTGTAACATCAGTGCAGTGGGCTTTCTATATTTCCCCGTTAAAATATAAGAAGTGCTGGGCACAGTGGCTCACACCTATAATCCCAGCACTTTGGGAGGCTGAGGCAGGAAGATCACTTGAGCCCAGGAGTTGGAGGCTACAGTGAGCCATGATCATACCACTGCACTCCAGCCTGGGAGACAGAGCAAGATCCTTTCTCCAAACACACACACACACACACACACACACACACACACACACACACACATAAAGGAAGACTGCCCCCCAAGCCTTTTGGGGTTTTAAATTACAAGACACACACACACACACACACACACACACACACACACACACACACACACACACATAAAGGAAGACTGCCCCCCAAGCCTTTTGGGGTTTTAAATTACAAGACTTTTGGGGTTTAAGCACTGAAGTGTTGGGAATGTTCCCCACTGAGGCAAGGAGTTGCTGATGAAGTGATGGGAAATGCAAGCGGAGCCTTGAGCCGTGGAGGTGAAGGTTGACGGAGCCTGCGTGAGCTTGCCCATCAACAAGACAGCAGGCACAGACAGGCCAGCTGTTGTGAGCTTGGCTTTAGGACTCCATTCAGTAGGCAGGAGGAGAGCTGCAGCAGAGGCGGGCTGTGGGTCCCTGAAGCACATCGCTGCCTTCACAGCTGGGCGAACTCCCATCCAGCACGGTAAGCAGAGCCGGGTAAGGGACCTCTGCGTTTGCTCTCGGGGCACTTCATCCCAGATGGGACCGGTTTCAGGACGCCTGCGCCGTTTGTTAGGGGTTTGTAGTTCCCAGTGGCTCTTTTGTTCTGCTATCTTGAAGGGCAGGTTGCTTGTCAGCTCACAATGCTGTGGGTAAGGTCTGGTGAGGTCGGCGAATGTGTTCTCATTGTTTATTCTTCTGCCTGAAGATGAGAAATAATGCAAATCAGGGTGCAGATTCCGGCTCGAGCTCCACAGGCGTGCACGTATGTGTAAGGGCATGCTCGCCGGTGCTGCATGTCCTCGTGGATGCATGCAATTTTTACAGCTTTGGGATTCACGGTTAGCTGAAAGCACATTGGAACTGGAAGGCGGTGCTCTTAACACCGTGTTCTAGGCTGGAAGCCGTAGAGCCATCATCTGCTCTGATGGGACTGCAGCCCTTGGTATGTGGGACCCTTGCTCCATGTGAGTTCTGCAGATGGGTTCCCCGAGGGAGCTGGCTGGAGGACGCCAGCATCGCATGAAGACCTGCCTGCCTCGTTTGCCTTTTGTTTTTCAGTAGCAGTAAGAAACAGGCATTCTCACTACACAGGCATTGAATGCGGACATTGAGAAAAAATGGTGAGTCAGCTACATCCTCAAGAAAAAAAAGCGGCGAAATCAGGTGTGCATGTTTAGTCATGAGAAATGTTCCCTGAGTGCGTTTGCACATAGCCTGCTGATTGCAGTGAGATAATTTAAATAGAGAAAATGGAATCACCATGGTTCTTAGCATTTTCCAGTTCTTTTATTTTGCTCTTTGGTGTGATTGTGACAGTTTAAGGGTTTTACTATACATGTGCTTTTTCCCCCATTTTATGTTGTGATAAAAGAAAGAGATGATTAGTTTTGGCTATATTTCTAAATGGTTGGAATGCCTTTGCTTTACTAAAGGAGGCTTTTGTGTGTGCAGAGGGTCGATGGCATTTTCACAGGGAAATTGATGCATAAATATGTTTGCACACACAGGCTGTCTCTTTGGTCTGCATTTACTGACTCACAAGAGTAGGTGTCATTTTGAAATGCATGTTTTTAGCGGTTGTGCTAGTTGAAAGGTAAAAAGGCAAAGGAGTTTGAAGAAAGGTTTTTGGAAATCTACCTGGTAGCACTTACGAGTAAACAGCCTACTGCCTCGTAGATGGTCTTAAGATTTATAAGATGAATGGAAAATAATATTTTAATGTATCATATAAAAAAACTGAAGATTTGGTACCAAGTTGATGAATGGTTGGCATATTTCTTTTCATTACGGAATAGAACCTTTGAGGTCATACTCTACAAGTATTTCTTATTATTTTATTGCGGAAAAGCATTGCATGGGTGGTAGAGGCACATTTCTTTCTTTTGTCACACATAGTGGCAAAAACATTTTATACTTTGTCCCTTTCTGTTTCTCCGCCTCCACCTGCGCCCACCCCCCTGCCCCCCCGCCCCTCCCGCCCCGATCACCACCAACCCAAACCAACACCATACCTCTTAAGGAAAAAAATTGCAGGGGAATTCTCATCTACAGAGGCATGAACAACACACACAGAGTTTTTTACAGAGTGCTAGGAATAACCATACACGTTGGTGTCAAGCATATAGGCTGCGGAAGGCTCTATTGCCCAGCCAGAGGGACAAATGACCCTGGTGAATGCACGCTGACTGCTGCTTGTTTTGCATGGGCTGGCTGCTCTTCCAGAGTCCGCCTTTGGATTTTGGAGGTTGAGGAAGGAAGGGAATATTTTATGTGGCCTTTGGAATACATTTACTTTACACTACCTTTAATTTTTTACCTCTCATATGCATTAAATTTTTAAGAAGACCAGGGTAGGGGAGCAGTGGGAAGAAGCTGATGTCTTGTATCCACCCATCTTTCCCCTGTCCTCGGGCACTGATTTCCAGCTGGCTTTTCCTAGAGCAAGTAAGACAGTCGGGTCATTTCTGGAAGGCTTGTAGACATCCTTGGATGTCTGAAGAGGTCCTAGAGTTATTTACTTATTTACCTTTAAAACATATTTGCCGACACCTTATTTAAAATTCCTGAAAGTTCACAGTGCCTCTTCATATGTATACCTTGGGTCCTACTATGCGGTTACCATCTTGATTTTATAATAAAGCAAACTGGGGGCGGGGTGACTAGATTCTCACAACCAGTTAGTGAAGAGCCCTCGTGGGGCAGCATGGCTGATTTTCAGTCTGGTGGGCTCCTGCGGACTAATGGGTCGAGGTCCTCCAGGTAAGGCTGAATGTAGAACTGGCCCAAGAATTCCTAGTTATTCTCTTAGTAACTTTCACATCCCTTATCCAGTTTGCTGCCAGTGCAGTGAGAAGGAATTTCAGTTTGGACTTCTGGGAGTGAAGTACAGAAACCCGTTAATCAGGCAGAGACAGCATGTGTGCTCCTCAGCCTGCGTTGGTGTGGCTTGCGAAGCCACCTAAGCATTCTGACCCTCCATTTCTTCATCCATAAAACAAGGAACACAGATTAAATTATTTCTTATTTAAAAATTATTTATTTTTTATGTTTACCATTACCTTGATCTTGAAGTTTAAATTATTTCCCAGGTCCCTTCCAGCTGTAGTCATTTTTGGTTCTTAGGGAGAGAAGCCAGGGACTCAAATTTCCCTTCAGTCATATTTCCAGCTCTGTGGGGTGATTTGTGGCTGCACTGTTTTGCTCATTTGCCGTCATTATTTCCAGGAACAAAAGCATATGAATATATATGAGACACACGCACAGGGGTAATAGCTTCGATATCCATTTACAAATAAAATCAGCTCTGTCAGCAAACTCAATTTTCTGTCAACAGGGCTTTGTTGATGGGAATGCCCTTGACAGCTAAGCCTACTTCGGTCTTCTTGTGGTAATGCCTCATAAAGCCACTCACTGCCAAGGTGCTCTTGGGTATAACTTGCATGAAATTTGTTATAAAATTATTCCGTTAAAAAAATCTAGCTGGCGGACCCTTAAATGTACTTGGAGGCCATTAAGGGTGGAAAAGCTAGAAATTCTAGGAAAATTTTCAACATTTATACACGTGTGTGTGTATACACATATACATGCCCATACACATATGTGTACTACACACATTTTCTATAGTAATTATGCATATAAAGTTAATGTCATGTACAACAAATATCTGAAGTCTATTGGATAAACAATCCATTTCCGATTCTGGTTCAGCTGAGTTAGAAGATAGGCAGGCAATGATCTGAGATGGAAGGTTTCCACAGTTTGGGGTCACGTGCAATTGTGATAGAAGGAAGATTGAGATTTTCTCTTAATTTATGAAGCTGATATGCTATTCTAACTAGTTTTTAATATATCTTACCACAGGGCCACCCAAAATTCAAAATTACTCCTGATTTTGTAAGCTTCACATATGTTTTTGAGAATGAGGTTTTATACTAATCTGGGATTACAGCTTTCTAGGCTGTGATATACAGTTTTTATTAACATTTCCTATTTTAAAAATCAATTTTGCTAATTAAAACCTTTTTATTAAGAATATATAGAAGTTCTGGGAAGCAGAGTGAGGATATTAACAAATCACCCTCAATCCTATCACCCAGAGTCTCCGCTGTGGAACATGGAAGTATATCTGCTTTGAAGTCCTTGCAAATATGTTTTTACACATGCAATTATATTACACATACTGTATGTAAGCTGCCTTTTTCTGTAACTTGTATGTGTATGGTGCATGACATTCTAAAATCTAACAACCCTGTAGCCATACTGTGGACATTTAGGGCTGCTGTTGGTGTTTGACGTTGTAAATAATACTGCAGCAGATATCTGTAGTGAAATACTTGTGCTCTTCCATGTTGATTTCCTTCGGATAAAATTCTGGGCATGGAGTTGCTAGGCAGGCGCTAGAAAATATCACCACGTTGCCCTCCAAAAAGTGTATGCTTACTATTTACACTCTAGGGGCACCGATCGCCCAGGACAGTCCTACTTCTCCCAAAACTTTGTCAATATTAGACATTTTTAAAATTCTGTGGTTTGATAGGCAAAAAAGTTATTTCATTTTTAACTTGCATTTCTTCAGGGACTAGCAAAGTCAGACTTTTTTGGTGCACTGACTAGCCATTTGTGTTTTTTCTTTTGTACATTACTCTTCAGCGCGTGTTCATTTTCCTACTGAAGATGAGCCCTTTCTTGATTATTGTCATTTAGGTTGCAGATAACATCCCTACCGTGTGCTGTGTGCCTTCCAGATGTTAGTGGGTGGTTACAGTTCAACTTTTTTGACATACAAGTGTGTTGAATTTTAGCGTTGTCGCCCTTGCACCTGGAGCCTCTGTGTGGCCAGTTCTGCCTTTTGGTGGCTACTGGCTTCTGTTAGTTGTACATTGCCATTACTGGTCTCTTGTTACCATGTGTGCCGCAGAAGGTGTAGCCACCAGGAGCTCTGTCAGCATGAATTCCCTAGGAGGTGTAGACATCCATCTCGGAAGGCTGGTAGAAAAATTGTCTCTGTGGAAAAATTAAGAAGTGCCCAGCTTTCCGACAACCCTAACTCATCGTAGTTCCCATCTTTTGCTCTGGTTGACAGGAAACTCGTGGTCCTATTGGAAGCACAACCATAGGACCTCTGTACATTCTCGTGTCCGGTCTGCTCTTTGCATAAGGGTGCTTGCCCCTGCTTGTGCCCTTCTGCTTTTTGTTTACATTTGCTCTCACTGTGATGTTTTTATGTTCATTTTGATACTCAAGTTGTGTGTTTGTTCTCCTGCGTGAGACACTTCTAAACATTTCATCATTTAGGGTATACATAGATCAAAGTAAGTGGGGACCACATAAACATATGTAGAAACACGTTCTGAACACCAAAGAGCTTCTCGGTCACCAGTTAATATTGTGGTTCTTTGTTGTTGTTGTTGTTGTTGTTGTTGTTGTTTTTTGAGATGGAGTCTCGCTCTGTCACCCAGGCTGGAGTGCAGTGCCGCAATCTCAGCTCACTGCAACCTCTGCCTCCTGGGTTCAGCCAGTTCTCCTGCCTTAGCCTCCCAAGTAGCTGGGATTACAAGCATGCGCCACCACGCCCAGCTAATTTTTTTTTGTATTTTTAGTAGAGACAGGGTGTCACCATATTGGCCAGGCTGGTCTCGAACTCCTGACCTTGTGATCCACCTGCCTTGGCCTCCCAAAGTGCTGGGATTACAGGCGTGAGCCACCACACCTGGCCAATATTGTTATTACAGTCACTGTTTTATGGAAAAACTTAGTGACCTCATATCGTTCTTACTGGGCAAGTGAGCCTAACACAATCTGTTTCTATAGTAATTGTGGAAATGTGACGTTACAGTGGAAGAGGAGAGTTGGGACATGGCTGTGGAGTGGAGCTGGGGCTGTCCACCTCTCACTTAGTATGGAATCCTCTCCTAGGCCCTTCAGCTCCAGCACACTGGAAGTCTAAGGGGTTTTGTTTGTCTGTTTGCCCCTATGTTTTAATCACCGCTAGGATCAGAAGAACTGCAGTCTCTGTGAACAGGTCTTCAGGTGACATCAGTGTGTTACCTCCCTGGTTAGCAATTAGCATTCCCGAGGTCGGGTGCTGTGCTGCATGCAAAGTTGAATCAGGCACAGACAGAACCTTCCTTGAAGGAGTTTGTCCTCTCTTAATAGTGAAGATAATATAGAAATTGTCCTAGCCAGTTTACACTCCTAAAACAAATTACCATAGACTAGGAGGCTTAAACAACAGACTTTTATTGCTCACAGTTCTTCTGGAGGCTGGTAGTCCAACGTCAAGGTGCTGGCCTGTGGATTCCTGGTTCACAGATGGCACTTTCTACCTGTGTCCTCACATGAGGGAGAGCAGAGAGAGGAAGCAAGCTCCCTCGCATATCTTTTCTTTTTTTGAGACAGGGTCTGGTTCTGTCACTCCAGGCTAGAGTGCAGTGGTGCAATCACAGCTCACTGCAGCCTCAAACTCCCAAACTCCTAGGCTCAAGCAATCTTCCCACCTCAGCCTCCTGAGTAACTGGGACTTTAGGCATGTACCACCATGCCTGGCTAATTTTGTTTGTTTTTGTAGAGATGGAGTCTCATTATGTTGGCCAGGAGGGTCTCAAACTCCGGGCCTCAAGCAGTCCTCCCACCTTGGCCTCCCAAAGTGCTGGGATTACACGCTTCAGCCACAATGCTATCCTTGAGTGCTTCTTATGAGGGTACTCATCCATTCCTGAGGGCTTCACCCTCCTGACTGCATCACCTTCCAAAGGCTCCACCTCTTCATCCTATCCCATTGGGGTTAGGATTTCAACTTATGGATTTGGGAGGCAGGGCACAGGCATTTAGACTGCAACATAAATGTGAATGGCTGAGGAGCATGGGATTCAGAAGGCCCGAGCACATCAGGCTGCCTGCTTTGCTTTCTGCTCCTTTCTTCTCTCTTCCCTCCTCCCTTCCTTTGTTTCTTTGTTCCTTCTTTCCTGTTGACTCAGTGAGCTTTTGCTGCAATCTGCTTTGTGCCAGGCATTGTGTTGGACCTGGAATACAGAGGTAGATGAGGCAGGGGTGAGCACAGTCGTTTCAGCTAGGAGGAGAGATACTAAATGAAAATACCACAGAATGGTGAAGTGCAGTCTAGGAATCAACAGGTAGAGATTCAGTACTGTGCAAGTTCAGAGAAGAAAGGCATATCTGTGTCAATGGGTCCAGGAAATGTTTCATGGAGGAGGTTGCTTTTTTTTTTTTTTTTTTTTTTTTTTGAGATGAAGTCTTGCTCTGTTGCCAGTCTGGAGTGCAGTGGCATGATATCAGCTCACTGCAACCTCTGCCTCCTGGGTTCAAGTGATTCTCCTGCCTTAGCCTCCTGAGTAGCTGGGACTACAGGCGCCCACCACCATGCCCAGCTAATTTTTCTATTTTTAGTAGAGACAGGGTTTCACCATGTTGGGCAGGATGGTCTTGATCTCCTGACCTCGTGATCTGCCCCCCTCAGCCTCCCAAACTGCTGGGATTACAGGCGTGAACCACCGCACCCGGCCCCGCATTTCACTGGATCTTCAGAACAGGAATGGCTTCCTTGGGGAGGGTCCCAAAAAGTGCGAATCAAAACAGAGATTTGGGAACCACCAGGCATGCATAGGTAGGGCAGGGCATCTCAACTCACTGCAACCCATCAGAGAGTACATCTCAACCCACTACAGCTCATCAGACAGTACATCTTAACTCACTACAACTCATCAGACTGACATCTCAAATCACTACAGCTCATCACAGAGTACAACTCAACTCAGTACAACTCATCAGACAGACATCTCAAATCACTACAGCTCATCAGACAGACAAATCACTACAGCTCATCAGACAGACATCTCAACTCACTATAACTCAGACATCTCAAATCACTACAACTCATCAGACATCTCAACTCACTATAACTCAGACAGACATCTCAACTCACTACAACTCATCAGACATCTCAACTTCACTACGGTTCATCAGACAGACATCTCAAATCACTACAACTCATCAGACATCTCAACTCGCTACAACTCATCAGACAGACATCTCAAATCACTACAGCTCCTCAGACAGTATATCTCAACTCACCACAACTCATCAGACAGACATCTCAGCTCACTACAACTCATCAGACAGTACCTCTCAAGTCACTGAGTTTTATGGTCTGTGACTGATACCCCGATAGAGTTGTGGAGGTGAAAAGAATACAGGTGAAAGTGTTTGGTAATATGAACACCTCCTAGATCCATCCTAGATGTCTAGAAATTCACATACACATTTGTGGCTCAGAAGAGCATGTAGGTGTAGGGAACAAGGTGTAAGGTAAACTCAAATTCATACATTGCTTGTTACCTCTGCCCAGACCTTAGTAGCTTTAAGCTTTTGTCAATAATAGATCATACCTAATAAATATTACACAACCCAGATGCTTCTAAAACTATTATTGAGGTAAATGAAAATGTCTGCCACAGTAAGATAGTATTTATCACAGAGATTCAGATATGATTTTTTTTCTCTTTTAACCTAAAGAAATATAGTAATAACAAAAAAGTCAGCTAATATGCTATAAGCAATTGTTGGGAATCTTGGCATGAAATCCAGTTAGGGTACTGATTGTGCCCATATCAGATTTTTAGAAGCAGATAACCTGATGTGTTTATGAGTTTTATTTCTGGTCTGCTTTCTCCTCAAAATTTCCTGTGTATACATTGAAAACAAAAAGCCAGCCACAGATCACTTGATCATTATAGCATAAAGAGTAGAATAATTGTGTTAGTTACCTTGCTGCATAACAAATCGTCCACCAATTTGGTGGCTTGAACACCACTAAACATTTATTATCTCATACACTTTCTGAGGGTTAGGGAGGAGATTAGCTGGGTTATTGTGGCTCAGCATCTCCTGAGATTGCAGTCAACACGTGGGCCAGGACAGCCGTCTTCCAAAGGCTTGCTTGGAGCTAGAGGATCCGCTTCCAAGAGGGCACCCATATGTCTGTTGGCAGGAGGCCTCAGTTCCTCCCCACATGGATCTCCGTATAGGGCTGCTTGAGTGTCCTCACAACATGGTTGTTGGCTTCCCCGCTGTGAGTTATCCTCGGGAGAGAGGAAGGAGGAAGTTGCAATGCCTGTGTGATCTGGTCTCAGAAGTCACACATCGGCACTTCTGCCATACATTTTTAAACCAATTTATTGAGGTATAATTGACATATAAAAGGCTGTACATATTTAATGTATACAACTTGATGAATTTGGAGATAAGTATCTATAAGCCTGTGAAATCATCACCACAATCAGTGCCTTAAACGGATCCATCACCTCCAAAAGTTTTCTCCCACCCTGTCAACCCTCTTTTTTTTTGTTGTCATTGATAAGATCTACCCCCTTAGCAAATTTGTAAATGTACAATACAGAATTATTAACTACAGACGCTGCGCTGTGCAGTAGGTCTCTGGGTAATTCATCTTGCGTAATTGAAACTTTGTGCCCTCTCACCAATACCTCCCTGTTTCCCCTTCCCCCATCCCCTAACAACCACCATTCATTCTATTTGAAAGTTTAAAATTCTTCACGTAAGTGGGACCATGTAGCACTTGTCTTTCTGTGCCTGGCTTGTCTCACTTAGCATAATGTCCTGTAGGCTCATCCATGTTGTCACAAATGGCAAGATTTCCCTCCTTTTTAAGTCTTTTCTATTCCTCTATATGCACGCATCACATTTTCTTTATTCACTCATCTGTCAATGTCTGCTTAGGTGGCTTCCATGCCTTGGCATTCACAATATAAATAGTTCACACAAGTGAACTATTCACAATAGTTCATGTCGTAGTAAACATGTGAGTTCTGCCATATTTTGCTTGTTCAAAAGGAGTCAGAGTCCGGCCTACTTCTAACAAGCTCCACTTGTTTGAAGGAAGGAGTTTCAAAGGAATTGTTGGGACTTCTTTGTTTGTTTGTTTTTTAGAAATGAGTTCTCTGTCTGTTGCCCAGGCTGGCATGCAGTGACATAGTCATGGCTCAGTGCATCGTTGAATTCCTGGATTCAAGTGATCCTCCTGCCTCAGCTTTCCAAGTAGCTGGGACTACAGGTGCATGCCACCATACTTGGATAATTTTTTTAAAAACTTTTCTTTCGGTACCAGATCTTGCTATGTTGCCCAGGCTGGTCTCAAACTCCTGGCCTCAAGTGACCCTCCTGCCTAGGCAACCCAAGTTGCTGGGACTCCAGGCATGAGCCACTGTGCCTGGCTGATTTTGATAACTTTATACACCTCGTAATCAAAACAGTAAGTTCCAGAAAGCTCCTTTGTACTCTTTCCAATGAAACCCTGCCCCACAACCATCCCTCCCTGATGTGTGACCCTAGTGAGTGTTGCCTCTTCTTGAGCTTCATGTAAACTGGACCCTACTTGTGCGTTCTTTGGCGGTTGACCCTTCATTCAGGGTCGTGCCCCTGGGACCCATTCTCACTGCTGTGTCTCGGTAGTTTTTCTAAATTACTGGCTAGTGTTCCCTTCTGTGAATACAGCACCACTGGTTGATCCACTCACCAGTAGGTGGGCAGTGTTTGGCCAACATGAATGAGGGCTTGTGTTGTTTCTCTTGGGTGAGAGAGTTGTTTCTCTGGGAGCGGTGGACTGGCTGGGTCGCAGGGCAGGTGTGTGAGAGTCTCCTTCCTCACACAGTTTCACTAGGACTCAGAAGCCATGGTCTTTTCTCTCCTGTGAAGGGCTTGAGACTTTCTGGAATTGAGTTCATGTAGCTGTCCTCAGCTTTTGATGAGGGACGTGTGTGTGTTCCAATAACACTTCGTTTACAAAACCAGGAGGCAGTGGAGAGTTGGCCCTTGGTTTCTAGTTTGCAAACTCCTGGTCTAGAAGGTAAGACAAATATTAATTTTTAAAACCCGCGTGTCTGTAATTGCTCATTTTGAAAGCACTGTGAAGGGAACACTAAGGGAGAGGGGATGGGAAGACTTTTTACATGTGTGTGGGGAGTCTGATGAATTTGTAAAACCTATGATTTTATAACTTTTCTGGCCTCTTTTTAGTTGCTACTGTGAGCAGTAGTCCATATGTGAACCAGAGTGGACCTCCACAAGCTGCCTTTTGAAGTTGTTACAGTTAGCAGAGACGAACTGGCCCAGGGTTCAAGAAGCCTTTCTGGCTGGAGGAATGTGGATCAGTCCCTCCAGGCCTGGAAGAGGGCAGTGGGGGGCGGGGGGTGCACTCAATCTTACCATTTTCACAGATGAGAGTAATTTCATTTCAGAGGGGTATGCCAAGGCAGCGATGAAAACTTCAGGAATAGCTTTGAATATCTAAAGGAAGTGGGTAAGAAAGTGGGAGGTTGGGAGTTCCGGAGGGAGAGTTCCTGTAAAGCAGAGATTCCCAGGGCTGGCTCAACATCCACATTGCCTGGAGGGCTTTCCCTGAAACACAGGCTTGCAGGCATGCCAGCCCTTGCTATTTCCCACCTCTGCCCAGGCCTGGCCCTCATCAAGGCGGGAGAGCCCAGCTCCCAGGGCTCACGCTCTGGAACCAAGAATGTGGCTCTCCAGGCACAGAGACAATAGAGGCCTGGAACAGATCCTCAAAATGTGTGTGCTGAAGACATACTCAGGGTCCGATACTTGAGGGCCATCTCACATTATCATCTCCAAATCTAGGCAGGTTCTGTTATTGGGCATTAACCCCTCGAGAAATCAGTGCCTGTAACTATGATTTGGATCATCTGTGCTTTGGATTTCTCTTTTAATCTTCTCTGTCTCCTCCCATTCTTAACCACAAGTGATTTATCAGCCTCTCTAATTCAACTTCATTACTCTTTGCCATCCAAGTCCCTGCAAGCACAAATAAAACCCAAAGGAAGCAGCAGACCTTTTTATCCATCTGTGAAGACACTCAAGAAACACTAAATTCATCTGACTTTCTAGAGTAATTGCTTTCCCCACATGGCACTAGAATCCTGGCATACAGGGAGCAGCTTCAGCAGAGACACGGCAGTAGAGAAATGACTGACTGAAGGATGGTTCAGGGCTGTTGTCCTCCCTGAAGGTGGTTCCAACAGGACACAAAAGTTGCAGCAGAGCCTGTGAGAACAGCTGTGTCCTTTGTCGTCACTAGCTGGTCTGTCTGTTCATTGGGCAATTTCAGTTTTTATGACTGAAAGCTGGGCATGCAAAGGACAACCAAACAGCCTCTAGCCTGCTGATGCTCACAGTCTGGAAAGTCCTATGGTAAATCAATATTTCTTTTTTGCTTTTCAGAGACAGTCTCACTCTGTTACCCAGGCTAGAGTGCAGTGGCATGATCATCGCTCACTGCAGCCTCCAACTCCTGGGCTCAAGCAATCCTCCCGCTTCAGCCTCCTGAGTAGCTGGGACTAAAGGTGCCCACCACCATGCCTGGCTGGTTTTTCAATTTTTTGTAGAGACAGGGTCTTGCTATGTTGCCCAGGCTGGTCTCTAACTCCTTGCCTCGGGCAGTCCTCCTGCCTTGGCCTCCCTAAGTGTTGGGATTGCAGGCACGGGGCACCACATCCAGGCTTTTTTCATTTGTTTTTAGAGACAGGGTCTCCCTCTGTCACCCAGGCTGGAGTGCAGTGGTGTGATCATGGCTCACTGCAACCTTGAACTCCCAGGGTCAAGCAATTCTCTCACCTCAGCCTCCTGAGTAGTTGGGACTGCAGGCATGCATCACCATACCTGGCTAATTTTTAATTTTTTTTTTATTTTTATTTTTTGTAGAGACTGGGTCTTGCTATGTTGTTCAGAGTGGTCTTGAATTCCTCCCACCTCGGCCTCCCACAGCACTGGGATTATAGGTGTGAGCCACTGTGCTCAGCCTGGTAAATTGGTATGTCTAAGGAGAGTGTTTGGTGCCATTGTTCCCAGGTGTTCACACTGTTTAAAATGTTTCTAATACATCTCAGCATTGATAGGTTGGTTGCTTGGTTGGTTTCTTGCCTCTTTTGGGCTCCATCGCCTTCCCCACTGTCTCCTTTTTCCACCTCATCTGGCCTTTGTGGAGTGCTGTGTTGGCAAAAGAGCTTTCCACCTGTGCCTCCCCAAGGGTGTGTGTCTGTAAGAGCTGCCCAGGGCCTGGGAAGGACAGTGGAGACACCAGGTACTCGTTCGGGAGACTTGTGCTCAAAATGACATGGGTGTGCCGGCTCTTAGCTGCCTGACCCGCATTCTGAGGCCTGGTGGCGCCGTGCTTCTTCAGCGTGTGAACACCTGCCTGGCAGCGTCTGATACACCTCACCAGGCTGAAGGGCAGACCAGCTACCTGTGATTCCTGATAAAAATTCTGTGCTTTACAGAATCCCTTCTATTTATGCCCACAACCAATGGAGGAGTGCTTTCTAGATGATAACCTCAAACTGTCAGTGTTGAGCTTGAGTTGATGTTTGAGTTACTGAGCGTTCCACGTTCCATGCTCATGGAAACCTGGCTCTGTTTGGAAGCAGCAATGCTGGGCCCTACCCCAGTTGTCCCATGAGATAATTGTGCTCTGTGCACACAGTTCCGGTCCCAGACCCTGGCTTTGTAGCATACATTTTCAAGGAGGACTCTTGGGCCACCACAGATACTGCCCTATCCATTGCTATTTTTGATGGTATGCTTGTGTATAATACGTTTGTATATGGCATAAGTTAGCAGAATATGTAAATGAAAGGAGGAAACACCTCAATGTCATTATCCACGGGAAGTGTGTTCACTCTGTCTCTTCATTGTAAAAATGAGGCAGTGCCGTTGCCCAGAGCTCTCTTGGCACCTTTTATACCCCTCACCGGCTGGCTTGGTCGGCTGCAGGGGTGCCCTTCCCATCTCATTGGCTGGGTGTGTTGCATGGTGTTATGCTTTGGGAAGAAGGTTGTATGGTGCTGGTGTCACAGAGGCCTGTGTCCAGGTCTGCCCCATCACAGACTGACCCTTTGGTCTTAGGTGCTCAGCAGGTGCCTGGCTCATAGGAAGCCCACGCAACTCCATCTCCCACACCAGGGCCTTTATCTGCTGCTAGCTCACCGCCATCCTATGCGATGTGGCCTGTGATCAGCTTGTACAGGAGAGGCAGCTTTCTGGGGTGTAGTTGCCTGCCTGACGTCACATAGCTGGCACGTGATGGATCCCGATTGGATGTGTCTGCCCGGGGAAACCTCAAGTCACAGGCAGCTAGCACAGCTCAAGCGTCCCTAATCAGAAGGTCTGAAATCTTAAATGCTTCAAAGTTCAAAACTTTTTGAGCACCAACATGATGCCATAAAGGAAAAATTCCACAGCTGATCTCGTGGGATGTGTCGCAGTGAGAATGCAGGTAGAGACTGGGCAAGCTGCTGCTGTTTGCTGTTGCTGGCGCCTCACAGCTGAGGCGGGTGTTCTGGTGCCATTGCCGTGCTGCTTACTTACCCTGGACACATTCCTCTCTCACTGTATTGATGGTATATCGTGCTTTTCACTGTTGAGTGCTTATATATCAGTATAGGAAAATTATTGCTTGTTGGCAGCATATAAATTCAGAGTCCGGAATGACGGAGATGCCAGACAACTACAGATTGTGCACATGGGTGGCAGAGAGACTGACACTTTTGCTTTATGATGGTTCGGTGGATACAAACTTTGTTTCGTGCACAAAATTATTAAGCATATTGTATAAAATTACCTTCAGGCTATCTATATAAAGTGTATATGAAGCAAAATGAGTGTCAGGTTTAGACTTGAGTCCCACCCCCGAGATGTCTCATTATGTATGTGTAAATATTCCAAAATCCAAAAACGTCTGAAATCCAAAACACTTCTGGTCCCAAGCATTTCGGAAGAGAGATGTTTAACCCGTACTTTAGAAAGCACTCAGGCGCTGGAGTTCATCGCGGGCAGCATTTCAGCAGCACCTGTGTTGTGTGTCTGCAAATCAGAATGCATCCCTATCCCATCATTGACACCAAAAGTAGTTATGATGCCTGTGGCAGTGGCTCATGCCTGTACTCCCAGCACTTTGGGAGGCCAAGGCAAAAGGATCACTTGAGCCCAGGAGTTTGAGGCCAGCATGGGCAACATGGTGAACCCCATCTCTACAAAATAATTTAAAAACTAGCCAGGCCATAGTGGCATACACCTGTGGTCCCAGCTAGTCAGGAGACTAAGGCAGGAGGGTCACTTGAGCCTGGGAGGTCGAGACTACAGTGACCCGTGATCACGCTGCTGCACTCCAGCCTGGGCAAAACAGCAAGACCCTATCTCTGTCTCCAAAAAAAAAAAAAAAAAAAAAAAAAAAAAAAAAGTAGGTGAGGAGGACCCTGTGGTGTGTGTTCCTTAAGTCATCTGCAAGATTCAGAAATTTTCCCATCCTCCTTGCTAAAGATAATTGTTAACCCTATTCAGAAAACAGTGGTGGATTATTGATTACAGAGCAGTTCAAAACTGTTTAGTTGTGTTGGGAACATTCACACACAAGGTCCTTTCACGGAGAACTTAACCATGGTGTCTTGAAAAAATGCAGCTTCTCACCTTTTAAAATTCCGCACAAAAAAAGTGAAAGTGATTGAAAGCAACAGGTGCATTTACATTGTGTTCAAGTGAGGGCATAACATGATGCATGTAATAAATATTTGCTTGCAAGGCCCTGAAGGAAATAGCCCAGATCCCTGCCCTCTGTAGAGGTGCTTTCAGCCCAGGGAGGAGCGTGGAGGCAGGTGAGCAATGGGATGATTTGAGAGAGTCCCCTTGCTGGGGCGTGACCTGGAGGTGGGGTGATGTCAGGGCAGGACTGGGGGAGCTGAGGGCTGTGTGGAGGCAGGGGCAGTGCAAGGAGACCTTGCATTCAGACATGGGGCTGGCTGTCTCGTCGTGGAAGCAAAAATAGAGTAATGCCAGCAGGATCTCTAGAGTGTTTGTTTTTTTCCTAACAGTGGTTTCGGTCCTGTCATAGCATGCTGGGTGACTGAGTACACTAATGGTGGCCCTTCCTGCAGGTTTGTCCCCTTCATATAAGTTCTGTTTGGCTTTGAGGTGCTGTTTTAGAGCTTCATGCTCTGTCTCCTTCAGTGGCGGCCAGCCCAGGGAGAATGGCAGGGCCGTGGGCTCCATGTAGCAGATCTCTGAAGCCACTGCTGCTTGGAGCCTGCCGGCCCTCTCCCCTCTGGGAACTGTGCAAGCAGCTGTCTCCTTGGGAACGTGGCATTAGCATGTTTTGCATGAGAATGAACACCAACCAAGGCTGAATATCAATTGGATCCTAGAGTGCAGCTGCCTTTGAAATGTTCCTTTGTGTGGCCGAACTTCCTGCTGCAGTTGATTCCTGGAGCTTGTGCGAAGACACAAAGTCTTAAGTCATCTTAGTGCCTTGCTTACTCTATCTCTGGATCTTGCTGTCACCATTTATTTTATCCTTAGAAGTATGGCAAAGAGAAATGCATACATATATGCAGAGACACATGTCTACACACAGGCACAACAGAGACACACGTACCTACACATGCACACAACATATACAACCCGGGCACACACTCACAACATGCATCTCCACACAGACACAACACAGGCACACATACCCACACACGCATACAACGCACAACACAGGCACACACATACAACACACATGGACACAGAGACATGCATCTACACACATACACAACCCAGGCGTACACATACAACATACATCTACACACAGACACATGTGTACATTCAGACACAACCCAGACTCCTACATCTACACATGCAAACAACCAGACATACACATACAACGTACATCTATGCAGAGATATACATCTACACACATACACAGCGCAGGCACACACACAGTGTACATATAGACAGACAGACATTTATACACATACAACATGCATCTACACACACAAAACATAGACACAGACAACATCTACACATAGATCTGTACACATACACACCAGATGCATACAACATATAGACATGCACGTAACACATAGACATGCATCTGTGCGCAAGCACAACATGGACCACTCACACACACAACCTGCAGAGCTGCCTCTTGGAACCAGTTAGAAACAAAAGTTGGAATATGACCCCAGCAAGTCCCCAATCCCCATTTTTGGTCCTTTTCTTCGTTTGTGTTGTTGACCCTGATGGCCCAGATTCTTATCAACTGCGACAATAAAAACCAATTAGTGATTTTATAGTTTGACTTTGCAAGGTGGGGGTGGGGGGCAAACTTGGTCCAGACATTGCTGTGCTGCTGCAGGTCTGAATGAAGTGCAGTGTTGGGCTGGAGCGCGCCCCGTGCTGCACTTCTGGCGTGGGAAGTGACGATGCAGCACACACCACTCCCCTGAGAACAGAGCACCCAGCTCCTGTAGTTTGGCCCTCTAGGAAGATGGGAAGGAGCCTGTGGGCACCTTCTGATTAGGAGAGAAGCCAGGAGCCAGCCTGCCGTCCACTTTCTCAGTGGGTCTCTTGCTCCATGTCATTGTTCACTTCTCACAGGGCCTTTGCTCCCTGCAGGTGAGTTCTCTTTCGTTTATGGGTGGATCTCGGAGCACTTCTGCAGAAGGCACTTTGCAAATAGAGTTCCTTTTTAATCAGTGGGTGACCAAAGGCACTTGGATTTTAGCAATAAATTATAGGTCATTTAATTATCTGTTTCTGTGATGTGGTGATGTGATATGGTTTGGCTGTGTCCCCACCCAAATCTCAACTTGAATTGTATTTCTGAGAATTCCCACGTGTTGTGGGAGGGACCCAGGGGGAAGTAATTGAATCATGGGGCCTGGTCTTTCCCCTGCTATTCTTGTGATAGCAAATAAGTCTCACAAGACCTGATGGGTTTATCAGGGGTTTCCGCTTTTGCTTCCTCCGTTTTCTCTTGCCACTGCCATGTAAGAAGTGCCTTTCACCTCCCGCCATGATTCTGAGGCCTCCCCAGCCATGTGGAACTCTAAGTCCAATTAAACGTCACTTTGTTCCCAGTTTCAGGTATGTCTTTATCAGCAGCGTGAAAACGAACTAATACCTGGCGCTTTTAAATAACAGGTACCAGGTGCTTTCAAGTGGGTCTATGGGTGATAGATTTCAGGAGTTTTCAAAGGGAAAAAAAGTGCAAGTGTACCTCAACTCTTTGGCATGAAATGAATTATTGAACGCTGAAATATTGAGGCTGGGCGCAGTGACTCACACCTGTAATCCCAGCACTTGGGAGGCCAAGGCAGGTGGATCCCTTGAGTCCAGGAGTTTGAGACCAGCCTGGGCAACATGGTGAAACCCTATCTCTACAAAAATACAAAAATTAGCTGGGTGTGGTGGTGCACACCTGTGGTCCCAGCTGCTAGGGAGGTTGAGGTGGGAGGATCATCTGCCAAGGAAGTGGAGGCTGCAGTGAGCCCAGATTGTGCACTCCAGCCTGGACAACAGAGTAAGACCCTGTCTCAAAAAAAAAAAAAGAAAAGAAAGAAAGAAAGAAAGAAAGAAATATGGAAATGAAATGGAATATTGAATTCTGAACCATTGAATATTGAAATGCAATGTGGGGGAGACATCTGACCTGTGAGAGCGCTTCTCAGAATGCAAATCAGTTTGGCAGTATTTTAATGTCATTCTGTGTTTTATAACCAGACAAATGTATTGTTCTCTAACCCATGCATAGCTGTGTTCAAGTTTTGTTTTGTTTTGTTTTGTTTTTTTGAGACGGAGTCTTGCTTTGTCACCCAGGCTGGAGTGCAGTGGTATGATCTCAGCTCACTGCAACCTCCACCTCCCAGGTTCAAGCAATTCTCGTGCCTCAGCCTTCCGAGTAGCTGGGATTACAGGTACACGCCACCATGCCCGGCTAATTTTTGCATTTTTAGTAGAGATGGGGCTTCACCATGTTGGCCAGGCTGGTCTCGAACTCCTGACCTCAAGTGATCCACCCGCCTCGGCCTCCCAAAGTGCTGGGATTACAGATGTGAGCCACTGTGCCCAGCCATTCAAGTTATTTTGATAACACTTCAAGCTAGGAGTTTCTGTTAGTGTCTGTCTGATGCACATGAGAAATCTGACTTCTTTGAGTGGGGTTGCTGTTGTCTGAAGCTGAGGTTGAGCTATTTGGTTACAGCTTGTTTTCTAAGCCTGTGCTGTGTCTTCAGCCTCCTCTAAGCTGAGAGCAGAGGAGGCTGCCCTCCCAACACTTTGGGACCAGACCTCCCAACACTTTGGGAGGCCGAGGCAGGTGGATCGCTTGAGGACAGGAGTTCAAGACCAGCCTGACCAACATGGTGAAACCCCATCTCTACTAAAAATACGAAAATTAGCCGGGCGTGGTGGCGCATGCCTGTAGATCTAGCTACTCCGCAGGCAGGCAAGAGGATCACTTGAACCCAGGAGTTTGAGACCAGCCTGGGCAGCACAGTGAGACCCCATCTCTACTAAAATTTTAAAAGTTAGCCAGGCATGGTGGTGGGCACCTATAGTCTCAGCTACTTGGGAAGCTGAGGTGGTAGGATTGCTTGAGTCCAGGAGTTCGAGGCTGCAGCATGCTATGATCACACTGTACTCCAGCCTGGGTGACAAAGCGAGACCCCAACTCTTTAAAAGAGCCTTTGTTGGTCTTAATTTTCATAATACAATACTGATTTTCAAGGTTTTATTAAAGAATTGATTTGCAGCTCATCTTAGAAAGGTTTACCCCTTTGTATATGGCAATTTCCCATAAGCCACATAAAAATACTGTGACTTGAAGTAAATATTTCTGAATCTAGCTGTATGTGAGCATTTCCACAAACATTAATGTTGTTTCTAAAGTTTTTGTTCATTTATTCCTGCAAAAACAAATGCAATTTGTGTGTGTATGTGTGTCTGTGTGTGATGTGTGCGCCTGTGTCTTGAATGCTTCATGTTCCCTTGTGGGACATGCCAGTCGACAGCCTCATGTTGTCTGAGGTGCGTCACGACTCCCCACCTTGCATGAGGAGTTGCGGTGGCGACAGGTGTGGGAAAGTGCATATGGATTTAACTCCTGAAAGTGGCTTAAGGGGATTGTGAAGATCCAGGTCCAGTCCCTTGTGGTGGGAAGGTATTATTGGAATCGTTGATTAATTTGTACTTGTTCTTCCTCTAGACAAGCAGATGCCCAGTGTCGGGAAGGCAGCCCAGGATCACAGCAGCACCCACCGAGTCAGAAGGCACCGAACCCACCCACATTCTCTGAACTATCTCACTGCCGGGGAGCCCCAGAGCTGCCCCGGGAGGGCCGGGGCCGAGCGGGAACCCTACCTCGAGATTATAGATACTCGGAGGAGAGCACCCCAGCAGACTTGGGACCCCGAGCCCAGAGCCCTGGCTCACCCCTGCATGCTCGAGGACAAGACTCGTGGCCAGTGAGCTCAGCCCTGCTCTCCAAGAGGCCAGCCCCACAGAGGCCACCGCCACCCAAGCGCGAGCCCAGGAGATACAGGGCCACAGACGGCGCACCTGCTGACGCCCCCGTGGGCGTCCTCGGCAGGCCCTTCCCAACGCCATCCCCTGCGTCCCTGGATGTGTATGTGGCCCGCCTGTCCCTCTCCCACAGCCCCTCTGTGTTCAGCAGTGCCCAGCCCCAGGACACCCCGAAGGCCACTGTCTGTGAGCGTGGAAGCCAGCATGTGAGCGGGGACGCATCACGTCCTCTGCCAGAAGCACTGCTCCCTCCCAAGCAGCAGCACCTGCGCCTGCAGACGGCCACCATGGAGACCTCGCGCTCCCCCTCGCCCCAGTTCGCCCCCCAGAAACTGACGGACAAACCTCCCCTGCTCATCCAGGATGAGGATTCAACCAGGTACTGTCCTGCGACGGTGTTCCCTCCCCATGAGGCTCCTAATGTGGGACGCGGGTTCTCAGTGGGTCTTTCTGGGGAGTCACCTGGGCACCTTGCTTTAGCTCAAGGCGTTGGACTTAAAGTCAGTACTGGGGAATAACTGTGTGGACAGAAAGTGAAGCTTCAGTGGTGGTTGGATTTTTATCTCACTGGGGGGCTGCTGTTTCCTGCAGGGAACAGGGGTAGATGTGAATAGGTGATACATCTTCCCCTTCCTCCAAGCCAGATGCATTTATATCTGCATTACCCACAGGCATCTGCAGGGTAGAGGTCTGTTTTTTTTTGTCGTTGTTGTTGTTTTAATGCAGTCAATATTTGTGATTGGAATCGAGTTTAACCTAAGCATGCGACCTTTAGGTGAAATTGGTATTTTTCATGGTGTCCAGTATTTTCTTACTCCTTTTTTTCCAGATTTTTTTTTAATGTTAGAAAGCTAAGCTGGTATATACCTTTTGTTAAAGCAGAAGAATACTCATTCACATTTCATGGTGCTATCATCAGGATTTCAGGCATGGAATTATTGCGTCCATTGAGATGCTGATGAATGTTAGGCAGGAACTTGACCTTTCAAGAGCACTAGGCCCAGCATGGTGGCTCACGCCTGTAATCCCAGCACGTCGAGAGTTCAAGGCAGGTGGATCGCTTGAGCTGAAGGAGTTCGAGGCTAGCCCAGGCAACATGGCAAAACCTTGTCTCTACTAAAACTACAAAAAATTAGCCAGGTGTGGTGGTGCATGCCTATAGTCCCAGCTTCCCAGGGAGGAGGCTGAAGTGGGAGGATCACCTGAGCCTGGAGGTCGAGGCTGCAGTAAGCCAGGATGGCACCACTGCACTCCAGCCTGGGTGACAGAGTGAGACCCTGTGCAAAAAAGAGCACCGGCTGTTTAGCTTTCTTCACACACAAATACCACCTCCTTGAGTGCCTTGAAGGACTGAGAAATGGAAGAAGGGGAGAATTTCTGTCTCATTCTCTGGAGCAGTGGCTCTCAACCTAGGAGGTGGAGTGTGATTTTGGCCCCCAGGGGACATTAGGCAATGTCTGGAGACAGTTTTTGTTGTCCTAAGTGCGATGGGAGTGGGGGGTGCTCTCTGCATCTAGTGGTGGAGCCCAGGGAGGCCACTCAGGGTCTGCAGTGTGTGGGCGGCCCCCACAGAGCATTGTCCGACCGCAGATGCCAGCTGCTCTTAGGCTGGGAACCCTGCTGTAGAGCCGCACGCCCAGCACAGGACCCACCATCACCTGTGCTGTGTAAATGTGGGGCAAAGAAAACCAAGTCGATGAATGCAGGTCCTCAGTCACACCAGGTGTGGCGGGTGGCTGCCGTCCTGGACAGGACAGATAACAGGTATTCCCATCGCCGCAGAAAATTCTGTGGGACCTCACTGCTCTAGAGTCTCAAGTAATTTTTTTTCTTAGCTTCTAAATAACTCAGCAGAGAAAGAACATGACTGATACTGATCCTGTATCTCCAGCCGAGGCATTGTAACCACAGTTTTCTCTGTGGGCCAAAACTGGGCTTTGCATCATTTAAAATGTATCTAAAGATCATTCAGATATCCCTTGAATTGGTAACATTGTAAGGTTCTGAAAGGAAAGTGTCTTACTCCTTTCAGGCTGCTATAATAAGATCTCATAGACTGCACGGCTCATTAACAGGAGAAATGTGTGAGTTGATGAGGGCTGGTCGCTGGAAGGTCCGACCCACTGTGTTCTGTCCTTATTTTGAAGTCAAGGCTCGTGAAACTGTTCTCATGTGGAAGTCAAGACTGTTTTTAAGAAGAGAGACCATTTCTGTTAAAAAATGATCAGGAATAGATGCTTTGTTGGAAAGTGTATGTGAACCCGTGGGAGATAGGAGATTTGTTTTTTTTCCTTCCCGGTACTGTATTTTATATTATTATCATTATTATTCCCTGTCGCCCAGGCTGGAGTGCAGTGGTGCGATCTTGACTTTTGGGTTCAAGTGATTCTGCTGCCTCAGCCTCCCGAGTAGCTGGGATTACAGGCACCTGCCACCACACCAGGCTGATTTTTGTATTTTTAGTAGAGACGGGGTTTCACCATGTTGGCCAGGCTGGTCTCAAACTCCTGACCTCAGGTGATCTGTCTGCTTCAGCCTCCCAAAGAGCTGGGATTACAGGGGCAAGCCACTGGGCCCAGCCTCTTTCCCAATATTTTAAAACCTGTGAAGGGAGATTTGTTTATGTTGTTTAATTTGTTTCTATTGTGCACATCAAATTTCTGCACAAAAGGGGGAGGATACCAATACAGGCTGATGTGAAAGTCAGTAATAGGCAAGCAGAGCTTCTCCCGGGAGCCGGGGGGGCGGGGGTGAAGGGAGTGCAGAGGGTTCTGCGTTTGCTGGTGCTTGGATAAGGTGGCCAGGTTTTCCTCCTTCTTTTATTATTATTATTATTATTATTATTTATTATTATTATGTTTTTAACAGAGAGGTGGGGAGGTCTCACTGTGTTACCTAGGCTGGTCTCAAACTCCTGGGCGCAAGCAGTCCTCCCACCTTAGCCTCCCACAGTGCTGGGATTCCAGGTGTGAGCCACTGTGCCTAGCCAGGGTTTTCCTTCATAAGTCTGACCTATCTAAATGGTATTTTCCACAGTTAGACTTTGTAAATTGTCTTCATGAGGAAGCAGTTGTGAGGTGTCTGTGAGTCCCTAGATAAAACACATCAGATGTTGCTGAACCCTACTGGAGAGAGGGAGGAAAATACGCAGTTAGTTCATCTCAGCCTGAGCACCACTGCCTTGATAGGGAAAGAGCCCTCCTGCATTCCCAGTCACCAGTGAAAGAGGGAAAAACAGCATTAAATTTAGAGCATCGTGGCTGCCCTCCTGCTGTGGAAAATTGGATACATTTGTGTAACATCGTAGGGGCAGTTTTGGGTTGACTTCATTAGAAACACATCCTAATTTGGGGTTGTGGAGTTTGGCCTGTTTCTTTTTGCTTCCCTCCTGACCACCAGCATATGGGGCTGCTTCTCCAGTGCTCTGAAAAGCTCTTGGCTGAGATGGCCCTGGTCAGCATGGTCTAGCACGGTGCCGCTGAGAGCAGCAGGTGCAGGGCTGCCCCAGACAAGGGACTGTGGCATTGCTGGGCCTGTTCCTCCTGTTCTCTCTCCCCCAGTCTCCCAGGGATGCTTTAGGTACCTCTCTAGTCCCTTTCATCCAGAAACTTTTCTTTTTTTTTTGAGATGGAGTCTTGCTCTGTTGCCCAGGCTAGAGTGCAGTGGTGTGATCTCAGGTCACTGATCTCAGCTCACTGCAACTTCTGCTTCCCAGGTTCAAGCGATTCTCATGCTTCAGCTTCCCGAGTAGGTGGGATTACAGGTGCGCACCACCACACCCGGCTAATTTTTGTATTTTTAGTAGAGACAGGGTTTCTCCATGTTAGCCAGGTGGGTCTCGAACTCCTGACCACAAGTGATCCACCCGCCTCGGCCTTCCAAAGTGCTGGGATTACAGGCATGACCCACCACATCTGGCTGACACTTTTTTAAAAAAAAAGCAAAACTGTGCCCTTTGGAAGTAATACAGAACCGATGACTCGCTGCTTACTGCGAGATCGTATCTCACTGGTGTGCAAATCTGTGCAACGCTAGCTTGAAGCACAGCGGGCGGGGGGTACAAGGACAGTGTTGGGTGGGCTGTCCTGCATATGGCACAGGAGGTTCTCCCAAGTGGGGTGGTGGGGGGCTTTGGCCTGACTCCAAGCACGGCCACTCCGGAGAGGAGCCCTCCCCAGGCCCTGAGAACTACGCAGGAACCCGCGGGCCTGCACCAACCTAAGGACGGATGGGAATCCTGGAAAATGCCCATCCACTGCAGGCTTCCCCTACAAAAGAACATTTAACCCAACAGGGCTTGTTGAAGTTTGCATTATCATCTGCGGAATGACAAATGGTATTAAATAGTCCTCACAGCCCTCCACGAACCCCTGGAGGACACCTTGGGATGCCTCAGGGGTGGCATTGGCGGTTTGAGCATAGAAAGGATGCTGTGGTTGGAAGGCGGAGGTAGGAGTCAGAGGGAGCTTCTTGAGGCCTCTGCCTCATCCAGGATGTGGGATCATGGAGGCTCCTTCGAGTTGGGTGGCTGGCTAGTGCCTTTGAGTCAGGTTCCCATCCAGAGGGGAGGGCAGGGGACACGTCAATCAGGGTCTGTGGCTGGAGCATGCTTTGCGATTTCAGCAGACTGTTCATCTTCCAGAATTGAGCGGGTGATGGACAACAACACCACGGTGAAGATGGTGCCCATCAAGATCGTGCACTCGGAGAGCCAGCCAGAGAAGGAGAGCCGCCAGAGCCTGGCATGCCCCGCCGAGCCACCTGCCCTGCCCCACGGGCTGGAGAAAGACCAGATCAAGACGCTGAGCACATCTGAGCAGTTCTACTCGCGCTTCTGTCTGTACACGCGGCAGGGTGCTGAGCCCGAGGCCCCACATAGGGCCCAGCCGGCTGAGCCCCAGCCCCTGGGCACCCAGGTGCCCCCCGAGAAAGACCGCTGCACCTCCCCTCCAGGGCTCAGCTACATGAAGGCCAAAGAGAAGACTGTGGAAGACCTGAAGTCGGAGGAGCTGGCCAGGGAGATCGTGGGGAAGGATAAGTCCCTGGCCGACATCCTGGATCCCAGTGTGAAGATCAAAACCACTATGGACTTGATGGAAGGCATCTTCCCCAAAGACGAGCACCTCCTGGAAGAAGCCCAGCAACGGAGGAAGCTGCTCCCCAAAATCCCCTCTCCTAGAAGCACAGAGGAGAGGTGAGTAGGCGTGGCCTCCCAGCTTGGGCGTGACTCTGCCTGGCATCTCTTAGGCTTGTAAAGGGAAGGGGGTCTGCCTCTCTGTTTTCATGCGTGCTTTTGGGGAAGACGGGTTTTCATAAGGGCTCCTCGATGCTTAGCACTTTTTGGCTTTTTTGTGAGCCTCCGGAAAGAGAAATGGAGGGTTAACGGCTTTGGGCCTGACATGAAAATACACACTGCAGACCACCAAGCTGCCTTGGCCTGAGGCCAGCAGGATTTCTGATGATGCCCACAGGTCTCCTTTCTCGTAAGACAGCTGTTCTCAGTGGGGGCCGCTGTCTACCCTGGGGGACAGTTGGCAATGTCACTGTGGGGAGGGGTGTTCCAAGCATCTGGTGGGTGGAGCCCAGGAACACTGCTCAACATCTACAGTGCACAGGAGGGCCCCCCCCACAGAGAGTCATCCAGCCCCCACGTGTCCCTAGTGCCAACATGAGAATGAAGGCTTAGATTGAATATATATGTGTTTCTTTATGAAATGTTTTTTTAAAACTTTATTTGAAATTTTTTTACATCTGCATTTAAAAAATTTATTATAATTTGGCCAGGCACAGTGGTGCACACCTGTAATCCCAGCACTTTGGCTGACCGAGGTAGGCAGATCATTTAAGCCCATGAATTCAATACCAGCCTGGACAACATGGCAAAACCCAGTCTCTACAAAAAGTACAAAAAATTAGCCAGGCGTGGTGGTAGACACCTGTAGTCCCAGCTACTCGAGAGGCTGAGGTGGGAGGATCACTTGAGCCCAGGAGTTGGAGGCTGCAGTGAGCTATGATGGTGCCACTGCACTCCAGTGTGGGTGACAGAGTAAGACCCCATCTCTTGAAATAGAAATGAAAAAAAATTACGACAATTTACACCTGCCTGAACAAATGTATTTTAATTGGTTTTGTAAGTAGCACTTTCAGCGTATCTCCTTCAGCCACTTGACCACAAAGGCATGCGTGGTGGCATCTTCCCTGCTGCTGACATATGTTCTGCCAGCACAGCGTCATTCATGGGTAGGAAGGTGGAGTGGGTATGACACACAGCCAAGGAGGAGCAGCTGGACCAAGTGGACCCAGGCAGGAGGGCGCCGACAGGGCTGCTGGGAGGAAGGGAGAAGGGTTGGTGTTTGTAGATAGCGTCACACATGTCCTTGTCCTCATCAACCCAGGCTCCTGGTAGAGATCATCTGTGCTCTCACCTCTGTAGCAGAGATTCTTAGATATTCCTGCTTATTTGAGTTTTTGCCTTTTTTAAAAACTATGTTTCATACACTTACGAGTATCCATTTGACAGGGTTGATGGTTTTTAGTTTTAACCTTGTTACCTACTTACTTTTCCCCCTTTGGCTGTCTCATCTCCCTGGCTGGTGTCCTTTCGTGAGCACCAGTGTTGATTTGTCACAACCCAGGGGGTGGGGCAGAGGGGCTGTTTGCGTGCACAGTCCCAGCTCATTGAAGTTCCCACACCTTTACCCAGGAAAGAGGAGCCCAGCGTGCCTGCGGCCGTGTCCCTGGCCACCAATTCTACCTACTACAGCACGTCGGCCCCCAAGGCGGAGCTGCTGATCAAGATGAAGGACCTGCAGGAGCAGCAGGAGCACGAAGAGGATTCGGGAAGCGACTTGGACCACGACCTGTCGGTGAAGAAGGTAGGAGAGTCCATTCCAAATGACAGCGTGTGCGTGTCCAGGCAGGGGCAGGCATCCGGATCACACCATCCTGCCCCAGCGCAGACCCTGCACCACGTGTCCCAGGGCGTTTGTGTTCAGCTTTCACTCAGGACAGTGGAATTTGAGGTGATATTAGTGAAGCCCTCTGTTGTTAGTTCTATGTCCTAATCTTGAGCCATTCCACAAACGTCTCTTTGCTGTTTCAATAGGATCCAATGTCAAATTAGTTTAGTCACCATTCTCTTTCATTTTATCTTATTTATTTATTTTTGAGACAGGGTCTTGCTCTGTCGTGCAGGCTTGAGTGCAATGGTGCAATCATGGCCCACCGCAGCCTTGACCTCCTGGCCTCAAGCGATCCCCCTGCCTCAGATAAAGGAAAATTATTTTCAAATTAGAAAGTGGTAACTTTTTTTTGAGATAGAGTCTCCCTCTGTCACCCAGGCTGGAGTGCAGTGGCACACTCTCAGCTCACTGCAACCTCTGCCTCCCGGGTTCAAGCAATTCTCCTACCTCAGCCCCTCGAGTAGCTGGGATTACAGGCACCTGCCACCAAGCCTTGCTAATTTTTGTATTTTTAGTAGAGATGGGGTTTCACCATGTTGGCCAGGCCGGTCTCGAACCTCAAGTGATCCACCCACCGCAGCCTCCCAAAGTGCTGGGATTACAGGCGTGAGCCACTGCTTCCGGGCTGGAAGATGGTAACTTTTTGGTTCAAGGTATTAAAAAGGGAAATGAAAATTAAGGGTTTAGGTCTTGGGGCTTTTACGGGCCCTCCATCTGGCACACGGTACCATTCGCTTCATTCTGGTTGCACATTCCTCTTTTAAAAAATAATAAAGAATCCAAAACATGTTCGGTTTTTCCACACAGAACCAGGAAAATCATACCATCTGGACCATTTGAATTTGGGTCACACCCTAGGTTTAGAGAACTGCATTCTTTGCTCGCATGCCTTTGTTTTTCATGATATAATGAATTTCAGAAGCGGCATGCCTTGATTCTGCCGCCCTCATCTGTGGGGCACTCTGTCCACCTGCTTTGGGAGGCTGGAGATGCTGGGAAGCCGCCTCACCAGAAGTGTGGCTCCGGAACTGAGTGAGTCACTGTGGGCTGGAAGTTGGCCTCACTTTAGTTCAGCAAGTGTGAGTTGGGCACCTGCACCAGAAGCACATGCTGTACATCCCAGCTCTCTATGGTGCTGATGACTCAGCGGTCCTGTTTTCCTGCTTGATTGGACAAAGCGGCCACTGCTGCATTACATTTTCTCCCTGCTTTCCCGCAGCCACACGCTTATGATGTCGCACATTCCTGCAACGCGTGCACAGGCGGAGGCGTGTTCAGGGAGGAAGCGAGCATAGCGCAGATGGGGACTTAGCAGGCCACCTGCTCTGTAGCTGCTTCAGGGGAACATATGAGACCCTAATTCCGTAGGCTTCCAACATTCCCAGGGCGACCACAGTTGTCTCAGTCACAGCATTGCTAGGTGGTCATAGAGCTGAGAGCCAAATCAGGGAACCCTCTGTTTTAGGAGAAGACTAAGGACAGAGTTGAGAGAGTGGAAGCCCCAGGCAGGGAGGCAGCAGGGGGCTCTGGTGGCTGGTAGAGAAGCATCACGCAGAGATGACAAGATATGGTTTTATACTTGGGGCAGCTCAGAAGGACTCTGCCCAGAAAAGAGGGCACCATGTTGAGTTGAACCAGATAGCTGATTGGTTTAAGTTTAGAATCTTTGAGAATTATGGCTTTTCCCTGGAACCAGGAGGTGAGTGCAGGGCCCAGACAGAATAGACCTTGTTTCCCCTATAGAAGGGAACAAAAGGTGGAGGAAGGGAATGAATGGCCCAGGGCTCATTCTTAGTGGAGGGATGAGAGTGGCTGTGTGCCTGGTCTCTACTGTTGCAGGCTCTTACCTGAGCCTCCTGGAAAGCCACGCACTGCAAGAAATAGCAGATGGGCCTGCCAGACAGTATGGACCACAGTGGTGAGCCCTTCAGCACCCTGGGTGGTGTGGACAGCCACTGATCTGTTCACTGTCCCAGGCCAGGTCTTGTCTCAGAAATCTTTGAAAGCCAACGGCTGTTCTTTATACAATGGCCCTTTAACAAAGGGGAAATGGTTTCAATAAAAATTTGCATATGACATGTAAAAGAACCAATAAAGAAATCTGGACTCCTTTCAGAGAGCCCAGTTTCAAATTAGCTCAGCTGAGGTAGGTTTTGAGGGCACATGTTCATGCACCAGTATAAAATCTACATTTCCGTAATTGCTGAAGAATAATGGCACTGAAAATTTCCTGAGCGGCCGGGCGCGGTGGCTCACGCTTGTAATCCCAGCACTTTCGGAGGCCGAGGTGGGCGGATCACGAGGTCAGCAGATCGAGGCCATCCTGGCTAACATGGTGAAACCCCGTCTCTACTAAAAATACAAAAAATTAGCCAGGCGTGGTGGCGGGCGCCTGTAGTCCCAGCTACTCGGGAGGCTGAGGCAGGAGAATGGCGTGAACCTGGGAGGCGGAGCTTGCAGTGAGCTGAGATAGCGCCACTGCACTCCAGCCTGGGTGGCAGAGCAGAGACTCCGTCTCAAAAAAAAAAAAAAAAAAAAAAAAATTCCTGAGCAGCCCTGGCGGGCGTCCTTCCTTATCCACAGTTCCCTGCATTGCTTGCAGTCTTCCTTCAGGCTAGCATTGGTATCAGGAATTTGGGAAGTTCTTCATGCCTGTTTCCTGTTTTGTGCTTTTCCCTCAAGTGATGACTATCTAAAATTTGGCCACATTCTCAGCTGTGAGATTCTCAACTTAAACAGTCTCTCCAGATAGGTAGTGAGTAGGAAAAGGCACAAACCACTTTTCCTCTGCTCTCACGCCACAGCAACCAACACAGAAGACTTCGGTGACCACATGTGTGAGGGGGGTTTCCCACACACCCAGCGAGCAGTCACTTCTGCAGCAGACACCAGCTGGGTGGCCTCTGATTCAGTTCAGATGTGACACTGTCAAATTGGAGGTAGCGTCTCATCCCACGGGTTGAGGGCTCAGTCCCCAAGACTGCACCCCCCACACACACCAGTCGCAAGTCTGAGTCTCAGGGACTTCTGACCAACCACCTTCAAGTTGGGGTTCCCATGACCCCCTCTTTAGTTTCCATTACTTTGCTAGAGTGGCTCACAGAACTCAGGGAAACATTTACATCTATGATAAAGAATGTTACAAAGGATACACATGAAGAGATGTGTAGGGCGAGGCATGGGGAAAGGGGTGCGGAAGAGCTTCCATGCCCTCCCTGGGTGCTCCACCCTCCAGGAACCTTCTTGTCTTCACCTGTCAGGAAGTCTCCAGCCCCGTCTTCTTGGGCCTTTTATGGAGCCTTCATTGGATAGGCCTGATAGAAATCTGTGTAGAAATGTGATTGGACAAAAAGACTACAATCCAGTCCTAACAGACCGAGGAGAAAGCCACAAGGTCTGCCTGTTGAGATTCTTGTTGGCCTCTCTGTGTAGCGTTCCTTCCCCCTAGGTGTGCCGCAGGACCCTTCAGGAATATGGGGATCTTAAGACCTGCATTCATTCAAGGCGGTGGAGGATTTCTTTATGGAAAGGTTGGGGAAGATTAGATCTTGCTTTGGGCAGGTAAAAGTTTAAGACCAGCCTGGGCAACATGGAGAGACCCCGTCTCTACAAAAATAAAAAAATTATCTGGGTGTGGTGGTGCATGCCTATGGTCCTAGCTGCTTAGGAGGCTGAGGTGGGAGGATTGGTTGAGCCCAGGAGGTCACTGCTGCAGTGAGTGGTGATCATGCCACTGCACTCCAGCCTGGGCAACAGAGTGAGACCCTGTCTCAAAAAATAAAATAAAATAAAATAAAATAAATGCATCCATGTGAGGGAAAGACCTCACGCAATCAGGAAATAGGCTGCCTCGTATCTGGCACATGTTTCTCCTGCTGTGGGGTTGACTTTTCCTGCCTAATGCTCATCCGGCTGGTCATTTTACCCATAGATTATGGAATCAGGGCACGACCACTTGAAGCCAGGAGTTTGAGGCTGTAGTGCACTATGATCATGTCTGTGAGTAGCCACTGCACTGCAACTTGGGCAACATAGCAAGACCGCTTCTCTAAACAAGTAGAAAAAAGGTCATCATTTAGAAGGCTGGTGGGAAAGGGCATAGAGTGTTAGTGTCTAATAGTTACGCAGTTTCAGTTGGGGAAGATGACAGAGTTCTAGAGACGGATGGTGGTGACAGGTGCATCGCAGCATGAATGTACCACACACCACAGAACTATGCTCTGAAAAGTGGTCAAGATGGCAAGCTTTATGTTACATATATTTTACTACAATTTTGAAAACAGTCATCTGTTTGCATTTTGGTCAAGTTGAAATCAGTAGGTTATAGTAAAAGACTGTTAAGTTCATTCGTATCCCTTTATTGGTCTTAATTTTTATATGCTAGTATTAGCAATTAAAATTTTTTTTCTTTTTTTTTCTCTTTAGCAATTAAAATTTTAATTGCTAGGCCAGGCCCGGTGGCTCACACCTGTAATCCCAGCACTTTGGGAGGCCAAGGCGGGTGGATCACCTGAGGTCAGGAGTTCAAGACCAGCTTGGCCAACATGGTGAAACCCCATCTCTACTAAAAATACAAAAATTAGCCAAGTGTGGTGGTGCACGCCTGTAATCCCAGCTACTCAGGAGGCTGAGGCACGAGAATTGCTTGAACCCGGGAGGCCATTGCACTCCAGCCTGGGCAACAGAGCAAGACCCTGTCTCAAAAATAAAAATTAAATAAATAAAAATAATTGCTAGTGACAATAATTATATGTACAGGACACATAACTAATCACGGAATTTGGTGCTGGACATAAGACTCACTACTTTCTCTCTATGTGAATCTTTAAATTAGAAAATTCCAAAGGACAGAATACATAGGTCTGTGACTCCTTCCAAAGATATGGGTTGAAACTGCATCTACCATGACGAGCATCGGGGCCACAACTCCGACGTTCTCTAATAGGGCATGAACAGAACGAGAACAGGTTTATTTTATTTTTAAATGCCAATAGTGCCATTAGGAGTCATTCTTCTTTCCCTTAGTCGTATAAATCCCCTATTATTTGGTGATGCAAAAGTGAGCTTTCACGCAGGTCAGCTGCACCTTTCACGTAGGTGCGCCAAGGTGGCAGTGAGCAGTGTGGCCGGGGTGGGGGCCGGCCTAACCAGTGTCTCCGTGTTCCCTTGCCATCCCGTGCCCAACAGCAGGAGCTCATCGAGAGCATCAGCCGCAAGCTGCAGGTGCTCCGGGAGGCCCGCGAGAGCCTGCTGGAGGACGTGCAGGCCAACACCGTGCTGGGGGCCGAGGTGGAGGCCATCGTGAAAGGCGTCTGCAAGCCCAGCGAGTTTGACAAGTTCCGGATGTTCATTGGAGACCTGGACAAAGTGGTGAACCTCCTGCTGTCGCTGTCAGGCCGCCTGGCCCGGGTGGAGAATGCCCTCAATAATTTGGACGACGGCGCTTCTCCCGGTGATCGGGTAAATGCAGATACGTCTGACTTGGAAATGGGGGGTGGTCTCGTGGGAAGGCTGTTTTTCAAGTGTCGTGAAAGTCAGCTCCTTGGAGCCTAGCATAGCTTCCACATGGCCTGTCCACCTCCTCCTGCAGACCTTGTCGAGACAGTGCACGCTCTATACCCTCTCCTTCCTTTTATATTTCTTTAGTTGTTTGTTTGTTTGTTTGTTTGTTTGAGACAGGGTCTCATTCTGTTGCCCAGGCTGGAGTGCAGTGGTGCGATCTCGGCTCACTGCAGCCTCTGCCTCCCGAGGTTCAAGAGATTCTCCCACCTCAGCTTCCCGGGTAGCTGAGCTCCCAGGTGCATGCCACCATGCCTGGCTAATTTTTGTATTTTTTTGGTAGAGATGGGATTTCACTATGTTGGCCAGGCTGGTCTGGAACTCCTGAGCTCAAGTGATCCGCCTACCTCAGCCTCCCAAAGTGCTGGGATTACAGGTGTGAGCAACTGTGCCTGGCCTCCTTCCTTTTAATTGAGGGGAAAAGGTGCTTATCAGATGCAGGGAGTTGAACCGTCATTGGACTGCAGGGTTGCGGGATCTTCTCAAAGAACTGTTACCTCTTTTTAACATCTTTTTAGATATTCCTATTGACTCTTACTGATAATTGTCTCTTCTTAGAAAAATCATGTTGTTGTTGTTTTTACTTTTCTTTTACCATGTATAAGTCCGTAACAGACATGCCTGCCTGCTGACGATCGTAAGTACTCAATGATAGCTATTTTCTTGTGGTGGTTGTAGCTGTGATTTAACAAGAGGGCATGTATCAGTCTAGAAGGAAGCAGACAGTGCATCTAACTTCAAGGCGTTTCTCAGTGGGTCTGTCTTTTCGTCCTTTCACATATGAACCAAGAGAAATAATAGCTGCCTCGTTGGCTTTTACCTCATAGGCCAAATATCAGTAAAACAGCTAGTTTTGTTTGCACAGAACAGGCCTTCAGAATGTTCATCTGTATCATGAATAAAACATCTTAACCTCTCTCAGAAGGGGAGCAGAAGAAGCACCCTTCCCCTTTCTCCAGGTGAGGGTGATTTGGGCCACGCAGAACGCTGTCCTGGCGCTGGGCTTGGAGACGGTGCCCTTCTGCACTCAGCCGAGTGCTTAGTAACTGTGTCGTGGAACTAGCTAGGTCAGGGTGGCACCGTGCCCGAGGGGGCTGCTGGCCGACACCCGTGCACAGCACTGCGTCTTCTCCACCCTCAGGCTTCCTTGTGTGCAGATATGCTCTGCAGGCTCGGGGGCTTCTCCTCCTCCTGCCAGGAGCATTTAGTAAGCCTACCCTGAATTCCTCTCGAGTCCACCCATGTGGCCAGCTGTCCCACGGTGTTCCCATGGAGCGGACCTTGACGCCAAGAGGGCCCCGCAGTCCTTTGCCCTTTGCAGCATCTCAGAATTCTGTCGTTGTGAGTCCCTTGGTGACTCTTCTGCTCACCATTCGAGGCAGGTGGGAGAGAGTCAGGCTCAGACAGCAAGAGGAAACCCAGAGAGGCCTGTGGGCGGCTTCTGGGGGCCTCAGGCTGGCCCGCTGCAACCATGAGACACATGCCCCCAGGCCCTGGGCCCTGGGTTTGTCTGTGTGGACCCCATCGGATCTCTGGTGGCATCAGGGTTTCCATCGATAAGTTGTGGGACCAGCCCACAAGTTGCCAGTGTCTTCAAGGGTTGGCCAGTGCCCCAGCTTTCATCCTGGTCCTCAACAGGCTTGTTTGTCTGTCAACAGCAATCACTGCTTGAGAAGCAGAGAGTCCTGATCCAGCAGCACGAGGACGCCAAGGAGCTCAAGGAGAACCTGGACCGCCGCGAGCGCATCGTCTTTGACATTTTGGCCAACTATCTGAGCGAGGAGAGCCTCGCGGACTATGAGCACTTCGTGAAGATGAAGTCGGCCCTCATCATCGAGCAGCGGGAGCTGGAAGATAAAATCCACCTTGGTGAAGAGCAGCTGAAGTGCTTATTGGACAGCCTTCAGCCCGAAAGGGGCAAATAAGAGACCAGTCCCCGGTGGAGGAGGGGCACGGGGCCTCCGAGCTCCAGCTCCGTTCCCAAGGATACTCGTGAAGACCCCATCTGTGTTCATGGCCTGGAAAGAGACTTCTCCCATAGCAAAGAGGCTGTTATAAAAGCAATAACTTTTGTGTTTGTGTGGGATGATTTATTTAATTTTTTAGTTTCCCCTTTGATTGCTGAGAGCCATTTTCCTTTACACATAACTACACCTGACACCAGGCTCTGCTGGATGTGAGTTTCCACTGCATGGGCTGTGGGCTGGGCCTGTGGTGCCTGCCGAGTGGTCACTGTCAGTGGGAAACCCGTTGTTCCTCCCGTCTTCAGATGCTGAGCCAACTGCTTGGACAGCAGCCAGCGCGTCATGACGTGCATGAGAGGGGGACCCTGGTGCTCATCTTCTCTTGTCATTCATCCAGGCATGGGCTGCCAGGTTTTGTCCCTGCTCGTTCAACAGTGTGAGCATTTGTCTCTGTTATCTAATGATGTTCTCTGACCCAGCAGAAATCATCATCATGATGATGATAATTTATTAACTTTTTGGAAGGGTGAATAGTTTCCTAATGGTTAAAAACCAACTGTGAAAGGAACCACCTGTGTGGTTGGGTTCACTCATTCTCAGATTAAATTGCCACTTAAAGAAATAACGTGCATGCTTTAAAAAACACAGTCACGCACCAAGCAGGCAAATAGCTTTAGTCCTTCTCACCTCACATCACAGTTGTTCTGCAAAGTAAAATTTTTTGGTTAAGAGCGTGTCCAGTAGTAATGTGCTTGTTAGCTGTTTCTCAAGACCAACAGAAGATTTTTTCAGTTACTTTCCCCCCATGTATTTTGTATGCATATGATTGTCCGTGATAATTGGCTACTTTTCCATTGTTTCCTCCTTAAATCGTTTAGCATGGCATGAGGGCCACATTCCATGGACGGGAAGACCCCTTCCTCTTCAGAGGTCCCGTGGACTACACAGCTCCTGAGCTTGATCTTTTTCTGCCATGAAGTTTAAAGATTCTATGCCCATTTCCTTGATTGAAATGGCAGGATTCTAAAGAGAGCCTGGTTTGTTAAAAGAAAACACTGTCATGCTGTCAGTTCCCAATTGACAAGTCACAGACTGGGAGAAAATATTTGCAAATCGTGTATCTGACAAAAGGTTTGTGTCCAGGATGTACAAAGAACTCTCAAACCGGATAGTAAGAAAACAAACAGCCCAAGTGAAAAGCAGGCAAAAGACTTGAATAGACACTTCACCAAAGAGCATACACGCGTGGCAAACAAGCACACGAAAAGACGTTCAGCCGCCGATGGCTTGGTTATAATTTATAACTTACTTATTTTTATCTAATAATTGTAGATTCAGTGTATTTCTTCAAAAAATGTTTAATTAAATGCATGTTAATGGTGAGTGAATCCCTTGGGTGACTTCGTGTTTAGGTCGTATTAGGGCATTTGTTGGATCAACGGATCATTTTAACCCTGACTTCCCCTTATTCCCATAAAAGAAGTTTTCCAGTGGAATGGAGATTTCATTTTGTCAGCAGCAGTGACCACAGCCTTACCAAAGCAGACGCGTGCGCGTGCACAGATGCACACACACAGATGTCTTAAAAGACTAGAATCCACACTTCCTGAGCCAGAGGGGCCGTGTTGACGGTAATGCATTCTCTATAGAGCCAAGTCCAAACTGGCAAGCTCAATGATGCAGGCAATAAACCGCCTTTTTGGCAGCCTACCAATGCCAAAAGGATAAATGTCTTTCCAAAAGTGTGTATTCCTGTTAAATTAAGCTCTTGCTAACTTGAAAAATCCCTGTTCTGCCAGCGAAGCTTCCTCCTCCTCTCCAGCTGGTAGTCACTTGCGTGAATGCTGGTCAGTCTGAAAAGGTGAAGCTGGCTGTGCACTTACCCCCATCTTTCTCCCTCGGGGAGACGACCCAAGGAATTTCAGAGTATTTTGTTTGGCAGAGCTTTTACCTGTTATTCTTTGCCCTCAAATACAGTATTGTGGTCATTTTGATGATATGTGTGTAAAATGTGAATAATCCAATTGGTGTCTGTACTCAGCCTTTTGATGTCTTTTTAGGACTTTCTCTTCTACACAGCAATACGTCGTGCTCGAGTATCCTTGTAGCAAAGCACATAGAGCCAGCTGTCCTGTCAGTTCCCCTGTTTGCCTCTGAAACGTCTGGTTAGTGGGGACCCAAAGATTCTAGTGAGTCAACATCCATAACTCTGTATCTAGTTGTATTATTCATAGAAAATCAATCTGGTGCTAATGGTTGGCCCTGGTGTTGTTGGGTGGCAGCTGCTCCTTCGCCCTCTTGTAGTGTGGCTGTGGAGGGCTCTGCCTATGGGGGGTGGCCTGTGGCTTGTATCCTTCAGTCCACCACAGCAAATGTGTGTAGATTTCATGCTCGACACTTACCACTCACCTATCAACAGATCATCCTGCTTGACTGTAACAAAATAAATAGTGTCTCTTCAAGTGAATGGAGATGTCTTTGATTTACCTACTTTACAGCTTTTGTAAAAAAAGAATGTCCTCACCATACGTCAGATTCTTAAGCCATCTGAGTAAACCGTGGGATTGATTATATGTGTGTAATTTATTTACACTAGTCGGTTTGTGGTGAGGAAACAGGGACCAGGTCGCATCACTTAGCTGGTGCCCCAGTAATGCTGTGTAACAAACTGTAAAATGTCAGCAATAATCTGTGCAACAAAGTATTGACTTAGCTCATGAATTTGTAGATGAGCTAATTCGGGCTGGGCTCTGTGCTGTGTGCCTCTCCTCTTCCTCATGGGACCAGCCGTGTGGCTGGATGTGTTCATGGCAGGGGCACAAGACAACACACCCTGTCACAAAGGGGCTTCTCCTGGCTTTGTCCTGTCATACCTGCTAACCTTCTTCTGGCAAAGCACATCTCCTGGCCAACCCCGGCACCAAAGGGTGTGGAACAGGCTCCACCTTTTAGTGGAGGAACCGTAAATTCACATGGCAGAGTGTGGACACAGGGAGGGATGAAGAACTGGGGCTGTCCATGGGCTCCATCTCGCCCGCCTCCTCGTGTCTACTGATAATGGAGTGGCACCAAAGTGGCTGGGACCACGGAGTCAAGTTGCCTGGAGCAAAGCCACCTCTGTCACTGCTAGTTGTGTGGCCACAGCAAGTAACCCAGCCTCTGTGAGCCCCAGCTCCTCTCTCGTAATTGGAGATGGGCTGCTGTGAGGTCAAGTGAGTTGATAAATGTTGGTGTGCTTAGACGCCATGCTTGGTTCACAGCACGGCTGCATAAGCTGTGAATACGGCTCTTATCCTGTTGTGCACCTGGAGGAAACACTGTCCCTGTAGTCAGAATAGATCGCCCGCCAGAACCACCCGAGAGGTAGATAACGGTTGATTTCTTTTATTTGGTAGGATTAGAAGTGTTTCTGCTAGGGAGCAGATTTGTGAGACCTGAAGGTTAGGCAGTCAGGGTTATGGGAAAACACTTGGAAAAAAAGACGCAGCCTTTCTCTGTCTGTCGCCCAGGCTGGAGTGCTGTGGTGCGATCATGACTCACTGCAGCCTCCAACTCCAGGGCTCCAGTGATCCTCCCACCTCAGCCTCCCAAGTAGCTGGGACTATAGGCGCACTCTCTACCACACCTGGCTAATTTTTTATTTTTGCAGAGACAGCATCTTGCTGTGTTCCCCAGGCTGGCCTCAAACCCCTGGCCTCAAGCCATGCTCCTGTCTTGGCCTCCCAAAGTGCTGGGATTACAGGTATAAGTCACTGCAGCCCAGGGATGGGTTTATATGTGTTTTCTTGTGTTTGTTTAAACTCCCTTTCTGTCTATGATTGTCAGATTTTTTTTTTTTTTTTTTTTTTTTTTTTTTTTTTTTGGAGATGGAGTCTCGCTCTGTCGCCCGGGCTGGAGTACGGTGGCGTGATCTCAGCTTACTGCAACCTTCACCTCCCTGGCTCAAGCGATTCTTGTGCCTCAGTCTCCCAAGTAGCTGGGATTACAGGTGCCCACCATTATGCTCAGCTAATTTTTGTATTTTTAATAGAGATGGGGTTTCACCATGTTGGCCAGGCTGGTCTTGAACTCCTGACCTCAAGTGATCCACCCACCGTGACCTCCCAAAGTGCTGGGATTACAGGCGTGAACCACCGCGCCTGGCCTTATGATGGTCATATCTTAATTTATATGTTTAACCTCTTGTTAAACTTTGGGCTGTAAATTAGAGCAGGTTCTGTGATTCGGTCTAATGTTTTCTAATAGTCAAAAAGTGGAAACAGCTCCGATGTTCATCAGTAGGAGAATAAATAATGATAGTCTACTATGTACAATAGAATACTGCTCAGAAATACAAAGGCATGAATTACTGAAGCACACAAAATATAAGAATGCATCTAAGAAACACTGTGCCAAGTGGGAGACGGCTCAGGTAAGAAGAGTGCCTGCTGCAAGACTTCGTTTATGTGAAGTTCTAGAATGGGCCAAATTGTCTGTGGTAGAAAATATCAAAGTCATAGTTGTCTCCAGAGGTGGGGGTGTGCACAGGGTACTTGGGGTGAAGTTCATGTTCTGCAAATGGATAGGGGCATGGGTTACACAGGTGTTGGCTTTTGTCAGAATCCAGCCATCATGTACTTAAGATTTGTGCATTTTACGAGAGAAGGAAAAAATAAATATTGAACTGCACTTCATGCTATGCGGGCTGATGTGTTTAGGGAGGAATATACTGATGTCTGCAATTTGCTTTGAAATGCATAAAAAATAAGATGGGTGAATGGGTGGGGAGAGATGAATAGGTGTATTGATACGTGATAGGCACAGTAAAACACTAATGGCAGAAACTTGGTGGTGAGTATACAGGTGTTTACTGTAAAATCCTTTCAACTTTGCTGTTTGAAAATGTTCTTAATCACACACTGGGAGAAAATAGGCACCTCACCCAACATAGCCTTCCTAAGAGCCTTCCAGATGATCTGTCTGCTCTTAGGTGTTCACAGAAAAGATGCAAAAGCCATTTCCTGGGCATATAGTTCACTTATTCTCTTGTTGATGTATTCATACAGATATAGTTATTAATATTCTTTCTCTGTTTACCAGAAAATTATAATATGGTATATTTGTTTGTTCTTGCATTGCTACAAAAAACTACCTGAGACTGGGTAATCCATAAAGAAAAGAGGTTTAATTGGCTGACAGTTCCACAGGCTGTACAGGAAGCATGGCTGGGGAGGCCTCAGGAAACTTACAGTTATAGCAGAAGGTGAAGAAGGAGTCACGTCTCACTAGGTTGGAGCAGGAGGGAGAGAGAGAAGGGGGAGGTGCTACACACTTTTAAACAACCAGATCTCATGAGAACTATCATGACAACAGCAAGAAGGAAATCCATTCCCATGATTGAGTCACCTCCCACCAGGCCCCTCCTCCAACATTGGGGGTTACAATTCAACATGAGAATTGGGCAGTGACACAAATCCAAACCATATCATTCTGCCCCTGGCCCCTCCCAAATCATGTCCTTCTCACAATGCAAAGTACAATCGTCCCTTCTCAACAGTTGCCCAGTGTTAACTCATTCCAGCATTAATTCTAAAGTCCACAGTCCAGAGTCTCATCTGAGAGAAGGCAAGTCCCTTCCACCAATGAGCCTGTAAAATAAAAAACAAGTTACCTCCAACATTCAGTGGGGGTACAGGTATTGGATAAATAATCCCAATCCAAAATGAAGAAATCTGCCAAAACAAAGGGGCTACAGGCCCCATGCAAGTCCGAAACCCAACAGGGCAGTCATTAAATCTTAAAGCTCCAAAATAATCTCCTTTGACTCCATGTCTCACATCCATGCCATAGTGATGCAAGAGGTGGGTTCCCAAGGCCTTGGGTAGCTCTACCCCTGTGGCTCTGCAGGGCTCAACTCTCATGGCTGCTCTCAAGGGCTGGCGTTGAGTGCCTATGGCGTTTCTAGGTGCATGGTGCAAGCTGCCAGTGGATCTACCATTCTGGGGTCTGGAGGACAGTGGCCTTCTTCACAGCTCCACTAGGCAGTGCCCCACTGGGGACTCTGTTGGGGGGCTCCAACCCTACATTTTCCCTGTGCACTACCCTAGCAGAGGTTCTCCATGAGGGCTCTGCCCCTGCAGCAGACTTCTGCCTGGATTTCCAGGCCTTTCCATACATCCCCTGAAATCTAGGCAGCAGCTCCCAAGCCTCAACTCTTGCCCACTGCACACCTGCAGGCTTAACACCACATGGAAGCTGTCAAGGCTTATGGCTACCACCCTCTGGAGCAGCGGCCTGAGACACATCTGGGGCCCTTTTAGCCAACGCTGGAGCTAGAGCAGCTGGGACACAGGGAGCAGTGTCCTGAGAATATGTAGGGCAGCAGGAGCCCTGGGCCTGGCCCACAAAACCATTTTTCCCTCCTAGGTCCCTGGGCCAATAATGGGAGGGGCTGCCGTGAAGGTCTCTGAAATGCCTTGGATGGATTTTCCCCATTGTCATGGCTATTAACATTCAGCTCCTCTTATGCAAATTTCTGCAGCCAGCTTGAATTCTCCCCAGAAAATTAGTTTTTCTTTTTTACCACATGGTCAGGATGCAAATTTTCTAAACTTTTATGCTCTGCTTCCCTTTTAAATATAAGTTCCTGTTTCAGATCATCTCTTTGCCCATGCATAGGACCATATGCTGTTAGAAGCGGCCAGGTTACATCTTGAACACTTTGCTGCTTAGAAATTTATTCTGCCAGATACCCTAAATCATTTCTCTCAAGTTCAATGTTCCACAGATCTCTGGGGCAGGAGCATAATGCCTCCAACTTCTTTGCTAGCACATAACAAAAGTGACCTTTGCTTCGGTTCCCAATAAGTTCTTCATCTCCATCTGAGACAACCTCAGCCTGGACTTCATAGTCTGTATCACTATTGGCATTTTGCTCACAACAATTTAACAAGTCTCTAGGAAGTTCCAACCTTTCCCTCATTTTCCTGTCTTCTAAGCCCTCCAAACTGTTCCAGCCTCTTCCTGTTACTCAGTTCCAAAGCTGCTTCCACATTTTCAGGTATCTTTATATTAATACCCCATTCCTGGGGTATTGATATAATTCTGTATTAATTCATTCTCGCATTCCTATAAAGAACTACCAGAGACTGGGTAATTTATAAAGAATAGAGGTCTAATTGGCTCACAGTTCTGCTGGCTGTACAGGAAGCATGGCTGGGGAGGCCTCGGGAAACTTACAATCATGGCAGAAGGCAAAGGGGAAGCCCGCATGTCTTACATGGCCAGAGAAGGAGGAAGAAAAGAGAAGGGGTAGGTGCTACACACTTTTAAACAACCATATCTCATGAGAATTCACTATTATGAGAACAGCAAGGGAGAAATCCACCCGCATGATCCAATCACCTCCCACCAGGCCCCTCTTCCAACATTGGAGATAACAATTCAACATGAGATTTGGGTGGGGACACAAATCCAAACCATATCATACAGTGTGCATGAAGGACTTCAAAGGGATGTTAAAACATTTATTTTTTATACATGTGCATCAGGCAAAGAGGAAGTTTTTTACAAATCCCTGTACATACTCTTGCCCCTTAAAACACTGTTTGACGTGTGGTGTCATCCAAGTTTCATGTCAGGGTTCGAAGTTGATATAATCGCTGCTTGCTTTGCTGAGTTGCTTTAACATATCTGGATATCATCTTTCTGTGTGTAGAGCGTATACCCAGGTGCCTCTGCACACATTTGTTTTTTCATCAAATGTTTGTTGAGGGTATCCTCAAACCCCTGTGCTCTTTGAGTGTTGGATCTTTGCTCTGAAGGCAGGAAAGGGAGTGCTGAGACAGCAAAGGTGACTGGAATGCCAGGAGCCTCATCTGGCTCAGAAGAAGCCCCCAAGGGCAAGCAGCATCCTTGATGTGGTGAGCTGAAAGCCAGCTCTCCCTAAAGATCTGTGGCCCCCTGGATGGATGAGTTCCCTTGGCGTCTTGCTATGCTATTTTTGTGATCCATTTCAGTCAAAGATGTGTGAAAAGCATTTTATAAGTTGTAACGTGCCCTACTGTCACTAAACCTCATACCATCAATTTTATAAAGCTCTTTTAGTGAGACCAGCCTTGCAGCAATTGCTCTATATTTAGGAAAGCAAAGATGGATATTACAAACCACAAAACTGCCCCGTTCAAGAGTTTTTTACCTACATGATAATTTTGCCTTCTCCCTGTGTTCTCTCTTTTCATAGGATTTCACCTACATATCTGTGCGTGTGTGTGTGTGTGTGTGTGTGTATTTTTTTTTTTGAGACAGGACCTCACTCTATTGCCCAGGCTGGAGTGCAGTGGCACAGTCACAGCTCACTGCAGCCTCGATCTCTCTGGGTTCAGGCAGTCCTCCCGTCTCTGCCTCCCAAGTAGCTGTGACTACAGGCGTGCGTCCCTCACCTGGTTAATTTTTCTATTTTTTTGTAGAGATGGAGTTTCATTATGTTGTCCAGATGGGTTTCGAACTCCTGGGTTCAAACGACCCTCCCAAAGTACTGGGATTACAGGTGTGAGCCACCCTGCCCAGCCTACATATTAATTTTGCTTTTGAAAAGGGAAAGTTAAGCGAATGAGAACTGGGTGTCGAAAGGATCCAGAGATTAAGATGTACACATCGAGATCCCCAGCCTGGTGGTGGCGACTCCATCGTAAGCCTGGAGTGTTTCTCCACTGACTTGACACAAGTACATCCAGCTGCCCTATCTCAATAGTGAGTTGATTTAGAGCAAACACGTCCTGTGAAGGAATTTTTAGACATTTTTGCTCTATTACAGCTCATTATGTAGGCATTTAAAGAGAGCTCAAGAATATGTAGGAAAAAATGTTTCTAAAAATTCTTTGTTTTCTCTGGCATTTCCTAAGTTCTAAACTTTAAACTTTTTCTTCAGAGAGGAATTTATTTTTATACCAATGACATTTGATTACTCAACTGGATATACTTAAACAGCTAAACATTCTACCAGAAGACTGACGTCCTTGTTCATATCCGATCATATATAAATACTGGCCTATGAACAAAACTGGGGAGATGTGTTACCCTTTTTTTGTTATTTATTTTTTTTAATTTAATCATTATTATTGTTGTTATTATTATTATTATTATTTTTGAGATGGAGTCTTGCTCTGTCACCCGGACTGGAGTGCAATGGTGCGATCTTGGCTCACTGCAACCTCCGCCTCCCAGGTTCAAGTGATTCTCCTGCCTCAGCCTCCTGAGTAGCTGGGATTACAGGCACGTGCCACCACGCCCAGCTAATTTTTGTATTTTTAGTAGAAACGGGGTTTCACCATGTTAGCCAGGATGGTCTCAATCTCCTGACCTTGTGATCTGCCCACCTCAGCCTCCCAAAGTGCTGGGATTATAGGTGTGAGCCGCCGCGCCCGGCCCTATTTATTTATTTTTTGTGGCCCATTCTAATCAAAGGAAGAAGAAAAAAAAGAATATAGCATGCAGGGAGAGTTTCAAATACGAAAAACCCTGAGTGTGAATATTTTGTTTACATTATTCTGCTCGTGCAGAATTTTCAGTCTTAAACTATCGCCTGTAGAACGGATATTTGGAATTAGAGTACTTTTTAAACTATTACTGGCATGAGCCTTTCTTCTTAAATTGATTCAAAGGACTCAAACTATTAGCAAATATTACATGTTGTCTTAATCCGTTCAGGCTTCTATAACAAAGTACCATAGACTGAGTGAATCATAAACAACACAGAAATTGATTTCTCACAGTTCTGGAGGCTGGAAATCCAAGATCAGGGTGCCCCTGTGGTCAGGTTCTGGTGAGAACCGGGTTGTTGGCCTGGTTGTATCCTCACATGGTGGAAAGAGAGCAAAGTAGCTCTCAGGCCTCTTCTTATAAGGGCGCTAATCCCATTCATGGGGAGTTCTGCCCCCATGACCTGATTACCTCCCAAAGATCCCACCTCCTAATACCAGCACACTGGGGTTAGGATTTCAACATCTAGTTAGGGGATAAGGGGGGCAAACATTCAGTCCATAACAGTTGTCAACTTTTTAGCATATATAAGAAAAGCATGTTCAATTTTTTTTTCTTATTTTTGAGAAGGAGTTTTGCTCTTGTTGCCCAGGCTAGGGTACAATGGCGCGATCTTGGCTCACTCCAACCTCCGCCTCCTCGGTTCAAGTGATTCTCCTGCCTCAGCCTCCCGAGTAGCTGTGCCACCAGGCCCGGCTAATTTTGTATTTTTAGTAGAGATGGGGCTTCACCATGTTGGCCAGGCTGGTCTCGAACTCCTGACCTCAGGTGATCCACCCACCTCGGCCTCCCAAAGTGCTGGGATTACAGGCGTGAGCCACCGCACCTGGCTTCTTCAATGTTTTTCTAAGTTTGATTGAAAAAGAAACCAAAATGGTATTTATGAATTAGAAGGGAGAGATGTAGATCTTAATGTATATGACAGCTATAACCTAAAGGTTGCAAGGAAAAGGACACACCTAGTGGTAAAGTTGCTACATTCCTCTGGAAGTAATGAAATATTAATTCTGAATAGGCTATGGACCGGGCACAGTTGCTCACGCCTGTGATCCCAGCACTTTGGGACGCCAAGGCAGGAGGATCGCTTGAGCCCAGGAGTTCAAGACCATCCTGGCAGCATGACAAAACCCCATCTCTACTAAAAATACAAAAAAATCAGCCAGGCATGGTGACCTGCACCTGTAGTCCCAGCTACTGGGGAGGCTGAGGTGGGAGGATCACTTGAGCACAGGAGACAGAGGTTGCAGTGAGCTGAGATTGTGCCACTGCACTCCAGCCTGGGCGGCAGAACCACGCCCTGTCATAAATAAATAAATAAATAAATAAATAGTTTTTTCAAAATAGGCAATGAAATGCCTGTGTATTGTCATCTCTAGAACAAGCACTTAAAAACTGTACAAAGAGATTCAGACAACTCAATAGATAACTTTCGACCTTGCTCAGATAGCCCAAAAGAGGGCAGTAGAAGGGAAGCCGCAACAACAACAACCAGAAGAAACAAAACAAATATTAAAATAGCAGACCTGCCTGGGCGCGGGGGCACACACCTGGAATCCCAGCACTTTGGGAGGCCGAGGTGACAGGATCGCTTCAGCCCAGGAGTTCAAGACCAGCCTGGAAGACATAGGGAGACCCCGTCTCTACAAAAAAAAAAAAAAATTACCTGGGTGTAGTGAAATGTGCCAGTGTTCCCAGCTACTAGGGAGACTGAGGCAGGAGGATCACTGGAGCCCAGGAATTGGAGGCTGCAATGAGCCATGATCACACTACTACACTCCAACCTGAGCGACAGAGTAGACCCTGTCTCAAAAAAGAAAAATAAATTCTCCAAATACTGTAAAAAAAAAAAAAAAAAGGAAGTGGCTATTTCTGCTCTCCACATGAAAATCTGTTATATGACAACACTTGGAGTTCATCAAACACTTGGAGCCCAGTGGGAGCAAGACTGTACAGCTACCTCCCTCCAAGTTCAGATTGGCCCTCCTGCCTTCTGCCACAGAAGGGGACTGGTGGTCTGGTGATTATGGGCGGCGGCGGTGAAGGGGGTAATTGGGGGCATCGGATATAGATTCTCAGGCACTATTTCTACTGACAGTCCCCCGTACTTCCCCCGCCGACACCCCACTCCCTGCAGAAGCACCTGGTACCACAAAGAGTCTTGCTCCTGGCAGGTCTGCATCTCAGCCTTCTGGTCTACCCAGCCAGTTGGCATTTGTCTATCACCTTTCCTGCTACCAGGATCTTTTTGGTAAATCATCTGCTGTGTTCTCTGAGGGTTAATGCCTCTTTTAAGCTGTTTCTGTCATTTTAGTGGGCTTTGAGGAGAGGGTGTAGTTAAATGCATGTGTGCATTGCTTTTTTTTTTTTTTAAAAAAGATAACCAATAGTGCAGAAAAGCACATAAACTTGTCACATTGTAGGACACTGAAGAACAAAAGAGATCACATAGAATTCCCCAGCCAGTCAGGAGTCTGAGACCAGCCTGGCCAACATGGTGAAACCCCGTCTCTACTAAACATACAAAAAATTAGCTGGACGTGGAGGCGGGCGCCTGTAATCCCAGCTACTCGGGAGGCTGAGGCAGGAGAATCGCTTGAACCCGGGAGGTGGAGGTTGCAGTGAGCCGAGATTGCACCACTGCACTCCAGCCTGGGCAACAAGAGCAAAACTCTCTCAAAAATAAAAAATAAAAGAATTCTCCAGCCAGACATAGGCAGTGTGTTAGTGTCCTATTGGTGCTGTAACAATTTACCACAAACTTAGTGGTTTAAAATGCCACATTTACGCATTACAGTTGTGAAGGTCAGAAGTCTGTAATCTGTCACGCCAAGCTAAAGTCAAGGTGTGAGCAGAGCTGTGTTCCTTTCTGGAAGCTCCAGGGAGAATTGGTTTCTTGCCTGTCTAGTATCTGGAGGCCACCCCATTTCTGGTCTCACGACCCCTTCCTCCATCCGCAAAGCCAGCAGTCTAGCGTCTTCCAGTCTCTCCCTGACCCTCCTTCTATCATCTCATTTCCCTCCCTGACCCTCTTGCCTCCCTCACACAAGAACCCTTGTGATGACACTAGCCCACCTGGATAAGCCGGGATCATCTCCCCACATCTGGATCCTCGATTCCATCACAGCTGCAAAGCCTGTTTTGCCATGGAAGGCAACATAGCCACGTACCCCCTTCCTTCCTTCCTGCCCTCCCTCCTTCCCACCTTCCTTCCTTCCTTCCCCCATTCCTCCCCTCACTCTCTCCTTCCCTCCGTCTTTCTCTCCCTCTTTCCCTTCCTCCCTCCCTCCATTCTTTTCCTCCCTCCCTGTCTCCTTTTTCCTTTTGCTTTTTTTAAGGAAACAGGATTATATAATAATATTTTCGAAATCTGCTTTTTACTTAGCAGTATTGGGAACGTTTTCCTTAATTATTCTTCAACATAGTATTGAATTTTGGTGTGATATCCCATTATAAGGATATAAAATGGTTTACTGAACAGTTCTCTAAGTGTGGTTTTAGGATTTTGCCTTTTTGTCCCAGTTGTAACCTCAGTTACAGAGTTCATTGGGTGTGCTTTGCACTTAGATCTTTGCACACATCTCTGCTCATTTGCTCAGAATAAATTCCTTCTTATGGAAACCCTGTAAGCAAAGGAGTCCGGTGGGATTTTGACTTCCATGTAATGTTTAGTCCTACATACTGGGTAGCTGGCATCGTTTGCCTTTTGGCAGCCTCATTTCTTACACAGGTTCCATTTGAAGCTGTCCCCAGTCTTAGCAGGTCAGTTTCACACACTCCGCATCTTCCACTTGTCTTACCTACCGAAACTGTTCCAACAAGCCTGTAATTCAAGACTTAGCTAGAAAAAGGTCATTTCCCATGAACTAACAGTGTCTTTCCCAGCTGGCGCGGTGGCTCGCTCCTGTGATCCCAACATTTTGGGAGGGTGAGACAGGCAGATCGCCCGAGTCCAGGAGTTGAAGACCAGCTTGGACAACAAAGCGAGACTCCATCTCTACAAAAAATACAAAAATTAACCAGGCATGGTAGTGCGTGCCTGTGGTCCCAGCTACTTGAGAGGCTGAAGAGGGAGGATCTCTTGAGCCCAGGAGGTTGACTGAGGCTGCAGTGAGTTGCAGTTTTGCCACTGTACTCCAGCCTGGGGGAGAGTGAGACCTTGTCTCAAAAAAATAAAATTAAAATTAATGGTGTCTTTCCTAATACATGGGTTGTCAGTGGCCTTCACAACTCAATCTCATCCAGGTTGGTGCCACTTCTGCTAACGCCTGTACTTATATATTACCACTGCTTAAAAAAAAATGTCGGCCAGGCACAGTGGCTCACGCCTATAATTCCAACACTTTGGGAGGCCGAGGTGGGCGGATCACGAGGTCAGGAGTTCGAGACCAGCCTGGCCAACATAGTGAAACCCCCATCTCTACTAAAAATATGAAAAAATTAGCTGGGCGTGGTGGCAGGTGCCTGTAATTCCAGCTACTCAGGAGGCTGAGGCAGGAGAATCGCTTGGACCCAGGAGCCGGAGGTTGCGGTGAGCCGAGATCACGCCATTGCACTCCATGCTGGGTGACAAGAGTGAAACTCCGTCTTAAAAAAAAAAAAAGCATTACCTGCAGGTGATATGAGTTAGACACCAGTTCTAGGGCTGGTGGGGAGAGAGAAATTAGGAGCCCATACGAATGTTGGAGTGGACCCTGCAGGTGTATTAGCAAACATACCTACCCTCCAAAGGCTGACAGAGCAAAAGAGGCTACATGATGAAGCAAATGAAGCAACTAAAGGGTGGTGGCTGCAGCGACCTCAGGACCTAGGACTGACACCTGGATGAGCAGGGTGACTGGTGGAATGTGGGAACAGAACAGAACATTGAGGGAGGGCCTCAGAACTGGAAACCATGGCTACCGTGTTGATGAGAACTCCCAGCTGCCTGGACCAAGAAGCCGGTGCTGAAGAACTAGGCAGGACGTCCGAGAGGAGCTGTGTCCATGTCGGCCCCGCTGGCCAGGTGAGCTGACTGCCCTCCCCTCAAGCCACCGGTTCATGCGAAGACCACGTCGCTAGGTAGCGGAGGTTCATTCCCTCTTTATTGTGTATTTATTTTTTTATTGTGGTGAAGTATATGTAACATAAAATTGACCATTTTAGCCATTTAAGTGTACAGTTCAATGGCAGTAAGTACATGTAATTGTTGGGTAACTGTCACCACTGTCCACCTCCAGAACTTTTTATCTTCCCCAAATGAAACTCTGTCCCCGTGAAACATGAACTCCCCTTTAGTTCCCGCCAGCCCCTGGCAACTACCACCTACTTTCTGTCTATGAATTTGACTCTCTATTACAGGTACCTCCCATATGGGTAGCCAGACAGTTTTTGTCCTTTTGTGACTGGCTTCTTTCACTCAGTGTAATGTCTTCGAGGTTCGTTTGTGTGGTAGCCTGTGTCAGAACTTCCTTTTTGAGACTGTGGATAGAAATCGTATTTCTGGTGTCGGTATAGACCACATTTGGCTTCCATTGTCTGTGGGTGGGCACTTGGGTTGTCTCCACCTTTGGTTACTGTGAATAATGTTGCTATGAACATGGGTGTGGAAATATGTCTTTGAGTCCCTGCTGTCCCATCTTTTTGAGTATATACCCAGAAATGGAATTGCTGGATCACATAGCAATTCTTTTTTTTTTTTTTTCTAAGAGGAAATCTCCCTCTGTCACCCAGGCTGGAGTGCAGTGGTGTAATCTCGGCTCACTGCAACCTCCGCCTCTCGGGTTCAAGCAATTCTTGTGCCTCAGCCTCCCGAGTAGCTGGGACTACAGGCACACACCACCACACCCAGCTAATTTTTTTTTTTTTTTTTCTACTAGAGACAGGATTTCAACATGTTGGCCAGGCTGGTCTCGAACTCCTGACCTCAGGTGATCCACCCACCTCGGCGTCCCAAAGTGCTGGGATTACAGGCATGAGCCACGCACCAGGCGCTTTTTTTCTTTTTTGTGAGACAGGGTCTCGCTCTGTTGCCCAGGCTGGAGTGCAGTGAGATCATGGCTCACTGCAACCTCGAACTCCCAGGCTCAGGTGATCCTCCCACCTCAGCCTCCTCCCAGGTAGCTGGGACTATAGGTGTGCACTACCAAGCCTGGCTAATTTTTGTAGAGATGGGGTTTCACTATGTTGCCCAGACTGGACTTAAACTCCTGGGCTCAAGCAATCCTCCTCCCACCTCAGCCTCCCAAAGTGCTGGGATTAAAGGTGTGAGCCACTGTGCCTGGATGATTTTCCTACCTTTTTAAGGCTGAATAATATTCCATGGTATGGATAGATCACGTGTTGCTTCTCCATTCATCTGTCAATGGACACTTGAGTGGCTTCTGCCTTTTGGCTACTGTGAATGAGCTGCTATGAACATGGGTGTGTCAATAACTGGTCAAGACCCTGCTTTCACTTCTTTTGGGTATATGCCCAGAAGGTGAATTGCTTTATCAGGTGGTATCTGTTTTTTTACTTTTTTAAGGAATTGCCATACTGTTTTCCACAGCATCTGCACCATTTTACATTCCCATCAACAATGTACTAAGGATCCCATTTCTCCACATCCTTGCCAACACTTGTTATTTTGTTTCTTTAAAATAGTAGCTGGCTGGGTGTGATGGCTCACGCCTGTAATCCCAGCACTTTGGGGCCGAGGAGGGTGGATCACCTGAGGTCAGGAGTTCAAGACCAGCCTGGCCAACATGGCGAAACCCTGTCTCTACTAAAAAGACAAAAAAAATTAGCTGGGCGTGGTGGCACATGCCTGTAATCCCAGCTACTCGGGAGGCTAACGCAGGAGACTCGCTGGAACCCAGGAAGGCTTGCAGTGAGCGGAGATCACACACCACTGCACTCCAGCCTTGGGCAACAGAGCAAGACTCTGTCTCAAAAAAAATTTTTATATTTATAGTGAGTGTATGTTCTTACACTAAGGACGGTAAATAAAGTAGGAATCAGGAGGCCTTCACAGGACTGGGGTTAATCAAAAGTCAACACTGCTGGATTAGCATCCAAGATGGAGTCACTTTTGTCTCCACACAGGGCTGTTCCTGTGTCTGCATCTTCTCTGAAGAGCCATCTCGAAATATGCCGAAAAAGGATATATATCTCTTTTGTGTATGAACCTGTGTGATACCTAGCGAAGCCTACGGACCTTTTTCCAGAAAAGATGCAAAAACAAGGTGCCCAGGATTACACTTATTTTGAAATGCAGTTATTGAACCAGGCACAGTGGTTCATGCCTATAATCCTAGCACTTTGGGAGGCCGAGGTGGGAGGATCACTTGAACCCAGGAGTTCGAGACCAGCCTGGGCAACATAACAAGACCCCCATCTCTACAAAAAAATACAGAAAGAAATTAGCTGAGTGTAGTGGGACACTCCTGTGGTCCCAGCTACTTGGGAGGCTGAGGTGGGAGGATGGTTTTTGCCCAGCAGGTTGAGGCTGATTGAGCTATGATCACTTCACTGCACTCCAATCTGGGAGACAGAGACCCTCTCTCTAATAATAATCATCATCATTTGTTCAAGAATATCTTGCCAAAAAGAATGATTACTATAAATGTGGCATCCGCCAGGAATGTTCCGGCCGTTAGGAGGGACTTCTGACATCAGCCTGGAACAACCTCTGACCCATCCCTCCCCAGCATGCCTCCCCGATAAAGTTCAGACCCTCAGTGTTCTCCAGCAACTCTTTCTTTCCTTCCTCCCTCCTTCCCTCCCTCCCTCCCTCCTGCCCTTCCATTTCTCTCTCCCTCCCTCCCCCTTCCTTCCTTCCTTCCTTCCTTCCTTCCTTCCTTCCTTCCTTCCTTCCTTCCTTCCTTCCTTCCTTCCTTCCACTCACAATGTCTATTTTATCCCATCTTTATTCATCACTTAAAAATGAGTGTCTCTTTCCAGAGTGGATCTTCCTTGGGAAGTCGGGGAGAGGTATGTGAGCTACTCCTCTGTACCCTTCCCAGCACCCAGGAGAGCCTTTCAAAGTTTTCTGCATATACATGTGGGTGTCTTTTAAAAACAAAACTGGGGGCATACAACTACACACACACACACACACACACAAACACAAACACACACAAGGAGACACACAAACACACACAGGGAGACACACACAAATACACAACACACACACACAAGGAGACACACACAAACACACACAAGGAGACACAGACAAATACACAACACACACAAGGAGACACAGACAAATACACAACACACACAAGGAGACACAAACACACACAAGGAGACACAGACAAATACACAACACACACAAACACAAACACACAAGGAGACACACAAACGCATATATATATAAAACAACATGTATATTTATACATTCTTTTGCATCCTTTTCCCACTTAGCAAACAGTGACAATTTCCTGTCACTAAAATGCTTTTGAAGACTTCATTGTAAATGGTTGAATAGTATGCTATATCACCTGGAATTATGAAATGTACTTAAGCATCCGTATTGCTTCACATATTACTTGTCTCCAGATTTCTCTTATTCCTAGTGTCAACAACACCCCTGGTGAGCATCAGTGCCCAGACACTTTGATCCCACTTCTCTGATTTGTCCACTAGAATTGGTTCCAAGAAATAGGAGATTGGGTCAGGAGACAGCCATGTTTTTATTACTCTTGATAATAATTTTTTTTTTAGGCGGAGTCTGGCTCTGTTGCCCAGGCTGGAGTGCAGTGGCTCTATCTCTGCTTACTGCAGCCTACAACTCCCGAGTTCAAGCGATTCTCCTGCCTCAGCCTCCCGAGTAGCTGGGACTACAGGCGTGCACCACCATGCCCGGCTAATTTTTGTATTTTTAGCAGAGATGGGGTTTCACCATGTTGGCAAAGCCGGGCTCAAACTCCTGACCTCAAGAGATCTGCCCTATTCGGCCTCCCAAAATGCTGGGATTACAGGTGTGAGCCACCATGCCTGGCCTTACTCTTGGTAATAATTAATTAATACACTTTTATGTTTGTGTCTCTGTATGCTCACCATTTTTTCCAATTAAAAAAGTAATAGACCTTAAGACACGAAAAGAGAAATCACCAGTAATCCTAATATTCAGATGCATCTTGTTTTGTCTTCCCAGCCTATTTTATGATAGGCAAAAATAAGATGATACTACTATAGATACTAACGAGTTTGTTATCTGCATTTTAGATCCAACCCACCATGGACATTTTCTCACGTTACTAAATCTTTTTCTACTTTACTATCTGCAAAGTATTATAATAAATGATTGGCTTCATTTTAACATATACTAGGTAGTAAAGTGTATTTATGTACTCAAACTAATGAATCTTCCATTGCTTGACAACATTTTATTGGAGACATGGTCTTGCTATGCTGCCCAGGCTGGTCTCAAACTCCTCGGCTCAAGCAAGTTTCCCGAGACAACTGTTTTGTGAAATATTTTTTATTGTTTTCTTGTTTTAAATAATCATGCTTATTGCAGAAATATTTGAAAATACTGAACAGCCAGGCACCTTTAAAAAATTACAATCTGAGTGTCATAAATGGACACAACATTGCGTGAAAGAAACCAGTCACACAAAAGCATTGACCGTATGATCCCCATTTTGAAAAACAGGCAAAATAGAAGTAAGATGTGTGGGGATGCATGCTGAGATGACAAAACTATGAAAGCAAGCAAGGAAGTGGGAATATTGTGTATCTGAAATGAAATGCTGGCTCCATGGGTGTTCACCCCACCATCGTTCATTGAGCTGCACACTTGTGTGCTTTTCTATATGTGTGTGACCCTTCACAATCCAAATAGCTTAGAAAAAACTCAGAATCTCTCAAACCCAGTTAAAAATGTCTCCTAATAGCTTAGGATGTAGATTTTCAGTTCGATTTGTATCTATGATTATATCGTACATATTATTTTGAAACATGTAATTTGTATTTGAAATATTACGGACACCTCCCTTTTGGTCACACAGAATGTCAACTAGAATGGCTGTCATGAAAAACATTAAAAATACCAAATGTTGGAGAAAATATGAAGAAACTGGAACCTCCATCATTGCTGGTGGGAATATAAAATGGTGCAGCCACGTGGGAAAACAGTTGAGCAATTTACAAAAAGTTAAATGCGCACTTAACATATGAACCACCAATTTCACTCCTAGGCATCTACACCAGATAAACAAGGACATATGCCCATACAAACTTTTATATTCAAGTGTTCATGACAGCATAGTTTATAATGGCCAAAACATGGCACCAAACCAAATGTCCAAAAGCTGATGAATGAACAAACTGTGGTCTACCCACACAATGGAACACCATTCAGCAATGAAAAGGGACAACCTTCTCATACCTGCTGCAACATGGATGACCCTTGGAAACGTGCCATGTGAAAAGAGCCACACAAAACTCTTATACCTTGTATGATTCCATTTGTATTGTCAATGTTGGCGTATAGCTCCATCGCGTGGACATAGCATAAATTCCTTCACCAAGCCCTGTTGTTGGACTTGACGTTGTTCCCCGGTTTCCAATATTACAAGCAATGCTGTGAGGACCATCTTTGTGGCTACATATTTGTGGCCGACCTTATTCATGTCTTTGCACCAATGCCCAGAAGTGGAACTGCCAGTCTGAAGGTGTGTGCATTTTAAAGCTTTCGGGAAATATCGCGGAGCGGCCCTGCACAAAGTTTGCTCAGACTGCACTCCCACCAGCAGATCTAGAGGGTCTAGTGTCTCCTTTCTCCAATACAACACCTCCCTCTTGGCGCTACTCACCCATGGGAGGCTGTCCCAGGTCCCAGGGTCCCCCCGCTCACCATGCTCTGTATTTGTTTGTAGTTTCCTGGGTGCGCTGCCACCATGGTCTGGTTCTGCAACAGTGCCGACTGCCAATTTTCAGTCTTCGCCCTTACCACCATAGGATGGATCCTCTCCTCTACGTCCACGGGCCTCGTGGAGTGGCGAATATGGTACATGAAAGACACCTCGCTCTACCCCCCTGGAATCGCCTGCGTGGGAATATTTAGAGTCTGCATTTACCGGCGTCGCACCAACAGCACCACAACCAAATTTTGTTACCGATACAGCTACCAGGACACCTTTCTCCCTTTTGAAATTTCCATGGCTCAACGCTTCCTACTGACTGCCAGCATTTTCGGATTCTTCGGGAGAGCCTTTAACATGTTTGCACTTAGAAACATGTCCATGAGAATGTTTGAGGAGGACACCTACAATTCATTCGTTGTTTCAGGAATTCTCAACATTGCTGCTGGTGTCTTTAACTTAATTGCTGTGCTCCAGAACTACGATGCCGTCATAAACTCACAGGGGATCACCTTCCTGCCATCTCTCCAAATGCCCTTCAAGCCAGATGTGCAGGAAGTTGGCACTGCCATTCAAGTGGCAGGGATAGGTGTCTTGCCGATGCTGTTAACTGGGATGTTTTCTCTGTTTTACAAATGTCCCCCGTACGGCCAAGTGCATCCTGGTATTTCAGAAATGTGAATTTCCTGGTTGCATTGGCTTTGCAAATCTAAGATTTCTGGGAGTTTATGGAAAATGTTATTAGCATGCTCTACCAAATATTTCCAACGACTCAAGACCGTGGCATGGGTAGTTTGGGACAGAAGGTGGCCAACTGCCTCCTTCTGTTATCTTGTGTATCTGAATGTGGCTCACTGATTTGTTGGTTGAATTGAGAACTTTTATTTAAAAGTCTTCCCACCTGCCAGTTGGTCTTATTGCATCTGAATTTTAATTATTGTTGGCTACAGCAAATAATCAACCCTGTAAACTAAGAGTAGGGAAATAAGAGTTTCTGAGTACATTAACTTCTCACATTTCCCTCTTAAACTTTTGCTACAAACAATCATAGGCCAGGCATGGTGACTTACGCCTGTAATCCCAGCACTTTGGGAGGCCGAAGTGGGAGGATCACTTGAGGCCAGGAGTTCAAGACCAGCCTGGGCAGCATAGCAAGACCTGGTCTCTACAAGAAAAAAAAAAAATAGCTGGGTGTGGTGGTGCGTGGCTGTGATTCTAGTTACTTGGGAGGCTGAAGTGCGAGGATCACTTGAGCCCAGGAGTTGGAAGCTCCAGTGAGACGTGATGGCACCACTGCACTCCAGCCTGGGCCATATAACAAGACCCTGACTCTTTAAAAAAACTCCAATAAACAAAAAACCAAGAATGGACCTTATTTTCTATGTCATGGTAATAACATCTCCCTACCATATAAAGTTTTCTAAAATGTGCAAAAGTAGAGAGGATAGCATAAGGAATCTCCACACACCCATTGCCAGACTCCACAGTTACTGAGATTAGGGCACTTCTGCTTTCTCTTTCCATTCTTTTACCTTTCTAATCTATGTTTCTTTTTCCCAAGTTTTTTTTTTTTTTTGAGACAGAGTCTTGCTCTGTCGCCTGGACTTGAGTGCGGTGGCGTGATTTTAGCTCACTGCAACCTCTGCCTCCCAGGTTCAAGCGATTCTCCTGCCTCAGCCTCCCGAACAGCTGGGATTACAGGCACCTGCCACCATGCCTGGCTAATTTTTGTATTTTTAAAAATATTGGGGTTTTACCATGTTGGCCAGGCTGGTCTCAAACTCCTGGCCTCAAGTGATCCGCCTGCGTCGGCCTCCCAAAGTGCTGAGATTACAGGTGTGAGCCACTGCACCCGGCCTCTTTTTCCTAAGTATTTTAAAGCAAACCCCAGACACCATGTCCCAGACACCATGTCCCTTCATCCCCATATACTCTTAAAAAGTGGACACTTCTCACATAACCATATATGTAAAAAACTGAGCAGTTATTCCTCATTATGAAATAGTCAGAATGTTTAGATGCCTTAAAAATAATTCTGTAGTTTTATTTGTCCCACACAAAGTGCTCACTCTGCCTCTGAAGTGTCCATCTAAAACACTCCCCCAGTGCACGCGCGCACACACACACACACAGAGCAACCCCTCTGCCTTTTTTTTTTTTTTTTTCCCTGAGGCAGGGTCTCACTCTGTCACCCAGGTTGGAGTGCAGTGGCATGATCAAGGATTGGTGCAGCCTTGACCTCCAGGCTCTGGTGAGCCTCCCACCTCAACCTCCAAAGTAGATGGGACTACAAGCGTGCACCACCATGCCTGCCTAATTTTTTGTATTTTTATAAAGATGAGGTCTTGCCATGTTGCCCAGGCAGGTCTTGAACTCCTGGGCTCAAGCGATCCTCTTGCCTCAGCCTCCCAAGCACTGAGATTACATGTGAGAACCACCGTGCCTGACCTCATGTGCCTTTTTAATAAATGATTTTGATTTGCTGAAGAAAGTGGATTAATTTAACTCGTTACCTCTAGAGGCTTGATTAGAGTCCTGGTCAGTTCTCAGGAAGAGTATTTCATAGGTGGTACCACGTACTTCCTGCTGACTGCACTATGCCAGGGGTACATGGTCATTATCCCTTTCAGTGATGCTAACATTGATCAGTGGATCCATGAAGGGAACGCCTGATCCCTTTTGTAAGTTGCTTCATAAAACTTCCACCCAACCCTAATGGTTTCATCTATTGATGGTCCTTGTTAGAATAAATTATCGCACTGAGGATTGCGAGTGGTGACCTTTCCTTTCTTCCATCCCTCCCCCTCCCTCTCTCCCTCGTTCCCTTCCTTCCCTTCTTCCCTCTCTCCCTTCCTTCCTTCCCTCCTTTCCTCCTTTCCTCCTTTCATTCTCTCCCTCCCTCCTTCCCTCCTTCTCTTTTTCTCTTCCTCTCTCCCCCCCTCCCTCTGTTCCTCCTTCATTCCATCCCTCCCTCCCTCCCCTCCTCTCCCTCCCTTTTTCCTCCTTCTCTTTCTCCCTTCTTCCCTCTTTCTCTTCTTCCATCTTTCTCTTCTTCCCTCCTTCCCTAATTCTTTCCCTCTGTTTCTCTTTCCCTCCTTCCCTCTCTCCATCTCTCCCTCCTTCCCTCCTTCCCTCCTTCCCTCCTTCTCTCCCTCCCTCCTTCCTTCCTTCTCTTCTTTCCCTCCCCTCTTCCCTCCTTCTCGTCCTCCCTCCTTCCCTCCTTTTCTCCTTCCCTCCCTCCCTCCTCTCCTCCTTCTCTCCCTCCCTACTTCCCTCCCTCCCTTCTTCCTACAGGAATCTCTGTCGCCCAGGTTAGAGTGCAGTGGCAGGATCATGGGTCACCGTAATCTCACACTCTTGAGCTCAAGCAACCTGCAACCCTCCCGCCTTAGCCTTCCAAGTAGCTGGGACGGGAGGTGTGTGCCACCATGCCCAGCTAATTTCTAATAAGTTTTTGTAGAGATGGGATCTCACTATGTTGCCCAGGCTGGTCTCCCACTCCTGTCCTCAAGCAATCCTCCTGTCTCGACCTCCCAAAGCTGCAAGTGGTGACTTTCTAATGTGAACATTCTAGCCAGATATATCAGCTGGGATGCTTTTGTGTGAGGGTCTATGGTCCCAGCTACTTGGGAGGCTGAGGTGGGAGACTCTCTTGAGCCCAAGAGTTGGAGACCAGCCTGGGCGAGACCCCATCTCTAAAAAAAAAAAGTTTTCCCTCATCAACTATGGCTATTTGGTTACTCTAAAATTCAGTGCACACCCAAAAAAAGGGAGAGTAAATGCTTCGTTCTTTTCTCCAATTGTTGATTTCTAGAGTGAAAAAGGAGAATTAGGGTTGACCAATGTATTGGTTGTTTTTACTATTTCTGTTGTTTTTTTTTTCTTTTTTTGAGACAGGGTCTCAATGTCGCCCAGCTGGAGTGCAGTGGTGCAATCTTAGCTCACTGCAACCTCCACCTCCCAAGCTCAAGTGATCCTCCAACCTCAACCTGGAGAGTAGCTGGGACTACAGGTGCACGCCACCATGCCAAGCTGGATTTTGTATTTTGTAGAGACAGCATTTCACCGTGTTGCCCAGGCTGGTCTCGAACTCCTGAGCTCAAGCTATCTGCCTGCCTCGGCCTGAACTCATGAAATTGTTTCTGTGTTTTTATTTTGGAAATTTTCAAGTGCATTACAAAGTAGAGAGGCTACGGCCTCAGCCTCAATCATTATCAATATCCGACCAGCCGTGTTTCAGCCCTACCCTTACTCCCTGTCCTGTCTCCACCACGGATGATTTTAAATAAATCCCTGGCAATATGTTATTGTATCCACAAATACTTCTATATGTATCTCTCAAAGATACAGACCTCTTACTCTTTTTTTTTTTTTTTTTTTGGAGTCTCACTCTGTCACCAGGCTGGAGTGCAGTGGCGTGATCTCTGCTCACTGCAACCTCCACCTCTCGAGTTCAAGTGATTCTCCTGCCTCAGCCTCCCGAGTGACTGGGATTACAGGCGCGTGCCACCATGCCCAGCTAATTTTTTGTATTTTTAGTGGAGACGGGGTTTCACCGTATTGGCCAGGATGGTCGCGATCTCCTGACCCGGCCTCCCAAAGTGCTGGGATTACAGGCATGAGCCATCGTGCCCAGTCCTCTTATTCTCTTTAACATAACCACATTGCCACAATCACACCAAAAAGTTAACTTCTTTTTTAAATTCGTTTTTATTTTTTAAATGAAAAAATATATGTAAACAAATTTAGATGGGTGTCTCACTATATCGCACAGGCTGGTCTCGAAGTTTTGGGCTCGAGCAGTCTGCCCACCTCGGCCTCCCAAAGTGCTAGGATTACAGGCATGAGCCACCATGCCTGGCCAGTCATTTATTAATATATTCAAATAGTCAGTGTTCACATTTCCCTAGTTATCTCATAAATGTTTGTAACAGTAACCTGTGGGTTTTTATATGTTCCATATGTTTCACTCAATTGCATTCATCCTTCCTTTTTATGATCAAATTGTCCCATCTTTGGCAGTAGAGCCATGGTGACATGTGTGTCCTTTGACATGTCCCCATCAGTTTTTTTTTTTTTAAGATTAAAAAAGCCTCTTTATTCAGGACAATCCTAACATTACTATTTACCTCAAGCAACTCTTCACTTTATCAATAAAATTCACTCTACAAAATAATTTTCCTAAAGAACAAAATGGTAAAGAGAAGGACATATCAACAATACTACTTACTACATTCATCAAGTGATAGAGAGAGAGATTGAAATTCAAGCATATTTATTTACTTATTTACTCTACATCTAATTACCTTTTATACCAGTGGTTTGTAACCTCACGGAAATTCTCCCAGAAGAATGTCCATACACACAAATTATGCACAGGTTCTCAAAACTCTCTTGGAACCTAATCTTGGATTTCATTTTCAAAATAAGTGACAATTTCCAAACATTATTTTTTCTTTTTTTCTTTTTTTTTTTTTTGAGATGGAGTCTCCCTCTGTCACCCAGGCTGGAGTGCAGTGGCACGATCTCGGCTCACTGCAACCTCCGCCTCCCAGGTTTAAGCAATTCTCCTGTCTCAGCCTCCTGAGTAGCTGGGATTACAGGTGCGCACCACCACACACAGCTAATTTTTGTATTTTTAGTAGAGACAGGGTTTCACCATATTGGTTAGGCTGATCTCGAACTCCTGACCTCAGGTGATCCACCTGCCTCAGCCTCCCAAAGTGCTGGGATTACAGGTGTAAGCCACCACACCCAGCCCCCAAAATTATTTTTTTCAGGTACAGTCTAGAAATTCCCTCATCTCATAATCTTCAGCTTATTTTTCTTTTTTTTGAGACAGAGTTTTGCCCTGTCGCCCAGGCTAGAGCTCAGTGGCGCAATCTCGGCTCACTGCAAGCTCCGCCTCCCGGGTTCACACCATTCTCCTGCCTCAGCCTCCCAATCTTCAGCTTATTTTTTAAACGAATTAACTTTACCAGTTAAAAACCTTCCTAGAATATTAATGAGCACAGATATATTATGCTGAAACCCGTTTTATTAAACAGCTTTGAGTATTGGTTTCTACATTTAAGGTTTAAGAAAAAATAGGAAGTTTAATAAAATTGAATTGATACTGAAGTCATTTTCCATTCTTTCAAGAAACATGACTAAAAAGTATGTTAATATCTTAAAAGGGAAGGATTTTACTGCAGAAACGCTATCCCAGGAGCACAGCAAACTCTACACGCATGAAGATCATGTGGCAGTTTCATGAATATCACTCCCATAATCTGCATGGTGGCAGTGATGTAGTTTCCATTACACTCTTTTGTCTTGTTATTGAAATATTTAAGTAATATTTTAATAACATTTTCTTGAAATATAATTCACAGACTGTAAAATTCACCCTTTAATGTGTCTAATTCAGTACTTTTTAATGTATTCACAGAGTTGTACAACCATCACTACTGTCTAATTGCACAACATTTTCACCCCAAAAAGGAAGCCCGTGCCCTTTAGCAGTCCCCATTAGCCTTTGAGGCTTTTTCACCCCTCCACAAGATTTCCAGGTGTATCTTGTATATGTCAGGCACAAGACCTTGAATCAGCTATGCAGTTCCTTTAGTGAGCCCTGCAGATGAAGACGGGGATTTAGAAACCACAATTTGGGCACTGGTGGTGCTTATTCACTCAGTTGTCATTACATTTAGGTCTTTGTAATGAACAGAACCAGCATATATAACTTTTTTTTTTTTTTGAGACAGAGTCTCACTCTGTCGCCAAGCTGGCATGCAGTGGCGCGATCTCGGCTCACTGCAACCGTGCAACCACTGCCTCTCAGGTTCAAGCAATTCTCATGCCCCAGCCTCCCAAGTAGCAGGGACCACAGGCATGTGCCACCATGCCTAGCTAATTTTTGTATTTTTAGTAGAGACGAGGTTTCACCATGTTGACCAGGCTGGTCTCAACTCTTGGCCTCAAGAGATCCACCAGCCTTGGCTTCCTAAAGTGCTGAGATTACAGGCGTGAGCCACCATGCCTGGCCTGTAATGATTTTCTTTTTATGGTTATGTCACTAATTTGATAAATAGTTAAATTTATTCATTTTGGTTTGTTTTCTAGTTTTGATATCATTACTTTTGTCTTTTTGACATAATTTTCTATGGGATTAACTTTGTCTTTTTGACATAGTTTCCATTTTGAATATGTGGAATATTTACATAATTTTCAAAGTCAAAAATATAACCATATTTATTCAGAAAAATCTGAATAAACTTATGTTTCTGTGTCTATTATATTCTCTCTCACCATAGGTAACTTTTACATTTCTGGTTCATTTTCCAGTTTTTTGGGTTTTTTCTTTTTTTTTGCAGATAGAAGGGTGTGTGTTTATTCCATTTCTTACAAAATACTATCATAATATATATATTTTTTGATACCTTGCTTTTTCACCTGACAATAAATTCCTGGAGATTGCTCTATATCAATGTGTAGAGATTTTCTGATTGTTTTTATGGCTGCGTAGTATTCCATTGTGTGGATATACCCTAGTTTGTTCAACCAGTTATGTATGTGCATGCGTGTGTGTCTGTGTATATAACTTTGTGCATACATCTTTTTGCATTTTGCTGGTGTATCTTTGGGACAGATTCCTAGGGCTACTGGATTAAAGGGTAAGCAAATCTGTAATTTTAAAAACGTATTGCAAATTTTTTCACCATAAAAGTGACCCATTTTGCACTCCTATGAGCAATCTATGAGAATGTCGGCTTCCTCACAGCCTTGTCAAAAGAATATATTGTAAAACTTTTGAATTTTTTTCAACATAGTAGGTGAGAAATGGTATCTCAGCATCATTTTTAGTGTGTATTTCTGGGCGGGGTGGAGGGGGGAGTTGTTTTGTTTTTCAGAAATGAGGTCTCACTATTGCCCAGGCTGGTCTCAAACTCCTGGGCTCAAGCAATCCTTTTGCCTCGGCCTCCCAGAGGGCTGGGATTACAGGTGTGAGGCACCACACTCAGCCATGTATTTCTTTTATTAGTGAGGTTGAACATTTTTTGAAATGTTTCAGGTCTTTTTTTTTTTAATGTTCTCTGTCAGTTATCTATCGCTGTGTAACAAATTAACCTAGCACTTAATGGCTTAAAGCAACACCCAATTATTATCTCACAGCTTCTATGGATCAGGAGTTTAGGCACAGCTTCTGCTTCACATTGTCTCACATAGCTGCAGTCAAAATGCCAAGCTGCTCTGTGGTCTCATCTGAAGGCTCAGAGGGGGAGAATCCACTCCATTGCTTGCACACATTGTTGCTGGCAGGATTTATTCACTTAGTTCCTCGCAAGCGATGGAACAGATTCTTGTTTCTTGCCATACAGGGATCTCCACAGAACTTCTCCCAGCATGGCAGCTGGCTTCACCAGAGCAGTAAGAGAGATGGCCAGAGAGAGTGCTGGCAAGGAGGAGAGTACTAACAAGAAGGAAGGGACAGGGTCTCACTGTGTCATGGGTCACTGCAGCCTCAATCTCCCAGGGCTCAAGCAATCCTCCCAGCTCAGCCTCCCAAAGAGCTGAGACTACAGGCCCATAGAACCATGCCCAGCTAATTAAAAAAATTTTGTGTGTGTGTGGAGACAGGGTCTCACTTTGTTGTCCATACTGGTCTTGAGCTCCTGGGCTCAAGCAATTCTGCCTCAGCTTCCCAAAGTGCTGGGATTATAGGCATAAGCCACTACACCTGGCCCGCAGTCATTTTGTAACCTAACCACAGAAGTCATCTCCCATCATTCTTGCTGCTTTCTATTCATTAGAAGTGAGTGGCTAAACCAGCCTGCGCTCGATGAGAAGGAATGAAGGATGTGAATGTGAGGAAGGTGAAGACCTCTGAGGGCCATGTCACAAGCTGCCTGCTACAATACCTACTCATGTTTCTAACCCATTCCTCTATTGAGTTGTTGGTATGCTTGATTTTTAAGAGCTCTTAATATATTATAGAGCCCTTTGTGCTCTCAGTTACAAATACTTTTCTTAATTTATCTTTTGTTTTGCACTTTGTTTATGGATCTTTTGTTATGCAGATTTAAGCGGGGTGGGGGGGCGGGTAAAGGTTACCTACTGTAAAATTTACCAATCTTTATTTTATTGCTTCTGGTATTTGAATCATAGTTTAAGTGTACAGTTGGCCCTCCATATCTGTGGGTTCCCCATCCATGCATGCAACCAACCATGGATCAAAAATATTTGAGGATGGATGTGGTGGTTCACGCCTGTAATCCCAGCACTTTGGAAGGCCAAGGCGGGCAGGTCACTTGAGGCCAGGAATTCGAGACCGGCCTGGCCAACATGGTGAAACCTCATCTCTACTAAAAATACAAAAATTAGCTGGGCATGGTGGCACACACCTATAATCCCAGCTGCTCAGGAGAATGAGGCAGGAGAATCCCTTGAACCTGGGAGGCAGAGGTTGTGGTGAACTGAGATCACACCACTGTACTCTAGCCTGGGTAACAGAGTGAAACTCTTGTCTCCAAAAAACAAAAATTGAAAAATAATTGCATCTATACTGAACATGTATAGACTTATTTTTCTTGTCATTATTTCCTGAAAAATACATTATAACAACTATTTACATAGCATTTACATTATATTAGGTATTATAAGTAATCTAGAGATGGTTTCATCTATACAGAAGGATGTGCCTAAGTTATATGTAAATATTACACCATTTTACATCAGGGATTTGACATCTGCAGATTTTGGTATCCAGGGGAGGTCCTGGAACAAATCCCCTACGGATACTGAGGGGTGACTGTTTTTTCCACTCTCATGTGATAAAGGTATTTCTTCATTTTTTTCCCCCATTACTTGAATGGTTTTGTTTTTACTGTATTCATTTGGAATTTGTCTTGACATACAGGATAAATCTTTTTTTTTTTTTTTTTTTTTTTTGAGACAGTCCCACTCTGTCACCCAGGCTGGAGTGCAGTGGCGCAATCTCAGCTCACTGCAACCTCTCTCTCCCGGGTTCAAGTGATTCTCCTGCCTCAGCCTCCCAAGTACCTGGGACTACAGGCGTGCACCACCATGCCTGGCTAATTTTTATGTTTTTGGTAGAGATAGGGTTTTGCCTTGTTGGCCAGGCTGGCCTCAAACTCCTAGCCTCAGGTGATCCACCCACCTCGGCCTCCCAAAGTGCTAGGATTACAGATGTGAGCCACTGAGATGCTATCTTCTTCATACACTAAATTTCCATAGATATTGGGCTAATTTCTGGACATTCTGTTTGACTCCTTTAGCGCTCTTTGTATATTCATGTACCCATAGTACAGTGTTTTAAGTTTTAGAGACTGTGTTAGGGTTCTCCAGAGAGACAGAACCAATAAAAGATATACATACCAACAGATATGTGGGAAGAGATTTATTAGGGGAATTGGCTCACATGGTTATACAGGCCGTCTGCAAGCTGGAGACCTTGGGATGTCAGTAGCGTGACTGCCCAAGATCAGAAGCTTCAGAACTAGGTTAAGCTGTAACTCTCAGTCCAAGACCAAAGGCTGACATAAGTGGGGTGGGGTGCTGATGTAAATCTCGGAGTCCAAAGGCCAGAAAACCTGCAGTTCTGATGTTTAAGGGCAGGGGAAGAAGGGTGTCCCACACAGGAGAGACAGAAGGAGAGAGACAGAGACAGAGAGACACAGAAACAATTTGTTTTTCCTCTGTCTTTTTTGTTCTGTTTGGGGCCCCAGCTGATTGGATGGTACCTGCCCACATAGATCTTTCCTACCCAGTCTGCTGACTCACACGCCAGTCTCTCTGGAAACATCTTCAAAGACACTCAGAAATAATGCTTTACCAACTCTCTATGTATTCCTCAGTGCAGTTGAGTTGACACCTAAAATTAGCTATCACAGAGACTTATTTTAAAATAATATGTATGTTATTTGGTATCTTATTCCCGCTCCACCCCTAGGATTTTCTTAATTATTTCTGCTTATTTTTCCATATAAATTTTGTAATCAACTTGTCTTGCTCCAGTCTGGGGGGAAAATCTCTTAATGTTTTTATTAGGATCGTGTCAAGTTTATATGTTAACTTAGGGATAATTTACTCATTTATAATATTGAGTCTCCTTATTGGAGAGCACGGTACATCTGGTACATGGTACATAGTATATCTTTTCCTTTGTTCAAGTTCAGTTTTGCACTTTGAGGAATGTTTAGAGCAGTTTTAGTTGCATGGGGTTGTTTCCAGTATGGTGCAATTATGAATAAAGCTACTATGTACGTTTGCATTTAGGTTTATGCATGAATGCAGGTTTCCATTTCTCTTGGTTAGGTGTCTTACAGTAGGATTGCTGGGGGGTATGTTAAATCTAATTCATTCTTAGACTTTTAACCCATGCAGAGTGATACTTTTTCCACTCAGCATTTATAGTTGTCAGGGAAGCATTAAATATTTCTTCTCTTTTGTTGTACTAATACAACAAGTAGTTTTGTTTTGTAACTTGTATTAGGAGCGTAGGTCTTGTTTATGCAAATGTAGGCAACTGCTCCCGGGGTCCCACGCAGCAGGTATGGCTTTCATGAGCTGTGGCTCAAGTTTCTCCCAGACTTGAAGGGTGGATTAACTAGCTCCCAGAGTAACTTCTAAGGCCCTTAGTTGATTACAACCCAAAATCATACTTAAGGCCAACTCCGGGGACAGATAACTCTAGCTCATTCACTCGCTGATGAATTCCTTCACCAAACATTAATGTCTTTCACATGAGAGATGCCACCAAGATCTGTGGCATAACATATTAAGAGACACACACCATCTACTGCGCATCCTGATTGCCCACAGCTCTTGTTTGAACACAGGTGTTTAAAAGGCCTCAATCAGGCTGGGCACCGGTGGCTCACGCCTGTAATCCTAGCCCTTTTGGAGACTGAGGCAGGTGGATTGCCTGGGCTCAGGAGTTCAAGACCAGCCTGGGCAACATGGCGAAACCCCGTCTCTACTAAAAATATGAAAAATTAGCTGGGCATGGTGGTGGGCACCTGTAATCCCAGCTACTGGGGAGGCTGAGGCAGGAGAATCACTTGAACCCGGGAGGCGGAGGCTGCAGTGAGCCGAGATCATGCCACTGCACTCCAGCCTAGGCGACAGAAAAAAAAAAAAGAAAAAGAAAATAAAAGAAATATACCATGTGTGCAGGTGCTCTCTGCTCTGACACAGAAGTGCTCCCTGAGATAAGCCCTCCAAAAGTTCTGGGATTACAGGCATAAGCCACTGCACCCGGCCTCCAACATGAATTTTCTAAGGACAATCTAGCTAATTAGATTTCTGCTTTTCCTTAGTTTACCTGCTACTCAGCTTGATTGGCATTGTAGGTAGAAAGAGCTGCAAGGCATTCTGGGATGTGAGTGGCCGCCCCACTGGGAAGAAACAAGAAGGCCCGGCCCCGGTAGAACAAGGACTGGGAGGTGTGGCTGAGGTCACAAAGGTTGGCTTCTGTTGAGCTAGCATAGTTCTGTGGGGTCACTCTCTTTACCCCACAAACCAGGCCTGCAACTGGGCCAGAAAAGGAGCCTCAGGAAAGAAGCCAGGGCAAGAAGCTCAGTCACTGCTATAGGGAGGCAAGATGAAGGCCATGAAATGGGCCTCCATGGCTGCCGGGCTGATTCCAGACCTTACTGGCAATGCATAGAGCTGCCACTCAGAGTCCCCCCGTACTGGAACTCATTTCCCATTTCACAGCAGCAGCCCTTGCTCTTCCTTAAGAAGCGTGACCCTTCATACCCTTGGCGGGAATTGGTATGAACATCACCCTCAGATCCGAAGCCATATGCATTAGGCTGTTCTTGCATTGCTACAAAGAAAATACCTGAGACTGGGTAGTTTATAAAGAAAAGAGGTTTAATTGGCTCATGGTTCTGCAGGCTGTACAGGAAAAATGGTGTCGGCATTTGCTTGGCTTCTGGGGAGGCCTCAGGGAGGTTTTATTCATAGCAGAAAGTGAAGGAGGAGCAGGCAGCTCACATGGTGAAAGCAGGAGCAAGCGAGAAAAAGAGTGTGGCGTGGGGGGCGGTGCACACACTTTTAAACCACCGGATCATATGTGAACTCAGAGCGACAGCTCACTCATCACCAAGGGGACGGCCCAAGCCATTCATAAGGGATCTGCCCCCATGATCTGAACTCCTCCCACCAGGCCCCACCTCCAATATTGGGGATTACATTTCCATAGGAGATTTGGGCAGGAACAAATATTGAAACTATATCACCAACTAAATATAGCTGGAGTTTTCAGTAAGTCTGAGTTGGGAATTTGCATTTCTGGCAAGTCCCCGGTGAATGCTGACACTCTTGGTGCAGGGACCAGCTGCTGGGAAACATTCCTAACGAGCGTCTTCCTGCTTCTACCTAAAGCGCACTCATTTTGAACACGTGGATGAATTATTAGTAATTTAAAAATTAACTCATCAGTGATTACTTTGCTATAAATATTTTATTTCAAGACTGCTACAAAGAAGGCATTACATTCTTGCTCCTTCCCATGTCTTAGTGTTCTGACAGCACTGGTTGTTTTCAATATCACCTCTTTACCTCCCACATTAATGACAGCATGTCAACATTTTCAGGCACGGGACAAACTGACTTCTCATAGGGTGTGATATTTGATTTTCAAGTGGGAAAATTGAGCATAAATTCACTCCTTCAAGGAAACTTTTTTTTTTTTTTCTGAGATAGTGTCTGTCACTCAGGCTGGAGTGCAGTGGTGCAATCCTGGTTCACTGCAACCTCTGCCCCCTGGGCTCAAGCAATCCTCCCACCTCAGCCTCCAGAGGAGCTGGGACCACAGGCGCACACCACAACGTCTGGCTAATTTTTTATATTGTTGCCCAGGCTGGTCTCGAACTCCTGAGCTTAAGCCTCGGCCTCCCAAAGTGCTGGGATTACAGGCCTTGTGGCACCTGGCCTCAAAGAAACTTTTTAATTGACACTTAATAGCAAGCAACAACAGATTACAATTAGGCCAGTCTGTGGCAGGAAAAACAAAGAAAGGGGAGAGGAGAGAAAGAAACTCAATTTCTGGAAGACAAGCAAAACAATTGCTTGTCTCCATTCTGCATTGGAAACATTCTCCATTGGAAACAGGGAGAGCAAACCAACAGTACTTGCTAATAGATTTGATGACGGGGGAGGGTAGAGGAAAGTATATCAGATCTTGTTTTCTTTTTTAAGAGACAATGAAGCAGAAGATATAAAAAGAAAAACAATTTTTTTGTTCCTTGTTCTGTTCTCGTAATTATTTTTGCAAGTTTTGTAAGTTCCTGTTTTTCCCTTCTGTGTGGCACGGCAAGGTCACAAGATATGTTTTAAGTTGCAAGGCCTGTCACTGTTTAACAAACTGCCTTTGTTCTGCTTCTGTAAGCTTGCTTGCCTGCCCTACAGGTTTTGTGCTATCAAACTGGCCAACCCCCTTCTGGATGCATGTATAAAAGTGAAGCCCTGTCTTTGTTCGGGGCTCAGCCTTTGGATGTTAATCTGCTGGGCCGGTGCGCACCTAATAAATCCTCCTGTCCCACCCATTGGTCTCTACTGTCCCTTAATTCCTGCAATAACAAGGTCTCACTTTGTTGCCCAAGCTGGAGTGCAGTGGCACAGTAATAGCTCACTGCACCCTCTACCTTGAGGGCCCAAGCATCCTCCCACCTCAGCCTCTGGAGTAGCTCGGGCTACAGCGTACACCACCACAGCTGGCTGATTTTTTGGTTTTTTGTAGAGACAGGGTTTCCCTTTGTTGCGCAGGCTGGTCCTGAACTGCTGGGCTAAAGTGATCCTCCTGCCTCAGCCTCCCAAAGTGCTGGGATTACAGGCGTGAGCCACTGCACCTGGCTGGAAACACTCTTAAAAAAGCTTGAGGTGGCCGGGCGTGGTGGCTCACACCTGTAATCCCAGCACTTTGGGAGGCCAAGGCGGGCAGATCATGAGGTCAGGAGATCAAGACCATCCTGGCTAACATGGTGAAACCCCGTCTCTACTAGAAATACAAAAAATAAGCTGGGCGTGGTGGCGGGCACCTGTAGTCCCAGCTACTCAGGAGGCTGAGGCAGGAGAATGGCAAGAACCCAGGAGGCAGAGCTTGCAGTGAGCCGAGATTGCACCACCGCACTCCAGCCTGGGCAACAGAGCGAGACCCCATCTCAAAAAAAAAAAAAAAAAAAAAAGTTTGAGGTTAGTGGTCCATTTTTATTTCTATTTTATTTTTTAATTGACAAATAATAATTGTACATATTCTTGGGGTGCATAGTGATATGTCAATACATAGAATGTACAGCAATCAGATCAGGGTGAGTAGTGTATCCGTAATCTCAAACATTTATCATTTCTTTGTGTTGAAAACATTCAATATCCTCCTTTTAGCTATATATTTCTAATTTTAATTTCATTTTCTAATTATTTTATTTATTTATTTATTTTAGAGACAGTGTCTCACTGTCGCCCAGGCTGAGTGCTGTGGCACAATCACAATTCATAGCAGCCTCAAATTCCTGGGCGCATGTAATCCTCCTGCCTCAGTCTCTTGAATTCAGCTATTCAAAACTATTTATTATTTTTAACTCTAGTCATCTAACAGTTGGTATAGAACACTAGAATTTATTTCTCCAATCTAGCTGTCATTTTGTATCCTTTAACGAAATTTAAATGGAAAGTTAGAGAAAACCAACTCAAACTAGCTTAAAAAATAAATCAGGCTGTCCAAGTAGTAGTTTCAGAAACAGGTGGTTCCACAGATCTGATATACTTTCCTGTACCCTCCCCCCATCGTCAAATCTATTAGCAAATACTGTTGGTTTTCTCTCCGTCAGGTAGCTTGGACCCATCCACTTCACCTAGCAAACCAAGCTTCCATCATTTCTCAGCAGAAAACCAAAATGAGATGGTTTCTCCACTTTCACTGTTGCCTTTCTGATTGGTCCATTTTTAAACAAATTCTACTTTACCAAAAGTCACTTTTCTTGAAAAGTCCGGGTATGAAGGAAAAGGTGTTGGTTTTGCAGCCAGTGTGTTGGCATAAAGCTGTGTGGTGATCAAAAGAAGGCCTCCAGTGGAAAGGAGAAATCCACCCATCCAGCCGCTGGACATGGCATTGCCGCATCCCCCCGGGGCTTGTTGGGTGGGAACTCTGAGCTTTAGAACCTCCACACGGTAATATGGGCAACGTAGGACACGGACGCTCAAGTAGTGAGTCCGGCCAGAAAAACCAGAGCTCCCCCAGCAATGTTGACACTTCTCTCCCAAGAACTTCCTCCTCGGCCCCAGCATCTCAGCCACATCAGTCCCAGGATGACCGCCACAAGCCCGAGAGAACCCACAGCCCCGGCCACGCACGTGAGGACACGAGCCACCTGGAGTTTGGCAGCCAGGTTCTTTGGGCTGGCACACACTGGCACCTGTGTCTCGAGTCACACATGCTTCCCAAAGGCCCAGCATGTACTTCTCACTCTCGAGTAAACCCGAGGAGAAAGTCGGCCACTGAGGCATGCACACACAGGCCACTGAGGCATGCACTTGGCAGGCCACTGAGGCATGCCAGGGAACAGACGCGGCCAGCCACAGAGGCCAAGAGCCCCACATTTTGAATCAGCCAGATCGCCCTGCTTTTCATCCTGCTCTCCAGGCCCAAGTTATTCTGGGGAAACTGTCTCTCGGTCACAACAGGACTGGCTCGTTAGATTGACATCTTGACGGATTCGCCGCAGTTCGTGCCAGCTGGTCTGCAACCATTAGTTCAGTCCTTTGTCAACCAACCAGAATGCAGCTGCTTATTAAATCGGGTTACTTGGTAACTGGGCTGCTATTGTTCACCCTTAACTAACGCAGATGAATACCTACCATCAAAATAGGCCCAATAGAAAACCTGCTGCCAATACAGAGCCAGGTGGGAGAACCAGCAGATTGAGACAGGTATGCAGGCTTGGGAGAATTCTTGCTGGTTATAAAAGGCATGCATTTTAGCAATTTTATTTCCAAAAGGTAAACAGTTTGGGATACGGAGTTATTAGACATTAGAGTCATCTATCACGGTTTGTTTTTTTTTTTCCTTTTCTTTTTTTCTTTGAGACAGAGTCTCGCTCTGTCACCCAGGCTGGATTGCAGTGGTGCCATCTCGGCTCACTGCAATCTCTGCCTCCTGGGTTCAAGCAACTCTCCCTGCCTCAGCCTCCCGAATAGCTTGGATTACAGGCACACACCACCACACCCGGCTATTTTTTGTATTTTTAATAGAGATTGGGTTCAGCCATGTTGGCCAGGCTGGTCTTGAACTTCTGACCTCAGGTGATCCGCCTGCCTCGGCCTCCCAAAGTGCTGGGATTACAGGCATGAGCCACTGCGCCTGGCCTGATCAAGTTTTTAAAAAGAGTATTTCTTCACTTTTAATTATTTTAAATTCTCTTTAGTATTGTCTCTTCCAGGGTTTGGTATCTGTATCTGGTTCCATCATTCCTAAACCTACCTTCAGAGAAAACATCTAATTAATTACCCACACCTTCCATTAAAACCAGAGATTGGGATCATTTTGAATTAGAAGAGACAGACCCTTATGATCCCACAATTGTGTTCCTTGGTTTTTATCCAAATGAGCTGAGAATTCACGTCCACAGAAAAACCTGCGCACAGATGATTATAGCAGCTTTACTCATAATTGCCAAAACTTGGAAGTAACAAAGATGTCCTTTGGTAGATGAGTGGATAAACAATGTGATACATTAAGACAATTGGATATTTTTCAGCACAAAAAGAAATGAGCTATCAAGCCATGACAAGACATGGAGGAACCCTAAATGCATATTTCCCAGTGAAAGAAGCCCATCTGAAAGGCTACGGACGGTAAGAGTTCAACAGTGTGACCCTCTGGAAACGGCAAAACTATGGAGACAGTAAAACAATCGGTGGTTTCCAGGGGCTAGAGAAGAAGGAAAGATGAAGAGGGGATTGCAGAGGATTTTTAGGGCAGTGAAACTATCTGTATGCTACCATAATGATGAACACATATCATTGTACGTTTGTCCAAATCCATAGAATGTACAACACCAAGGATGAACCCTAATGTCAACTATGGATTCTGGTGACGATGACATGTTGATGAAAGTGCCCTGAGGGATTGTTCACAGACCTACACCAGGAAAAGAAGTTTCTGCTCATGAATGCCACTCTGGCTCTCAACCTGTGCATGAGTGAGATCCCCACAGACGGGAGCTCACAGTTCTCTTTCTGCCCCCATTAACCTGGAAGGAATCTGGCCTCAAGAGGTGGGCAAGATTGGATCAGGCACCAGAGGCCTTGGCGGTCATTCTTGTCAGGCAGCCTTGCCAAGCTGGAGGCAGAGGCTGGTGACAGGTGGGACAGCAATTCCAAGGAGAGGTGGTGATGGCCCAAATCAGGGGCATGGCAGAGCCGTGGGGAGAGAGGAAGAGAGATGGAGGGGCAGCAGTGCCGGGATGTGGGGGTTACTGGGAAACAGAGGACAAGCAAATGCGGTGACCGGAGGGGACACCTGCACTTCTCCGTTGGGCAACTTCCCGTGCTCACGGAGGCCTCTCATGTTGTTCGTAAGCTACTGAGGCAGTGTGTGACGAGATGCTGAAACCTTGGCTGGTAAATGCACTTCAGGCCTTCAACTTCCTGGCTACTACAGCCGAGGTGGGGTTTGGGTAGCTGTGAGTAAGCCAGATGCGACGGACCGTGTAGTGATAGAGTCCTCACTGAAAGGTCCAGAAGAAATCCCATAAGGTCATCAAACCCAGGCTCTGAATGGAGTTCCACTAGGACACAGTGGGCCCGTGGATGGTAACTGTCACATCCACAAGGCTATTCCTTGTGGCACAATCTTCGTCATAGGATCATTGAAACAGCTGAACTTGGTGGGAAGAAATCGGGAAACAGCTTTTGTTTTCCTACCACTACCTTGCAAACACGATGTGGATGAACCTTGAAAACATGATGTCGAGTGAAAAAAGTCAGACACAAAAGGCCACAAATTGTACAATTCCATTTATATGAAATGTCCAGAGTAGAGAAATTCATAGAAACAGAAAGTAGATGAATGGTGGGCAGGGGCTGGGAAGAGGGGAATGGGGAGTGACTGCTCATGGGCACAGGGGTCGTTTTAGGAGGGACAAAAATGTTCTGAAATTGATGGTGACAATGGTCGCACAACCTTGTGAATGTACTAAAAACCACTGCATTGTATGCTTTACACAGGCGAGTTGTACAGTATGTGGATTATACCTCAGTAAAACTGGTATATATATATATATATATAAAGAGAGAAAGAGCGAGAGAGTTCCACATTAATTTCCGATAAGCACCCTTTGTAAACTAAAAAAACAAAAGACACTTCATTCAATGCTGTCTATCTTAAACGAACACTTAAATATATCTTTAACGATGAAGGATTAGTACAGTTTTTTCTAACCTTGGAGTGGTGGGGGCCATTTCAGGATCGCCTGTGGGGCCTTGTTCAAATCCACCCTCCCCCCAGCAAAGCACCCCCTTCACTGACCCTGGTCTTCCCACACTTGTGAATCACTACATTAGAAGAATTCCCTGAAAATAGGGAACCAGACTTGAAAACTTGTCATTACCAAAGTTACGTAAGATTGCTCTGGAAGTTCCTTTTTTTTTTTTTTTTTTTTTTTTTTTTGAGACGGAGTCTCAGTCTGTTGCCCAGGCTAGAATGCAATGGCGTGATCTTGGCTCACTGCAGCCTCTGCCTCCCAGGTTCAAGCGATTCTCCTGCCTCAGCCTCCTGAATAGCTGGGATTACAGGCGTACACCACCACGCCCAGCTAGATTGTTCTGGAAGTTCTAGCCAGGGTGCTGTAAGTCAGGAGACAGAGAAAAGAGGTATAATTATCCTAGAAGGGTGTGTGAATCTTTGTTCAGCTAAGTTGACCCTATACCTAAAAAAAGTCCAAGAAAAGTTATTACACTACAACAGAAAGTTCAATTATATAGCTGGATACTAAATACACAAACATCAACAATCTTTTCGTGTTCCTACACAATGAGCCAGTTTGAAATTAGAATTGAAACAGAGTACTTTCACACAAAAAAGCAATAAACTCCCAAATATCTAGCAATAAGCTTAATATGAAATGTGCAAGACCCTGTATGTTGCAAACTGCTCAACCTTAGTAAGAGCCAAAAGAAGCCATGGAGACATGTCCCCAGTCCCAGATGGGGAAATTAAATTTTGCAAAGTTGTTCCACCTTCTGAGATTAATTTGTTGGCTTAATGTGATGCTAAGCAAAATGTTTATGAAAATCGGCAAATGCAAAAAATGAGCAAAACCTGCATGTATTAAGATTGTTACAGTTTATTAAGTGTAAAGTTTATATCCAAAGAAAACCAGTGTAAACACATATCAATCTCTAGTTAGTGGCATACTTGCTGAAAACTTAGGGGGATGTGTACTGATGTCTGCAATTTACTATGAAATGTATGAAAGAATAAGATGGATTGATGGATGGATAGAGGGATGAACAAATGAATAGGTACATGAAAAAGACTATAGTAATCTGCCTCTTATCAGAGCAGAAAAATGAATAAAAAGAAAAAGGAAAATACAGTAGAATGTTAATGAGAGAATCTGGGTGGTATTTGAGTTGTTCGCTAAAATTTTTTCAACCTTGTTTAATATGGGAAAGTTTTTGGCTGGACACAGTGGCTCACGCCTGTAATCCCAACACTTTGGGAGGCTGAGGCGGGAGGATCGATGGAGCCCAGGAGTTCAAGACCAGCCTGGGCAACATAAGGAGACCTTGTTTCTACTAAAAATTTTTACAAAAATTAGTTGGATGTGGTGTTGCATGCCTGTGGTCCCAAATACTCAAGAAGCTGAGGGAGGAGGGTCTATTGAGCCCCGGAGTTAACGGCTGCAAGGAGCTATGATCACGCCACTTCACTCCAGCCTGAGTGAAAAAGTGAGACCCTGTCTCAAAAAAAAAAAAGGTTCATAATAAAATGGGAAAAATACAGAGCAAAGAACAACAAAAACCAAAATGCATATAAAAGAAGATTCCAGCTTGAAAAATATGAGCTGGATAAAGATGGGGTGGAAATGGGCTAAAATGTTAACTATGATGAAATTATAGGTGATTTTTATTTACTTGTTCATACTCCATGCATTGATTGAGCTTTTTCTTTCTTTTTAAAAACAATATCCAAGTACTACTTTTATTTTAATTTTTTTAAACAGGGTCTCACTCTGTCACCCAGGCTGGAGTGCAGTGGTGTGATCTCGGCTCACTATAGCCTCAGCCTCCCGAGTAGCTGAGACTACAGTCATGTGCCACCATGCCCGGCTAATAGTTTATTTTTTTTTTTGCAGAGATGGGGGTCTCACTTTGTTGTCCATGCTGGTCTCGAACTCCTGCTTAAGAGACCTTCCTGCCTTGGCCTCCCAAAGTGTTGGAATTACAGGTGTGAGCCATTGTCCCTGGATCAGGAGTTGCTTCTTATGGATGAGCAAAGAAAGTAGTTTCTTAAGACACAATCTCCTCCTGGTGAAGATGTTGTGAACATTATTGAAATGACAACAAAAGATTAGAATATTCCATAAACTTAGTTGATAAATTAGTGGGATTCTTCCATTTCTCCACCAGGTGACAGCATAAGCACGTCAAAATAGCAAAAATTGTCTCAGAACACAGTATTTGGTCTGACATTGAACATTACTGCTGTTAATTGACTAGGTGTTTATTTTGACATGTTACTTGCACAAAGGATTAGAATATTATGTCAACCTAGTTGATAAACCAGTAACAGGGCTTGAAAAGATTGACTCTACTTTTGAAAGAAGTTCTAATGTGAGTAAAATGCTATCAAAAAGCATCGCATGCTACAGAGAAATCTTTTGTGAAAGGTAGAGCCAATTGATGCAGCAAACTTCCTTGCTGTGTTATTTTAAGAAATTGCCATAGCCAACCCAGCCTTCAGCAATCACCACCCTGATCAGTCAGCAGCCAGCGACATAAAGGCAAGACCCTCCACCAGCAAAATGATTACAACTCACTAAATGCTCACATGATCCTTAGCATTTTTTAGCAATAAAGTGTTTTTTGTTTTTTGAGACTAGGTCTCACTCTCGCCCAGACTCCTGGAGTGCAGTGGCACTATCACGGCTCACTGAAGCCTCAACCACCCGGGCGCAAGCGATCCTCCCACCTCAGCCTCCAGAATAGTTGGGACTACAGGTGTGCACCACCACGCCTGGCTAATTTTTGTATTTTTTGTAGAGATGGGGTATTGCCATGTTGTCCAGGCTGGTCTTGAATTCCTGAGCTCAAGCAATCCTCCCGCCTAGGCCTCCCAAAGTGGCGGGATCACAGGCATGAGCCACCTCGCCCGGCCTGCAATATAGTAATTTTAATTTAGGATACTACATTTTTTTAAGGCATAATACTATTGCACACTGAAGACTACAATATAGAGTAAACATAATGTTTATATGCATTGGAAAACCAAAAAAAATATGCGACTCAGGTTATAGAGATATTTGCATTATTTTGGTGGTCTGGAACTGAACCTGCAATATATCCAAGGTATGTCTGTGGGTGTGTGTGTGTGTGTGTGTGTATGTGTGTGTGTGTGTGTGAGATGTTCATGGCAACATTTATTTTTAATAGAAAAGAAAAGAACTGGCCAGGCGTGGTGGCTCTCGCCTGTAATCCCAGCACTTTGGGAGGCCGAGGCAAGTGGATCACCTGAGGCCGGGAGTTCGAGACCAGCCTGAGCAACATGGAGAAACCCCATTTCTACTAAAATTACAAAATTAGCCGGATGTGGTGATGGGTGCCTGTAATCCCAGCTACTTGGGAGGCTGAGGCAGAAGAATTGCTTGAACCCAGGAGGTGGAGGTTGCGGTGAGCCTGAGATGGAGCCATTGCACTCTAGCCTGGGCAACGAGAGCAAAACTCTGTCTCAAAAAAAAAAAAAAAAAAAAAAGAAAAGAAATTAAAGCAACCAAGATATCTGAATATCTGAACAGGGTCAAAGGGTCAAACTACTAGATATTTGTATAAATGAAGAAACTTGATTTTAGGTAAACAAAGCAAGAATCAAGTATAAGAACCATGTCCAAGATTAGCACCTAAATAGCAGAAAAGCTGACTTTATACTGAGAGAACTATTATACCCTGATTTGTGTATCTCTCCTACCTAGGAACTCAGAATCTTGAGTCAATGGTAAAGTGAAATTATGGGTAATTTTTTCTTTCTTTGTACTTTTATGGATTCTTTGTTCTATACTGAGCATGTATGAATTTTTAATAAAAGTTATAAATAATGAACACATCTGGATTTTATAAATTACTCTACATTCATAAAGCATTCTTCTGCAAGGTGGCAGCATAAGCCCTTCCGAGTACAGTATTTGTCCTGAAATTGAACACTATTGCTGTTCATTGCTCAGTTGTTTATTTTGACATGTTACTTGCACAAGCAAATTATTCATTATATTGTTAATTTTTATGAAAGAATTACTATATATTTATTGCAAAGTTGGTATACAGAATAGGATAAAACTCTAAATCACCTGTTGTGGCACTACTCAGGTATAACCAAGATTAACACTCTGAAATTATCTTCATGTTCACAGATGTGTGCTGGAAACAGGAAATGACATGTTTTTAAAGCAAAATGTGCCACCCCATACAATTGTTTGCTTTTTAAAATTTAAAAAAAAAAAAGTTTGTGGCCGGGCACGGTGGCTCATGCCTGTAATCCCAACACTTTGGGAGGCCGAGGTGGGCAGATCACCTTAGGCCAGAAGTTCGAGACCAGCCTGGCCAACATGGTGAAACCCCGTCTCTACTAAAAATTCAAAAATTAGGCGGGCATGGTGGCAGGCACCTGTAATCCCAGCTACTCGGGAGGCTGAGTCAGGAGAATCACTTGAACCCGGGAGGCAGAGGTTGCAGTGAGCCGAGATTGTGCCATTGCACTCTGGCGGGGGTGACAGAGCAAGACTGTCTCAAAAAATAAATAAGTAAATAATACATAAACAATGATTGCGAGTACATAGTAGGTGTATATAGTAGGAAACTACTGAAGAAGTTTGAAGCTAGCAGAGGCTAGTTCATGAAGCTTAAGGAAAGAAGCCGTCTCCATAACATAAAAGTGCAGGGTGCAGCAGCAAGTGCTCCAGAAGACCTAGCTGAGACCACGGATGAAGGTGGCCACACTCAACAACACATTTTCAATGTAGACGAATGGGCTTATATTGGAAGAAGATGCTACTAGGACTTTCATACCTGGAGAGGCTTCACAGCTTCAAAGGACAGGCTGCCTCTTGTCAGGGGCTAATGCAGCTGGTGACTTTAAATTGAAGCCGACACTCATTTGCCGTTCCAAAAATCCTAAGGCCCTTAAGAATGATGCTAAATCTACTCTGCCTGTGCTCTAGAAATGGAACAAAGCCCGGATGACAGCACGTCTGTCTAGAGCATGGTTTACTGGTTTACCGAGTGTTTTAAGCCCACTGTTGAGAAGTACTGCTCAGAAAAAAGATTCCTTTTCAAATGCTACTACCCATTGACAAGGCACCTGGTCACCCAAGAGCTCTGAGGGAGAGCTCCAGGGAGATTCACATTGTTTTCAGGCCTGCGAGCACAACATGCATTCTGCAGCCCATGGCTCCACGGATCATCTCCCCTTTCAAGTCTTATTGTTGAAGAAGTCCATTTCATAAAGCTATAGCCGCCATAGAGAGCGATTCCTCTGATGCATCTGGGCCAATCCAACGGAAAGGACTCACTGTTCCAGATGCCACTCGGAACAGTCGTGGGTTTTCGTGGAGACAGCTGAGCCCGCGGAAGGAGGCAGCTGGGACAGGGCCCCGCGGCACCGCAGCGCTGTGAGAGCAGAGCGGCTCTGACTGCGCCCGCGGCTGCAGAGCTACCGGCCTGGGGCCCTTCCTCCCGGAGGCGGGGGTGGCGGCCCAGGGGCAGTGGGCGCTGAGCGAGCTTTGGAGCAGCCTGGAAGTCTATGGTAGGGGCGTCCTCGTGGGTGCGTGGTACCAGCTTCACTGTGCCCTGGGGAATCCGATTCTCTGCCCTCCCCTTCAGCTCGGCCTGCTTCTGCACGTTCTGGGGACGATGGTCTTGCCATAGACCCCGGGAGCCAGATCCCCTCTCACAGGACATGGAGCCCCGGGGCGTGAATGCCAAAGGATACCCAGCCCGGCTTCCATCCGTGATTTCAGCTAGGTCTTCTGGAGAACTTGCTGCGATCTCTCCGTCAGCACTTTTATGTTATGGAGACGGCTTCTTTCCTTAAACTTCATGAACTAGCCTCTGCTAGTTTCAGACTTCTTCTGTACTTTCCTACTATATACACCTACTATGTACCCACGAACTTTATTTATTTATTCATTTATTTGACAGGGATGAATGGAAGTGGAGGAAATGAAGTTACCACTTGTAGACAGCCCCTAGGCCCAGGGGCTGGGAGTGGGCGGCCCTGGCGGGGTCCAGTTCTGTGTCCTCCAGCAGAGCTGGGCCCGAGACTCGGCCGGGGCAGTCCGGGGAGGCCAGGGAGCCAGGCTGTCCTGGCTGAGCCCTGCTGCCGCCTCAGCGGTGGCCGGGAGAACAGGCTGCTCACTACCATCAGCCTGCACCAGCCACCCATCGCCTCTTTTCCGCACACAACCGGCCCCCGGGACAACCAGACACCACCGGACCGACTGGCTGCAGCTGGCGGTTCTGGGCCCGCTGAGTTGATTCAGGGCTCAAGGTTCCTCCTGTGTTGAGCCGGGGGGTTTCCTGCCGGGACAGGGGTGCTTGTGTCCGCCACCTCCCGGGCTCACACAGCAGAGAGCATCACGGGGACGTCCTCTTGGGCGCAGGGTACCAGCTTCACTGTGCCCTGGGGAATCCGATTCTCTGCACCCACCTCAGCTCGCCCCGCTTCTGCATGTTCTTTGTACTTTTATGGAGTCTCTGAAATTTCTATACTGCGCATGTATTAATTTTTAATAATAAAAATTACAAATAACACATTTGGATTTTATAAATTACGTTGCAGTCATAAAGCATGCTTTCCGCCAGGTGACGGTATAAGCCCATCAAATAGTTTGAGAGTACAATATTTGGCCTGAAATTGAACACTACTGCTGTTAATTGCTCAGTTGTTTATTTTGACATGTTACTTGCACAGGTGTTATTCATTATATTGGGTTTTTTTTTGAAAGAATGACTATAGATTTATTTGTAAAATTGGTATACAGAATAGGAGAAAAAAAAGTCACCAGTCGTGGCACTACTCAGGTATAGCCAAGGTTAAGGATCTGACATTTATCTATTTATCTTTATGTTTATCTTTATGTCGGGAAAGAGAAAAACAACACTTTTTTTTTTTTTTTTGAGGCAGAGTCTCACTCTGTCGCCCAGGCTGGAGTGCAGTGGCGCGATCTCGGCTCACTGCAAGCTCCGCCTCCTGGGTTCACGCCATTCTCCTGCCTCAGCCTCCCGAGTAGCTGGGACTACAGGCACCCGCCAACACGCCCGGCTAATTTTTTGTATTTTTTTAGTAGAGACAGGGTTTCACCGTGTTAGCCAGGATAGTCTCGATCTCCTGACCTTGTGATCCGCCTGCCTCGGCCTCCCAAAGTGCTGGGATTACAGGCATGAGCCACCACGCCTGGCCAACAACACTGTTTTTTAAAAAATGTGTCCCCCTCCATACAATTGGTTTTTAAATATTTTTTATTTTTGTGGGTATATAGTAGGTGTATATATTTATGGGGTACAAGAGATATTTTGATACAGGCATGCAATGCATGATAATCACATTGTGGTAATGGGGGAATCCATCCCCTCAAGCATTTATCATTTCTTTATGTTACAAGCAATCTAATTATATTCCTTTTGTGTTTTTTTGTTTGTTTGTTTTTGTTTTTGTTTTTTGAGACGGAGTCTCACTCTGCCACCCAGGCTGGAGTGCAGTGGCAGACAGATCTCGGCTCACTGCAAGCTCCACCTCCCCGGTTCAAGCGATTCTCCTGCCTCAGTCTCCCGAGCAGCTGGGACTACAGGCGCACACCACCACAACCAGCTAATTTTTATATTTTTAGTAGAGATGGGGTTTCACCATATTGGCCAGGCTGGTCTCAAACTCCTGACCTCATGATCCACCCTCCTCGGCCTCCCAAAGTGCTGGGATTACAGGTGTGAGCCACCGCGCTCGGCCTCTTTTAGTTATTTTTAACCTACAATACATTATTGTTGACTGTAGTCACCCTGTTGTGCTATCGAATACTGGATCTTATTCATTCTATTAATAATTATAGTTTTGTACCCGTTAACCATCCCACTCCCCACCCACTACCCTTGCCAGGCTCTGGTAACCATCCTTCTACTCTCTGTGACCATGAGTTCAATTGTTTTGATTTTTATCTCCCACAAATAAGTGAGAACATTCAAAGTCTGTCTTTCTGTACCTGGCTTATTTCACTTAACAATTGTTTTCTAATCTATCCTTTCACATTGAATGTATCTTGAGCGTTTTCCCAGTATCCCTAAATTCTTTGATATGGTGATTTCTAAAAGGTGCACTGTATTCCATCCTGTTGATGCACTGTGACTTGTTGCACTGATTTAAATTAGTCATTTAGGCTGTTTTAACTGTCCTTAAATTATAAAAGATTTCCCATATATAAAATATACAGAGAAGAGGCTAGGTGCCTATATACCCACAAAAATAAAAAAAATTTAAAAACCAATTGTATGGAGGGGGACAAATTTTTTTAAAAAAGTGTTGTCGGCTGGGCGTGGTGGCTCACGCCTGTAATCCCAACACTTTGGGAGGCCGAGGTGGGCGGATCACAAGGTCAGGAGATCGAGACCATCCTGGCCAACATGGTGAAACCCTGTCTCTACTAAAAAAAAAAAAAATTAGCTGGCTGTGGTGGCGCGTGCCTGTAATCCCAGCTACTAAGGAGGCTGAGGCAGGAGAATTGCTTGAACCAGGGAGTTGGAGGTTGCAGTGAGCCGAGATTGCGCCATTGCACTCCAGCCTAGCGACAGAGCGAGACTCCATCTCTCTCTCTCTACATATATATATATATATATATGTATATATATATATATATATATATGAGAATATTACAGCCACCCAGTGAATCACTATTCCATTTTAATATGTGTTAATTTGTTGCCATCTTTGCTTCAGACATTTTTAAGAAACAATAGTTTACAGGTAGAGTTGAATGGTTCCTCTATCCAGTTGATTCCTATCCTTCCATCCCACATGTAACCTCTAATCTGAAGGTTGTGTTTATCCTCCCTATCCCTGATCACAGACTTTAACTACAAAAGAATGTTTCCTAAACAATACAGTATTGTTCTGAGTTTTAAAGTTTCACACATACTCACAAGAGCATATCCTTTATTCACTTAACATTATGATTTAGAGATTTACCTATGTTGACTTAGACCTAGCTGATTTTTGCTGTCCTACTATATAATTTATAAATATAATATACTTTACTAACACATTCTCCTATTGACAAACACTTGGTTGTTTCCAATCATTGGGAATCAATGCGCTTGGGATGGGGCAGGTGCGGACTAGTGCCACCAGGGGGCGCGCGGAGAGCAGGATTGAATGGAGACGTGCGGCGTTTGGCACTCCTAGCGGAGGAATGGCTGAGCCTCTGCAGTTTCCAGGATACTGCCAAATCGCATTCCATAATGCCTCGGATTTCAGTTCTGCCAGTAGCGAATGAGATCCCATTTCCTCACATTCTCGCCACTACTGTGGGGTATGAGACTCGGCTTTGGCCTCTCTGAGGTCAAGCATCTTTTTATGCTTATTGGCTAGCAAGGTTTTGTCTTTGTGAATTTCCTACCCAGAGCCTTTGCTTCTCATCCCGTTAGGTTTGTCTTTTTCCCATTGATTTGTAGTTTTTAAAAATATATTCTTAATCCGGAGAGGATCTCTACAGCAAGCACGTGGCACGTGCAAACTGAGTAATTTAAGGTGAGTTTAACAAAGGGGCTGTGTGGGGCCCTCCCTATCCACCGATTCCATATCCCCAGATTCAATCAACCAGGGATTGAAAAAATTCAAACAAAAGTTCCAAAAAATGTTTCATTGGTTTGTTGTTGTTGTGGTGGTGGCGGTGGTGGTGGTGCTGTTGATGAGGTCTCACCATGTTGCCCAAGCTGGTCTTGAACTCCTGGCCTCAAGCAATCCCCCTGCCTCCTGCCTCACCCTCCTGCGGTCCACAATGTTCCACTGTGGCTGATGTGTACTGTGTAGTTAGACCTCAGACGGTTGCATCTGTGCTGAACATACACGGACCTTTTCTTGTCATTATTCCCCAAACGATACAGTACAACAACTATTTACATAGCATCTACATTGTATTAAATAGTATACATAATCTAGAGATGATTTAAAGTGTACAGGGGATGTGCCTAGCTTATATGCAAATATTACACCATTTCATATCATGGACTTGAGCATCCTTGGATTTGGGGATCTGTGGGGCATCCAGGAACCCATCTCCCACCACCCTGTGGATACAGAGAGATGGACGACTATATTTCTAAAAGCAGGAGCAGGTTGGGGGCAACCAACGAGGGCTGTTTCAGTACGAATGGCTGGCAACAGTGGGCGACATCTCAGCACCCCAGGCCTGAAATGGCAAACAAAAGTGTTGGGTGACCATTCTCCCTAGATGTCTCAGCATTCCCACAGAGTCTGGTTGCTGGGAGCAAAGGGCCCTGAGAAGCTCTGGTCAGTGCTGATTGGAGAGCCACCAGTCTTGGGAGCTACAGATAGCATCTAGTAAAGATAGAGATCGTCTCCCTCTGCAGAGGCATTCCCACATCCTAAAGCCTTCTCTGTCCCCTCCCAGGAGATAAGGGCTTACCTTCCAGCGTTACAGCCCAAGAGAGCTTTTCCCTCAGCCCCTGGGCAGCGAGTGACATTCCAGGTCATGTCTATGGAGGGGAGGACGGCAGGTCATGAAGTCACCTCAAGGAAAGCTCCAGCTCCCAATTCAGGGCTCCCCTCCTGCGGCGCAACCTGCACAGCTGCAGGCGAGCACCTGGCCCTCTGCGTGGCCCATGGGAATCGGGATGGTGGGGACCAACCCAGGAGCTTGCAGAGCTACTGCTTTCTGCTGTGAAGAACACACAGTCTGTGTCTCTGAACCGAGCCCTGCGATCTTTGGTCAGATGTGTGCATGGAACCAGCACAGGCTACCTCGTTCCCTGGCAAGAGGGGACAATCTCAGCCCTTTCGCAGTGTCTGACTTCATAGGAATGCGCAGAAGGTGAAGTGAACTGTGCTAACAGGAGCCACACTGCAGTGGAGGCAGGCAGCCAGCTCTGGGCTGTGTTATGAGGCCAGCGTTTCCATGATGCCAAAGAGAACGGGGGTTTCCAGGGACTGGGGGAGGGCAAAATGGAGAGACGTGCGTCAAGGGGTGCAAACTTTCAGTTTCACCAGATGAATACATTCCAGAGATGTCATGTATTGCACAGTGACTATAGGTGACAATATTGCACTGTGTACTTGAAATTTGCTAACAGGGTAGATCCTAAGTGTTCTCACCACAAAGAAAAAAACATAACTATGGGACGGGGTAGATATTTAATTAGCTTGATTGTGGGAATTATTTCACAATGTACACATATATCAAATCATCAAGTTGTACAAGTAAGATATAAACATAAAATTTGTTTCTAATTTAAAAATTGTATAGTAATTTCCCCACATAACGGGGCATAGTGGCTCACGCCCGCAATCCCAGCACTTTGGGAGGCTGAGGTGGGAAGATGGCTTGAGCCCAGGAGTTTGAGACCAGACTGGGCAACATAGCAACACTCCGTCTGTACAAAAGATAAGAAAATTAGCTGGGCATGGTGGCGCACATCTGTAGTCCCAGCTACTATGGAGGCTGATGCAGGAGGATTGGTCTAGACTGGGAGATTGAGGCTGCAGTGAACCATGATCACACTACTGTACTCCAGCCTGTGCAACAGAGCAAGACCCTGTCTCGAATAAAACAAAACAAAAGGAAACAAAAAAAAACACCAAAATCCCCCATACTTACTTTGTTTGCTTGCATTTAGATTTTGATCCATCTAGAGTTTATTTAGTTGAGATGTGAGTTTGGGATCTGTATGAGACAGAGTAAAAGCTAGTCTGTTTTAGAAAGGAGATTCATAAAATTCAGTGACTTGGCCGGGTGTGGTGGCTCACACCTGTAATCCTGGCACTTCAGGAGGCCGAGGCAGGTGGATCACCTGAGGTCAGGGATTCGAGGCCAGCCCGGCCAACATGGTGAAACCCTGTCCCTACTAAAAATACAAAAATTAGCCGCGCATCGTGGCACATGCCTGTAATCCCAGCTACTCGGGAGGCGGAGGCAGGAGAATCGCTTGAACCTGGGAGGTGGAAGTTGCAGTGAGCCGAGATCACACCACTGCACTCCAGCCTGGGTGACAGAGTGAGACTCCATCTCAAAAAATAACAATAATAATAATAATTCAGTGACTTAAACTACAAATCTCACCAAGTGACCGAGGTAGACACTCGAGATCACTGGGTGACTTGGTTCCAAAGAGTCATTTGGGGATTCAGGTTTCCTCTTGTTTCCGGTCCACCCCCTAGGATGTTGTCCTTGTCTCTAGCTTGATGGTGGGCTGCCTCCATCTGTGGGTAGCAGCAAGTGGCAAGAGGAAAGAGAGCATGAAGGACACACACCTCTAGGATGTCTTAAGTCCTGGGCCAGAATCCACACCTCTTACTTCTACCCACACTCCATGGACAACTTTAACATTATAGCCACCCCCAACCACAAATGGGGCCACCAAATGTATCCATGTGTCCTGCAAGAAGGGGAGAATGGATTCCAGTGACGATGGATACCAGTCCCTGCCAGAGAATTCAGCACAGATTTTCTCCAGGTGGCTGCAGCAGAGTTGCTCAATGGTTTTTGTTTTTGTTTTGTTTTTTTTTTTTTTTTTGAGACAGAGTCTGGCTTTGTCGCCCAGGCTGGAGTGCAGTGGCGCGATCTCGGCTCACTGTAACCTCTGCCTCCCGGGTTCAAGCAACTGTCCTGCCTCAGCCTCCCAAGTAGCTGGGATTACAGGCACCTACCACCATGCCCACTAATTTTTGTATTTTTAGTAGAGATGGGGTTTCACCATGTTGGCCAGGATGGTCTCGATCTCTTGACCTCATGATCTGCCCGCCTCGGCCTCCCAAAGTGCTGGGATTACAGGCGTGAGCCACCACACCCAGCCAGGTCAATGTTATTGATTGAATCGTGCCATTTTCCCCACACATTCGCACCCCCACTTTATCATGTGCTAATTTCTTATGCTGTGTACTCATTTCAGTTCCCTTCTTCATTAGCCTATCTGCTTACTAATGCTTCAGTAATGCACTTTTTCAATTATGCCAGCTTTACAGTGTCTTTCAGTATCAAACAGACCAAGTCCTGCCTTTTCCACTTAGTCTTCTTTTTTGCAATGTTTTCTGACTCTTTCACTGTGTTTTCCATTTTTAAGATAGCTTATCTATTGGTAAAAATATATTGTTATACTATTTGGGATTTTATAAAATTAGTAGATTAATTTGGTGATTTCCTATTCAAGCTCTTCCCTCTGGTCAAGACTTCCTTTGAGTCTTCTAGTAGTGCCTTAAGTTGTTGTTGTTGTTTTTAAATATAGATTTTGCCTATTTATTAAGTTCTTTTTTTTTTTTTTTTTTTTTTTTGAGACAGAGTCTTGCTTTGTCACCCAGGCTGGAGTACAGTGGTGCAATCTCGGCTCACTGCAACCTCAACCTCCCGGGTTCAAGTGATTCTCCTGCCTCAGCCTCCTGAGTAGCTGGGATTACAGGCGCCTGTCATCATGCCCGGCTAATTTTTGTACTTTTAGTAGAGATGGGGTTTTGCCATGTTGTCCTAGCTAGTCTTGAACTCCTGACCTCAAGTGATCTGCCTGCCTCAGCCTCCCAAAGTCCTGGGATTACACTTGACTGGAGCCACTGCACCCGGCCTGTTTCTTAAGTTCTTAAACATTAGTTTATCTGGTTATAGAGTTTTAAATTATCAGGTGTTTTCTTTCAGCTGGTGGAAGATATTATTCGTTGCATTCCTGCTTCTTTTGTTACTGGTGCGATTCTTATTATCAAATGACTTCATTTTCCTTTGTAGGTGATTCTTTTCCCTCTCTTCTTGTTAAATTTTTCTCTTAACTTTTGTGTTTTGAAGTTTTAATATGACACGTACAGGTGTGGATTTGTTTTTGTTTATCTACTCTGAGAATTCATGTCTCATCAACTCCAAAAGAATTTAAAATAACTGGTTACTACAACCAAGTTTTAGTATTTAAGTTTTATTATCTTAATTTCTCAGGCTACTAATTCTCAAGTAGATTACGTTTGTTTCTGCCAGATACTCCAGGGACTGGACTGGGGCCCGTTTTTCCACTAATTTCTCGTCTGGAATTTCCATGCCACAAGGATGGTGTGCATTCACACTCCACAACTCCATGCATGGACTTGAGATTCTGTTTTCTTCTAAGATTGTTTTCCATTCCCTCCCTTGGAGTATCTACAAGAAACAAGCTTCCTTGGCCAGGCACGGTGGCTCACACCTGTAATCCCAGCACTTTGGGAGGCTGAGGAGGGCGGATCACCAGAGGTCAGGAGTTCGAGACCAGCCTGGCCAATGTGGTGAAACGTCGTCTCTACTAAAAATACAAAAATTAGCCGGGCGTGGTGACGGGTGCCTGTAATCCCAGATACTCGGGAGGCTGAGGCAGGAGAATTGCTTGAACTGGGGAGGCGGAGGTTGCAGTGAGCCAAGATGGCGCCAGTGCACTCCAGCCTGGGTGACACAGCAAGACTCCATCTCCAAAAAAAAGCTTCCTTGCTACTTCCCTGGGAGGATGAGAAGTTTGCCTACTCCTCCCTTTCATGAAGGAGGTGGTCAGTCCATGTCCCAGCTTTATGCAGGAGTCTCAGTTCCGCCTAGCTTCCTGTCTTATGGGGTCAACATCATGTCTTTTACTTTCGTGCTGGAATGAAAACCTCAGCCCTTAACAGTGAGTGTCTAAGTAGGGATACAACCCCCTTCTGACTGAGGAAAGGGATTTTTCTTCCTAGCTTGTCTGCGTATTTGATATTGGTATTCTATTTTATACAGCATGCCTATGTGTTTGGAGAAATATGGAGGGTAGGGGATGTATTACCCAATCTGCCCAGTTGCCAGAACTGCAAGTTGGAGTCTGTTTCCAATTTTTCAATACTATAAATAATGCTATGATGAATATCCTTGCCCATTAATGTTTATGCACATCTCTGGTTATTTTCCTTGGATAAATGCCTAGGAATGGTCAAAGAGTACGAACATTTGTAAGGTGTTTGATATATATGTGAGGCCCCATTGCCAGCCCTCAAAAACGCACCACTTCACATTCCCTGGAATTCCTGCTTTCCGGTGCCCTTGCCAACATTTGGAACCTTTAAAAAAAAAATCACCATTTAGTTAGATTTAAAAAATACTGTGAAAAAAAGCATAGTGTGAAAACAATATTTTTATGTTTATAACTAGTTAGAAAAAAATCAAGAGTTGGGCACAGTGGCATGCGCCTGTAGTCCCAGCTACTCAGGAGGCTGAGGTGGGAGAATCACTTGAGTCCAGGAGTTTATGGCCAGCCTGGGCAACCATAAATAGTGAGATGCTGTCTCAAAAAAGACAGAGAGAGGCGGGACACGGTGGCTCACGCCTGTAATCCCAGCACTTTGGGAGGCCGAGGCGGGCAGATCACGAGGTCAGGAGATCAAGACCATTCTGGCTAACACGGTGAAACCCCGTCTCTACTAAAAAATACAAAAAAAAAAAAAAAAAAAAAAAAAAAAAAGCCGGGCGTGGTGGCGGGCGCCTGTAGTCCCAGCTACTCGGGAGGCTGAGGTAGGAGAATGGTGTGAACCTGGGAGGTGGAGCTTGCAGTGAGCCAAGATTGCGCCACTGCACTCCAGCCTGGGCGACAGAGCGAGACTCCACCTCAAAACAAAACAAAACAAACAAACAAAGGTGAAAAGAAAAGAGAGAGGGAGGAAGGAAGGAAGGAAGGCAGGCAGGTGGGCAGGTGGGCACGGTGGCTCATGCCTATAATCCCAGCACTTTGGGAGGCTGAGGCAGGAGGGTCATGAGGTCAGGAGTTCAAGACCAGCCTTGCCAAGATGTGAAACCCCGTCTCTACTAAAAAAAATCCAAAAAATTAACCAGGTGTGGTGGTGGGTGCCTGTAATCCCAGCTACTCAGGAGGCTGAGGCAGAGAATTGCTTGAACCCGGGAGGTGGAGGTTGTAGTGAGCCAAGATCATGCCACTGCACTTCAGCCTGGGCGACAGAGCGAGACTCCGTTTCAAAAACATACACACACACACACATGCGCACACACATAAAATAAGGCTGAGTATAGTGGCTTACACCTGTAATCCAAAAACTGTGGGAGGCCGAAGTGGGAGGACTGCTTGAGCCCAGGAGTTCAAAACCAGCTTGGATGACAAAGTGAGATCCTGTCTCTACAAAAAATTAGCCAGGCATGATGGCACGTGCCTGTGATCCCAGCTACATGGGAGGCTGAGGTGAGATGACAGCTTCATCCCAGGAGGTTGAGGCTGCAGTGAGCCATGTTTGTGCCACTGCACTCCAGCCTAGGTGACAGAACAAGACCCCATCTCAAAAATAGAATAAAATAAAAATAAATAAATGCTACTGTGCACTCTGTTGAGCATAAAACTCAAGCAACACATCACTGAAACAGTGATTACTGTTACCTGAACTTTTGTCTAGATTGATGCTTCTTTTTATTAGCCCCACCCATTTCTCCCCTTCTTCATCAATGCTTCTTCAACTTAATGTGCATGGGAATCACCTGAGGAGCTTGTTAAAGAGCAGGTTCTGATTCTGAGGAGCTTGTTAAAGAGCAGATTCTGATTTTGTAGGTCCAGGGTGTGGCCTGAGAATACTCCCCGCATTTTTTTTTTTTTTTTTTTTTTGAGACTGAGTCTCGCTTTGCCGCCAGGCTGGAGTGCAGTGACACGATCTTGGCTCACTGCAACCTCTGCATCCCAGGTTCAAGCGATTCTCCTGCCTCAGCCTCCTAAGTAGCTGGGACTACAGGTGCGTGCCACCATGCCCAGCTAATTTTTGTATTTTTAGTAGAGACAGGGTTTCACCATGTTGGCCAGGATGGTCTCGATCTCTTGACCTCGTGATCCGCCTGCCTCGGCCTCCCAAAGTGCTGGGATTACAGATGTGAGCCACTGCGCCCGGCCGAGAATCCCCATTTTTAATGAGGATGCTGATGGTGCTGCTCTGTGGACCACAGAGAATGGTTGACTCATTTTGTTGTTGGCCACAATCAGACCACAGTGGAATTCACCCGGTCAGAGCTCGGTAACTTCCAAAGCACATATGGCTGCAAACAGCATTATTAGGACCTTCTATCAACACTTCTAGCTAAAGTGACAGAGTTAAACTGATCCTTTATAAGGAGCATAAATCAGTTGGTTAGTGATGAAATAGCTTATTGAGATGACAACCAAATCACACACAAATACACAGACACACACACACAAATCTATAAATGGGAGAGAATGTAAAACAAGGGCAGAAAGTTAGATTGAGATTGTGCAAAAACGAAAACACAAGCCCCTTAGCAGGAAGGCAACTTGCATCATATCAGATCTTATCAGCTTCAAGCAGACTCTGGAGAGGTGAGTAAGCTTTCTGAGTTAGGGTGGAATTTATCTGGTAAATAATATGGTATTTCAATATGGTTTGCCATTATTGACATAGGATTGCAAAGATAAGTTTGTAATTTTTTTACACGAGCACATTCATCTGGACATTGTATGACCTTTCGGAAGTGTTGATCATAGCCTTCAAGAGTGTTGTGTGTGCACAAAAAGGGATTTATTCAGGTTTACAAATTTCACAGTCAATTTATTTGAGTTACGAGTTCTAATGCCTAGTTTTCCTTTAACCTTCTAAGTTCAGTCTAGAAATCTTATTATTCTCTTTTCTTTTTAAATTCTATTTTAAGTCCAGCAAATAATAGCAACCACTTTTAAGAGGCCTTTGGAAAATACTTGACCCTATTTACAAATTTAAACACCTTCATGCATTTTAAAATATATTTAAAACTTGTAACAGACTACACTCAATTCCCTTCTTAATTGCTTCAGTTGTCTCAATAAACAAATACATTCCCAAGTTTACAAATAACTCTTTTAAATTTAATGAATTAAATTGACATGGTGAAACTTAAGTTCTCTTAGAATGTTCCAACACTGTATATAATTTAGTTTTCATGAGCCTCCAGTCAGTGACAAGAAAAAAAATAGTTTTCAACTAAGATCACAAGATTACTCAATTATACATTTTACAGTGATTTCCAAAGCTTAGAAATTCTTTTAAACTTTATGAATACATGGAACATCAAATACGCACAGATTCTTTCTGCATTCCGAATATGAATCCTACAGTTTTGATTCTCTTAAGAGTTGCTGTACTTTCCCTAAATCCTCCTGGAGCTGAAAGATTCACCCTCTTACAGCTGACCGTTACCATCCTAGTGACTGAGCCGGTATACACACCCAAGATTTGGGCTGCACCCTGACTAAATTCTTGTCAATGACCCTAATGGGGTACTTGAACCCTACTCATAATTGCTATGTCCCTGATGACATAATTTACGGGAGTTGCTCTCGAGGCTCCTAACCCTTAGTTTTAAGTCACACACGTTATTGATTCTTCTACATACACCTGGACATTTGTAGGCTGACAGCATAGATCACTTGAGATTTTGTATTTATCTGGTTCTTAAGATGTGTATTTTTCCCTCCAGCTCTAAAGACCTTTGCGCTTAAAGGAATCCTAAGATAGATAGATAAATGTCCTTTCTATTTGCTAATGAAGGCCTTTGGAATCTGTGGAATCTTTCTAGAGGCTTTAATCAGATTTGGGTTTTGGGGAAGGATTTTCTTGTAGGTGGTGGTGTTTTCTTCCCTAAAGGCACAGCATGTCTGGTGTCTCTCTTTTTGTGATGACAGCAGGAAGATATCTTTTTATGAATACTCCAAATAATATTCAATTTTGGATACCTCAAAAAATGGCCTTGTCTGAGCCGTGGTCACCGATTTTGAGGTCATTTATTGACAAGAAGGTGTGATGTTAGCGATTAACAAGATAATCCTTTATTCATTTAAGAAATATATCTGGATTACCTGCTCTTTGCAGATAGACAGTGGAGAATGAAACATGGCTCTTTTCCTCCTGTTGCTTCTTGCCCAGGATTTCTCAGCCTTGGTGCTATTGACGTTTTAGGCTGGTAAGTCTTTGTTGTCCAGTGCCTTGAATGAGGTTTAGCAGCCTATAATCAGTGTCCTCTACCCACTAGATGCCAGCAGCACCGCCTCTTCCCTCTCCATAGTCTTGACAATCAAAAATATCTCAGATATTGCCAAATGTCTCTGGGGGGCAAAATCACCTCGTTGAGAACCACTGTTCTAGTCGAGTAGGGGAGAAGAGATATTAACAAGTAAGCACAAATACAAATTCAGTAGGGGTTATTGGCTCATGCCTGTAATCCCAGCACTTTTGGAGGCCGAGGAGGGCAGATCACCTGAGGTCAGGAGTTTGAGACCAGCCTGGCCAACATGGTGAAACCCCGTCTCTACTAAAACTACAAAAATTAGCTGGGCGTGGTGGCGGGTGCCTATAATCCCAGCTACTTGGGAGGCTGAGGTGGGAGAATCGCTTGAACCCAGGAGGCGGAGTTTGCAGTGAGCCGAGATTGCGCCATTGCATTCCAGCCCGGGTAACAGAGCAAAAACTCTGTCAAAAAAAAAAAAAAAGAGAGACATGACGTGCTACTGTGAGAAATCCTGGTGTCTTAGTCTGTTCTGTCTATAATAAAGTACCATAGAGTGGGTCTAGCCATCTTTCTTTTTTGTGATGTTAGCAGCCAGTAATGCTCAAAGCTGAGATCTAGTCAACCCTTGTAAGTTCTATTTGTTCATTCTAACTCTAATTTCATCACTCCTTTAGGATTATCTGGAATGCTTCTATAAAGAGCCACTTTGCTCATCTGCAAGTTGGATAGCCAGGGATCCAAGGTAAATCTGAACTTTGGGCAACTCATGGCCAATGTGGGCATTTGTGGTTTGCCTCTGGTCTACACTGGATATGGCTGCTACAGTTTACGGCATGTACTTGAGAGGTCCAGCATGTCATGCCTGGGGCTCCTGGGTTTGGTGGGATCTCTGGGGGCTTTCATGGCAGGCTTCTGTTTCCTGTGATTTCCCAGCACTGATTGGGACCCTGTGAACAGAGTTCTATAGACTCTGTTCCCTACTGAAGCAGCAGCAGGAGCCTGGGGGCAAGGTTCCAGGCATGTTAGTTTCCTAGCGCCACTGTAACAAAGGACCACAAACTGATGGCTTAAACCTACACAAATGGATTCTCTCACAGTTCTGGAGGCCAGAAGCCTGGAATGCAGGTGTGAGGCAGGGCCACTCTCTCTCCGAAGGCTCCAGGGTAGAATCTGTTCCATGCCTCTCTCCCAGCTTCTGGTGCTTGCCAGAAATCCTTGGCATTCGTTGCCTTGTGGCCTCATTACTCCAATCTCTGCCTCCATTTTTACATGACCCTGGTGTCTGCGTTCCTTCTGCCCTCCCTTATGATATGACACCAGTCATATTAGATTAAAGGCCCACCCTACTCCAGTATGACCTCATCTTAAGTAACTGCATCTACAAATACCCCATTTCCAAATAAAGCCACATCCACATGTACCCAGGGCTAGGCCCTCAGCGTATCCTTTTTTTGGGTGGGGGAGCACAATTCAACCCCCAGCACCAGGGACCCAAGAGAGTCAAGAGCAGTGGAGGTTCTTCCTGCCAACGGGGTCATGCTGACCTCGGGGAAGTACCTGGGCTGGCAGAGAAGGCTTGGGCAGCAAGTAGTTTGATTTGCAGGGACAGAGTCCCATTCTCAAAAACAATCTCCTCTGCTGTCACTGAAAATTGTTGTTTCTTTGGAATTTTCAAAGGTCACCTGACTAGAAGTGAAAGGTATGGACAGAGCCGGCTTCAAAGGCTGCTGCCTGTGCAATTGTACAGGGTACTGTGCTCCAAAGGGCTTGTGCTTATTGTAGTGGTCCACTGTTACCATCTGGAAATTCTTGAGATTTTTTTTTTTTTGGAACAAGGGGTCCTGCGTTTTCATTTTGCACTGCAAAACGTAGAGCACAAACTATGTAGCTGACCCTGGGTTGGGACATCAGGCAGGGGAGACGCATAGTAAGCTAAGGCAAAAATCAAGCTCTGTTACAGTGTGGTTGGCCTGCAGCTGGCTTCTTCTCCATTTCTACTTCTGGGCCAGGGAAGTTGAACTGTATATTACTGTGCAAGCCTAAAGCTGAGTCACAAACAGATCCAGGCTCTTCAATGTGCTTATCATGCAGAGCAAGTGTGAAAGTGGCTTGTGATTACACTTTGCTCAGGGATTGCCATAGGGCTTGGCACCTCTTAAATGATAAATAAACCCCTCTTGATTATGAGGTGAAGTAAGGCAAATACTACCCAGATGGCTCTGTGAATCGATATTGTAAAGTAAGTTTTTGTAGATGCCTACACCCCCACACCATCCTCTTCCATGGGGTGTAATATGATGCTTCTTAAACTAACAGCCCTGGGGTGGACATTTCAATGAGTTCCCCCGTGATGCTGCCGCTGCTGGTCCACGAGCCACACTGTGAGCAGAAAGAGTCCTAGAAACAGGCCAGGTGCAGTGGCTCACGCCTGGAATCCCAGCACATTGGGAGGCCAAGGTGGGCAGATCTCTTGAGTCCAGGAGTTTGAGACCAGCCTGGGCAACATAGTGAGACCCCATTTCTACAAAAAGTTAGAATATTAGCCGAGCATGGTGGCTTGTGCCTGTGGTCTCAGCTACTCTGGAAGCTGAGCGGGGAGGATTGCTTGAGCCCGGGAGATTGAGGCTGCAGTGAGCCATGTTTGCGTCACTGCACTCCAGCCTAGGTGACAAAGTGAGACACTACCTGAAAAAAAAAAGAGAGAGAAAGAAAGAAAGAGTCATAGAAACAAAGAACAACTAGTTATAAAGTCAGGAGGTGTGATGGTTAATTTCATGTGTCAACTTGACTGGGCCACTGGGCCACGGGGTGCCCAGATATTTGGTCAAACATTACTCTGGTTGTGTGTGTGTAAGGGTGTTTCTGGATGACATCCACATTTGAATTGTAGACTGCCTTCTCAGTGTCGGTGGGCCTTGCCCAATCAGTTGAAGGCCTGGCTGGACCACAAAGGCTGGGTAGGAGGGTGCTCTTGCTGTGTGACTGCTTGAGCTGGAATGTTGGGCTTTTCCTGCCTCTGGACTCAAACTGAAACATTGGCTCCTCTTGGATCTCAAGCCTGCTCACTTTCAGACTGGAACTGACACCATCAGCTCTCCTGGTTTTCAGGTTGTCAGACTTGGACTGGAACTGTGCCATCATCAGCTCTCCAGCTTGCCAACTGCAGATCCTGGGATTTGTCAGCCTCCATAATTCCATGAGCCAATTCTTTATGATAAATATCTCTCTCTGTCTGCCTCTTTCTCTCTCTCTCTCTCTCTCTCTCTCTGTGTGTGTGTGTGTGTGTGTGAGAGAGAGAGAGAGAGAGAGAGAGAGAGTTTGGATATATATATATTGGAGCTATTTGTCTATACATCCCTGATGAATACAGGAGGTCAGATGGGATAGCTGGGCTTTAGTCTTAGGGCTGATGCATTTTAGCACTGGCCAGGTCATACCAGGCTAGTTACTTACATTCTCTGAGCCTTGTTTTCCCACTATAAAGTTTGGGCAGTATAAATGTTCTCATAAATTACACATTTGAGCCCAGGAGTTTGAGACAAGCCTGGGCAACATAGTGAGACTCCTTTTCTACAAATATATATATAAACCGGGTGTGGTGGTGCATGCCCGTAGTCCCAGCTACTCAGGAGACTGAGGTGGGAGAATCACTTGAGCCTGGGAGTTGGAGGCTGCAGAGAGCCGTGATCGCAGCACTGCACTCCAGCCTGGATAACAGAGTGAGGCCCTGTCTCAAAAAAATAATAACAATACATTATACATATCTCATAGGGTTTTTTTGACCTCAGCACTGGTGTCATTTGGGGCAGATCATTCTCTGGTGCTGGGCTGTTGTGGGCACTGCAGGATGTGTGCCAGCATCTCTGGCCTTACCCACTAAATGCCAGGAACCCCAGTCTCCCAGTTGTGCCAAGCAAACATGTCTCCAGGCATTGCCAAATGTCCCCTGGGGGACACCATCACCCGCCCCCCCAGTTGAGTCACTGATTATATAACAATCATCTTGGTTACCTGTGTCCAGAAATGGTTCCATTCATGTTACAAGAGAGGCTAATTTTAATGCTAGTGTCACCAAATGAAAAACAAAGATTGCTCATTTCTGAGTGAGATAAATTTTCCTTCTTGTCTCTGCAAGCCTGAGACTTCTGAGCTGCTCTGCCTGGCTCATAAAGCAGAGGTCTGTAGTTTTAAGGATCTGTTTTTCCAAATACACAGGGGACCAGAGCTCTAATCCTAAATAAGAGAGAAGCCAGCCAGGAGGAAGTATCTTGTAGTGTGCTGGCTCACGGCTGCTGCCTCTTCCTAAAATTATGGTGTGCTTAGAATACATTTTGAATTGGCCCCTTCACATTTTGTGGAACAGAACCCATGGGAAGGGGAGGAAAATAAGTAAAAGTGTAAGGCTGGAAGAGGAGACCTGGAGACGAAGGAAGTGAGTGGCTCTGAGTTTTCTAAGTTTGGGAGAGAAATTGGTCTACATTTTTAAAAAATCTGAATTTTAATCACCCAGGCACAAATGCAACGTGCTTAAAGCATGACAGCCATTCACTGATTCCAAGGATGATGTTGTTTTGTGATGCGCATCCAGACACGGGAATTAAGCGCTAAAATGAACCAAACGCAGACTGGCAGGTTTATCCACACAGTGGACGCTTTGGGAATACCCTGCCTGTCTTTGGAGTGGAAGATTAGGACATGAGAAAAACCTGAATTTTCAAAATGGACGCATCTACACAAATCAAGGAAGTCCCAGTTGAGAAAAGTGCCCCCCGTCCACACACGAAATCTAAACAGTGACTTTTTTTAATACAAGTCAAATAAGTGTCTAAAGTTTACGTCTTTACATAAAGCCATGAAATAAAACACCAAGAAATAACCTCACCCTGTCCCCATTCCAACTCCTGAGCCTGGGGAGGGTCCCCTTAGGGATCTTTGCAATTTACCCTTCCTTTGATGCCCCTAAACCAGCAAGACAGGAATGAACAAGAACAACATCTAATCTCCTCCAGTGCTTGTGGATTTGCATTATTTAAATATATGAGAAACACCCATAATTGAGTAATTATTCTAGCATTTAAAGAATGCCAAACAATGAACCATTTCTTCTTCAGACCTAATCCGGCCCATTTCCGTTTTCCTCTTAGCACAATGTGTAGAATTACCCAATGTGTCGCTTCCTAGAACACTTGATTGTTTATACAAGGTAGGCAAGACTTCTCTGGCGGTGTTTATTTTTCTCATTTTACACTTGATGATTGTAGCCTTTACAGATTTTCCTTTTCTAGACGCTTATCAAGTACTGAATGTGTATGGATCCAATTTTGCACTTTCCTTTTTACAAATAAAGCTTATCCTTTAGGCGAGGGCTGGGGAGAGAAGGCAGAATCTGATAGTAAAAATCTTCAGACTCTGTCCTTGTTGGAGTTACTCCTTAACCATCATTTTAAGGAAAGTATTCTGCAAGTTAGAGATCAGTGCATTGTAACAGCTTCAGAAAGGGGATTTCCCAGAGGGTCTGGGAGGAGAACAAAAGCATTTGCATCTCCTTTCCCCAGAGACTAAGTGGATTTTTCCTGAGCTGCTTTTCCATGTGAAGTCTTGGTGGGAGGATGGAGCACTACACAATGTTCGTGCTTTTGCTGTTGGCCCGGCTGTGGTTTTAATGCGGAGGAAATAAAGAATGTAGAATTGTGCATTCAGTTAGGACTCAAGACTCCTTCGCCCTGCAGTGTTTTGTGTGTGTGTGTGGTTTTTAGTCCGATGTGGAAAGCCCCACTTGACTGTAAGAAAGACAGGCCTTATTCTAACAATTCACACACACACACACGCACACACACGCACACACACACACACAAAGAGAGAGAGAGACAGAGAGAGAGAGAGAGAGAGAGAGAGATCGATCCCAATTTATGGCAAAGCTGGGAAGTCAAGAGTCCCTTCACACCCCTACCAATTTCTCTTCCTTTCCATCTCCATTCACAAGTCTTTAGGGACCATCAGCAAACGCCTGGGGCTAACATTGCACACAAGTGGAAAAGGACTAATGGTGTAATAAAGAGGTCTTGGTCACCCCAAGCGCTGGCCTCTTCCTCTCTGGTTCAGCTCCTTTTAGGAAGACAAATGCAATAGCCCCACTTCTGTTCTCTCAGGCAGAGAGTGTCCAGAGGCAGTGGCTGGGCATGTGGATGAAGTTTTCTCAGTGAGGGTCTCCAATCTCTCTTCTCTGGCATGCTGTGTCACACTTCTTTTGCCTCTATTAATGTGCAAATGAAAGTAGGAATGCCTCTAGATGTTTTGGTGATTAAATGAGCTCGTATTTGCTAAGTGCTTAGATGACAGTAAGTGTGCAGGAGCCTATCTTAGGTCAGGCTCTTTAGAAAGGGTGCCTGAGACGGGGGTTCTCGAGTGAGCGGCTGATTGGAGGCATGCTTACACGAGTAAGGGAGGCGGGACCGGGCAGGGGAGGAGCTGGCAAAGCTATGATTTCCAGAGAAGTACAGCCTCAGCCTGATCCCATGGGGGATCCCATGGGGAGCTCTGGGGTGTCAAGGGCATTCGAGTTTGTGTCACCAAGGCAAGGAAACTGGACGGTCAGCTCCTGGGGCTGGGTGTAATCTCTCAGACATCTGTGTTAATGAAGGGTCATCTTCACAATACTCCAAAAGAAGGGAGCCCGCCCCAGCATCTGCTATACAAGTAAACAATTTCATGACAGCAGCTCCATGTGCCAAGGGGCAAGAGCTCAGAACTTGGGAATCTGAACATCTGAGCCTCAGTTTCCTCATCTGAGGCACCTTCCCTTTGGTCTCACAAAGCCTCCCACGAGTCCCCAAATTGAGGTTGGCACCCTGGCTTCATTTGTTGACAAGTGACAATTGTATTACAAGGGCCTATTTCTATGTTTAGTCCCCAAGGGAGTGCAAGCTGAAGCACAGACTATCCTCTTCCCTGCAGCATGCCTACACGCAGCACAGTGTCTGCGCGTGGGAGGTCCACTATTTGCTGCCCGCCTGAACGGGTAGAAATCTTTCACCTTCAGTGAAGACTCCTCGGCGCTGGCCTCTTTGAGCTCCTAATTGGATGCAGTTTCCCCCACTCCTTGCTCTACCTGATGCTTTTTTCATCTTGCCTTTCCTTCTGAGTCCTTTGATGTGTGGTGTATGTGTTCTCCTCTTTCCACTCTCTCTCTGCAGAAGTCGGTTTCACTCCAATACGCCCCAGCCCCATTCAAAGTACTTTCGAGTGATAGATTTGTGTCCAGATTTGTGAGATTCTAAAAGGACCAGGTGACAGGGAGGGTGGAAATGCAGCTTCAGAACGGCCATGTTGGGTGGTAAGGTAAGAAGGCAGTGGCAGCCCCACTGGCGATAAATCATGCCAATCGGAAGGGAAGATGTCAGAGCAGGGACACTCAGCACTTGGGGCATTCCCTGGCACATGCGACATCACAAAATATGTGCTTTTTTGACCCTCCCACTCTTTCCCTTGGACATGTAATAATCACACATGTTTAAAAGGACTCATGCGGTGGAATTTCTCACATAGAACATTCAGGTAGGGGTAGATAGATACTTGGGGAGCAAGAAAGTTTCTGTGTTGTAGTAGGAGGAGGGAGAGGAAAGACCTTCCTTGGATAGTTTTTTGGACGTCGCTATACCTTCACAACTTCACATTCTTCTTCTTCTTCTTCTTCTTTTTTTTTTTTTTTTTTTTTTTTTGAGACAGGGTCTCTGTTCCATCGCCCAGCCTGGAGTGCAATCGTGCAAACACGGCTCACTGCAGCCTCGACCTCCCTGGCTCAAGTGATCCTCCCACCTCAGCCTCCCAAAGTGTTGGGATTAAAGGTGTGAGCCACCGAGCCCGGCCCCACATTCTTCTAATTTTTTTTTTGTTGTTGTTGAGATGGAGTCTCACTCTGTCGTCCAGGCTGGAGTGCAGTGGCGCGATCTCAGCTCACTGCAACCTCCCAGGTTCAAGCAGTTCTCCTGCCTCAGCCTCCCGAGTAGCTGGGATTACAGGCGTGCGCCACCATGCCCGGCTAATTTTTGTATTTTTAGTAGAGACGGGGATTTCACCATGCTGGCCAGGCTCGTCTCGAACTCCTGACCTCGTGATCCGCCCGCCTGGGCCTCCCAAAGTGCTAGGATTACAAGCGTGAGCCACCGCGCCCGGCCCATTCTTCTTTTTTAAAACAACCTTTCCCCTCATAAAAGTAATATTACCATTTTACAAAAAATTGGAAGGCAAATCATTTTTAAAAATCCCGCCAAAGGAATGCAAACTCTTGTGAGCATTTCAGGACATTTTCCTCCAGTCTCTTCCCCTGTGTATCTGGATTTCAATCAGGCTCTACCAGATATTTTTGTATCACTGTAACTGTTTAAAAATCTCCCTGATACTGTCCTGCATTTCCTGGCATAACGTGTTGCGGCTGTGGGTCTGGGGCACGAAGTAGGTGGGAGATTTAGAGCAAGACACAGCCCCAACTCTGGAGCTTCAGCTTCCCCAGCTGGGAGCCAGTGAAACAGAAGTTCCCGTCTAGGCTGAAAGTTTTAGGAGTTGACCCGGCTTCCTCCCCAGCAATGGTCTACTTGGGTCTCCGCTCAAACGATCAGACCCCACAAACCGGATGAAGCGCTCAGGGAAGGTCAAGGAACTCCCGCCTAGTGTGGGCCCCCAGGTTAGCCCTTCTAGGGCTGTCCTGGCGGGGACGCAAAGTGGCCACCTGCCCAGCTGCCCGCTTCCAGAGGCGTCCTCCCTGCGCCGCCCGAGAGGACCGGCCGCGGGCTCCCCCAGCTCCTCAGCTCCCTCGGCCCCGCCTTCAGGGGCTTTTCCCACCTTCGCGGGACCAGACGGGTTGTGTGGGAGACCGAGGGCGCAGCCTCCCGCCAAGTGCGCAGAGGGTCTCCAGACAGCCAGAGCCCGGGAGCGGGTGAAGGGAGGGCACTGCCCGCTCTCTCGGGAATTGTTTGCGCCCGAGGAGTCACCCCAGGCAGGCCGCGCCCGCAGTCCGGGTAGGGCGTCGTCCTCCCCGCCCGCCTTCCTCTACGCGGGGGCCCGGGGGCGGACTGACGCGGCGGCGCCCATCCTGGCCTCCATGCGGTTTCCCGAGGCCGGAGGAAGGTGGCGGAGCGGGAGGGAGAGAGCGAGGAGCGCGCGGAGAGGGAGGACGGCGGAGGGGGAGGAGCAAGCGGAGGGGTGGGGGTGGGGTCGAGGAGCCGAGCGCCGAGGAGGACCCCGAGGGAGACTGGGGGCGGAGCAGCCGGCGACGGAGAGGCGCGGAGGACGCGGGGCCGGGGGAGGCGGAGCAGCGGGAGTGGGTGGAAAAGCAGAGGCGGCGGGAGGAGCGGGAGCCTCCGTGGGAGATTCGGGAGGAGCAGCCGGCGTGGGTGGAGCCGCCGGCGTGGGAGGAGCCGCGGGGCCTGGGTGAGAACGGGGCGGGACGGCCGGAGGCGGGGCCTGCGAACGCCCTGCCCCTGCTCGCCCGGGCCGCGCCGAGGAACGAAGATGGCCGGGCGCGCCGCGGGAACGGAGGGGCGGCCGGCAGCGGCGGCGGCGGCGGCGGCGGCTCCCGGGCTGTGACTTCGCGCGCGGCGGCCACCCGGGCTACCTGAACGGAGTGGGCGGCGCGGGCAGCGGCTTGCTAGGGCGGGCGGGCGGACGCCGGTGCACGGGCGCCGGGCGGAGGATGCGCCAGGAGCGGCGGGCGGCTCCCCGCGGCCGCCCCCGCGCCCCGGGCGCCGGGCCTTAGTGCTGGCGGAGGAGGCGGCGCGCGCGGGGCGGCCGGGCGGCGGCGGGGCCCGCGCCGTCATGCCTTGGCTGAGCGGCGGCCGGCGGCGACGGCGGGGACAGCCGCGCGAGGCCCCGCGGGAGCCGCCGCCTTCTGCGCAGCCCCAGCGGGAACCGCGCCGCCGGCGCCCCCCGCCGCGGTCCCCACGCCCCCAGCTCCTTCCGCGCCGCCGCCGCGGGCCCGGGAGAGCGCCGAGCTGCCGCTGCCCGCCGGCTGGGAGGAGGCGCGAGACTACGACGGTCGCGTCTTTTACATTGACCACAACACGCGCCAGACGTCGTGGATCGACCCCCGCGACCGGTAAGCGGGCCGGCTGGGGGCGCCAGACCCGGCGCGGGCGCTACGACCCGGGCCGCCGGCCGGCGCCACCGCGGATGCGCTGGGGACACGCCCCGCCCAGCGCGGGGCCGCCGCCGAGAGCCCCCGGGCCCGGGCAGAGCTCGGAGCGCCTCCATCCCCGGAACCAGGGGACTCCCTGGAGTGCTCCGGTCCAGGCTACGATCGAGGCGCCCCCATCCCTTGGGCCCAGGGAGAGGATCGGAGACACCAGGAGGCCCTCGGGGCTGGGTGAAGATCTTTGGTTCCGGGGGTCCGGGAGAGGATCCACCCTCCCAATACCCCGACTCCCAGGGCTCTGACCAAGAATGGAGGTGCCCCTTCTCCAGGCCTCGAGCCCTCTGAGCGCCGAGGCCGGCCGCCTACAGGTCCCCCGCCGCTGGGCGGACCCTCTCATTCGGTTCCCTCACGTCACCCGCTGTCCGGCGCCTGGGAACTGGGCTCCTGGAATTTCCTCTCCTGGGGCTGACAGATGGCCCTCTTTTCCTTTCTCTGCGGCAGCCTCGCCCATCCCGGTCCCGGGCGTCTGCGGCCCACTGCCCCGGCCCTGGTTCTGCAGGTGTCCCCAGCCCCGCGGTGGCGAGATGAGCTGTCACCTTGGATCACAAACGTGCGCCCCAGCTTTGGGGTGCGGGTTCCCTGTCTGGCGGGTTCAGGCTGGTTTCCATCCAAAACCTGATGTCAGACGGGCCCTTGAGGGATTCCCAACCCTTTTGGAGTTGGAGAAGTCTGTTCCCAAACTCTAGTTGCTCTTTAGCGCCTTAAAACTCGTGAGTTAAAACTGTTTGAAATAGCCTTCTGTACTGCAGCCAGAATGCAATATGATTAGTCCCATATGCTTTTGGAATAAACGAAAAACAAGAATTGTATTTTAAGTTTCCTTTTTGTGAAAGATATGCATGGGGTACAAAGCTGTCTTATTCACGTATAAAAACCCAATCAAGTAAAAACTGATTCTTGTAAAAGCACTATCAGATTTCATTTAATTAATTCCATGTAACGAAGCTCTTCCTTAACTTTTTGCTCGATTGTCTACGGGTTTCGATTGTTCAACTGCTTTTACAGAGATGTATTTTGTGTGGAATTGGGATTTCTGTGGACATCAAGTGTTTCCACAGGTTATCTGATGTCTTGTCCTCTCTAGAGCAACTCTCCTTCCAGGGCCTGAGTGCCAAAAAGGAAACACCACAGGCTTCCCAGTGATTTGAAGACTTGCAAAGGCCCAGTGTGGTGACATTGTGCCTGCTTCCTCCTACCTGCACAGGGAAGGCGGCCTGCATGGCACTGGCGTCTGAAAATAAACTTTTGAGGAGAGAAGCTGCTGAATTGTTTGAAGATTTCTCTGAGTTCAAGCAGGGGAAAACAAAAGAAAGCAAAACAAAAAGATCGTGATTCCCTAACATTCTCGCTGAACATTGCAAACCTCTGGGCTCAGAAACCTATATCAATCCTAGTACAATTTTATGGGTTAAAAAGATGCCTAGTTATTTTGAAAATCAGGTGAGATCATGTTATAATTTTAACCAAAGGCTAGAGCCCCAGCTGTTTGATCAACCCTTGGATGGTTCTGGAATTGGTAGAACTGCTTGGAATGCAGTGCCCTTTTATACCATATGTATGTTAAAAACCCAAACAACTGGAAAATGAACCAATTAAAATAGTGTTTTGCTTAGAAAAGGCTAAGGCTCACTTTCCAAGGGTAATATAAAACAGTTGTGGTTATATTGGAGTGGAGATTCATGCTGAAAGATATCAATGTGAGGATTTTCTTTTTAATGGTGTAACCTGTGACAAACGTGAATGGACCATACAGAAATCAGCTTGGAGAATCTTGTTTTCCATGTATTTCAGACACATTTCCTATATTCCTTTTTTCCAGAAATCGATTTGTTACTTTTCAGACAATCACTTAAAGGTTTTTAAAAAGTCTCCGTTCTGATGCTAAAATTGTCAATTGAGTCAACAAAAGTGGATATTTTACCTTTTTTTTGTAAAGTAAAAACGTGTGTACTTTTATGAGACGTTGTTTTTATAGTGAGTGAAAATTCAGCAGGGGACAGCTTGAACTTCAGCTCCCATAATACCTTGCCCGAAATATGTATGGAATGTTCAGCAAGCCACAAACATTTAAGTGGAGTCGGCTGAAGGCTGTAATAGTCATTCTTCTTCCTCTTTCAAAACAGAACCTGGCCGAGTTTTATAGGTGGCGGGTTACCCTTTAAAGTTGTAATTAACTTTTATTATATGGGAAGAACTGCATGTCAGAGGGCAGTGTTTTCTCCATGCGCATCTGACAGTTAAAACCCTTTTTGAGTTGCTTTTGAGTCACACAGGAAAATGGTATTCAAGAAATACGAGGACTTTCACCAAACAGCTTCCACATAGAGACCTGACAGGAGAAAGGCAAATACATAATAGCTTTTTTTTTCTCTTTAAGAAAATGAAATTGTGGTGGAATAAATGAATGTAGTAGGTTAAGTGAAAATTGTTGTTGACTTTAAACATAATTTCATATAAACTTTAGTAAAAACTGTATAGCATAAAATATGGTCCAAGGATTGTAAACAAAATCTCTTCTTGAGTTTTATAGTAATTCCATTCAGTGTTGTGTTTAACATTTGATAGTGCCGGCTCAGAGCCTGTTGGTGAAATTATTGTAACTGCTTTTTAAAGTTACAACAAAGAAGATACAAGGAGACGTCTTTACGGATGTGGCTACAGATGTATACACAATCTCAATATTTTAAAAACAATTTTTTAGTTTGATTATAAGCCTACCTTTGGTTGGCTGGGCGTGGTTGCTCATGCCTGTAATCCCAGCACTTTGGGAGGCTGAGGTGGGTGGATCACTTGAGGTCAGTTCAAGACCAGCCTGGCCAACGTGGTGAAACCCTGTCTCTACTAAAAACACAAAAATTAGCCGGACGTAGTGGTGTGCGCCTGTAGTCTTAGCTACTTGGGAGGCTGAGGCAGCAGAATCACTTGAACCCTGGAGGTGGAGGTTGCAGTGAGCCGAGATCGCGCCACTGCACTTCAGCCTGGGTGACAGAGAGAGACTCTGTCTCAAAAAACAAACGAAAAAACCTACCTTCACTTTAAATTCACTATTTCTATAGATTGATACTGTACATATAATTTTCATAGTTAGTTTACTGGGAATCATACCCAAGAACTTGGTTAAAAACTACAAAGTTAGGCCAGGCGTGGTGGTTCATGCCTGTAATCCCAGCACTTTGGGAGGCCCAGGGGGCAAGATTGCTTGAGTCCAGGAGTTCGAGACGAACCTGGGCAACATAGGGAGACTCTGTCTCTACAAACAAATAAAATAATTACGTGGGCGGGGTAGCGTGCGCCTATAGTCCCAGCTACTCAGGAGGCTGAAATGGGAGGATTGCTTGAGCTGGGGAGATCCAGGCTGCAGTGAGCCGTGGTCATGCCACTGCACTCCAGCCTGGGTGACAGAGTGAGACCTTGTCTCAAAAAACGAAACAAAACCCCACACCAAAAAAAAAAAGAAACGAAAAAACAAACTACAAAGTTAACTTATTTCTATGGCTGGTAGTTTCCTTACATGAGTCTTGTGTGGTTTACATTAGTGGCACACTAATATCTTAACTGAATATATTAACTCAGAATAACTTGACCACCTTATGAAAAGGTATTTACCATTGGGCAGAAAATATGGGAAGAACATTTTTGCCCCCTTTGTAAAGATTCACTGTCTTTGACAGTTGTGTTTACGTGTGTGTCTTGCAGGGTTATTTGGGTATTATCCTATAGATGGACTGAGTGTTTGAAACCTCATGTTCCATTTCCTGTAGCTCAGGTGGAGTTGTACGGTACTGGAAATGCCAGCTCTGGGCAGCTTAAGTATGGTGGACGATACCATATTTGAGATCAAAGTATAAATAATCATGCGGATGGCGGAAGAGCAAGATCATGTCATGGCATAAGCTTTTGGGGACCCATTTGTTCACCAGATGGGATTTGACCTGTGCTTCATGGAGGAATTCTGTGGTATCTTAAAAGTCTTCTGAAGATGCTTTTGCTTTAAGAGGAAAACAATCCATAGCTCTGGAATTTGCTAGGTTGGATCCCCATTTAACAGCCAAATAACATCATTGCTACCTTCTTGGAACCTTTATTTAGTTATTCAGTATTAACTAATAGGAGGTTTACTATATTCATCCCACAGAGTCTATTTTTGGACTATATAAACTGTCCTGGTTGAGCTTTCTGATAAACAGGTAATGATTTCTCCCTTTTTCTTTTTTTAAGGTTATAGATAGTGTTTGTATGAACATGGGGGAGCATCTTGTTTTTAAGGCTGTAAGGGGTCAGTCCCTGGAAGAAGCGGCTCTTGCTTCCATTTAGATCATCAATCCTCATTTTTTGGTCTAACATTTTTTGGTCTTTTCCTTTCCTTCCATTTATTTGTTTATTTATTTATTCATTTATTTATTTTTTAAAGAAAAGTGAAAGGAAAAGTAATTCATTTCCAAAAATAGCTCCTGGATGTTTGGAAATCTCCAAGTTTCCTTCTCCTTCCTTTCACTCTGATTTGGGAAGTGGAAATAACACGTATCACCATCTCTAGTTAGGTTCTACTTCAGGAGCCCATGGGTCAGGAACATGTTCATGGTCATCTGGTGAGCCTACGGTAGGCTTCTTGACTTCCATTCCAGATCCTTTTGCTAATGGTGTCTATCTTTCCCATAAATTCAATAAAACAAATCTGATGGAATAAAAGCAAAGTTAAATTCTACTGAGTTCAGTTATCCCTGTTTAATAAAGTGAAGAAATATTTGTGGAGAGTCTTGGCCTTCTGTGTGCAGGGACAGTATGTGGAAACCAAGCTGGTCTGGGAGGTGGCACACAGACACATAAAATGAAGATAACAATAGTTGCAAGGCATCCCAGGATTGATTCAGTTTCTCGGATAATGATCACTTCAGAGAAAAGGTGGGCTCACTTGAGCCTGGGGTTGTCTTTTTCCTTGCCCATCCTTCTGGGTGAGGGGTTCTAGTGCTTTTCCAGCAGTAGAAAAGCAAGATCATCTATAGGATGATCCACTCAGTCCATCTATAGGGTAATACCCACACAACCCTGGAAGACGCACACGTAAACATAACTGTTAAAGACAGTGAATCTTTACAAAAGAGGCAAAAGTGTTCTTCCCATATTTTCTGCCCAATGGTAAATACCTTTTCTTTTCTTTTCTTTTTTTTTTTAAATGGAGTCTCACTCTTGCCCAGGCTGGAGTACAGTGGTGCGATCTCGGCTTACTGCAACCTCCCCTTCTTGGGTTCAGGCAATTCTCCTGCCTCAGCCTTCCAAGTAGCTGGGATTACAGGCGTGTACCACCACACCTGGCTAGTTTTTGTATTTTTAGTAGAAACAGGGTTTCGCCATGTTGGCCAGGCTGGTTTTGAACTCCTGACCTCAGGTGATCCGCCTGAGGTGAGGCCCGCCTCAGCCTCCCAAAGTGCTGGGATTACAGGCGTGAGCCACCGCGTCCAGCCAGTAAATACCTTTTCATAAAGTGGTCAAGGTACTCTGAGTTAATATATTCAGTTAATGTATTAGTGTGACACTAATGTAAACCACACAAGACTCATGCAGGGAAACTACCAGCCATAGAAATGATAAGTTAACTTTGTAGTTTGGTTTTTGTTTTTTTGGTGTGGGATTTTTCTTTCTTCTTTGGAAAAAAAAGCAAGATCTGGGCAAGATAAGGGGAACAGGAGAAAAGTGCTGGCCTTGAGGAAGTGCTGGGTGTGTTCGGAATAAATGAGGGAATGAGTCAACTCGAGTGACCCAGAGCTGTCATGTAAGGGAGGTAAGACTCAGGCCAGAGCATGTAGCTCAGGGTCCCACAGCTTTGGGGCTGGAAGAGCTAGGATCATCTTGTTCAAATTCCTTTTTCTACTTGACAGCCACAGCCAATGGGTATGTTCTGCCGGCTGCTAGAAGGGCAAGGGACTTGAGCTGGGTCTTCTGACCCCCGTTTGGGTGCTCTTTCCAGAATGCCACCCAGCTGCCCAATCCACACAATTTTTAAGCATCCTGCCTCTGTTCATTCATTTATTCATTCATTCAACAACTGTTTGTTGCACAATTTCTGAGTCTAAGGCACTCTTCCAGGGTTTGGGACTCCAGTGTTGAGCAACACCAGACAGGCTGCCGTGGGGCTTACCTTGTGCTCGTGTCCTTTTCCACGAGGCCTCACCATGCTGTTCCTGCCTGCTGGTTTCTCCCTGCGGGGATCCCTTGGCTCTGTGATTGTGACAGATACATGCGGAATGCACTAGGCTTTTGCATGGATGTTTTCTTTCTTTTTTCCTGTATCAGCTTTTTCAGGTTGAATTGCATGAATGTTTTCATCGAAAGCCCATGATGGCTGCATGAGGTGTAGGCGATCATGTGATAAAACTGAGGCCAGGGGAGATTGACTTAGTAGCCTCACTTCCTATAGGCAGTGAGGTCAACATCTGTTCGACTTCGGAGTTGAGCCAGGTCCCCTGCCTGTTCTTGACTGTGCCTTGGCTAGGTAACTGTGGCTAGGTAACTGTGCGTGCCCCTTGCACTTTGCTATACTCATTAGTTATTTTGATCTTGCATTCATTATTGTTTGATATTTAATCCTTCCTGTGGTATAGTGGCCCCTCAAAGATGTCCACGTTGTAGTCCCTGAAGCCTGTTAATAAGTAACCTTCCATGGCAAAAGAGACTTTGCAGATGTGATTAAGTTAAGGATCTTGAGATAAGGAGATGATCCTGGATTATGTGGGTGGGCCCGATGTCATCATAGGCATCCTTACTAGAGGGAGGGAGGAGGGTGAGGTCAGAGTCAGAGATGGAGATGTAACAACGGAAGCAGAGGTTGGAGTCAAGTGGCCATGAGCCAAGGAATGCAGGCGGTCTCTAGAAGCTGGAAAAGACAAGGAAATGGACTGTTCCCTAGAGCCTGCAGATGGAACGCAGACCTGCTGACACCTTGATTTTTGCCAAGAGAAACTGATTCTGGACTTCTGACCTCCAGAACTGTAAGATAATAAATTTGTGTTGTTTTAAGCCACTCGGTTTGTGGCAATTTGTTACAGCATCGGTTTGTGGCAATTTGTTACAGCATCGGTAGGAAACTAACACCCCCACATGCATTGTTATCTCAGTGAGAATGGAAGCATCTGGTCAGCTTGGTGTCTGCATAACAAACACAGCAGCGGCTGACATTTATTACATGCTTAGGCAGGTACTGTGCGAAGCATTTTACATCTTTTTTCTCTCCCTGGCTTCTCACAATACCCCCAGAGGGTCCTCGTTTCTTGTGCAAGCATGGAGAGTCACTCACATTGGGACTCGCATCAGATGTGCTGTACCAAAAACATATTTGATGAGCTAGCTAAATGTGGGGGTGGGGAGAGGTAGGCTTTCTGAGAGAAGAGGCCAGTTGGAAACTAGTGGAGGTTTTCTCAGGTGATCACAGGCCTGAGCTAGAGCGATCAGGGGCACTCGGGCTAGAAAAGGCAGGGATTGTGTCAGAGACATTGTGAAGGAAACATGGTGTAGAGGACTTAGCTAATGCTTGAATGAAGGCAGGTGAAATCAGGAGGGCTGCTGAGGAATCTTACTGGCACCTAAGGAGGAGCCGGGACTCACTGGGGCCAACCGAAAATCCTTCTATTAACCCCACTCAGAAGCTTTCATTGGTGGTGGTGGTTTTGTGTGTTCAGTAACTCCGTTACATAGAGAAACATGTTAAGCTGTTCAAGTTACTGTATTGCTGATGGGCAGTGTCCTAAAAGGTGTCCAAACCAAGAAAGTGTTATTTTTGTTTTATTTTATTTTTGGAGACAGGGTCTTGCTCCGTTGCCCAGGCTGTGTAGTGCAGTGGCATGATTATAGCTCACTACAGCCTCCAGCTCCTGGGCTCAAGCAATCCTGAACGTGTTACTTTAGACCAGGGTTTCTCAACTCTGGTCTAAAGTAACCCTGGCGGTGGGGTAATTCCTTGTTGTTAGGGCTGTCATATGTAGCATATGACGTTTAGTAGCGTCCCTGGTCTGTTACCACTAGATTGAGATATTAGTAGCAAACTCCCCACCCTCAGATGTCTCGAAAATGTCTCCAGACATTACCAAATGGCCCCCGGGGCGGGCAGTATCCCTTGGCTGAGAACTGTCTGAGCTACCTCCATCCACCTGGTTACAATGCTTCATCTTTAGCTGCTGAATTTGTTTCAAGCCTGTTGTCAGTTCCTGAGATACTATGCAACAGAGACCTGATTTCTGTGTTTCCATGAACAAATTTCAAACATATTTATGTGAAAAACCCTGAACCAGTATATGAAACTGGGAACATATATTACTATGAGTGTATTCTTCAATTCTTAGAATACTCTCAATTGATAGGCATTTACTGACTGTCAAGAGTATACATATATGCAGTGAAACAGAAGAAAATGCATCTGTTCACACTGGTGTTCTGCAGCAACCTGGAGAGCTGGCCTGGCCTTTTGAATGTGTGTGTGTGTATGTGTGTGCGCGTTTGTGTGTGGAGGGAGAGATCAGGCTGCCTAAGATGCTCCGAGCCATTCAGTGCCCCGAGCCATTCGGTTCTCCCTTTGGTTCGGAGGAAGGAGGGGTGAGAGGAGTGGAGTGCTTCTGCCTTTGCTCAGAAATTCTACAAATACAGAGCAAGGACATCTCGAAAGGCCGCTTATGGAGCTGTGGGATCTCCAGCATTTTTCATCTGGAGGGTTCTCTTTTCATTTCTTTAAAACTGAAGGGACTGAGAGAGAGCATGGGGAGGAGGGAGGGATGTTGATGTTGAGAATGAACGGGGGAGATGGCTGCACCAAGCCTGGGATCACCAGCCCCACAGTGGCAGTGGGTGGATCTTTGAGGCAGGCGGAGGTGCCCCAAGTAGCTCCTCTGCCCGAGGCTCCGTGCTCCAGGAAAGAGGGCATCTACCAGCTTGGGTATGGTGTTTCCAGGCGGCCCGGAGCTCGGCCAGGAGACCACATAGTCACTGCAGGAGACTTGTTCTTTCTGCCACTTAGAGCTCTGTCCTGTGGACGGGTGCCTGTCCCCAGCATGGGGGAGGCCTTGGAGTATGGGGTCAACTAGATTTACCTTAAACATTATTTCCATTTTTAAAAAATTGAGATACTATAAAATTTACCTTGGGCACGGTGGCTCATGCCTGTAATCCTAGCACTTTGGGAGGCTGAGGCGGGCGGATCACTTGAGGTCAGGAGTTTGCAACCAGCCTGGCCAACGTGGTGAAACCCTGTCCCTACTAAAAAAACAAGAAAAATTAGCTGGGCATGGTGGTGGGCACCTGTAACCCCAGCTATTCGGAAGGCTGAGGCAGGAGAATCACTTGAACCCGGGAGGTGGAGGCTGCAGTGAGCTGAGATCGCACCACTGCACTCCAGCCTGGGCGACAGAGTGAAACTCCATCTCAAAAAAATGAAAAATAAATAAAAATAAATAAAAGTGTACAATTTAGTGGGTTTTGTTATATTCACTAGATTGTGCAACCGTCACCCCTATGTAGTTCTGAATACTCCATAAAGAAACGCTGTGTTCATTAGCAGTCAGCCCCCATACCCCCAGCCCCTGGCAACCGCTAATCTGCTTTTCATCCCTATAGATTTGCCTATTCGGGACATTTCACAGGGACCTCCCTGTATATTTCTTTGCAACTTCCTATGAATCTGTAATTATTCCAAAATAAAAAGTGAAAAAGAGATTGAGAATGAAGGAACCAAGCAGAGATCTAGTTATTTATAATTGAAAAATAAATTTAAATAATCTCATTTAGATTTTATTGTGTTTTGTCTATATAGTACTTAGCATATAGTAGGCCCTCAATAAATGTTTGCTGAATGAAATTATGCATGTAGAGACAGGTTTTATTGATTTATAATGATCATTCTGTATTGCTGTATTTCACTGACTTTTCCTCATGTACACTATTCTGATGTTCTCAAGAGCAGTCCCTCCTTGTAAGCTGTCAGAGCACCCATTTTATTGGGGTGGCCACACCTTCTCTCGGCTCTGGAGTTACGACCTTGTCTGTACTTCCTGGTGATGTCCTGATTGCCCTAAGCCAGTGGGTCTCAACTGAGGATTCCCTCTTCCTTCTCCCTACACCCAGAGCATTCGGAAACATTTGGAGAGATTTTTGATTGTTAACACCTGGGGGTAGGTTCTGCTGGCATCCAGTGGGTAGAGGTCAAGGATGGTGCTGAACATCCTACAATGCACAGGATCGACCCCACCACAGCAATGAATGATCCAGCCCCTAATATCAATAGTGCCTGAGATTGCTCTAAGCCAATCATACAGCATCCGGGCCTGCAATTGGCTGAGGCAGGAGCACATGACTCAGACCTGGTCAATGAGCTGTGAGGGGAGGTATGAGACAGGCATGGTTGGGGAGAAGGCTCCTTGTCCCCATAGACCTACGTGGAAGGAACTTCTGCTAATTGATGCTCTGTCTCCATGGAAACCTGGAGGTGGGCAGCCACACTGATGCCCCCAAAACTAGGAGGGAGCTGGCTGAGAAGCTGAGGGTGGTGGAGTGGAAAGTCTGTCTTTGATGAGGTGGGTGGATGGATGAATTAAGCTTTGGTAGCTGTCTGCCTTCAGTACCTTTTCTTACGCTAAACGTGGTAACAGCATCATCTTATCCTTTAGAGCCAGTCGAATTAGAATTTCTGTTATTTGCAGCCAGCTAAGGCATTCTCACTCGTGTGTTTTCTGTTCCTTGCCGCCCCATAGTTTTCATGATTGGCATAAGATGAGAGGTTTAGACTGCCACTGAGCTGCTGTCCCCTCACTTATTAAATATTCCTGTCTTTTTCACTCTGATATTTATGATTATATAAGTACTAAAATTATAATGGTCCCTATGTGCAGTTATTTTCTCTGTAGTTTTGTTTTTCATGTTTGTCTTAGGAGATAGTTCTAGGCATGGAATGAATAAAACCCAATTTTTTTGTTAATTTGTTTGTTTTAATATATTTTTATTTTGGAATATTTTAGAGTTACAGAAAAGTTGCAAAGATTAGATGGTTTCCCTGTTGTTAACATCTAATATCACCGTAGTATATTCTGTGGTGATGTTTCTTTGTCAAACCTAAGAAGCCAGCCTTGATAACATTACTATTAACCAAACTCTAGACATTTGAATTTTACCATTTTTTCCAGTAATGTTCTTTTTCAGTTCCAGTGGTTTTTTAGAACTATTAAACTCTTGATATTTGTATGGTTCAACCTAATATTTCTAAGTTTGTCCTTCATCTTTGTTTGGTGAGTATTCTTTTGTGCAGTTGACAGCCTTGTTAGATTTGCTCCAAGGCTTCATGGTAGAGTGCAGGGATTCTAAAGGATTTTGGAATCATGGACCCTGGGAAATCTGACACAAGGTAGGGATTCTGCGTTCAGAAAAAGGTACCAGCACACAGAAGCTTGCATATGCTTTCAGGAGGATTAGAGCTCTCTGGAAACCCAGCTGTGGTTCCCAGAATAATGGAGGCTTGGTTTGAAATGAGCAGACACCCCCAGAGATGTCTGCCATGCACTCACTCTGTATTGTTGAATGAATGCACGCTCACATATTCACCATCACTAGCGTAGGTGTATCATAAAGGATTAATTCAACAGTGATTCAGGGAGAACCTTCCGTGCTTTCTCCACTTCTTCCCCTCCCTCATATCCAACCCAGCTTTAGACTGTGGTGTGCAGCCACTGGATACACAAGTACTAGATAGGTTTCACATGAAAAGGGGAGCTGTGGATGAACCTCAAAAATGTGACACTAAGTGAAGGAAGCAGATGTGGACACAACATAATTATATGATTTGATTTTTGCAGAGTGTCCAGAGAAGGCAAATCCATGGAGATCGAAAGTGGATTAGTGGTTGCCTGGGGCTGGGGGTGAAGAGTGTGGTGACTGCAGTTGGGCACAAGGGATGTCTTTGGGGTAATGGAAACGTACTGAAATTGGTTTGTGTGTTGCATAAGTCAGTAAATTTATAAAAAACATTGAATCTTACATGTAAAATGGGAGAGTTTATGATATGCAGATTATACCTCAATAAAGTTGTTTACAAACATTGTTTTGTTTGTTTGCTTGTTTTTAGACGGAGTCTCACTCTGTCACCCAGGCTGGAGTGCAGTGGCATGGTCTTGGCTCACTGCAGCTTCTGCCTTCCGGGTTCAAGCGATTCTTCTGTCTCAGCCTCCCGAGTAGCTGGAACTACAGGCGCATGCCACCATGCCTGACTAATTTTTGTAGTTTTAGTAGAGACGGAGTTTCACCATGTTGGGCAGGCTGGTCTGGAACTCCTGACCTCAAATGATCTGCCTGCCTCAGCCTCCCAAAGTGCTGGGATTACAGACATGAGCCATTGCACCTGGGCGTTTACAAACAATTTTTAAAGCAAATCTGTTTTTAAATTCAGGTGGTTACCTTGATTTGGTAGTTGGAGAAACCAGACTATGTAGATTAGACTTGGCAGCCTCTAACCACGCAAAAAGCTTTTTCGGGCTTCTCGAAATGTCCATACAATTTCCAGGGAAACTTGCCAAGAAGCCACATGTTAACATTGCCCAGGAGTCTTGCCAACTGTAAGGGGAGGATACCACCATGTAATAACCCGCTAATCATTACTAAATTAAAAATATAGTGGGTTTTTCACTAAGGCAACTAACTTTTTCATTGAGGCATTTATCTAATAGGGTGACTCATTAGTACCACTATTTGTTTTATAAAGTTGAGTGATATCTGGTTACCTGGCAGTATTTGGAGTCAAGTGAATTTTGTGAATAAATGACCAATTGATACTTGGCCTTTAAATATTAACATTTTTTCTTTCACATGTTTATTTCAATGTTTAATATTAGAAGTGTTTAGGAGTCTTTATTTAGAAGTTTGGTGATGTTTTTGTGACCAGAAATAGGCTGTAGGAATTTAACTCTAGTTAATACCAATTAGCCTGTGGTCAAATTGGTTTCCTTATGTGTTGTTTCACTTAAAGTTATAGTTTCCATGGAACTATTGAAAACGTTAGTGAGGACTTACTACTTACTGTACCACTAACTGCAGGGACTACCTAGGTGTGGGTAGCCCTGATTTCAGACATGGACAGCTTTGAGTCTGACTCGGGACTGCTATTTGCTGTGTCTCCTAAGGCAGGTTATTTGGGCTCTCTGAGCTTCAGTTTCTTCTTCCATAAAATGGGGGCAAAGCATTTGCCCTCTGGGTTGTTTTGAAGGCTCTAAGATTAGGTAAGGATCTTAGGTGAGTGTCTGCTGCAGAACAGGCACTCACATGTTCTTTGTCCTTGTGGTCATATTACATACTCCTTCAGCTTTGGGATACCTCAGCATATTTAGTCTTCTGCTTATCAAAATTCCCTCCCTTAGCTGGGTGCAGTGGCTCATGCCTGTAATCCCAGCACTTTGGGAGGCTGAGGCGGGTGGATCACTTGAGCCCAGGAGTTTGAGACCAGCCTGGGCAACATGGCAAAACCCTGTCTCTACAAAAAATACAAACAATAGCTGAGCATGTCCCTGAAGACCCAGCTACTTGGGAGGCTGAGGTGAGAGGATTGCTTGAGTTTGGGAAGTAGTGGCTCCAGTGAGCCAAGATCGTGCCACTGCACTCCAGCCTGGGCAATAGAGTGACACCCTGTCTCGAAAAAATAAATAAATCAATAAAATAAAAAAAAAATCCCTCTCTCCATGATTCCACTTCTGCTTCTGAGTTGCCTCCTTATTTTCCTTGTAGTTGGGTAGCACTGGAGGCTCAGCAGTGTAAAGACAAGGGCTCAGAGTTTATGATAACTGTTTTTCCTCACTAAGCAACTGTTCTTTGCATTCTCATGATTTTGTGGCTGGGGAAGCGAAGTTGCTGGAAGTGAAATGTTACTAAAGAGAGATAACAGATTAGAGGAGAGCCATTGAGATTTTTCTGTCAAGGGCCAGATAGTAAATATCTCAGGCTTTGAAAGCCATAGGATTCTCTCTCTTTCTATTATTTTTTTTTTTTTTAAACCCGTAGGACTTGTGAATGAAGGCCATGGAGATTCTGTTGCAACTGCCCGACCCTGCTGCTGTAGTGCAGAAGCAGCCATAGACAATACAGAAACAAACAGGCCTGGCTGTGTTCCAATAAAACTTTATTTACAAAGACAGGAGGCAGGCTGGAATTGACCCATGTGCAGTTTACCACCCCATGATTGATGTCATTTGTCATTCTTTTTTTTTTTTTTTTTTGAGACTGAGTCTCACCCTGTCGCCCAGGCTGGAGTGCAGTGGTGCGATCTTGGCTCATTGCAACCTCTGCCTCCCGGGTTCAAGCGATTCTCCTGCCTCAGCCTCCCAAGTAGCTGGGATTACAGGCGCACGCCACCACGCCAGGCTAATTTTTTGTATCTTTAGTAGAGACGGGGTTTCACCATGTTGGCCAGGCTGGTCTCGAACTCCTGACCTCATGATTTGCCCACCTCGGCCTCCCAAAGTGCTGGAATTACAGGCGTGAGCCACTGTGCCTGGCCGATGTCATTCTCGTTTACTAATACAGTCTTGCACCGAAATGATGGACTGCATATACACTGGTCGTCCCTTAACATTGTGATGCCATATTTTTACTGTACCTTTTTTATGTTTAGCTATGTTTAGACACACAAATACTATTGTGTTACTGTATTGCCTATAGTATTCAGTACAGATTTGTATCCTAGGAGCACTAGACTCTACTGCATAGCCTAGGTGTGTAGTAGGCTGTGCCAGCTAGGTTTGTGTAAGCCCGCTGTGTGATGTTTGTACAGTGACAGCATTGGCTGACAATGCGTTTCTCAGAACATATCCTCATCATCAAGCAGTGCATGACTGTACAGCCAATGCTTTTGTGTCACACACTTTCATTATCGTTGCATTAGCTTGGCCACAAATCTGAAAATACTCTGAGTGTGTATAGAATTATACTGATTTCTAGGTGTGATGTCATAGTATTCTGGAACTTGGAAATTGTAGCACTCAGTGATGCTAGAGACTTAAAAAAATTCACATTATATGATTAGACTTTGTTTCATAGCTAGCAGTCACTTAATACTGGACAGATGTTAAGAATAGAAGTTGGCTGGGTGTCGTGGCTCATGCCTGTAATCCCAGCACTTTGGGAGGCTGAGGCGGGAGGATTGCTTGAGCCCAGGAATTTGAGACCAGCCTGGGCTACACAGGGAGACCCTATCTCTACAAAATATTAAAAACTATCTGGGCGTGGTGGCACATGCCTGTAGTCCCAGCTACTCGGGAGGATTGCTTGATCCAGGAGTTTGAGGCTGTGGTGAGCTATGATCGCCATTGTACTCCAGCCTGGGTGACAGAGCAATACCTTGTCTCAAAAAAAAAAAAAAAAGAATTGGACAAGTTGATTCAAGATCAAGATCTTCAGCCACGTCTCAGCACCCTCGTACAAAACCTGGGAGGCAGTTGTCATATGTGTACCGACAGCTTTTGGATGTATATTTAAATGTGCGGGTGAACTTACTTTTGGAACAAAATGAAGTTTGCCCAAATTTCTGTGCTGTTTGGGTCTCGGATGGAAACTCTCAGAGCTCAGAGTCAAGGGTGGCATGGGCAGCTTGTCCATGTGGATGCCTGGGAAAGTCCTTGCTTTTGTGGGGTCACGGACCAGTGGTGGGAGATGGGAAAGTGGGTGAAGCTAGTTAGAAAGAGGCAGCAGAAGACAGTGAACAGTTCATACAGAGTTGGCTTCAGTGTATTGCTGGCAGCATGTGCCCAAGGCTGTAAAAGATCTTCCCATCCTTAGGTTCACAAATGCCACTAAAATAGTGGTAACTCTCAGGCAGGTGTGACTGTGCCCCTTGGGACATTTGCACTGTCTGGAGACATTTTTTGCTGTCCCCACTTGGGGGGGATGGGGTGCGTCCTGCTGGCACCTAGCGGGTGGAGCCCAGGGGTGTCGTCCACACCTGCCGTGCAGTGTGGCCCCCCCATAGAGAGTGAGCTGCCCTGAGTCAGCAGAGCTGGGGCTCTGGCTCACACCTGCTCCAGGCCTCCAGCAGCGAGCTGTTCTCGTTGGCCCTTGCCCTTGTGGGTCTTCCGCTGCAGTGGTGGCAAATAGCAATCACTGAGCGTGTCACCACATTACAAGGTGCAAACTGGCAGGGTGAGGTTGGTGGGACTGTGTGGCTGGGTGGGTGACCGTTTTGTGGAGAGCGGCTGGAGAGGCCTTATTTTTCAGGTGCCTGCAGGAGGGGAGGAGGGAACCTGAGGTGTCTAGGGTCAGAGGCTTTCAGGGAGAAGGAGCTACAGGTGCTAAGATGAGAGCAATGGGCCAGGAGGAGGATGATGGGGTCAGGCGGTGGTGGCAGCACCTCATGAGCCACTGCAGGGACTCCAGGTGTGACTCAGCAATTCTGTTGGGAGCTATTCTGTTGGGAGACTTAACATTTCATTGAGGTCGCTCTGACTGCTGTGGGGGACTAGGAGGGCAGGAGCTGAAGCAAGGAGACTGGTTTAGGAGATGGCAGCTGCCCCCAGGGCTGAGCAGTGGTGGCTCAGGCCAAGGAGGAGGCAGTGGGGTGGCTTCCTGAGGACCTGGACCCTGCGATTTGGTCCTCTCTCTGCTTCACCCCAGCTCCTGAGACCCTCCCTCAGAATCCTTGCTGGCTTGAGGAGTAAAGGGTTCTGCCAAAGTGGATATCAAGGCTGTCATGGGTGGATCAGCAGAGGAGCTGGGGTTTTTTCCCAGACTGCTTCTCAGTTTTGCTGCTGGGGCTATAAGGAATTCCGTGGAACAGGAAGTGTGCAGGGCATGCATGATGTGCCTGTTATTTTAGCAGTGGGGCTGTGTCCTAAAAGACAGCGTCTTTGGCCGGGCGCGGTGGCTCATGCCTGTAATCCCAGCACTTTTGGAGGCTGAGGCAGGCAGATCACCTGAGATCAGGAGTTCGAGACCAGACTGGCCAACATGGTGAAACCCCATCTCTACTAACAATACAAAAATTAGCTGGATATGGTGGTGCACACCTGTAATCCCAGCTACTCGGGAGGCTGAGGCAGGAGAATCGCTTGAACCCGGGAGGCAGAGGTTGCAGTGAGCCAAGATCATGCCACTGCACTCCAGCCTGGATGACAGAGTGAGACTCCGTCTCAAAGAATATTCATATGTGCTTTTGGAATGCCTGTGTAATGCTTTAATCAGTTTAGAAACTGATATTTTATTATTATTTAAAAAAAAGAAGTGGTGATCGTTTGCTTTCTAACGGCTGGGATGGTGTGGATCTAAAATGGTAGGGCTTGAAGTCCACGGTGGCCAACTCTACAGCGCTTTTAACACTTTTCCCCCAGGGGAACATTGTACGTTTTCTTCAGGAGCACTGTGACACTGTTTGGTTTGCCGTAGATAATACGGATTCAAAAGGCATTCCAGATACATCATTCTGTGATTGACCTGGCCGGGTTAACCCAAGATTGTCACCTTGTTATTCTCAATAGTAAAAGCCAAGGCTCTGAAAACCACCCCACTGAACGCATATCATAAACCTCCAAAATGTCACCATGGACGTGGCATATTGACAAAAATGTCAAGGATTACCAAGAATAGCTTCTTGCATTCACATGTAGTTACAGGCGAAGGACAGAGTAGCTCTTGCATTTAAAATGCGACTGCAATGGCCAGAACCAATAATTCCTGTTTGAACAACTCCCGGCCCTCAGCTTTACCTCAAGGCTTTAGATAGACTTACTTTCAATTTTTGAAAAGGAACACATGTCCTTATTATGCTTTAGAATTACTAATAGAGATAATTCTCTTTGTTGTGCTATTTGCTACTCAGCTCCTTTTAAAAGATAGATGACACTGAAGTTTTACGTAAACACATGACTGATAAAATACTTGTTTTTCCTGAGTCATTGTCAGTGTCTCAGCTCTAAACCTAGTGCCAGCTCAGTAAATATTTGATGGAATCCAAAGTCTGCATTTTCTTAAGGTGGGCCAGTTTTTCTCTTGTTATATAAAGTAGAGAAACATACCACCTTCTTCCCATTTATTTAGGAGTGGTTAGTAGCCCTTCTCTCATCTGTTGGGGTGGTCATCCCTTTTCTGCATCAGTGAAAATAACACCCTATCATTTCACTTCAAGCACAAATGCTACTTTTGTCTCATTTTTGGAGTTATAAAACCATGTGGATTAATCCCAACCAGGTGGTGGGGAGCCAAAGCTAAGCTGTTTCTTTCACCTCTGACCCGCGCGATTAGTTTGTGGAAGAACGCTCTCCAAACCCATAGGAAGTTCACAGACAGCTTGGATTCCTCAGAGGGTCTTCGGTATCGATTGTGTAGCAGAAAAAGCAAGCATGCCTCTGGGTCTTTCCTCTCTTCTCCATAGTCTTTTTTATGTCTAACTGGTGTTGGGTTGCTTTACCTCTCCACCCATAGTTAAAGAAAGTGAGTATCTTGGCATGTTCCAAACTACTGAAATAAATGAAAATCAGGAAATTTTCCATGAAGCAAACCAATGACATAATGGTACCTCAAGCACAGGAGTTACTGGAATTGGTTTTGTGAAGTGGTTGGCCGGTAATGTTTGCAAAGCTGGGAGGTGTAAGAAGTGGTTGGGTTTTTTTTCTCACCAAAAAGACAGCCCTACATTAAAGTTATAGTTCTCATATTAATGAATGGGTTTTAAAGAAACTGATGTTCTTCAGTTCTTTTTTTCCTCCCATGACTTGCTATGAAAGTAAAGATGAAACAAAAGTATGACTGTTAGGCCATGAATCTGTTACTAATTAGGTCTTATGCTTACTGGGATCAAAAGATGGGATCAAAGTAAGAACTCTCCAGAAGCAAGAAAAAGAAGGTGCTGGGAAAAGGCGTCAATTGCAGCATAGTTTGTTTATAAATGAGCAAATGAATTGTATGTACAGCGATCCTTCATAGTAACTACCTCTACTCCAGCGGAGGTGTTTAATAAAACAATGTCTTACCATCTCTGACCACTGTTACTCACACCTGATTTCTGGAATGCCTATAAGAACTCTCGACAATGAAAAGAATCGGAACATGATAGGCTTGAAGCCACAGGCATCATTTCTATTTTGAGGTCGGTCTTACTCCTTAGATTTCCCACACGAATAAAAAACATTGGCCCATCTGCAGTCATGTGGCCGAGTCCTTCCTGCTGAATAACATCTCTAACCACAGATGGTAGCCAGCTCCAGGTTAGATTGTTCTTTCTTTTGTTGAGCTGCCCATGGCTCCAACTGAAGTTTACCTGCCCATCTGGTCTTGTTGGTACTCCTAAGAGCCCATTCATATTTGACCTTATTTGGTGTTCTTAATGAGCACACAGTGGTCTGCTGATTTGTGACCACCACTCTGTGGTTTGTTTGAAGACTATGCGGACTAAACTGTGTCCATCATTCTGGGGGCATGATTATGAATCCACTCACTGTTCTGGTTATGTTGCTCCTGAGTGCCTCATATCTGTGATGTAGCCATTACCTTCATTTTCTGAATGTCGCACATCTACTTACATTGTTTTAAAATGCACATTTTCTTTTCTAGGAAGAGGGAGCAGGCAGGAATGTTATACACTTTATCCATGATGAGTGTAGCAGCAGGTGAAACCCTGAGGTGTTGGCCACAGAAGTGCTTATATATATATATCTCATATATATATGAGATATATATATTTGAGACAGAGTCTGGCTGTGTCACCCAGGCTGGAGTGCAGTGGCACGATCTTGGCTCACTGCAACCTCCGCTCCCAGGTCCCAGTGATTCTCATGCCCCAGCCTCCTGAGTACTTGGGATTACAGGCATGCGTGACCACGCCCAGCTAATTTTTTGTATTTTTAGTAGAGATGGGGTTTCGCTATGTTGCCCAGGCTGGTCTTGAACTCCTGGCCTCAAATGATCTGCCTACCTCAGCCTCCCAAAGTGCTGGGATTACAGGCATGAGCCACTCCACCCGGCCCCCACTTTTATATTGAAGGTTGTGTATACATGTATACAGTATCCTAACCTGGTGCTTTTCAATCCTAGCTGCATTTTAGATTAACCTGGGAGCTATATATTTGTGTTTGTGCCATCCTAGGAGGTTCTGATCAGCAGGGCCCAGGAAGCCCCCTGACGTCCGTCTTTCCTCCATTAAAAAAATCAAGGTAAAATTAACATGACATAAAATTAAACATGGTGAAACCCCATCTCTACTAAACACAAAAATTAGCCGGGCTTGGTGGCATGTGCCTGTAGTCCCAGCTACTCAGGAGGCTGAGGTGGGAGAATCACTTGAACCTGGGAGGCAGAGGTTGTAGTGAGCCACGATCTCACCACTGCACTCCAGCCTGGGTGACAGAGTCAGACACCCTGTCTCCAAAAAAAAAAAAAAAAAGGAATATGAAATTAAACATTAAACACTAACTATTTTAAAGTGTACAATTCAGTGGCATTTGGTATTGTCACAGTGTTGTGCAACCACTACCTTTATCTAGTTCCAAGACATTTTCATCACCCCAAAAGAAGACTGTGTACCCATTAAGCCGTCGCTGCCCATTTCTCCTTATCCCCAGCCTCAGCTGCCCATTTCTCCTTATCCCCAGCCTCAGGCAGTTACTCACTATTCTACCTTCTGTCTTTATGGATTTGCCTATTCATGCAGGAAATCTGAGGAGCGAGATCGATCTCAAGATAGAAATGATACCTGTGGCTTCAAGCCTATGATGTTCCAGTTCTGTTTATTGTAGAGAGTTCTGTTCTTACAGGTATTTCAGAAATCAGGCATTAATAATAGTGATCAGAGGTGGCGAGACATTGTTTTATTAAACAATTCATGTTAATAGAATTATAGAATATATGCCCTTCTGTGGCTTCTTTCACTTAGCGCAATGTTTTCAAGATTCATCCATGTTATATTGTAACGTGTCAAATATTTCATTACTTTTTTTTTTTTTTCTTGAGACAGAGTCTCACTCTGTTACCCAGGCTGGAGTGCAGTGGTGTAAATCACAGCTCACTGCAGCCTTGACCTCCCAGGCTCAAGCAATCTTCTCGCCTCAGCCTCCTGAGTAGCTGAGACTACAGTTCCATGCCACCACTGTTGGCTAAACTTCATTCCATTTTATGGCCAAGTAATATTTCATTGTATGGCTAGGCTACGTTTACATTTTGTTTATCCGTTCATCATTTGGTGGACATTTAGGTTGTTTCCCTCCTTTTGGCTATTGTTAAGTGCTACTATGAAATACAGGTAGAAGTATTTGTGTCCCTGTTTTCAGGTTTTTAGGGTATATACCTAGGTGTTGGATTGCTGGGTCATATGGTAATTCTATGTGTAAGTTTCTGAGGAACTGCCAGGCTGTTTTCTAGAGTGGCTGCACCTTTTCTTGTTTTTGTTTTTTGTTTTTTGTTTTTTTTTTGAGATGGAGTCTCGCTCTGTTGCCCAGGCTGGAGTGCAGTGGTGTGATCTCGGCTCACTGCAAGCTCTGCCTCCCGGGTTCACGCCATTTTCCTGCCTCAGCCTCTCGAGTAGCTGGGACTACAGGCGCCTGCCACCACGCCCGGCTAATTTTTTGTATTTTTAGTAGAGACGGGGTTTCACTGTGTTAGCCAGGATGGTCTCGATCTCCTGACCTCGTAATCTGCCCACCTCGGCCTCCCAAAGAGATGGGCTTACAGGTGTGAGCCACTGCGCCCGGCTGTGGCTGCACTGTTTTACTTTCCCACTGGCAAAAGTATAGGAGGGTTCCAGCTTTTCCATGTCCTTGCCAACACTAGTTATTTTGCATGTTTTTTTTTTTTTTGGCTTTTTAAAAAATGGCTAACCTCGTAGGTGTGAAGTGGCATATCACTGTGGTTTTTTAATGTGCATTTCCCAATGACTGATGAAGTTGGGCATCTGTTCATGTGCTGTTGGCCATTTGTATATCTTTTTATTTTGAAAAATATCTATTCAAGTCCCATGCCCATTTGAAAATTAGTTTATCTTTTTGTTTCTGAGTTTTAAGAGTTCTTTATATATTCAGACTAGAATATATAAATGTTATAAATGTGACGAGAACATGACTAGATACCTATCACATAAATGAATTTCTTTCTTTTTTTTTTTTTTTTTTTGAGACGGAGTCTCACTCTGTCGCCCAGGCTGGAGTGCAGTGGCACGATCTGGGCTCACTGCAAGCTCCGCCTCCCGGGTTCACGCCATTCTCCTGCCTCAGCCTCCCGAGTAGCTGGGCCTACAGGTGCCCGCCACCACGCCTGGCTAATTTTTTGTATTTTTAGTAGAGACGGGGTTTCACCATGTTAGCCAGGATGGTCTCGATCTCCTGACCTTGTGATCCGCCCGCCTCAGCCTCCCAAAGTGCTGGGATTACAGGCGTGAGCCACCGCGCCCAGCACATAAATGAATTTCAAGTGGCATCCTTTTTTGAAAAGTGCTCCCAGTGGGTTCCATTAGCAACCAGGCTCAAGAATGGGACCAGCGATTCATTCCTTGGGGCTTCTTACAACACACCTGGGAAGCTTTCTTAAACATAGCCCCTGTCCCTCAAGCCACTCAGGTGATTCTGATAATACATCCCCACCCCAAAGGGAGCAAACGTAAAACTAATACATGGCAAAGCAGTTGTTAAGGTAACCGGTGACCTGACTGAACAGGTGACATCAAAAAGAGAATCCTATGTTCAAAGGGAAATTTTGAAAAAAGAAAAAAAAAAGAGAATCCAGTGGCTCTGTAGAGAATCAGCTGCCATCAGCTTCCTGCTCCCTGTTCCCGGAATGCCCTTGCAGAGCATTTGTGAAATGTGCAGTAGGCTGCCCTTTGTCCTGATGGTTCATGTGACAGGGTGGCCCAGCCCCTCGAGGTGCCATCAAGACTTGTCATGTTGTCAGACCTCTCAGGAGGTGACACTTTGTCCACCTGAAGGGCACCCTGGCATTCATGCGTAAGCCCTTGAACGGTGCAATGCTTAGTTCTGTGGGGACTCGTCTGGTCGGGAGAGCACTCTCAGTACTTGTTTGAAATGTCCCTTTAATCATGGCAATGTGGCATATTGAGGTTTTCTACCATGAAGAACAGTATCTTTAGCCTGCTTTGCCCCCACCCAAAGTACCCTTAATTCCAAAGGATGGCTGAGGGCTGGGCTCAAAACTGAGAAAGTGGGATGGTTCCGGGGCTGTTGGTGGAGCTTTCTAATGAAAGAAGTTCTCCATCTGATAGGAAGCTGAGCATGGGGGCAGGAGAGAGAGGGTCCCCAGGGTTTTCTGCCCCACAGGAATCTCTTATGAGGAAACCCCATCCATGGATCTGGGATCCACCCTGGTGGTTCCCTTGTTGCTTCTGGGTCCATAGGGGCGGGAGAGCCTACCGTATTCCACGTGAGTCGCTCTTCCTTCCTGTCACCTTCTGCACCAGTCCACAACCTGGACCCTCTTTCCCCACCCTTGTCTCCTGCTGGTCTAAAATGAGTTACTTATGTACAAACGTTGGGAAGAACATAGGGATTACTGAGACCAGATATTGATATGTGGGAAAAGAGAAGAAAAAATAGTGCTTCAAAGGGCTTCAGTTCCATATAAATGCATGTGTTTTCTTAAATTCCATGTCAGGGCAAAAGCTTTTTTATTTTTATTTATTTATTTATTTTTTTTTTAGCAAAACATTTTTTTGCTGTGCATTTTCTATAGGATTATCTTATGTACATCATATTCAGTGTTACAGAGAAGAAGGCAAAGGAAAATCTGTTTCAGTCTCTTCGTCAGCCATACATGTCACACATTAGCACATGCTCTGTATACCAGTTTTAAAGATTGATTACTATTTCAAAACCATCGCCTCCCTCCAAAAAAGGAGAGGCTGGGTCTGGTGTAATTGTTGCATTTTACTGTTTACTCCATGCAGAAGCACATCACGGTGAAATGTACTTAGTTTATGTATTTGGCTGGCATTTTTCTTTTCTCTCTTCTCTGCCAGACTTTATCGTGTCAGGGGTTGCCCTCAGTTATCCTGTTTCTCAGAGCTTTTCCTGCACTTGGCAAATGGCAGTGCCCAGTCTTCCACAGCTGGGTGGATGAGTAATTATTTGATGACAGTTCTGAAGACACTTTCATCATTCAAGGTGGAATTCCTAGTTTGAAAAACAGATGCTGGTGAAAATTACTCATCATGTGCCCTCCATATATGGTTCCTGTTTACAGTATAGGAAAAAACAAACAATAAAGGCTTCACCCCAAGTCAACCAGATATGTGGGCATTTTCCTCACACACCAAGCAATTCTCCAGTGGATACCAACTGGCATCCTCTAATTCAACTCACTTCTGATACCGTCTACCTAGAGTTAGAGTCAGATCCCACAGGTTAAGTTCCACAAGACTGCCACCCACTTCAAATGCCAGTCACAAGTAGTAGACTGTCACCCCTACTTCTGACTGACCAGCTATGAATCAGGATCTCCACAACCCCCTCCTTGGTTTTGATTAATTTGTGAGGACTGCTTACAAAGCTCAGGGAGACACGTTCCCCAGTTTATTGCGTGAGTAAAAAGTATGATAAAGGATACAGACGAACAGCCAGATGAAGAAACACACAGAGGCCTGGAAGGCTCCTGAGCACAGGAGCTTCTGTCCCTATGGAGTTGGGATGCACACGGATGCGTCTGCCAACCCGGGAGCTCTCTGAACCCGGCACTTTAAAGGGATTTTTGTGGAGGTTTCATCACGTAGGCATGATTGATTATTAACTCAGTCTCCGCCTTTCTCCCTCTCTCCAAGCCTCCAATCATGGCTTGGTCTTTCTGGTGCCCAGCCCCCATCCAGGAGCCCACCAAGAATCACCTAATTAAAAAAGACCTCCCATCACTCAGGAAATCCCAAGGGATTAGGAGCTCTGTGTCAGGATTCCAGGGTCAAAGACGAAATATCAGAACAAAAGATGTACCTAGCACCCCTATTGCTCAGGAAATTCCAAGGGTTTTAGGAGCTGTGTGCCAGGACCCTGGAGCAGAAGCAAATATATTTCTTCATTTGCCACAATATCACACTTCTGACCCTGCTCACCTGGAATCTTCCTTGTCCATTTAGATGCCAGGCACGTGGGGGACAGATGAATATTTACCTGTGAGCATCAGTCATACAAGTGGTTCTAAACCTGGGCTTCCAGTTCGAATGTAGCATTTCAGAAATACTGCTGCCTGTGTTCCACCACAGACCAGTTAAGTCCCCATCGAAATGGCCCCTGGCCAGGGTGGAGATTCACTGGCTATGGGACTCCATCTTGCTCACAATAACCAGTGAATGTTTGTTGATCATTTCAACCCCTTAATGACCTTGGAAACTAGAAATGGGGTTTGTAAAGGGGAAAGAGGTGGAATAGCTATAAATGCCACGGTATTATTTTTATGGAATGGGAGTGGGAGTGGGGCGTGGGTAGTGAGGCTGGGGCTAAGGTTTGATGTTCTGCTGACCATAAAATAATTTGTATTTGTGTCGAGTAGCTTTCTCCTCTCAGCTCCCATGGCTGTGTCCCTGCCTTTGAGTGAATCTGTTGTGTAGTGGTAATTTGTTATGTATTTGGTCCCCCGGTGAGCTGAATTCCTTGAGGTTAACTCCTGGCACTGAGCATCTCAAATAGCTTTCCTGCAGTGAATATTTAAACAAATGAATAGCACTTTGCAGTTTTTTCACAGTGCTTTTCCTAGGGTGCGGTCCCCAAGCCCTCTCATCCTTAGCCAAGATTACATGCCCGAGGCTTGTGAGCATCATTTAGACCAAGCTTCATGCATGCCTTGCCTAGCAGGAGCTCTCTGTACATACCATCTGTTTGCCAGGAAGACTGCCCACCTCTGTGCCTTGGCATGGTCATTACAGACAAATGCCCACTGGGGTTGGGCCTACAACCAGATGGCAAGCTGTCAGAGGGGTAACAGGGAGTGGTGGGGACTGTGGTGAACTAGCGAGCAGCCCCTTCTAAAGGGATGGCTCTAGTCAGCTTTAGCCAGTTACCGTCTTTGGGCACTGTAATCCCTATGTGCCAACCCTTCTGATTTTCTTTTTTTAATTTAAAACAATTTAAGGAAGATGGGGTCTCCCTATGTTGCCCAGACTGGTCTCGAACTCCTGGGCTCAAGTGATCCTCCTGCCTTGGCGTCCCACAGTGCTGGAGGGAGCCACTGTACCTGTCCGCTTCTGATTTTCAAGGGAGTTAGACATTCTGGGTTTTGAAATGAAATCTGAGTTTTAATGTTGGCAGCCCGTTGAGGTTTTGGTAGAGCACCCTAGGGCCAACACAGCAAACCAGGCAGAACACTTCTGCAGTGCAGGTGGCCCTGGGCAGCCTTGGAGTCATGTGGTTCCAGCTCTCGCCACCTGGCTTGCCCCTCTCTAAGGCAGAGAGGAGCAGAACTCAAAAAAATTCAGTGATGGCTGCACTTGTCCTTAGGGATCATGGGAAGAGGAGGCTATGTTAGATTCTGGGTAAAAGCTTCCTTTTAAAAAATGGCTTTTAGTTTTGTACACACACCACAATTCCACCCACTTCCCTACTGACAATTACAGCTGTATTGGGGTGTCTTCTCTAGTCTTTTTTCTTTTTGTAAAGAAAGAAACCAAAATGTGATTATATATCAAGTAATTTTTTTTTTTTTTTTTTTGAGACCGAGTCTTACTCTGTCACCCAGTCTGGAGTACAGTAGCGCAATTTCAGCTCACTGCAACCTTCGCCTCCCAGGCTGAAAGTGATCCTCCCATCTTAGCCTCCTGAGTAGCTGGGATCACAGATGTACGCCACCATGCCTGGCTAATTTTTGTAGAGATGAAGTTTCGCCATGTCGCCCAGGCTGGTCTTGAATGCCTGAGCTCAAGCAATCTGCCTGCCTCGACCTCCCAAAGTGTTGGGATTACAGGCATGAGCCACCGTGCCCGGACTTCAAATAATTTTATAGCCACCCTTTCTCCTAACGATTTAGCCAAAGTACTCCCAGGTTATTACAGTGTCTTATTTAGCATATTTTGAAAATTATCCCAGGTAGACCTCACCAACACAGGAGTTCTGGTTTTGTGTTTTTTTTTTCTCCATCCACAGCACCTAACGAGAGCCTCACATGTAGCCAGGTATTCAAGGACTAACTCTCGATGATTGTTGCTATGCAGTAGTTTGTTGGATCACATCCTGAGCATTGGACATTGGCTTGTCTCCTTTTTTTTCTGCTATTATAAGTAGCACTGTGATGTACCTGTTTATATGTGAAGCTCCTCACGTATTTTAGAGAATGATCAAAGGTGATACTATTAGCACTTGGGGCTGGGTAATTGTTTTTGTAGGGGCCGCCCTGAGCATTGGAGGATATTGAGCAGCATCCCTGGCCACCACCCACCCGATGCCAGGAACTCTTCTCTTCTGTAGTTAGTTATAACAAACAAAAGTATCTCCAGACATTGTCAAGTATCCCCCGGAGGCAAAATGGTAGTTGAGAATCCCTGCGCTAGTGTAATTAGTGGACTGTGAAGGGTGCCAAAGTCTTAAAAGATTTTAGACCTTAAAGTATGTGCTGCTTGGGGAAAATACTCTAGTGAACGGTTGTCCACTGCCTCTGCCTGCTCCTTTGTTTCCGCCACACTCCTTCCCCTGAGGGCACCGGGTTCTCCCACTGTTCTTGACACTGGAGCCGGGCTGTCTGTCTGTGTGTGGTTGGGCTGCCGTAAGAGTACCACAGGCTGGGGGCTTCAGCGACATGCATTTGTTTTCTTGTGGTTCTGGAGGCTGGAAGTCCCAGATCCAGTTCCATCTTGGTTGGTTGGTTTCTGGTGTGGACTCTTTCTGGCTTGCAGATGGCCACCTGCTCACTGTGTTCTCTCAAAAGTGGATGGGGGCCGGGGAGGGGGGCGGCGCCGAGAGAGAGAGAGAGGGGGAAGAGAGAGAGAGAGCGAGCGAGTGCACTTGGGTGTCTCCGCTTTCTATAAGTGCACCAGCCCTATGGGATTAGGGCCCTCCACTCATATGACCTCATTTAACCTTTATCATCCCTTAACAGGCCTTATCTACAAATGCTTTGGGGTTCAGGTTTCAACATGAATTTTGAGGGTACCCAGTTCAGTCCATAGCATTCCACCCCTGGCCCCGCAAAACTCACATCCTTCTCACATACAAAATATATTCATTCCATCCCAACAGCCCCAAAAGTCTTAACTCATTCCAGCGTCAACTCTAAAGTCCAAAGCCTCATCCAGATCTCGTCTAAATCAGGTATGGGTGAGACTTGAGGTATGATTCATCCTGGGGCAAAATTTCTTTCCAGCCATGAACCTGTAAAACCAGACGTGTGCTTCCAAAATACAATGGTGGGGCAGCTATAGGACAGACATTCCTGTTCCAAAGGGGAGAAGTAGGAAAGAAAGCAGGTCCCAAGCCAGTACAAAACCTAGCAAGACAAATTCCATGAGATCTTAAGGCTCCAGAATAATCCCCTGGCTAGATGCCCCGCTTTCCAGGCCCACTGGGGTGGCAGCATCACCCTCACAGCTCTGTTAGGTGCCCTTCTTTGACTGTGTGAGGCCCCCACCCTCTGAAACTGAGGACGAAACGGCCTTGTCCCCTAGCCCTGTGTGGGAGTGGCAGCCCGGATGGTCTTTGAATTGCCTTCAGGGTGATTCTTTGATTTTCTTGAAGAATAGTCTGTGTTCTCATCTGAATATATCTATGGTCGCATCCTATAGAATCCAAGAAATCCAACAGCCTTGTTTCATTCACTTCCAGTTTCTCTGTCCTTGTAGTTCAAACTGGCAGTGTCTCTGCTGGTGTAAGCCCATCTTTCTTCCTGGCTTCTGCTAAGATGGCTGATTAACATCACGGGTAACCTCTCTATGGAGTGACTGTCCAGCCACACCCTTGGCGTTTTCTCCAGAACAAGCTCCCTCATTTTTGCATCCATCTGCCCATCCCTCCCTCCCTCCGTCCCCCCATCCCTTTGTCCAGTCAGCCATCCCTGCCTCCATTCATCCCTGCTTCCATTCATCCTTTAGTCCATCCTTCCATCCCTCCCTCCATCCTTTCTCTCTCTATCCCCCCACTCATCTATTCATCTGAGCATAGCGCGCTCCAGGATCCCAGCTAGGTCCTGGGAGACAGGACCTCTATGATCCTTGACTTTGTGGTGTGCAGAGTCTGGTGGGGGCGTCTGGAGACACTTGCCCTTCAGTGAAAATTCAGAGCTAAGCAGCATCTTGGGATCAGGGTTGCCTGGGCTTGTGGTGAGGCTGCCTCTCCAGGGAAAGGGGACTGTGGATGCCTGGAGTGAGAAGACTGAGTTAAGGTCATTTCTGAGTGTAGAGCACTGGACTAGTTTTTGCAAGATGCAAAAACAAAGGGCCTTTGCCCTTGCAGCCTTGTTCTCTGAGATTGGGTTTCTAGACCATCATGTGTGAAAGCCAGGTGAGCATGGCCCTTTGGCCTCCCTTGGTTTCTGGACTTGGCAGTCACCCCTTCCTTCTGACATGCCCCCTCTGCCATCACAAAGCCGACCTCGGGCACGCGAAGTTTGCGTCAGCAAAAGGAACTCACTGTGGAGTCCTGATAAGCAATGTTCCAGCGATATGGGTGGCCAGGCAGTTCTGAACATAATTAAGCAGGCCTGATTTACCTGACAGTTCTCTTGGATGACAGTGCTGAACCCTCAGCTGCTGGCTCAGTTTTGGGGATGTGCATGGACAAGTTTGAGAGAGCAAATGTAGTTCAGAAAAATGGCAACTTACTTGTTCTCAGTGTTGCTTTCAGTCTTGGAGACATCTGGGTGTTGTGCTTTTGTTTTGACTGGCCAGCTGTCCTGCCCAGCCGAAGCTCAGCTCTGCCTAGCCAGGGCTCGAGGTGGGGCTTCTATTCCTGCCTCATGGTCACGTGCATCGGCTAAGAGAAGGAGCTCAGGGCACAGCCACAGGCCTCCGAGTTTGTGTGGCTGAAGGTTGGTTCTGCAGGCTTCCTAGTGGTGGTGTAAAGATTGGAGGAACCTTTGCAGACGGCCCAGTGTGTGTCCTCCGAGGGGCTCACTCTTGCCCAGCACACACAGTCAGCCTCAGGTGGACTTGGCCCAGCGTGTGTGAGCCAGGCCGAGAATGCACCGCTTCCCTGAGGCCGCAGGCACATTTCAGTGGTGGTACTGGAGAGGCTCAGTGTGGATGGTAATAGCCTTTCGGATGCTCAAGGATCCAGAAATTTCTGCCACAGTGGCAGGGGCATATGGTGACATACACTGGCTTGGTTCCATGTAGTATAGAGTTTGGAATAATTGTTTTTATGTGGAGTATTTCCTGTGCTCCTGCAGGTGAAGAACTTTACTTCTTTTCTCTTCTAAAGGAGAATTTGGGGCTCCCTACTAAGCTGCCTCAGGTGGTTGCTGATAGGTCTGGCCTCTGCGTGTTTTGGATCAAGTGTTGTTGCCCACAGTCCTGCTCTGAGGATTCTGTTGTTGTTGTTGTTAATGATTCTTGTGAGCCAATATTGAGCAAAATGACAGAGTCCTCCATCAGTGCCTGTTCTTTTATTTTATATTTATATATTTATTTGTTTTTTTGAGACGGAGTTTTGCTCTTGTCACCCAGGCTGCAGTGCAATGGTGCGATCTCGGCTCACTGCAACCTCTGCCTCGCAAGTTCAAGTGATCCTCCTGCGTCAGCCTCCTGAGTAGCTGGGATTACAGACACTCGACACCACACCCAGTTAATTTTTATATTTTTAGTAGAGACAGGGTTTCACCATGTTGGCCAGGCTGGTCTCGAACTCGTGACCTCAGGTGATCCACCTGCCTCAGCCTCCCAAAGTGCTGGGATTACAGGCGTGAGCCACTGTGCCTGGCCAGTGCCTGTTATTTTAGAGGGGGCTTCCTATATCCTCAGGACGTCTCGAGTCCAGCTCAGGAACACCTGGACTTCCCTACCTGTTCATTTGACATACCTGTGTGTCAGGCCCCTGCTAGGAGTCTGTGATAAAGGCGACAGGGACCCCAGTCCTGCCTTCTTGAAGGGGAGCCTAGCATGGTAGAAATCTTCACACTCATCATAAGTTACCACTTTAATGGGCATGCGTTAATGCAGAGACACTGCAGAAGACGTCACACTCCATGTTTTCCTGATGCCGCTTAACAGGGAAACCATCAAGGTCACGGAAACGGGCAGAAATGGTTACAAAGTGAGCTCTGGCATTGCCGTCCCTCTTGCGATGGTATGGAGCGGAGATGATGGCCAAGCTCCCAGTCAGTGGCCTCCTTGTGGAGTCAAGAAGGACTGTCCTGGCCCAGTGCTTGCTCAGGCCCCCTTGTTCCTGCCTTGCTCAGACAGCGGGCTCCCTTCTGCCCACACCTCAGCCTCCCTCCCCGCTGTTCCCTGCAGCCTCTTTCGACAAAGCAGATCTGCTGATGACAGGCCCTGCTTCACTTCCCAGTGGCGTCCTGCCATCTGCAGAACCCATCTCCTTATCAGGGTGGCCCAGGCTTTCTTCAGGAGGCTTCCTTTCACCACACCCACCCTCACCCAACCTAGGGCAGGTCCCAGTCCATCTGGGACTTGCCCATCATGGCTCCAGCGTCCCCCATTCCTCCCCTCCCCAGGCAGGTTAGAAGCGGCCTTGCTGCTCCTGTTGGGCCTTGAACCCAGTGCTTCTAAAACCCACCCATCCCCACGAGCTGCGCTTGTTTGCCTGGGTGGCTCTTCCCCTGTGCCTGGAGCTTTGGGAACAGGGTTCCTGAAACTGGAGTTCCCAGACTGGTAGCATTTTGTGTATCTTTGAGGCAGCATCTTGGGTGTACATGTAGACACATCTTTCCAGGCAGGACATCGATGGCTTGTCTCAGATTCCCAAAGAGATCCAAGACTTAAAAAGAACCACTGCCTGGGGCGGCTGCTCTCCTCTGCATCCTTTCCTGGCACACAATTAATATGCGCAGGCTGGATGACTGGAGGTCACAGATGCTTGGCATTTCCCCCCGTGCTTTTGTTCATGGATTCAGTTGGTGATATATGCAGCGATGCATCTATAAATAGTGGAATTCTCATGCCCCAAAGAAAACGAGTTAAGTGACTGCTGAAAGTTGTTGTTGTTGTTGTTGTTTTTTTCCTTCGGGGTGTGGGGTGTTAATTAATGCCAAAAAAGGCAGGTGATAAAATCCTTTTGTTCTTACTCTTAGAATCCTGGTGCAGGACTTTCTGCAGCTGGGCTCCAATACAAACCAGAGTGGGGAGGGGACTTGATCTTGGCAGTATTGGAAAAGCTTTAATTGATACTATAGAGCCCGAAGGACTGACATCTTTACCCCTGTGTGCCGCTTGTCGTCTGAACGGATGGCCGAGACGCATCCTGGGTCGCCTTCCCTGTGATGCCATTTCTAAAGAATGTTATTGTTCAGCCCCTTCGCTCTCCTTGGCCAGTGTAGTTTTCCTTGCCCAATTCGGTTGAATTTACTTCTTCCGTCCATTGTTACTATTTGTTTCTTTATTTCCCAAATCCTTCCTTAAAACTTCTCCTTTTTAATTTTAAAATATCTCTTCCTGTTGTATTCAGTAGTAAATTAAGGACCAAAATATTATAATACTGTATTTTATTTTGAAAGGACTGTGTTAAGACTCCCATCTAAAATTTTGGCAATATTAAAAGTAAAAGGCTGATCGTTTGCTTCTCTAACTATACTCTCACCAGAGTAATCATCGTTAGAAATTTGTCAAGAGGGTAAAGGAGATAAGAAAGTATTTAAAAGTGGAATACGGTTCACATTACACTTATTCCTATAAAGAGCTCTTGGAACCCTTGAAGTTTGCTTGGAATCGGTTCTCTGAGTTCCGTGTGGAAGTGCAGGGAGCTGGCTGCCTCTGGCGTGGCTTCCAAGTCCTTGACTGCCCTTGCCCACATCCTGGTCTCACCACTTCTCAGGTGTGTGTCCCTGAGCTCAGCTTCCTCCTAGGTAACATGGGATGGTGATAGTGGGCCCACCTCCTCACGCTATCGTGATGATTAAGTGTTTGGTTGAGCACAGTGCTGGGCTTTGCTGTGTGGCTGCAGTGTTAGTTTGCACACCTGGCACCGTCCCGTGCAGTGGCCCTGCACATTCAGTGCTCCAGTATTTACATGATGTATCTATGTATACATATGTCCTGCAGCTTTGCCTGTCCAAGTACTGTGGACGGTTACCAAAAATAAGGAGCCTATTTTAATTACATACACAACCAGAAGAAAAATTAATGACATGTACATACTGTACTGCCCCTAGGAAGTATGATGTGCTTTAATATTTTCTTTTTAAAATAAAATACTGCCAGGGACCTACTCACTCAATTTCACTGCTCACTGATAGGTTGTGACTATAGTGTGAGAGCCCTGATATAGAGAGTAATGGGATGAATGAACACAAAGGATTGGAAGTAATTAGTTTCGGGAATGTTTCAACATGTGTCCAGATGGAAGATATTCTGGAACATCCACCAGCCATGACTTGGAATTTACACATAAAAATCTCCAGATGCATCTAACAGCTTCAAGTGAGTGAGATGACAGCGAAGCTAGTGATAGCATCCAAGTCTTGTGTTTTTTTCTTCTCCCAAGTATTTCATGTGACTTGGAATCCTTAAATTCTTTTTTCCCCACTGTAAATGAAGTATTCAATAAGAACGTCAGTGTGTGTGTGTGTATTTTAAAAACAGCTTTAGTGAGGTGTAATTTCCATATCATAAAATGCACCCATTTTAGTACAGTCCTATGAATTTTAGTCAATTATACAGCTGTGTGACTGTCATCACAATTAGGTTGTAGAACACGCCCATTGTCCCCTGCTGTCCCCAGTCCCACTTGCCTGACTACCACTGCCTGGTTTCTCTTAGGGAAAGGCATGTTTCAGAAGTCAGACTCCTGGATGGTATCATTTCTCTGCCCTCCTTGACGAGGGAACTGCAGTGGCCTGGGGTTCTTCCTGGTTTCTGGGCCATCATGCCTGAAAGCCTGGTCTGGAGCCAGTGAGGAGGACCCATTTGGGTCCATGGGAGGGGGCTGGGTACTGAGGGCTGGTCTGTGCGTGCGTGGGGTGGGTCTAGGGATTTGTAAGCAGCTGTAGAATGAAGGCTCAGAGCTGACTTGGGAGTCCCCTAATGAGGTCCTCTAGCCTGCATTGGCTCCCCCTGTTAGTGCTTTGCAGCCATGATGCCATTCTTAATGCGACAAGCCCGAGTTTCCGATCACTCTGGTAAACAGCTCCCGAGCACCTGTTCTGCCCAGTCCCTGAAGAGGAAGCCATGCATCTGTCACACTGCAGCCCATTCTCCCTCTGATCCAGTCTCTCCAGCTTCCAATCTGCACACCTACTCATGAGCATTTCCTGTCCAGACCAGTACCATCTACAATCAGCTCTAGAGCTGCCACAGACAACCTGTTTTGGGTGGCAGACTCCATTCAGCATTGATCAAGTAATTCCGACTCATCCTGTATATGCAGTGGAGCACCTCCTGGGCAAGTCCTGGAGCCCTGTGGGGGTCAGGTCAGCATTGGAGGGGATGCCAGCCTTGCCCTGAAGGAACTAGTACTCGGGGAGATGCAATGTTTATTAATGACCGCATTCTACTTAGAGTTTTAAGAACTGCCACAGAAGAGATCAAGTGCTGAGGCTGGCCAAAGAAAGGCCAGCTTGCTTCTGGCTGGGCTGGGCTGGGCTGGGTCTGGACCTGAGGAATCTGGGCCACATCTTAGAAGAAGCATTAGCATTTGAACAGGAAAGGGGCGGGGTGAGGGGAAACTTGGCAAAGGGAAAGAACAATCCAGGTTTGGGGATAGCAGTTCCCATGGGTTACTGGGAATGCGGATGGATATGAGGGGGTTGGAGGGAAGCCAGGAGTTCCCTGTATGCGGTTTTGTGGTCTTAGAAGTGTGGTTCCTTCAAAATCCCCACTAGTGGCTTGTGGAGGATGGCAACTCAGGCCAGGTCTTTCTTAAGTGATGCACCTGTGCACCTGTGATCATTTGCAGACTCAAATTACTGTAGAATTTAGATGAGAGTGTGACGTTGTGATATCCAGTGCAGTAGCCACAGCCACACGCAAATGAGCACTTGAATCGGGTCAGTCCTAAAATGAAATGGGCTTAACCTGTAAAACACACCGGGTTTCAAAGACTCCATTGAAATAAAGAATGAAAAGCATTCCATTTGTAATTTTTGTAGTCATTACGTGTAAAAATGATAGTATTTGCAGTATAGTGGGTTAAATAAAACATGTTTTAAAATTCATTTCGCCTGTTTCTTTTTACTCGTTTAAGAAGTTTTGCATTAATATGTGGGCTCTCATTCTGATTCCATTGGACAGTGCTGCCCCAGAGAATTCTTTGTACCAGCTGGGCTAAAGTCTGTCTCTATTTTATTTACTGTAAATTGTATCCCTAGAACTTATATATGGAGGTGAACAAAGTGTTTTCACATCAGCTCAGGAGTGTGCTCTTGATAGGCTTGTTGAGAAATTCCTTTTCTCTGTTATTCTGTCTCAGAGGGACCCTTGCTGGGGGGCACTCAGATGATGGCTGCGGTTGGGCGCCCCTCTGGGTTTGGTTTCCTTTGGGTGGTAGACTCGAATTTTGGCCTCAGGTCAGCTTGCTTTTAGATTATGTTCCTTTCATACAGTATTATGCTGCTAAATCAAAATAATAGCGACATTCTTCCAGTCTTTAGAGGAAAAAAATAAAATGGAAGGAAAACAGGCATTACTGGAGAATGTAATACATTCCAGAAACCTTGATAATAGTCTCAGGCCTTCTGCCTCATCACCTTATAGTAAAACGGAGAAAATGGAGGCACAGTGAGACTGAGTCATTTGCCTATGCTCAACCTCTAGGAAGTACTTAAAGTATAGTTTCCTCAGTTTGAAGTTTTTCTCCCTTAAAGTTTTAAATAATTGTTCCCATCTATGTCTGTGATTCAATAAAATATGTACCGAGGGACCTTAGATGTATTCAGTCATTACTGGGTGGCATTTTTCAGGTGTTTGGACTTCCATTGCACCAATGCCTGAACATGCCTGAGAACCGGTAGGATCACTGGGGCTGCAGAGCCCCAGGGGTTTGCTGGTTTTCTTGAATACCTCCTGGACTGATTTTCCTAGAACAGTTTATTCTTTGCTGGAGGATAGAACATCTTGCTAAGATCTTGTCTCTTTATCTTCTCTGGACACTCCCTTTCTGGTGGGCAGACCCACATTCAGGAAACCAGATTGTAGATCAGAAGGTGGCATGGTCAGTGCAAACTCAGAACAAAAGACCTAGGGGAGGTACTCAGGGATGTTGCATCAAGCTCTGGTAGCTGATGAAAGTCACCTTCCTTCCAAGGATAGATCTGTCTAAAAAAAGAGCTGTCCGAGTGAGGAATGACCCTGTAGTGCTCTGGCCTCCCGAGTCCTGCATTTCTTATAATCTAGGCCTTGTGATCTCAGTCAAGTTAAAATGCCCTTCTGTCCCCTTCCAGTTCTTTCTTAAGTGTTAATTGGCTCCAAACTGGTTTTTCTATGGTATCAGTTCCTGAAATTGGCCGGATTAATTTATCATGCACTTTAATGAAGGACTCTTGTGTTTGAGGGCTCTGGCTTAGAAAGGTGAATCCTTTCTTCCAAGGAACTCACAGACTGTTAGGGGAGGTAGCCTGTCAAATGATGACTATGCTATAAAGCAAGAAGCACTGTCCGTAATGGAAATGTGGGCAGTGGTCTTTCTTACCCCTGCCCCGCAGGACTCCATAGTGGGGAAGGACAAACCAGTTCTCTCCAAAACATGTCTATACTTGGATAACTTTTTTGTGAATCACTAAAGATGCTCATGTCATCAAATGAGATGAAATATTCAGACTTTTCACAAATTCTGATTATTTCCTTCCTTTGTCCAGATCTCCAAGTGGGTTAGCCAGCTAACTATACTAACAGCTCCAAAGTCTTATTGCTTAGCAGAATAGAAGTTTCTCACTCATGTAAGTTTAGTATTGGTTGGGGCGTGGAGGGTGGACCCAGGCTGCTTCTGTGGTGTGGCTTGCCCATTTTTTGAGGCTTTGCTGTCCTCCAGTGGGTTCTTTGCTTTGGGCCCACAGGCAAGGGAAGAGAGAAGGCATGGGGAATCCTGCCAGAAGCTTCTGGGACAAGCCTTGGAAGGGGTGTACATTGCTTCTGCCCACATTCCATTGTCTAGAGCCCAGTCACATGGTGCCACCCAGCTGCAAGGGAGAGAGACTGTGAAGTGTGATCTCTCTGTGGGCCCAAGAGGAAGAGGAAGCAGGGGTTTGGTGGATATGTAGCACTGTTGCTGCTCCATTGCTTTGGGTAACAAATACCGACTCATAGGAGGCAGCCTTTAAGTATTGGCTTCACTGATGGGGTAGTACCGTTTCATTGTGACAATTAAAAGATGCATCTGGCATATTTCTCACTGGGGTTTTATGACCTGAGTGATATCCCTGCTGGGATATCAGTAACACTGACCTTCAAACTCAGGCGAGTTGGCTGTGAACAGGCTCCCCCAGCTCTCTCAGGCTGGCTGGCCCATTGCTTCACTGTGAAAAGCTATGCCCTGGAGAACATGCTGGAACCTGGCTTTTCAGGTGGACGTTCAGGAAGGTGTAGGTGCCAATGAGGGGAATTGTGTCCTGGGAGGCTCATGGCAAGGTAGAAAAGTCTCAGTGAGATGGACATGGTTGAGGGCTAGAGGACAGTGCTACACCTTGTCACCACTGAAGCAGTGAGACAGATCTTGGTGGTGTGCTCTTCGTGTTTCAGATTGAAGACTCTGAGGCTGGCGGTCTTCTGTCAATGCAGCTTTGCACTCCTCAGGCACAGGGGTTTACCTGCATCTGATTCTCTGTGGTCATTCCCCACCTCCCCCGCAAAAAAACACCTACAGGCATCCATGGTCAAGTGTCTTACGGATTTACTGCCATTCATAAAGCCTCTAAACATCCCTTTTTTCCTTGAAATACATTTGAGGAGCTGTTTGCTTTTTATATTAGTCTGGGAATTTGTCCATTAATTATGATAGTTTTGTGTTAGAGACAATAAAAAGACTGACAATGTATAATTTTTTTTTTTTTGATTCTTAAGAGGACTTCACATTTCCACAAGGAAATTACAAATGTTATTTAAGAATGATTAGTTCCGAGGCTCTATCACTAACAGTCGGGACACTCACACTATATTAATACATGGTTGCAACGTTTAGATTGAGTTCTAGGTGTAATTACTCATTGCCCTACATTCTAGACTTATAGAATTGGACTTGAAGACAAGAGCCAGTTCAATTCCTATGCATATTCTAAATAAATACCTTGGGCAAAAACACAGATTTTAAATGATTATTCCAAATGGCTTTTCAGGATTAGTGTGACAGGTTTGTGGCACATTCACTACTATTTTAAACTTTGACAGAGGAACGAGGAGTCTCTCTAAAAGAACTTCTGAGCTTCGTTTTTTTGGGGTGATCAACATCCCTGGGAATCTGATGAATGCCATGTACTGTGCTTATCAATTTTTCTTTCTAATTTCAGGGAGCTCAGGGACCCGTTCTCTGCTACGGGAGAGCCGTGGCTCTGAGTGTAAATGCTTGCCACCAAAAGCTTGGAGAAGCAACTAGCACAGCAAACAGGGTCAAATTCACCACCTAAGTAACCACAAGCGGGCTGGTGTCCAAGTTCCGGCGGGCTTTGAAACTCACTGTGAGCCAGGTAGCTTAGAAAAGGTGGAGGAAGTCATTAGGATTTCCTGAGGATTGGGTTGGAACTGAAGCCGAGATTAATAGTGTCCTCTCTGAAGAGCATTTTAACAAACGTGAATTGGAAATATAAAGATCTTCTTGTTCCCTGAGACTGGAAGGTGTAGCACAAGTGCCAGAGCATTGCCCTGGCCTCCTTTTGATGGAGAGAATGTGTGAGGGATCAGCAGCGCTCATCCCTTCTCACTGTTCCACCTTCTGCTACCCACCTGTAGTTTCCTACAGTTTGGTCCAGGGAAGGTGTGGGCTTCGGGGCATGGGTCTGCCACCGACTGCCTTGCTCGCTCTCTCTGGCCCTGCAGTCTCCCCAGCTGCTGTCTTGTGGTCAGCAGAACAATGGCTTCCAAGATGTGCATGTCGCTAAGCCCTGGAACCTGTGAATATGTTGACATGCGTGGCAAAAGGGACTTTGTAGCTGTGATGACTTTAAGGATCCTGCCCAGGGAAGATGGTCCCGGATGATCTGGGCAGGCCCAGTGTCATCACAAGGGTCCTTATGAGTGGAAGAAGGAGACAGAATAGAGAGAACCAGAAAGATGGCATCCTGAGAAAGACTCATCTGGCCATGCTGCCTTTGAGAATGGAGGAAGGAAGGGGCTACTAGCCAAGGACTACAGGAGGCCTGTAGGAGGTGGAAAGGGTACAGGAACAGATTCTCCCCAGAACCTCCAGAAGGAATGCAGGCCCCTGGACCCATTTTAGACTTCTAATGTTGAGAACTGTAAGGGAATCCATTTGTGTTGTTTAAAGCTACATGGCCCAGGTGCCATCTCTCAAGGGACCCAGCAGGATACAGTAGGCGAAAAGGGAACAAAAGCTGGGCCGTGCCTTCTTTCTTCTCTCCCCTCTCTGGCCCTGGAATGACCAGCAGTGTGTATTCGTGTGCTCTGCTGAACCAAGAAATGTGGTTTGTGAAGGGCACGATCTGCATCTGGCAGCTCTCTGGGTGGTGGCTGAGGGCAGAGAAAGTGAGTGACTCTGGGGTTGATGCTGTTGCGGGGGTGGGATGAAGAGACAGTGGCAGCTGGCCCAGGAAGTCCCCCACCTTCCAAAAGCGCTGTCAAACCTCCGCTGTCTCCCTACCAGCTTGTTCCCTGAAGGTCAGCCCGCTTAGGCCATGTGGATTCATCTGGAGCCTGGGGCTGAATGCATTAAACTTATCCCCAGAAGGTGGTGAAAAAGACCACTTCTTTCTTTGCAGGTGAGCATGTGAGGCGATGGGAGAGCGCTTTGGCAACATCTCTCAAATATTTACTGTCAGCTCCTCTCTCTTACTTACAGTAAAGAGCAGAAAGCTGGGACGTACCTAAGTGGATGACCCAGGGTGCCTGGTAAATAAGTGACGCCGACAGAGCTAAAAGACGTGAGGCAATACCCAACTGAAATGCAATAAGTTTATGACATTATATCTAGTATGATATGAGCTATGGAAAAAATGTAGGACAAAGAAGAGAGAAAAAGAAGCTAAAATGTGAATCCAAGGCTTCTGGATCTTGAGTGGTTATATTCCATGTAGACATTATGATCTGAATTTTTGCATCAAATTTAAGATATAGGGGTAAAACTTCATATCCTTTGACCTTGAAATTTAATTCTGAGAATTTTTTCAAAGAATAATTATAAGTACGGCTTATGAGCTTTATAGACACAGATATTCCTTCTATCATTAATATAAAATTGAGATATATTTCACATGTGCCATAATAGTCACCATTTCAAAGTGTACAGCAGTGGTTTTTAGTATATTCCCAAGGTTGTACAGCCATCACCCTATCTAATTCCAGAACATTTTCTTCCCACTAAAAGGAAACCCTGTGCTCGTTAACAGTCACTCCCATTCCCTCTTTCCCCCAGCCCCTGGTCACCACTGATCCACTTTCTGTCTCTCTGGGTTTGCCTATTCTGGATATTTCCTTTAGATGGAACCTCACAATGTGTGGCCTCTGTGTCCGGCCTCTTTCACCCAGCACATTGACTTCAGGGTTCATCTGTGTTGTAGCATGTATCAATACAGTTGACCCTTAAACAACATGGGTTTGAACTGCATGGGTCCACTTATTCTCCTGCCTCTGTCACCCCCGAATCGGCAAGACCAACCATTCCACGTCCATGCCGGCCTACTCAGTATGAAGACTAAGATGAAGACCTTTATGATGATCTACTTCCACTTAATGAATAGTAAATATATTTTCTCTTCCTTGTGATTTTCTTAATAAATTTTCTTTATCTTATTTTATTGTAAGAATATGGTGTATAATGTCAAAATATGTGTTAATCAACTGTTTATGTAATCAGTAAGATTTCTGGTCAGTAGTAGGCTGTTAGTAATTAAGTTTTTGGAGAGTGAAAAGTTATACATGGATTTTGAAAGTTCGTGGGGGTCAGTGCCCCAACAATTGCGTCTATTCCTGCATTCCTTTTTATGTCTGAATACTATTCCATCGTATGGCTAGACCATGTTTTATTTATCCATTCAGCAGTTGATGGCTGTTAGCTGTTTCCACCTTTTGGCTATTATGAATAGTGCTGCTATGAACATTCATGTGCAAGTTTTTGTGTGAACGTATGTTTTCATTTATCTTGTGTATATACTTAGAAGTAGAATTGCCGCATCATATGGTTATAACTCTATGTTTAAGTGTTTGGGAAATTGCTGAACTATTTCCCAAGCATGAGTGGCTCTCATGCATATTTATATTAGTGAAAATTTGGAAATAATGTAGATGTCAATAGTAGGAGAGTGCTTAGGTAAATTCCATTAATCCCTTTAGTGAAGGATTTGTACAAATGCAAGTTATTTATTCAGCAGGAATTATTGAACACCAGCTTCATGCCCTGTCTTGGACCAAATCAAAGGTGATTGAGATGGGGTAATTGTTCTCAAGGAGCTTGAGCTATTCAGCTATTCCATGTGATGTTTACAAATAATTTATGACAAGGGGGACAGAATTCTTACGCTATAGGGGTAGGCTAGCTCAAGTAAGTTTTGGAGAGCCTCAAGGTACGAATTAAGTAAACATGTTACAAAGTTAAGTGGAAAAGGTAGGATAGATAATTGCACATACTGTGTGATCATGAGTACGTCAGAAAATACCAGATAAAAACAACTCATCAAAAAAAGGTGGAGAAAAACATACTAATATAGGAATAGTGGTTGCCTTTGTGTGGTGGTGTCAATGGACATTTCTCTCCCATTTAAGTGTCTCCTAAATTTTTTGTGATGGAAACAAAAATTCCCCCAGTCTGTCTGTGGAGACTGGGAAGGATTGGGTGGGGGAGAATCTAGCATCAAGTTTTTGGGGAGATGAGAACTCCAGAACCTGAGATGGCATCCCTGTGGGTGAAGACAGAACCTCAGAGGAAATACTAGTGTGTGCGCGCTGCTATCCTGCACCCCATCTTCCTCTCTTTCTCAGCCACCTCTCTCCTTTTGATATCCCCTGCCCATCTGTGGCCCTACTTGGACACCAGTAATACCCCACTGGGTAGTTAATAAGGACGCTTTTTACGATTCTCAGAAAAAAAAATTGGTCTTTAAAGTTATTAAAAGGCTTAGTGATGTTTTTAAGAAGACACAATTGAATTGCTAATCTATTTGCTCAAATTCTATTATCTAATATTATTTCCATGTATTAAAAAGGATTCTAAGGTCAGAAATGAGAAGCTGCCCTAGCCAGCTGATCTACTGGCCCTGACTATTTCAGAATACTCTACTTTGGGACTGCTGTCAATGTTGGGAACCCCATCACAGTTGAAACTGACTAGAACTGGGGATGGGGGAGTACCATACTCAGAGAAACAGGGATCTTAGAACAAAGTGCTTTTTCTTTTTAGCTCTACCTTTATTTTCAATTGTCTTCTCAGCATTTTAACTAGTAAAATCAAATATGATGAAAATCAGTTGGGGCGTGGTGGCTCATGCCTGTAATCCCAGCAGTTTGGGAGGTCAAGGTGGGAGGATCACTTGAGCCCAGGAGTGTGAGACTAGCCTGAGCAGCATAGTGAGACTCTGTCTCTACCAAAAAAAAAAAAAAAAAAAAAAAAAAAAAAAAAAAAAAAAGAAAGAAAAATAGCTGGGTGTGGTGGCACTTGCTTGTGGTCCCAGCTACTCAGGAGGCTGAGGTGGGAGGATCACTTGAGCCTGGGAGGTTGAGGCTGCAGTGATCTGTGATTGTGCCACTGCACTCCAGCCTGGGCGACAGAGTGAGACCCTGTCTCTGGGGAAAACAAAATGACATTTACAAAAATAGAAAATATTCCCCCTGGTGACACTTTAACCACAAGATTAGAAGCCCTACATCTTTGGTAGGTGTGAAAATAGCTTGGAGAATTAAAATTAGGCATAAATAAATTCCTGATGTCTTTGAGAGTTTAAGTCATTGGATGATGCTGTAATAGAGGAGAATCTGGGAGATGTTGAGGCGTCAGGTTCTTTTTCATTTGAAGCTAAATGGCCTCAGTTGGGTGGTTTGAGCTCTCCTGTTTTGTTTGTAGATTTCCTGTCTCCTTCCACTTGGTAATAGACCACTGATTTCTCTATGCTCCTCCTTGTGATAGTGTGCCGCTTTCCACTTTTAATTTTTCTCTTCTGTTTTATTGTGAGGGGAGTAAACTGCGGTATTGCCATTCCCCTGCTTTCGCATACATGTGAATGAGCATGGGAAAGCTGAAAGACTTTAGTGCATTTGGGGAAGGGGATAGCCCAGGGCTCCTTTCCTGAAGAACCGAAAATATTTGAACATCTCCAATTCTGCTTTATATTTTACACATAGTCCTTGACATATTTCTGACTCTTTTTCGCCTGCATTAAATTTCTTTTTGGATTCAACTTAGTCCTGTGGCTAAGGGTTTAGCCTTTCCACATACCCAGCAATTTCTACTTTCCTCTTAACTGTATACAGTTCATACAGCGCCTATGCCAGCACTAGCATTTTCATTTTTTCTATCCTTTTATTTTGATGAAATAGTACAAACAAAATGCATTAAACCAGATGTAAGCCTGGCTGCTTTGAGGCCCACAAAGCTGGTTCCTCCGTCTCTGGCCCACCTTGGCTCTACCGTGAGATAATTCTGTGTCTCTATCAATGACTGTAAACCGTGCAATAAAATGTAAAAATTGCCCATGTGATGTGGACAGACGTGAAGATGCTCTGCGAACTGAACTTTTTCCCATGCGAAGGTCTGGATTCTGGATTCCTTGGGAAATACTGAGAAGTGTGAATCTGGCATTGAGGGTCAGTTTAAGGGTGTGTTGGAAATTGCAGGTACGGATATGTGGAGTCACCATGGCCTTGGCTTCTGAGAGAGGACATGAAGGACTCTCTTAGGAGTAAAGCCGATGTGCTTTAGGATCATTCTCAGCTTCAAAAGCTTCTTTTCCCTCCAAGATCCCTGCTGGAGTGTGGTTGAGTGAGGAGACTAAACAGCTAACCTTCATTTATGTGGAGGATGTGTACAAATGTCAGAAACATGACGAGCGGTGTTTTGTGTCCAGTGACTGAGAATGGATGTGGCTCCCAGGCAGTGGAGACCGTGGGTGTTTGGCGGTGATGATTTGTATAGGGTCAAGCTGGCCTTTGCAGGGCTGATGGGATTGGGGTACGAGAGGGGAAGAGGAAGCCTCTCCACAGGTCCAGGAAAGACCGAGAACAGATTGCTTAGACTGGAATGAGTGTGATGTTTTGGAAGGCGGGTAAACAAACTCATTTGCCTGGACAAGAGATTGTGTGTGTGTTGGGGAGGGGGTGGGGGGTGCAGAGGGGCGGTGGTAGGGAGTTGAAGCAGAAAGAGCCAGAAGCTTTGTATGGGCTTGGCTTGGGGAGGACTTTTCACACCAGCCCAGGAGGTTTGCTCTGGCAAACTCAGTGCTGTGAATTTCTTCTTTTTTTCTTTTTTTGAGGATGGAGTCTTGCTCTGTCACCCAGGCTGGAGTGCAGTGGCACAACCTCTCCTCACTGCAACCTTTGCCTCCCGGGTTCAAGCGATTCTTATGTCTCAGCCTCTCGAGTAGCTGGGACTGCAGGTGCACGCCACCACACCCAGCTAATTTTTGTATTTTTAGTAGAGACTGGGTTTTGCCATGTTGGCCAGGCTGGTCTTCAACTCCTGACCTCAGGTGATCTGCCCGCCTTGGCCTCCCGAAGTGCTGGGTTTACAGGTGTGAGCCACCACGCCCAGCTCAATGCTGTGCATTTCTGCATGGAGAGCCACTGTGCTTGGGGAAGACTCTTTGGACATCAGTGTCTCCACCCAAGTGGGAGGATGATCATTGGCAGGATGAGGGATCATGGGATTGTCCAGGATGAAGCCGACCACCTGGCTGAGGGTGCTGATTGTCCCCAGATGAGGCTGAGATCGCTCCTGGGTGGCCTCGGCCTCATCCTGACATGCAGGAACCATGCTTTTTAGCCAGCAAGAGCCAGAAAACACTCCTTGCTGAAAAGTTACCACCAAAAAACGCCAGTTTTCCACACCTCCAGATACTTCCCCTCTGACGATGAAAGAGGAGCCAAGATTTATTCGTCTCTCCTTTGGCTGATCTAAGTGCAGTGGTGTTTACAACTAATTGATCACAACCAATTACAGATTTCTTTGTTTCTTCTCCTCTCCCACTGCTTCACTTGACCAGCCTTTTTTAAAAAAGATGTGATCAAATAGATTCTGGAACTGAATAACTCCTCTGAAGTGATTTATTTATGACTGAAGTAATGTTACTCACCAATAACTTTCTTGGGAGAAAAGCATCATTTGATATTGGTAAAGTTTAGAGTATTCATGATAGATAGGATATGCTATACAAGAGAAAACTATGAAATCCCTGGCCCATAAATATTTTGGAATGATAATTAGGAAAATACATCTAGACATTCTCAATGCTGTTATTGAAAATCGTGCCAGAATTTGGCTCTGCAGTGCTATAAGGATGGGTTTCTCAACTATATTTGTTTACTTTGTCTATTTTTGGAAATAGGATCTTGTCTTGTCACCTAGGCTAGAGTGCAAGTGGTGCAGTCATGGCTCGCTGCAGCCTCGAACTTCTGGGCTCAAGCAATCCTCCCACCTCAGCCTCCCGAGTATCTGGGACTAAGGCATGGGCCTAGCTAATTTTTTTTTATTTTTGGTAGAGATGGAGTCTCACTGTGTTACTCAGGCTGGTCTTGAACTCCTGGGCTCAAGCAGTCCTCCCACCTTGGCCTCCCAAGTGCTGGGATTACAGGTGTGAGCCACTGCACCTGGCCAGTATTTGTTGATTAAATGAGATCGTGTATGTAAATGTGCTTAGAATGTACCTGTGCATGGGCATTTTTCTCTAGAGGCTTATTTGTGAATATCATTACGTTAGACTAGCAGCAATTTGCTCAGAACTCAGTTTGTGTTAAAGTAGGATTTTCTTTTTTGCTGTGGTTGGGTCCCATTCAGGATGCAAATCATGCACAACAGTCTGCTGTTACCTGCTTGACTGGGACCCTCGATACGGCATTACGTTCCTGACTGGTAAAGGCATTGTGCTGCAGACATCAGTTCCAGGATGGGACAAACTACATACAGTAGGCTCATCTTGTGATGTGATTTTTTGAGTGAGTCGTGTTTGGGAGGATATATATGGCATATTTCACCTTCTGTATATTTCTGTTTTTATATTGTTTCTAACTTCTTAAAACCATGTGTTTAGAATGAAGATTAAAACTAGTGTTGTTCTGATGGTGTTTATCAATTTCTGAATGCCCCTGGGGAGAGACAGCCTTGTTGTCAAACCAGTTTGGGGAAATTACGTGTTCAAAATTCATACTGGTCTCATGGGGCTTGGCTGTGGTTGTGTCACTTTCTCAGGTCTAGGGACAGAAGAAGTGGGAGGATTGACTTAGTGAAATGTAGGTGATCGGATTCCCATGCATAGCAGTCAGTGTGCATTTATAGAGACAGCCCAAGAGATAGCTGCCCAGACTCAGACAATTATAGGTGTGTCTCGTTTTATATGACAGCTGCAGTCCTAACACTGTCTTGTCAATCAATGTGATCATGGGGGATCGGGGAGGGGGGAGGTCTACTTTTAAAAATCCATCTGAAAATTCTTTACTTTATCTCTCTTGTCAAGCCCAAATTTCCTCAATCAGATTTTCTTCAGGGAGAGATGCCTGTAGACAAAGTGCTTTTATTGTTTTTCTCCAGAAAAATAAAAAAGGACTCTGAAATTTCTGATTCCTACTGTATAAGAAATACAGGAAGCATTTAGTAGGGGGGAGGGCGTGGGTATCATTGTATTGTTACCTTGCTTGGCTCTTTGCATTTGGCCAATGGTTGATGTTTATTAAACTCATGACCAGTGGTAGATGAAAATATTGCAAATGCATTTTATATAGATTTAAGCCAATGTTCATGTGTAATGTATGGAAACTGAAAGTTGTGAGGGGAACATTTCTCAGGGAATGAGAACAGAGCATAGGTGCTCTCTGATTTTTCTGGAAGAGCTACATTCCATTGTCGTCACCTCATTAAACATACTGCTTGGAAGAAGATGCTTGCTTTACCTGTTTTGTTAGTAACCGAATATCTCTTTTTGCTCACATTTAAAGTTGCACTTTGAGATAGTAATGCTTCTGATTGCAAGTGTACTAATGCAGTTATTTAGGCAAAGCTGGTGAATTAATTTTCCAACCAAATATTTGGAGCAAAAGCAGTCAATTAGATAAGATAAAGCAAACTTATACAAAACTGACCTGACTTTCAAATTTGTTTTCATAATTTTATTTTGCAGGATAACAAAGCCATTGACCTTTGCCGATTGTGTTGGGGACGAACTTCCTTTAGGATGGGAAACCGTATATGATAAACAAATTGGAGTTTATTACATGGACCACATAAATAGTAAGTAGTGTGCAAAATCTGTGGCATTATATCAAAGATGCCAAAAACTTTTTGTAGAGTTTAACAATCGTTACCTTCCAATGCAGCATTAAATTGGGTTTTATAAATGTAATGCGAAGTTTCCATTAGCTCAGTTCTTCACAAAGTGAAGCAGTTCTGTAGCTGTACCTTGCTTGTGTCTTGCTAGGGACTGCATATAATATGTTTAATGGAGGGTTTTAATAACTATTACAAGGAATAAATTTCCCAGGCAGTCTGGAAATAGAGATACCTCTCATAATGAAAAAATTATTTGTTGCAGAGTGGAACTGACAAGTTATTGGAATAAGTGCCCAAGTGATTATGTTCACTTCATTTCGTCTTATACATTTAACTTTAGCTTTCATACACCAAACCTTTTCGGGGGGTGTGTGTGTGTGTGTGTGTGTGTGTGTGTAATGGTATAGAGACCATAGCAAAAACAATGGGTCTTTGACCATGCCAGCCTCCTTTGTAGAACTGTCTAGAGCAGTGCTTCTCATCCTGGGTGATTTTATCCCTCAGGGACACTTGGCATTGTCTGGAAGCATTTTCAGTGGCTGTGCCTGGGAGAGGTGCTGCTGGCATTCAGTGGGTGTAGACCAGGGATGCTGCTTAACACCCTACAATGCACAGGACAGCCCCCCCTCACCAGATAATGAGGCGATCCCAAATGTCAATGGTGCCAGGATATAGGAACCCTGTTCTAGATCTGTTCTTTGCCCCTTAATCTTGGCTGTCTCTTCGTCAGCTTTCTTCGATGGGGTCCCAGCTGGGAATCCATTTTTCACTCTCTCTCATTTTCATTCTGGCTTCCCTCAGTGGCTCTGTCATTGTCATTTCACTACCAGGATATGAAGCATGGCTTCCCCTTGGCTTACTTTCTGTCCTTTGGTTGGTGAAGTGCGGGGCGGCTGCAGGGTCTGAAGGTGCATGGTGCCCCCCACCTGAGTGATTTTGAGGCACTTTTCTAGTCCAGTGCCATGACTCCTCATGTCCCCACTGTGCAGTCAACTCAGATTGGTGTCTTCAGGGCTGATTCCTACATTGTCAGTTGCTGGCACCCAAGATCTGAGTCCCCCATCTCAGATCTCGGGGCAGTGGGGTTTTTGGTGCCTGGCACTCGTCCTTGGGCACGATTGCAGCTCTTATCCAGAGATTGAGCAGTGGTGATTGGAGACAGGGGATACCTACCGTTATGGCCCTGCTGCCCTCCCAGGCAGGTCCGGGTGGCAGGAGGACTTCTAGGTGGACCCACTGCTTTTTGGACAGGGAAAGTACCTGGCAGAAGAGAAGCTGAGAGGCCCCAGTGGCTCTCTGCCAGCCTGGCACTTCACGGCTGTGTGTGTTTGGGTAAATGTGGCCTTTTGAGCTAGGCTTCCCAGCTGATAGTCTAAGCGGCAGCTGGTAACACGTAAGAGCTGCTCACTTCACAGGGCCACCATGCTGTGGACCTGGGCACATGCCCGTGGCTTCGTTAACACGCTTCGTCCTTCCCAGGGCTTGGTGGTACGGATGCCCCACGCCCACTGAATCTCATCTCTGAGACAAGAGCAGGACTCTGATTTTGCATTTGTTTTGGTTTGTAAATCTCCTCCTGTGAGCTTTTATGGCTTGGAGAGGCTTTCTAGGAGGGGCTTTCTAGGATGGTGTGAAAAGGGGTGAGCAAAGGATATTGACAGGAGAGCAGACAGGGAAGGCATTTCCAAGGAGAACTTACCTGGAAACATTCTAGCAAGCACACCGTGTGTGTGTGTGTGTGTGTGTGTGTGTGTGTGTGTGTCAAAACAGACATAATGTAAAATTTACCATTTTAACCATTTTGAGGTGTACTTCACGGAACGTAAAACGAACCATTTTTAAAGTGAATAGTTTGGTAGCATTTGGTGCATTTGCAGTCTTGCACAGCCATCACCTCTATCTTGTTCCAGAACATTTTCCTCACCCCAAAGGGAAATCTCATCTCCATTAAGCAGTCATTCCCCATTCCCCTTCCCCTATGTCCCGGTGACCCCTAGTCTGCTTTCGGTCTCTGTGGAGTCTCCTGTTCTGGGTATTTCATAGACATGGAATCAGATGCTATGTGGCCTTTTGTGCCCGGCATCTTTCACTTAGCTGTTTTTTGAGTTTCTTCCATGTCATAGCGAGCATCAGAACTTTATTCCTTTTTATGGAATTTTATTCCTTTGTATATGGTTTATACAAACCACTCTGTTGTATGCACTAAGTGAAAGGTCCTGAGAGTATAAAGGTGACTGAGGCTGTGCCCCTGCCATCTAGAGGCCATAGTTTAGATGGGAAACAGAAAAGATATAAAAACACTCATGTGCTCAGTGTTAAGGGGGAAGAAGGGCAGCCCGCGTAAGCAGGGGAGAGACGCATGTGCCTAGAGGATCAGAGAAGGCTTCAGAAGAAAAGGTGCCTTTGCAGCGTGCCTGGGAAGACGGCAGGCCTTCCTGTGACAGAAGAGGTCTGAGTCAGCATGGCAAAGGCACCGGGGGGCCAGCCAAGCATATTTGGGGACTTCGCAGAAGTTCAGTCTGTGTAGACAATGTTTTTGGGGAAAAAGACGGAAAATAGAGATGAGGCTGATAAGTGAGTTTTGGGACTCCTGTATCAGGCTAAGGAGATTGGACTTTGTGCTTTCAAAGAGGTTTCTGTGTGAAAGCATTGCATCCCAGTTAGGAAGGTCACTTTGGAGAGTGCCCTGAGGATGGGTTTTGGTGGGATGAGACCAGAAGGCCCAGAGAGTCTGACTGAAGTAAGGAGAGACAGAGACAAGGGCGTGTCGCCAGTGATGATCATATCCAGGGGCAGGAACCTCCAGTTCTTCATAACCCACCGAATGTTTCGGGAGGAAGAGGAGTGGGATTCTTTGAGGATGAGTCCCAGGTTGCACTCCCAGGCTGGCTCCGCAGTTAGATCCAGATGATGCGGCTCCCCACAAGGGGAAGACAGGAGATTGCGGAAGACAGGAGAAGCAGGCGTGTGCTGTGTGATGTTTCGTTTGGTTTTGCTCTTGGTGGTGAAAGGTGGTGTGGAGAATGAGGGCTGCTTTGGATGAATGGCTGGGAATGACTTTGGGTCCATCCATGTGGAGGTGCATCCAGGAGGCAGGGGGGAATGAAAGTTTGGAGCCGGGGAGAGAGGCTGGAGCTGGAGTTAGGCACAGGCCCTTGGAGAGCTGGACGGGGAGGAAGCAGGAGTGCACATGAGGGAAGCTATGGTGGGAGGAGACAAGGAAGTCGGTGAGGAATGGGAAAAGACTACACAGTCTAGTCTGGAAAATGAAAGGAGAAGGGGGCTAGCCAGGCCAGGGGCACAGAAGAGTTTCCATCATCTCACACAGAAGGAGTCAATGAGGAGAAGGTCATAAATAGCAATTAGTGTCACAGTTCTGAGCTCTTGTGGGTTCATCTCCTCCCATGCTTATTTAGAGTGTGGTCTTTGTTGGTAAAAACATTGTCTTGTATTGTCTTCCCTCCTCCAATGGACTGTTTCATATCTGTAGAGTTTCCTTCTCATCTGCACTGTGGATATAAAAATGGAAACTGTTCCACATTTTGGAAAGGTTTGTGATATAAAATCTTCCATAATATGCATCCTGGTAACTAATTAATTTTCACATTGATGAGTGACATCACTGCATGACTCTTGGTCAACCTAAGGATTTTACTTTTAAGTCACTTATGTTTTTACCTTTTTAAATTTCAGAACTTACCCAGATTGAGGATCCAAGAGAACAGTGGAGGCGAGAGCAAGAGCGCATGTTGAAGGAATATTTAATTGTAGCTCAGGAGGCTCTCAATGCCAAGAAAGAAATCTACCAGATTAAGCAGCAGCGGTTCGAGCTGGCCCAGGAGGAATACCAGCAGCTGCACAAAATGTGTGAGGATGACAGCCGCTCGTACGCCAGCTGTGAGTTGACTTATCTCCTGTTAAAAGCCATTGTGACTTTAAAAGCCATCTCTCTGCTAGGTTACCTGCAAACACTGAACCTTCCCTGGGCAAGATAGCTTCATAAAGGTTCTAATCGCATACTGTTAGGTCATCAGTATTTGGCACTGAAATCAGGTGGGCACCTGGCAGCCACTCCTGTAGCAAGGATTTATCAAATGCTTACTTTGTGCCCAGACACTGGGTTATGGTTGGTGGTGACTAAGAAAGGAAAGGTCTCTGCCCTTGAGCTCACATTCAGGTGGGGAAGGTAAAAAATAAACAAGAAAACAAAATTTCAGGTAGGGATGTGTACCAGCTGCCTGTCTCATGCATGTCAGTTTTGAAGAGGGCTTCCCTCAGAAATCTCTGCAGTTAACACTGCTTGTCTGGGATGATCTCTTGGGAAATCCACACAGTGGCTTCATTCATTCTGAGTGGGAAGACTCAGGAGACCTCAGCCATGTCAAGCCCCCTGTCTCTTTGTAGAGTTCTCCTCTTGGGCTGTAGGCTTTAGTACGCAGTACAGGGAAGGAGGAGGAACACCATAGAACCCAGAGAATCGGAGGACTCTCCTTCTGCCCCTCAGGTGAGATGACCATGTACAGCTTGCTGTTCTCTAAAGGGACCTCTCTCTAGTTTTGGAGGCTGCCAGAGTGGGGGGCTTCATTTCATTAGTACTCAGCAAGTGCTTGGTGTTGAAGAAACCAGGTCCACTCTCAGAACCCAAAGCATTTTGCTGTGGACACGGTCAGTCACCACATGAGCCAGTTCCTTCCCAGCAGACTTTCACCCTCAACAGACCCCAACAGATGTGCATGACTGTGACTGGCCTGGGCACTCGTGAGCTTGGAAAGAATGGATGAAAGTTGGTACCACTGGGTTGAATTTTATAAAAACCTGTCTGTTTGAGACTTGGGGCCTTTCCTGTGATATTAGTGCCATGTTGCCATGGCAGATATTAAACACACAGCTATAGCTTTATTCTGTGTTGCAAGTCAGAATGGAGGTAAGGCTAAGGGGCCACACGTTTTGTGCTCTGTTTTATTGCGGCAACTGTTGACGGGGCAGAAGCCTTAGAAGCTATGGCCAGGAGTGGGGTATTCCCTCTGCAATAGGAATTGAAGATATTTCTATTTCCGTGTGTCTTGAGGGAAACAGGGAACTCAGTTTTACTGATGTGTTGCTTCCAAGCCATCTTATCTCCATCTCTGCAGATAGTGGCACATACCTGGTTGGTTTTTTTGAGGGCTTTGTTTTGTTTTTAACTTCCCATCAGATTGTGATAGGTCAGCTATGTGTGGAGTTTTAGAGGCTGGTTTCTTATCTTCACAGTCATCTTTTCTTGGAATATCTTTCTCTGATTTTGGTATGAGGGTAATATACTGGCCTCATAGAATGAATTGGGAAATGTTCCTTCCTCTTCTGTTTTCTCAAAGAGTTTGTGTAGGATTGGTATTAGTGCTTTCTTAACTATTTCATAGAATTCACCAAAAGAGCCACCTGGACCTGGAGTTCTTTGTGGAATGTTTTTAACTACAAATCCAATACTTTTAATAGAGAGGTATCCAGATTTTTTGTTTCTTCTTGAATCAGTTTTGGCATTTGTGTGTTTCAGAGAATTGTCTTATTTCATCTAATCTAAAAGTCGGCAAACTTTTCTATGAAGAGTCAGATAGTAAACATTTTAGACTTTGTCGACCATATGATCTCAGTGCCAACGATTCTACCCTGTAGTTATATTGCAAAAGCATCCAGAAACAACATGTAGACAGATGTGCCTAGCTATGTTCCAGTAGAAGTATCAAAACAGGTAGCAACCTAGATTTGGCCCACAGGGAGTTTGCTGCCCAGTGATCTAAGCTGTCAAGTCTATGAAGTTGTTTGTAGAATTCCCTTATTAGCCTTTTAATGTCTGTAGGCTTTGAAGTGATGTCCTCTCTTTAATTGCTGATATTAATAATTTGTGTCTTCTTAATCAGTATAGCTAAACTTTTATTGATTTTTATCTATCTTTACAATACACTGGCTTTTGCCCTGTTCTCCCATTTCTTGTCTGTTTCTATCTTACTGGTTTTTCTTCTTTATTATTTCTTTCCTTCTACTTAGTTTGGCTTTAATTTGTTCTTCCTTTTCTAGCTTCCTAAAGTGGAAATTTAGATCACTGGTTTTAGATCTTTCTTACTTCCTCATATAGCCATTAAAGATAAGGATTCTCCTCTAAGTACTACTTTAACTGCATCTCATAAATTTTGATATGCTGTATTTTCTTTCAGTTCAAAATAATTTCTCCTTTTTTTTTGGTGGTTTTTGACCCATGGGTTGTTTAGAAGTAAGTCAGCAGGACTTTTTAAAGATGTCATGTTGTTGTTGATTTCTAACTTAGTTCCATTGTGGTCAGAGACTATGTAACATTTCAGTCTTTTGAAATCTATTGAGATTACTTTTATGGCCTAGAATACTGGTTTTTTTTTTTTTTGAGATGGAGTCTTGCTCTGTCGCCCAGGCTGGAGTGCAGTGGCACGATCTTGGCTCACTGGCTCACTGCAACCTCCACCTCCCGGGTTCAAGCGATTCTCCTGCCTAAGCCTCCTGAGGAGCTGGGACTACAGGTGTCCGCCACCATGCCCAGATAATTTTTGTATTTTTAGTAGACACGGGATTTTGCCATGTTGGCCAGGCTGGTGTGGAACTCCTGACCTCAGGTGATCCACCTGCCTCGGCCTCCCAAAGTGCTGGGATTATAGGTGTGAGCCACCGTGCCTGGCCAGTCTTTTTGATGACCAGAAGCCCATGGGCTTGGTGCCTTGATGTCTCCCTAGCTGAAGCATTGGCCTATAACCTGTTCTGAGATTATATAGTTAGCAATTCTAAACATTTCAGAAAGCTGCTTGGTAGAAGTTGGGTTGAATGGTATAAAATTGCTGTTTTTGTATCTAGAAAAGGGCTGAATATTGGCTATTCTTATAATCCAACCTAATAGTGTGTTTCTTTCCAGCAGTCTTTGGGTACCTTATCTTTTACATGCTTGCGTTTGGTTAGGTCTCCAAAGAGGCTCTCAAATCAGTCTTTCAAAGAATGAAATGGAAGAAATACATATCAGAAAAACTTGGCAGGATGTTTCTTGCCAGTGATTGAAAAGAAAAATTGAGACCAGGTACAGTGGCTTACACCTGTAATCCCAACACTTTGGGAGGCCGAGGCAGGAGGATCACTTGAGACCGGGAATTCAAAACCAGCCTGGGCAACCTAGCAGGACCCTGTCTCTATTAAAAAAGAAAGAAAGAAAAACTGAGTCTAGAGAAAGTGTGTATTATGTACTGGCTACCACCAGTGCAGCCAGGATGTCAGCTGCAGTGACTGTGGGGACCCTGGACTGGATGCCCTCAATGATGCAGACATTAGAACATCCTGTCTGATTCCACACCCACTCTGAGGGGCAGTGAACGGGGAACCCCAATGCAGTGCCAAGCTGTAGGTTAAGAGTATTCAGTACTTCAGCATCCTGAGTTGCTAAGGATCCTGCAGGATCAGGTTTTGTATTTCCATGGGCTTTTCACTTCTTTGATGTTTGGGCAAATAGGGAATTCTACTCAATTACATTTCTTTTTGTGCCCTATGGGATTTTATTAATGCTCGTTTAAAAAGATACACTCAAGAGGCTCTTTTTGAAGTGGTATCTGTTCCTTCAGTAGAGGAAGCTGATGACTCTGTTGTTGACTTGAGGTTCTAAGGTGCTCACCAGATTCCATTTCCTGACCTGCTGGATGTCTCTGTGTGGATACGATCTCTCCCTCCACTTGTGTAGGTTGCCTTCGAGGCCAAAAGTGGGCCTGCCTGTTTTCGTGAAAGGGCTGGAGATGCCAGTGGGTCTTCCTGGGGCCTGTCAGCTCATCAGGGAAAAAGCCAACTCTGAACGGAATCTAGGAGTTGATCCAAGTGTTTTATCAACTTGCTGCTGTCCCTAGGGCTCCCACCAAGCTCTCTCAATCTGCCATTTAACCCGAACTACCAGGTACAACAAGGAAAACCCTGCTAGAGTGGACTCAGATGAATTCTTTCTGGCCACAGGATAAAGTCCAATGCAGTGATTTTGTTGGCTTGACCATGATCTAACAGATGGCTTCTACAGCCATGCCAGAGGGCCTGGGCCCATGTTGGGAGCTGCTGGTGGCAGTTTCCATAGCACACGTTGGCTGTGTAGCCACACGGGTCTCACTGCCCAGATCTCCCTCAGTGCCAGTCATCTAAAGCAGGAGGCGTCTCCTTTTTCTGATACTGTGAACAGAATAACATCTGGACTTAATTCCCACTTCTTTCTTCATGGGTAATGACTTGAAGTGAAAGGAACCGATATCCAATGAGCTGGTGTTTTCTGTGCATTGTTGTGATCACAGTGTTGTCAAGCACGTGCTGTTTTCTTTATTGTTCACATGAGAAACTGAATATCAGGGAGGCTAAATTATTTCTTCAGGATTACATACCCAGCAGATGGTAGAAGTTGGATTTAAGCCCAGATCTGTTTGTGTTGGTGGCCTTCAGTGCTCTGTACGGTTTCCTAGACATGGAAGAGGCCACTCAGAACAGCTGATGGTGTTTGTGGAACCCCTCCCCCATCCAACTTTCAGGTTATCTGAAAATAAAGACTAGTTATAAATTGACAAGTTGTCGGGAAATTTTGCAGCAATAAAGGGGGCAAGTGGAAGGCAGAGCACTTTCTAGATCTTGACTTTTCCATGGCCCATGTAAGATCACTAAACTGTTCATTTATTTTTCGACAGTTAGCACCTGCTGTTGATATATACTAAATGGCGGGAACATGTTTTTTTTGTTGTTTGTTTGTTTTGTTTTGTTTTGTTTTTCGAGACGGAGTCTCGCTCTGTCCCCAAGCTGGAGTGCAGTGGCGCGATCTTGGCTCACTGCAGCCTCTGTGTCCCGGGTTAAAGCAATTCTCCTGCCTCAGCCTCCTGAGCAGCTGGGACTACTGGCGCATGCCACCATGCCCAGCTAATTTTTGTATTTTTAGTAACAGGGTTTCACCATGTTGGCCAGGATGGTCCCTATCTCTTGACCTCGTGATCTGCCTGCCTCAGCCTCCCAAAGTGCTGGGATTACAGGCGTGAGCCACTGCGCCCAGCCGGGAACACGTTTTATTCCTAATGGTTGCTTGTTGGGAAAGATGAGGCAATAATGTGTGAACAGAGGAATTAACTGGAACAGCCATTTCTAATGTGGGAGCAGAAGGTAGGGAGGAGAAGTGCATCTCACCTATACCCCTCACACATTTCCCTCGAGCTATGGAAATCACCAGAAGAAAACTTCATGCATTGGAGAGGAAAGATTTTGTGTCAGTATTGGGCCATCTGGTATCTAAGAACATCCGTGCCTTGACCTGAAAGCAAATTCAGATATTTGGCTGGATGCTTTGCACACTTGTCTGCATGAGAGTAGGAACCCAACCCTGCTTGATTTCAATGAGCTTCTGTGCTAGCTGCCTGGTGATGCCCAGGCCTCATTTATGCTTCGTAGAACACTGGGGTGAAACTGCTCAACAATGGACTCATTCTCTCTGAGACACACCTGCTACTTTTTCTACAGCTCCATTTTGTAGAGTTTTCTTCTACTTTCTTTATTGCAACATGTTCTTCTATTTGCCTGCCTTTTAACACTGAATACGTTCATTATCTCAGACACATTTTTTCCTGGAGTTATTCCTTTATTCTTCCTGAGAAACTCTAGCCCCAGGCACATTCAGATGAACTATATATGACCATTTGCAGGATCTTTTGGAAGAAATTCTTGCATGGGGTAGGATAATAGTCTAAACCTCAGGTCTGCAAACTATGTCAAGCCTGTGGGCTGGATCCTATCCACTGTGGGTGTTTGTAAATAAAGTTTTATTGGAACACAGCCATGTCCATTTAGTAACCTATTGTCTGTAGCAGCTACAGTGGCAGAATTGAGTATTTGAGACAGATTGTATGGCCCACAAAGTCAAAAATATTTAGGGTCTGGCCCATTAGAGAAAAAGTTTGCTAATTCCTGGTCTATACCCATAGTTCTCAGACCTGGCTGCAAGCTAGAATCTTTAAAAACTTGCTGCTTGGACCTCACCCCAAGAGATTTTGATAGAACTGGCCTTGGGTGGGACCAGGCTTTTTTTTTTAAGCTTCCCAGGTGATCCCCAGGGTTGAAATCCACTGGGCTAGACAGAGTGTGAATGGCCCTTGTAGCAGCAGGAATATGACTTTGTTTATTATCCTAGTTCCTAGGAGTTACTCAAAGTCTACATTGAAAGTCTTTCTGGGTGGCTAGGAAAGAGGCAGCGTTATCTCTGGTGAGAAAGTGCTGATCCACCCTGAGTTCTTGGATTAGGTGGTGGTGAAGCTTGACCTTATCAGCCATCAGCCTTGCCAGCATTCCTTCTGAGGCTCCAAGCCTGTCTCACAATGACTCTTCCATTGGTGCTCTGTTTTTTTTTTTTTGTTTTTTTGTTTTTTTGTTGTTGTTGTTGTTGAGACAGGATCTTGCTCTGTTGCCCAGGCTGGAGTGTGGTAGTGTGATCTTGGCTCACTGCAGCCTCAACCTCCCGGGCTCAGGCGATTCTCCTACCTCAGCCTCTTGAGTAGCTGAAACTCCAGATGTGCGCCACCATACCTAGCTAATTTTGGTACTTTTTGTAGAGATGGGGTTTTGCCATGTTGCCCAGGCTGGTCTCAGACTCCTGGACTCAAGAGATCTGCCCGCCTCTACCTCCCAAAGTGCTGGGATTACAGATATGAGCCACCGCACCCGGCCTCATTGGGGCTCTCGCTGTTGAAGGATTTCTCATTTGCTGTCTTTGGTTAGGAACAGGGCTACAGGCAATCCATTCCAATTCAACCTTTTGTTTTCCTTCACACACGCATGTTGGAGCAGGCAGGAGAAAAAAGGATCATGGAGCATTTTTCCCATGTATTAGTCAGCAAGCCAGATTTTGGAGGTTGCAGCAAAGCACATGTGTTTCCTGAGAAATAATCCCCTAGTCTGTCCTGGAGGGAGAATTCCTGGTTAGGATTTGGTGGCTTCTTGGGTTACTTCTGTAGATCACCCCCAGGTGGCCTTACTTGATTGTTTTTGGTCTTTTGCTTATATTGCCTTAAAAAAAACCCATCCTGCCCGCTTTGTTGGCCTTGCGTATTTCTCCATGTGCCTCTCTGGTAGATAGTACCTGTCAACCTGGAACCTGTCAGGGCTTGTCGGCCTTTTGCCCAGAGTCATTCTTGGCTCCCTTGAGCAACTCCTGACAGTGCTGATCCCTGGAGGCCTACACCTGGTCCTAAGGAGCAACCTGCTCCAGAGGATGTCTTTGAAGAAGGACTGCTGGTCTTTTAAAGCATGTCTTGTCTCTGGGGTGACCTTAGGTACCCATAGCTCAGAAGACGCCTGTACATAAGAGAGACAAAGACAAACAGACTCATGGACACACACATTTCCCCTTTCAGTAATCTGTCAAACTGAAATCCAGAGTTAAGTACTGGGGTTTGCAGCATTTTGAGTCCTAAATACACAGGTCAAGTTCACCTGTTGGGTGGTGGGCACTGGGGAGCTGGAGGACCGTTTCTTCTTCTGGGAAAGCTAGCCCAATTAAAGGATCTTTGGCAGCTGACCCACCGGAGCCCAGATTCTAGACATGAAGCCCTCTATGAATGATGGCATAATGTATTATAGATCAAGTCACTACAGACTCAGTCTTTTAATCTATAAAATGGGCAAGGACACATAAGTATCATTTCACCTTCACAAAGATTTTATGAGAATAGATTAAATAAATGTGAAAGGCACCCTGTAATAGCAAGGTATAATAATTTACATTGCTGTGGTCCAGCTAGGCTATAACCTTGTTATTATATTATCTGAGGCAATGTTGTATGCCTGAGCAGACTCCATATGCTATTTAATAGCTCTGCCCACTTAACTCTTCAAGAGAGAAGAAAGCTTCAGAGGTGAAAGTCTGGTCTTTAGCATAAACCTCGAGATTGGAGACATGTCTTAATAGAGGAAGATACTCCGTTTATAAATGTTGTGGAAGGCCGGGCACGGTGGCTCACTCCTGTAATCCCAGCACTTTGGGAGGCTGAGGCAGGTGGATCACTTGAGGTCTGGAGTTCCAGACCAGTCTGGCCAACGTGGCAAAACCCCATCTCTACTAAAAATACAAAAAATTAGCCGGGTGTGGTGGCGGCGCCTGTAATCCCAGCTACTTGGGAGGCTGAGGCAGGAGGATCGCTTGAACCCAGGAGGTGGAGTTTGCAGTGAGCTGAGATCACACCACTGTGCTCTGGTTTGGGTGACAGAGTGAGACCCTGTCTCCAAAAGAAAAGAAGTGTTGTGTAGTACACGCTATTATGAGGTCTGGAGTCCTGATCTGTTCTTGGACTCTGTAAATGGTTCTAGTAGTCTTATTGGCAGATCTGAGGAACTGAGAATTTTATTTATAAATTTAATTACATTATTAAAAGTTATGCCAGTGTTCACAACCATCCTTAGTATTTGAAGATAAAATGTATTCACTGTGTTAGTTACTTGAGTAGACTTTTCCCTTATCCCAGTCCTGGAATTTTATAATTTTATAGAGACCATAGCAAAAGTAACATGAATGGGATCCACATAATTAAAAGGTATTCTGTCACTTATGATGGTTTCAGCTGCAGCAGAGAAGAATAATTCTCATGGGCCTAGACAATAAGAAAATTCATTGTCACATAGCGGAGTCCTCTGGAGGTGGGGTGGGATTCCCCATAGGTGGATTCAGTGACTCAGTGGAGTCATTGGTTTGTCAGTTTCCCCCTCTAGGAGTGGATACATGCTGAGTCTCTTGGGGAGAGGTAGCTACCCAACACTTCCGGGGTTCTGGTACTTAGGAAGGAGAAATGGGGGAAGGTTGCCGTGTAGATGTCCAACAGTATCCAAGACACCTCCCCTGCGTATTTCAAGTCTCTTTGCTAATTTTCCTTATGAAACTGCATAGACAGAGGAAGATTGGTACAGATTTTTTTTTTTTTTTTTTTGAGACAGAGTCTTGCTCTGTCGCCAGGCTGGAGTGCAGTGGCGTGATCTCGGCTCACTGCAACCTCCGCCTCCTGGGTTCAAGCAATCCTCCTGCCTCAGCCTCCTTGAGTAGCTGGGATTACAGGCACCTGCCACCACACCCAGCTAATTTTTGTAATTTTAGTAGAGATGGGGTTTCACCATTTTGGCCAGGATGGTCTCGATCTCTTGACCTCGTAATCCGCCTGGCTCGGCCTCCCAAAGTGCTGGAATTAGAGGCGTGAGCCACGGCGCCTGACCGGTACTAATGTTTAGCATTGCAGTGAACTTTGTTGAACTTTGGTGGTAGGCTTACTTTCTACCCTTAATGGGAAAGATCCCAGGTGATAACTCTTGGGCTTGTGTTCCTCCCACTGCAAGTTGACAAGTTGACACATGTGTTGTAGTGTTGTAAGCCAGGATTCAGCAAGCCCTAACCTCATAGCCTCATTTGCATATTATCTCTATCCCAAGTGAAAGAAGGCCTTTAAGCTCAGATCTGGGAAACTTAAAGTCCCAGGAGTTTAATATGGAGATGTTTTCTATAAGTTATTTCTGCCTTTTAAGGACATTGTTGGAGATGTTGCTTTCATTACTGATTTTAAATGAAACCAAAGAGTCAGGCAAGATGGAAGATGTAGGATTTGGAAATAGGCAGTCTTGTCTAAGAAAGAATTGTTTGTAAAATATTTTACTCCATGTCTTTGAGAGATCATGAGTCTAAGTATAAGAAAATTGGAGATAAAGTTGGCAAACATTTAGCTCTTCCAGTTGTTTATTTCCAGTAGATTCTGTTGTTTGAAATTCTGACTGAATGGGACTTAAATAGTAGATTTTCCATAGAACTGTTATTAAAATAGGAGATCCAACTGCTCAAGTGAACTTTGGATGTGGTTCTAATTGAGGTTTGAAGTAATTGTGCTGTTGAAGCTACTCAATGGTGTTGAGCCATCCTCTGCAGTACATAGTCCACAAATGATTTTGAATTGGTTTCTCATTGTTGGCACCTGAGTTATCTGAATGACAGCCAGCCTTTGATTCTCAGATCAAAGGCGTTAAAGAAAGGACTCCGTCCCTGCAGATGTGTCTTCTGAGCAGGTGATGTTAATGACAATAGCTGGGAGGCAGAGGGCACCAGAGTGGGGTGGTTCACAGATGAAGACAGACCAGCATTCCACTAGCTAAGCAGAAGAAGGGAAGCCATGCAGCAGTGGTATAGAGCCCATGCCTTCAGAAACCTAAAGAAAGGAGGCAGAAGCATCAAGAAAAAGCACCGCAGAGCGGTGGATGGGGTGGTAGAAATTAGGAATAGCCACTCGCTGCTCCAGCTTCCGTAACACTGGAAAAAGCTTGCAGCTCTCTGTGTGCACAGAAATTTGCTGACTGTGCCTAGCGTGTAAACAGCTCTGTGGCTCTTACTCATCCCTAGGTATTGGTTACTCACGATAATGATGCCATGTCTGTAAAAAGACTTTAAATCATATACACTGCACTGTTTAGGAAAGCATTGAGGTATGTGATGTCTTTTAGCTAAACATTCATCAAAACAAATTATTAGAGTAAAAGCACGAGTGCCTCACTTCAGTTTCTGGGACAAACAACTTGGGGGCCCATCTTTTTTCTCAAGCCTGCCAGATCCTGACGTATTACTAGAAATCTTTTTTATTTTACAAATTTCTAATGTTTTTTTCCTTTCTTGTGTCAAAAATTGTTCATCCGGAGAATATAAGTGTGAAGAAAATAAAAATAAAATCATTTTTAATGCAGCCATTGAGAATAACTGCAGTTAACTTTTTGGTTCTATCTTTCCAGTGACGTCTGTGTGTGTGTGTTTTAAAAGAAAGTAAAAGTAGGTTCATACTGCAAGTACTATTCACGTATTAAGTACAGTTTCCTATGTCATAATCACACCTCTTCCCCCTCACCCCGTACCCCCGCTGTGTCTATATGGTGTTTAACTGTAGTAGTTTTATAGTAGAACTAAACAGAGTTTTGATTGACCTACAGCCATGTATTTTATTATATGGGATCCTATAGAAAGTCCTGATGCAAATATCAAACATCAGGAAGATTTGAGGATGTTAAATGTCAATTCTTTAGGAGCCAGTGACCACTTGTAAATCAGAGATTTAGAGTCCTTTAATGCAGTAAATCAGAAGTTCCTTGTGTGTATGTATTTTGAAGGATCCATTATAAAATAAAATATTTTCTTTCTATTTAGCATTCTCTGGATATTCAACAAATACAAAGTATGACCCACACCAAATTAAAGCAGAAATAGCAAGTCGTCGGGATAGGGTGAGTAAAACCGCTGTTTTTACAACCAGGTGGACGGAAGCCTGGGGCCTTATAGCCTAGGCCGCTGGTGTTCTACTCTGGTTGACTCCTCCTGGAGGGATCGCTAGCAGTGTTAGACTGGAAGAGTTCTGAGGGTTCTGATGCTCTTCCCTGGTGACCCCTGAATTATCTATGTGCTACCATGTTTCGTCTCTTCAGACCCTTGTCTTGGTTGTCTGGGAAGGGAAACACTTTTGTTGCATTTGGGACAAAGCACAAGAAACATCTTGGCAATGAAGCCTGCTCCTCTCTTGGTGTGTCATTCCCTGAATCAGGGTGTATCTTTTAGTGCAGTGGTTCTCAAATTTTAGCACAGCTAAGAAAAATACCTGGGAGCTTGTTCCAAGTGCGAGCTTCCAGGCCTAGCCCCTGAGTTTTGACGTGGGCCTGGAGCGGGTCCCAGAATCTGTTTAAAGAAGCACTCCAGGAGCCATTGAGTTTCAGGTAGTCAGAGAGCTCGCTTCTGGACACAAAGTTTCATGTGCGGGGTCTGAGAGGAGTGGGTAGAAGGAAAGATGAAGAATGCGTTACAGAAGTTGCCAGCTGTAATGTGGAAACCTTGAAAATGCAAATAGTTGCTGGTTCCCCACTTGCGTAAGAGTCTGTCAACAATCTGGGATTTTTGTATCTAAGCACAGCAGGTCTTCTAGAAAGGCTGCTTCTTATGCATGTGAATGGAAGTTTGTAGTGAGAATAGATGATCTTATGAACTGCAAGCTGAGTAGAAACTCAGATGACAGTGCTAATAACAACTGTAGAAATCATTCTTCACAGCTGGTTTTTGGGAAAAAAAATGTGATTTGTCTTTAGCTTTCCAGATTAAAACGAGAGCTGACCCAGATGAAGCAGGAACTGCAGTACAAAGAAAAGGGGGTGGAGACCCTGCAAGAGTGAGTTGCCTGGACACTTGTCCCAAAGCTTCATGCCCTTCACTTTCATGCCTTTATTTATGCTCATGATTTTCCAATGCTAACTTCAGAATCTCTCTTTTCCTTGAAGATATTTCGTTGCTTTAAATGGAAATACTTGGGAAACAAGACCTTTATTTTTATGTTTATGCACGTTTACTATAGCTGTGCAAGACACTCATGGCTAGTTACATTTAAATTTGACTTTTTCTTAGTTTTAGTCTTTTAAATTTTTTGTTCTAAAATTGACATTTAAAGTAAAAGAAAATTAAAAGTTTAGTTTCCCAGTCTCAGTAGTCACATCAGAAGTACTCAGTAGTGACATGTGGCTAGTGCAGGTTTTCTCCACCACTTAGCACTAGTGGGATTTGGGGCTGGATCATTCTTGTCTTGGGGGGACTATCCTATGCACTGTAGAATTGTCTTGTCTTGGCCAGGCCTGGTGGCTCACGCCTGTAATCCCAACACTTTGGGAGGCCAAGGCGGGCAGATCACCTGAGGTCAGGAGTTCAAGACCAGCCTGGCCAACATGGTGAAACCCCATCTCTACTAAAAAGACAAACATTAGCCAGGCGTGGTGGTGCATGCCTGTAATCCCAGCTACTCGGGAGGCTGAGGCACAAGAATCGCTTGGCGGGCACCTGTCATCCCAGCTATTCGGGAGGCTGAGGCAGGGAGAATCGCTTGAACCTGGGAGGCCGAAGTTGCAGTGAGCCGAGATTGCGCCATTGCACTCCAGCTTGGGCGACAGAGCGAGACTGTCTCTCAAAAACAAACAAACAAACAAAAACACAAAGAATGTTGTCTTTACTCTTTACCCGCTAGATGCCAGTAGCACCTTCCACCTGTATTGTGACAACCAATAATGTTTCTAGACATTGCCAAGTGTCCCCTAAAGTACACATTTGCTCCCAGTGGAGAACCACCGTGCTGGTGGCTACTGTATTGAACACCATAGGTGACAGATTTCCATCATCACGGAAAGCTCCTTTGGACATTCCAGTCTGTAGGTCTTCCTCCTGTTCTCATTTTTACAATAAGAACGTTATCCCTACTAAGAGATTGGGGATGAATTGTTTACAATTAGTGAGCTGTATCGAGTCTGCAGGTTTCATGAACTAAAGGTGGTGTTTGAGAAATGGTGCTGGTGTGGGTCTGAAGGTTTGCTGAGCCGTTCTCTCCATTCACTGGCTTTCCTTGCTGAACTTGCGCATGTGCCGCACGCCTTCTGCACCTACTTTTCTCATCTGCAAATGGTGATTGTTTTAGGCAGCTCGGGCTGCTATGACAAATACCATAGACTGGGTGACTTGAATAGCAGATATTTGTTTCTCACAGTTCTGGAGGCTGGAGGTCCAATATTTGGTTCCTGGTGAGGGCCCGATTCCTGATATGCAGATGACCATCTTGTCGCAGTTTCCTCTCATGGCTAAGAGAGCAAAAACTCTGTTCTCTCTTCCTTTTCCTAATCCCATCATGGGGTCCCACCCTGTGACCTCATCTAACCCTAATCACCTCCCAAAGGCCCCACCTTCAAATGCCATCACATTAGAGGGTAAGGCTGCAACATAAGAATTTGGAGGACACACAAACACACAGTCCATAACAGCAATCACTGTGCTCAGTTATACTGAGGACAGCACCAGCACCTGGTACATGCCCAGCCCGAAACAATTAGTCCAACTCTGTGTGGTTACTGTTACTGACGCAGGTGGGCACCATGTTGCCGTCTTTCATCCTGCATGCAGATGCATGAGGTGACACACGTGACTGCAGCACTGCTCTTTATGGGGAGGTAATAAAGGAATGTGAGGTACAGATGTAATTATCTACCATTACCCAGCTATGTGTTTGTGTGCATTTTGGATCTACAGTCAGAGCTTCCTTTTATTAACCCTAGTTAGTATTAGCACAGCTTCTTCTTTAGCTTTTTTTTTTTTTTTTTTTAAGACAGAGTCTTGCTCTCGTCGCCCAGGCTGGAGTGCAGTGGTGTGATCTTGGCTCACTGCAACCTCCCCCTCCCAGGTTCAAGTGATTCTCGTGCCTCAGTCTCCCCAGTAACTGGGATTACAGGTGCCCGCCACCACGCCTGGCTAATTTTTGTATTTTAGTAGAGATGGGGTTTTGCCACATTTGCCAGGCTGGTTTCCAACTCCTGACCTCAGGCGATCTGCCCGCCTCGGCCTCCCAGAGTGCTGGGATTACAGGCATGAGCCACCGTTCCCGGCCTCTTCTTTAGTTTTGTCTTAAGCAAATCAAGCTTCTTTTCCAACTAACCGGCTGCTGGTTTTGTCATTCATGCGGTGCATAGGCCAGAGTGCTTTCCAAATGCACCGACGTGTGTTTTGTCCTTTTAGCCCCCCACTCCAGCCAGCCTCCAGATACTCCAACACCTCCTCAGATGCGACTGTGTGTGCTGTGGCAGTGTCATCCTGTGTCACTTTGGCTAAGGTGGTGGATAAAGAATAAGCAGAAACAAATCATTTGATTTGTGACAGGTCACCAAAAGTTATTAGGACTACCTAGTTGGATTTGAGGTGAATTTTCTACCTTCATTAGGCCACACTGTAGCTGTCTCTCATTGTGATACAGTGTCTCTGGACAATATGTAGTTGTTTGTTTTTTTTTGGTTTTTTTTTGAGATGGGGAGTCTTTGTCACCCAGGCTGGAGTGCAGTGGTGCAATCTTGGCTCGCTGTAACCTCCATTTCCTGGGTTCAAGCAGTTCTCCTGTCTTAGCCTCCCAAGTAGCTGGGATTACAGGCACACGCCACCATGCCCAGCTAATTTTTATATTTTTAGTAGAGACCGGGTTTCACCATGTTGGTCAGGCTGGTCTCGAACTCCTGACCTCAGGTGATCCGCCTGCCTCAGCCTCCCAAAGTGCTGGGATTACAGGCATGAGCCACCACGCCCGGCCCAGTAGGTGGTTTTAATGTTAGTCATTGTGTGTGCCGGAGGTTGCAGTTAATGTCATTCTCATTTGCAGCTCTGAGGAAGGTGACTGGGGTTCAGGAAGAGTCTGAGTTTGCTCAGGATCCCTGAGCATCAGCAGGGAGCCACGTCTGGCACTTCCCTCATGGCCATGGTTTCTGTAGTGGGTTGCTGGGCTCAGCGCCCGTTGCTTTGCCTTGGCTCCATCGTTCTGGTGAACTCCATTTCCTTATTTGAAGACAAAGGCCATATAGCAGTGTCAGCTGTAGATGGACTGATTTAGAAACTGAAACGTACTGCTGACTGAGAAAACCCCCTTCTCCTTAGCATGGCTAGGATGTGAATTCATCTTTTGTAGTTGCAGTGGTTTCAAGAATAGGAAAAGGCAGCCTCTGTTTCCCTAGGGGCATTAGACAGAGAAGCAGGAGCCAGAATAACGAGAATTTTAACTTAACACCTGCGGCCAAAACGGAGCGCAAGTTGTGCTCCTGGAAGAGAGGCGGGCCAGTGCTGTTTGGATTGTCTTTCTGCTTTCATTATCAAGATCCCACGCTTGGGAACAGCAATTGTAAACTTGCCACTTGCCAAGGGGAGGCTCCTCCTGTCTGCCTGAGCTCATGAGAATACCCGCCCTCCCCCTGGAGGCCAAGGAGTGGCCTGGGGAAGGCTCTGGACCTGGCCTTGGTCCTGAGGGGCCCACCCCACCTCATGCCTGACCAGGGGCAAGTTAGCTTTCAGGAGGGAGCTGCCCAGAGCTGTTGTTTAATGGGCACGTTGCCTTGGCTCTGTCTGACGCTGCGTTGTTACTGTGCATGTTTACTTTATTCTGGGACAGACACAGCCTCACAGGAAGAAGAGAAAACCCAGGCACCCGTGCCACTCTTAAAATATTTTTGTAAGTGGAAGATAATCTGGTAGCCTTTCTCTGAGTTCCACAGCTTATGAGATGAAAACAGCCTCATTATTTTTCTGGTATTGAACATTGGGTGTTTAGGTTTGGATTGAATCATGCAAATGTATATTTTTTTAATTGAGAAATTTTAGAAGGCCTTTTCAAGCATTGAAAATGTGATTACCCCATCTCTACTGGGAAATCCTGACTATACGTACAGATAGCAGGTGAGCTGTTATACCTAAACATGAAGCATCTCTGATTTTATCACCAACATTGCTTAAGGCAGTGGCCTGAGATTTTCCTCCAGAAAATTTCCTGCTGTTCTTGCTTCCCAGAATATCCAGTGTATTCTTTTCCAGAGCACCTCACTAGGAGTTTGGCTGCTTATAACATTTTAAGCTTGCCTTGTTTATCTTGGTGAATTTCCTGGCTAGCAAGGAAATTCATCATTACACTTGGGTCCAAGTAAGGAAAAAAGAACCTTTTGTATTTTACTTTAAATCTATATATGTTGTTGATTGTTGTAGAGAGGAATTGGCCACAGATATGTTCGCTGGGTTAATGATAGAATATGTACACAGATGTGTGTTTTATGTGTATCTATGTGAAGTGTACACATGTAAGCTTTTAATGATGGAAAATATCAAACACAAAAGCAGAGAGAATAGTATACTGAAACCTTCCTGTACCCCTCACCCCATTTAACCTGCACAATTGCCAATCTTGTTTCGGTGGTGACCCCACCCCATCTGCTAAGCTCTCACGGCCTTATTGAAGCAAATGCCAGAATCCCATTTAATCCATAAATATGTCTCCTAAAGTTATGGACTCCTTTTGAAAATAACTCTAATCCCTGTACCCCATTTACTAGGCATCTTGTGTCCAGTGAGCTCTTGCATTTCTTCAGGTGTTTGGGTCCAGTTTGGGCCACAGAGTGCCTTTGGTTGATGTGTCTCTTACGTCTTTTCTTTTCTACTCTCCCTCCTTTTTTTCCCCTGACAGCTTATTTGTTGGAGAAAGTAATTTGGTTGTCCTATAGAATTTCCCTAATGTTGGGTTTTGCTGCTGAAATTCACATGATGTCATTGAACGTGTTCCTCTGTCTCTTGTTATTTATGCAAATGGGCGTAATAGTTTGAGAGGCTTGATCTGATTCAAGTTGGATTTCTTTTCTTTTTTTAGTAAGAATGTTTTTAGGTGGTGGTGTTACTTCCATCAGGAGGCACCACTCTGTGCTTGTTTCTTTTTGCGGTGTGAAGATGATCAGTAGGTTCTGGCCTTGTTAGCCCAATGCTTTGATTTATATTAATAACATTTCTTGTCAGCTTTTTACCTAAGTTATGGATGTGTATCTTCCAGGATAAGTTCCTGAAAGCGGGCTTGGTAGGTTAAAGGGTGAATGTATTTGTTGTATTATAGGTTGTATTTCTTATCTGAAATGCTTAGGACCAGAAGTGTTTTGAATTTCAGTTTTTTTTTTTTTTTTTTTTTTTTTTTTTTTTTTTTTGGTTTGGAATATTTGCATTATACTTACTGGTTCAATATCCCTCATCCAAAAATCTGAAACCTGAAATGCTTCACTGGTCATTTTCTTTGGGTGTCATGTCAATGCTTAAAAAGTTTCAGATTTTGAAGCACTTTGGATTTCAGATTTTCAGATTAGGGATACTCAGCTTGTATTAGATATGGCCAAATTCCTTTGCTGAGGGGTTGCACCATTTTGCCTTCCTACCACTAACATATGAGTGTTCTCGTTTCCTGTGACTTTGCCAACAGGATGTGTTGATAAGCATTTGCATTTTTGCCAGTCTCATAGGTGAGAGATAGTATCTCAGTGTAGTTTCAATTTGCATTTTTCTTGAGGCCTTTTATAAAAGTCTTCAGAAAATAGGAGCACCATTTACAATGACTAATTAAAGTTTAGAGAAAAATTGAGCTTTTCCAGTGAAAGGTCCCCTGGACTCTGTTGCCCTAAAGTTTCTGAAACGTTTTGGAAAAATTACCTTACTGTAACTTACTACTAGTGTCCAGAGGCAAAGGGAAGACTCAGGACCAGGACACGTGCAATGTTTCCCAACTGGGTGATGTGCGTGAACGGACCAAGTGCACCAACAGATGTGGGCAAATTCCCCTCTCCAGCTCCTGCCTGGAGCTCTAGAATGTACCTTGTGTTAGATTTTTTTTTTTTTTTTTTTTTTTTGAGATGGAGTCTCACTCTGTGGCCCAGGCTGGAGTGCAGTGGCACGATCTTGGCTCACTGCAACCTCTGCCTCCCGGGTTCAAGCGATTCTCATGCCTCAGCCTCCTGAGTAGCTAGGACTACAGGTGCACACCACCATGCCCAGCTAATTTTTATATTTTTTTAGTAGAGACGGGGTTTCACCATGTTGCCCAGGCTGGTCTCGAACTTCTGGACTCAAGCCATCTGCCCGTCTCGGCCTCCCACAGTGCTGAGATTACAGGCGTGAGCCACTGCACCCGGCCCCTTATGTTAGATTCTGAGTGGTCCTGCAGCTGGGAAGCTCATTTAACATTGCCCTTCCCTGAGTTTCCTGCTCGTGTTATTAGAGCCTTTTCCTGCCATGATACCTATAATGTCCCTGAGCACTGGCTTGATGGCAGAAGATGCTTTTGGGTAACACTGCCTGGCCACCTTGTCCATGGTGTGCTGTTTCTACACCCGGCCTCTGATCCTTCTCACAGCTTCCACCACCACGGCTCTGGGCCAAGCACTAATGTGAGTCTCCATCCTCACACAGTAGCCATGGGGTTCTTCCACAGCTAGTGCTCTCCTTGTGGTCCTTCTGTGGCTCTCTCTCACCTACAACACAAGCCAGACTCTACATAGGCTGGCCCCCGGCCCTGCCTCATTTACCTCTAGTTTCACCTTTGAAAGGGATGTCCTGCCTTTACCGTGGGTACTTGGAGCTCCCTCTGCTTGGAATGCTCTTTCCCCCAGATTCTCACATGCCTGCTCCCCCACTTCCGTGGGCCTTTGCTTAGTGACATCTCGAGAGATCCTGGCTTAACCATCCATCTAAAAATGTACTCTGTCACACTCTATCCCCAAACTGCTTCATTTTTTTTTGAAAACATTTGTGACTGCCTGACCTAAGGATGTACTTTTCATTGTCTGTCTCCTTGGCTCGAATCGTGCTGCACGAAGACAAGGACTTGGCTTTGTTCGCCGCTTCATCCTGAGGACCCAGCCAGTTCTCAGCACAGGGTGGGGCTTGGGAGTGAATGCAGATTGCCCGGGTGCTGGGGGGAGTGGCTGAGGTTGCTGTTCCTGCCCGCTAGTAGCCATCACAGGGTCCACTTCTTTCTCGGACACTGGGACACTCTGAGTGAGGGCAGATGTTTCCTTGGCCAAAACTTTTGTCCCTGGGCTGGAGGAACTCAGGGAGGCCTCTAGACATTGTCCAGTCACCTTCTTGCCAACTGTCCTCTAGCACAGCATTCTCTTCTGCATTTTGTGTGATATTGTTTTGGCCTGGGTTTTAAGAAGTCCTATTATCACTGCTATTCAAATCACAGAAAGGGATGCTCACCAGATGTTCCACTAACTAGTTTCCATGAGGTACATTCTTAGCCACTAGGTGAGCCTCTGCTTCAAGACTTTTGATTTCTTGATTAACTTCCCAAATGGGGTGAAACCCATTTGTCTCCTTAAATATGAGCCACTACATCCTTCTAAGCATGCAATACCAGAATGAAGCATTACTGCATATTAGAATTAGCATTTTCTGTCTGAAGGGATTTAGTAGTTTCAAGAAAGAGTGGGATTGTTCAGTAGAACAGGCTTAAAGTAACAATCTCCCATTAGCGTAGCACCTAAGGAACAGCCCACGCGAAAACCTCGGCAATGCTCAGATAACAACAGCGAAACGTACAGAAATGGGCTGGAAACAAAAAGAGGATTGTTCCTGGTTGTGGGACAGGTCTGGTGTTCCACACAGGTCTTGCTGTTGATAGAAAGCCGCCGGAAGCTTTCTGAGGTTCACCCAAGGCCGTCTGCCAGAGCTGCTGATAGAAAATGTAGAAGTTGTAACAAACCTTTCCATTCTTCTGGGTTGTAATCTGTGGTATTAACACAGAATATCTTTAGAGGGCTGGCAGCTCTTTCCTTCAAGATGTGGGGTTAAGAAGTTATGTGGTTTTACTCTTATTTTTCCTAGTGCAGTTCTCTTGACATCTTAAATTGAACAACCAATATGGAAATTTTAGGGTGGCAGGAGGTAGAGGTTGACAATAAACATCTCTAAAATGCCTTTTCCATTGTACTAGGTTCCTCATCTGAAGCTGTATCTTCTTCTTTTCTCTCCAGCCCATTTCTTTCAAAAGCACACCATAAAGAGCACCAGTTTACTTTGGGATGACATTTGACTGGTTATATGGGTGGCCTTCAGGTTTGACACAATGGGCATTTAGAGGCCTTGACTTTGAATATATTGCGAACCTGGTGATGGAGCAGACAAGTCCTGGTGTGGGGGGCCTTGGCTGTGAACTTCACTTTGCCTGTTACTGGCTGTGTGACCCTCAGCAAATCACTTAACGTCCCTGAAGCTGAATGCAAAATGTAGAGGGTGCAAAAGTAAAGACTGTGAGTCTGTGCACTGAATTTTGATTTCATACTGCATAATAACTCATGTCCTTGTTTAGTCTCCTTGAGCAGTTACCTTTTCTATCATTTTATTTGTGATGTATGGTAAAGGCACTGTCTTGCACTCTTAATTAAAATTAAGACCAGAATAAGGCAGTTCTTTGGCAGTCACAGATCTTATGATTTTTTAAACGAACTGGAATACATCAATATTTTTAAAAAATACCAAATCATTGAGCACATCATCTACATTGGACCAAAGTTTTTTAGGGAAGTTTTAGAGAGAGAGAGTGTGCTCTCAAATAAATGAATTTTACAGAAGTAAAAGAAGACATTTACTGTCCTTTGAAGTTTTTGTTGGATGAAAATGGATCACAATTGAAAAAATGGAGGTGTTGTGAAGCTATGACAGCTAAGAAAGTATAAGGTAGCCCTTCCATGAATATCCCAGTGAGTTACGAGCAGTGAGTGAGAAGGCCAGCCATTTTGATGGAAGTGGGGCTGGTTTTGAGGGACAAACAAAAGAGTTTTGAAAATGTACAATGGGTTTATATGCCTACTGTCACCATTCTTGCTATTGGCTCCCACGTTTTAGTAGCCACCAACTGGCCTGCTGGTACTGTGCTGGGAACTTTTTCTATTTTATTGCCAAATCTCCCGAGGACCCTCAGGTGATGTAGACTGTTAAAGTTTACCACCTTGATCATTTGGATGAACTGTTTTGTGAAAGAAGGGATTTAATGAGAGCAGAATAAAAAGAAAAAATATGCCCACAGCTCAAACTTTAGTTCATGCTCACTTATTTTAACTTTTGGCATGGAATACTCTATAGTTAAAGATACGTGTACCTTTTAATAAAGATGTATAAATAAAGACTTCTGCTTTGTAGGAACAGACAAGGCAATGTGTATTTGAGAAACCTACAAGTCTGTAACAGCCATTATGGAAGTGCCTGCAGGGTCAGGACACGTTGGCATTTAGGAGTGTCATTATTCACCATGCACGGTGTGCCTCTATCTGCTCTCCTCGGGGCAGAACTCAGGACTAGTGTTTATAAATATTTTATTTGTAGCTGATGGCAATCACAGCAATGCTGCCGAGCCCCAGAGCCCTATTCAAAGGGAGTCAATGGCTTCCTGCTTGTGTTGTTTGCCCTCTTCCTAGGCCATGGATGCTGATAGCTCAGGTTGACTCTGGTGCCGAGTTTTGCTTGAGTTGTGACATATTTGGCAAGGAATTTGTTAATGATAATAAAACACCAGAGTTGGCAAGTTATTTACTTTTTCTCCCATGAGTAAGGAGATTCTGTGTTATCCTGATAATAACAGTCACCGCAAACACCATATGCCAGGCCTCCTGCCAAGCAAGCTCTTACCTTGCATTTTCTCATTAAATCTCATGCCCATCCCATGGGAGAAATATTTTTAGTGTCCCCATTTGAGACAGGAAGAAGCAGGTGGAAAGAGGGGAAGTGACTCACCCAGGTCCCACAGCCAGTGAGTGGCAGAGCTGGGTGCCACTCGCACCCACCAGCATGCCAGAGGTTCCTGTGAGCGGTAAGCAAGGGAGTTGGGGCTGGCAGTTAATGATCCAGGTTTTCAGGATAACATGGAGGGAAATGTTAGAACCAGAACCTGTGAACTGGGAGACTCGGAACCTGAAAGAAGCCAGTTGCTTTCCAGAGAAGGAATTCATTCCACTCTGGACCAAAATTTCTCAAGTTCCTTAGCCTTAGGGCTTCCCATGCTGGAGCCTCAGGTGTAGGGGATGTGACAAAGGACATGCTCCAGAGGCCACCTCCCTTTGAAGGCAGAACCAAGTCTTGTTTTGTTCTGTGCTCTGCGTCCAGCCCCAGACCCAGGCCTGGTGTGTACAGGAGCTGGCTGGGAGGATGGAAGCTTGGAGGAAAGGTGGGAGGAAGGGGAGGAAGGAGGGAGGGAGGGACATTGCCATTTTCCCTGGATGAGTGTTTGGATTGAAGGAAAGAATTGAGGACTTGGTAGGAGAAAGAGTGAGTAATAAATTAGAACCAGAATGAAATCAGAGTTATAGGAGACAGAAAAGGTTTCCAGCTTTTGTACAAAGCACCATTATCGAAAGCTCACTACTTCTTGCTGTGTCCCATATATTCTCCCTGTACACAGATCTCATTCATATGTTTATTTAACAAAGATTTTGACCACTAACCTGGAGATAAACAAAACATGTCCTCTTTTCAGAGAGAGGAATTTACAGTCTCGGGAAATTACTCAAGCAAGCAATCTTGTTGCGCAATCATTAGCGGAGGACGTGGGCATCCTGTCTCGGACGTCTTCACCTGCCCAGGGTGCTCCTGAGCAAAGGGTGTTGTATCGACCAGAAGGAGGGACGCTTCCGTGGGGTCTTTCTTTTTCTTAGCCAAAACATTACTTTAACTGTTTCCACCTCTCTATGAAGCTTTTGGGTTTTCGTAGTTGTATGTTTAATGGAATGCTAGGATCTCATGTGAAATGACATTGATTTTTCTGTTTTAACTAGGATTGATCGGAAGATGTCAAGTACTCACACCAGCTACAAACTGGATGAGGCGCAGGCTATCATGAGTGAGCTCCGGACCATCAAGAAGGCCATTTGCACAGGCGAGAAGGAGAGGCGGGACCTGATGCATGTAAGCTGCCTGCCTGCTCATGTGTTTTATTTTAAGATGTTTTTAATATACTTATGTATTACATGTTATATAGTTATTGTATATATAACATATATGTGTATATAATACACACACACACACACATGCATACATACATACGCACCCCCCACTGTATTTAAGTACGTATATAGTCATCCCTCTGTATCCTTGGGGGATTGGTTCCAAGACACACCCCCATCCCTCAGGATACCAAAATCATTGGATGGTCAAGTCCCTTATATAAAATGGTGTAGTATTTGCATATAACCTGCACAGTCCTCCTGTATACTTTTCTTTTTTTTTTTGGAGACAGGATCTCTGTCACCTAGGCTTGAGTACAATAGCACAAAAATGGCTCACTGTAGCCTTGACCTCCCAGGCTCAAGCCATCCTCTCACCTCAGCTTCTAGAGTAGCTGGGACCACAGGTGCGCACCATCATGCCTGGCTAATTTTTATATTTTTAGTAGAGACAGGGTCTCACCGTGTTGGCCATGCTGGTCTCAAACTCCTGGCCTCGAGCGATCCTCCCGTCTCGGCCTCCCAAAGTGCTGGGATTACAGGCATGAGCCACTCTGATTGCTGCCTCCATGGTCACATGACTGTCTCTTTGTCTGAATTTCCTGTTCCTGTAAGGACACCAGCCATTGGATAACGACCCACCCTAATCCAGTATGACCTCATCTTAACTAGATTACATCTGTAAAGACTATTTCCAAATAAGGTCACACTCACAGGTTCCTGGGGTTAGGACTTGAACATATCTCCTGGGGGAACATAATTCAACCCACAGCAATGGGTGATACATTTATATTGTTCAATAATCAAGATAATTCCAAAGGTCTATGATAAGAAGTCTCGCTATCGCCCCATCCTCCTACTGCCCCTGACTGCCTTTATTACCTTTTTGCCTACCCTTCCAGCATTCATGTGGGCACACAAAAAGAGAATACATGTTTAGCCGCCCTCACGCAAAGCCAGGACTGTGATACTGTTCCGCACTAGCTTCCTCACTTAACAGCAATATCCCCTACCTTTCCCCATATCTGTACACAAAGAGCTGCTTCTTTCCTTGAGATGGTTGCATAGTATTTTACTATGTGGGTGTATTTGTATTATATATAGCTGGGATCATTGTAGCTTTATACTGCTTTATGTTTTTTTCCCCTTGAGCTTTTGTAGTTTCTGTTATTTTTAGAAAAAGTTGAACTTTTGCAAATGCAAAAAGCTGCCTCCATGGTGGGAAACTCAAGCAAGACATCTGAGTGGCTGGCCCTAGTGCTGCACATGGTGGCCTCAGAGAGGCCAAGGCAGGGGAGCGCTGCTTGACCTCATGACGTAAAGTGCTGGAATGCATTCAGTGCTTTTGGTTACAGCTTTTATTTTTCATCTGCTACCCTAAGTGAGCACCTACTGCCTGCTGGCATGTGTCTAGATTCTGTAGAGTATAAGACCCACAGGACAGAACAAGCAAAGCTCAAACTCATAGGCAAAATGAGACAGATGCACAAAAAAACTACCCTGCCTGGGTAGTGCCTTCTAAGGTCAAGGCCATGAGGGACTTGCGGAGAGTCCTCATGGTGCTTGTTAAGATGCAGATTACCAGGCCCCACCCTAGACTCACTGAATTAGAATCTCTGGAGGTAGGGCCTAGGAATCTATTTTCAGATGACCTCTCCAGGTTGTGATAAGTAAATGGTTAATTGTTAGATTTTTTTTTTTTTTGGCACACAGGTAGCACTGAGAACAGCTACCATTTATTGAGGTCTCTGCTCAGCTGACATCAAACAAGATGCCCCATGTTTGTTACCCATCGTCAATACCGCAGGCTGAACCATGTGGTGTTCCATGGTGGAGACACAGAGGCTTTACGCCATGAGGCCAAGCAGGGCTGCCTGCCCCGGCCTCTCTGAGGCCACCGTGTGCAGCACCAGGGCCAGCCACTCATTTGCCTTGCTTGAATTCCCACCGTGGAGGCAACAGATAGAATTTCTGGAAGAAGCTTCAGGCTCGAGCACCTTCTTTGACGTCTCCATAGCCTCTCAAACTCTGAGAAGCTCCAGGAAGAGGCACAGGCAGAGTCCTCTTCTATCCAGGTTAAATAAGTTGTTTTGCCTTTCTTATGTGAACTTAACAATATTGGCCCCTCCCAAGAAGGCCTTATCTCAATCTCAAGCCAGTTTTGTGAGTTCTACTGCACTTGGGCATTTTTGGTTCTGGTGTCTGTAGTAAAATTTGCTGAAAGTGAATATATTCAGAAGTCTAAAAGAAATGGTCAAAAATCTGATTTCTGGCTGGGTGCAGTGGCTCATGCTTATAATCTCAGCACTTTGGGGGGCTGAGGCAGGAGGATAGCTTGAGCCCAGAACTTTGAGAAAAGCCCAGGCAACATAGTGAGACCTGGTCTCTACAAAAACAAACAAACAAACAAAAGTTTAGCTGGGTGTGGTGGCATACCTGTAGTCCCAAGTACTCAGGAAGCTGAGGTCGGAGGATCACCTGAGCCAAGGAGGTCGAGGCTACGGTGAGCTATGATTGTGCCACTGCACTCCAGCCTGAGTGATAGAGTGAGACCCTCTCTCAAAAAAAAAAAAAAAAAAAAAAAAAATCAGAATTCTGATTTCTGCTTAAAACTGCCACACAGAGAGATTTCATGTGCCAGAATGCATACTAACTCTAATTTTTGGCAAACCAACATACATATGAGATTACTTTTGACCATGTAGAATTATGACTGAGAAATGAGGTTTATAAAAATACGTAAGCTAAAACAGCAACTCAAAGAACTGAAAAAGAAATACGTAAGCATTGTCTGGGAGCTGTTTTCCCCTTCCCTGTTTTTCCTCTGTAACAATCTCAAGGCAGCATTCATCTCTGTCAGGCTCATTTACATTTTCGATAGAAATACTTATTTTTTTCTTTAGGAAACATGAAGGTTTAAGAACCAGTAAAAATGGTACCATAATTGTCCTCTATTTTATTCACATGCTGCCAGGGGGACTTAGTTGCGATGTGATTTAAATGACTAAGAATTTTATTAGAGGTGCCTGTGATGAAGGGCATTTATGTGAAATCTAACGAGCATGGGGGTGAGGTGGGGCAACTGTTCAGTAATAAATAATGCAGCAGACCTAAAACAAATGAGAGAACCACTTCTGGAGGGAAGAGACACATCACCATCTCCGTTCAAAGAGCTTGTCTCATTGTGTTCCAGAGCCTGGCCAAGCTGACCGATAGCTTCAAGAACAGCTGCTCCGTTACCGACTCTCTAGTGGACTTCCCTCACCATGTAGGCGTGCCTGGCGATGCTGGTGTACCCCAGCAGTTCTGCGATGCCGGCTCCCAGACTGATATCATCGGGGAGGTATATGCGCGCCCAGGGGGAGAAATGCACCGGGAGAGGGGAGGGCTGCTTCAGTGTTGCCATCACTGGTTTGGTGTAATTTTCCATGTTCACTTAAGAAATGCCTTCACTTTTGTGCCATTAAGTTTGAAGAAAAAGTGTTGTGTCTCACATCCAGCTGTGTGATACAATTGAATTGCTTATTACTGCTGCCCTTATGATTTGGACTCTTATAAATGACATACTCCTTGTGAGAGTTGAGTTTCACTGTTCTTTTGACAGACATATCACTTTTTAGAGCATGAGTCCCCACGCTTTTTCTGTGAAGGGCCAGATAGTAAATATAGTCACTATTTTAGGCTTTGCAGGTAGTTCTGCTGGAACTGCCCCACCCTGTCATTGTAGTGTACATGCAGCCATAACAGAGATGCCTTGCAAGCATGTAAGACTGGGGCCTCGAGCTGCTCAAACGTTCACTTACGGAACAGCCAGTGGGCTGGATTTGGCCCCAGGGCCATAGTTACTGATTCCTGCCTTAGACCACTGATTTCCAAAGGCTTTATAGCTGTGCCACCTTGGGTGTTACTTTATTGCTGTTTCTTACTCTTCTAAAAGAATGTCAGGAAATTGAATTGAACTAAAAGTCATTTTTGTTTGAGACTTGGAAGAATGTCATAATGCCTCCTTTGTTAATTAGCGAAGCCTTGAGTTAGCCACAAAAACAAAGTTGGGAAAATCACCATTTGAAGCAGGATGGTGGATATTCAAAGACGCTAGTATTGTAATATCATTGAGTGAAGCTTGACATTAATTTGTTACCAAATGGAAAAACAGTTTAAAGAGCTTCTTTTTTTTTTTTTAAGGATTATTAAGTAAAGATGAGGTATCAATGGAATGCACAGTGCCACCCCTCCCCCGAAATTAAATAAATAAAAGGAAAGCAACAAAAGGAGGAAAAAACAATTGATGGAAAACTCTGGGTTTTAAATAATTAGCTAATTAATATTTTGAAATCTTAGCAACTAGTGCCTCTTCGAGTGGAGTATAATGTAGGAAATCACGGCCCTTTATGTCTTGGGTGTCCTGGAACAGTCCTATTTTCAAATTTGCCTGCGTTGTTCCAAACGTACACTTGGCCGTTTTTGACTAGGCATCTTCTTTGGATGAAAGAATATGGTCGCCATCTGTAACACACAGAGGAGAATCTGTAATTCAAAAATGTTTGGCATTTTTGCGTAAAGATTTTGGAGCGAGAGAAGGAAACAAGTGTAAGACTCATTGAATTCGTGAATAATTCATTGCTGCTTATTGTAAGGTTAGAATTAGAATTTAGTTTGAGAGAAACAGTTAAGATAGAAGGTTCTCCAGTGATTTAGGTCAACCCTTCTAAAAATGTCAGGTGAGGAGTGGTGGCTGGTTATGCTACTTGAGCAGTCACTGCTCATTGTTGATAAGCTCCTGAAGTTTACCGGGGCTGACCCTAGGTCAGCAATCTCATAGCTGTTATCTCAGTTTAAGTAGTTGTTCCCATCCTGTGTGATGTGCAGGAGACCGAGATGCCAGGTTACCTAAGGTCTTGTAGCTGAGGAGAGGCAGGTCTGGTTTTGAAACATTTCTCATCCCTAAACCCCTGTACTTTCTAAGAAACCACATCATGTTATAGAAAAATAGATCAAAAGGCTATGACTGTATTAGCTAACCATTGCTGCATAACAGATTTCCCCAAAACCTAGCCTCTTACAACAACACTCCTTTATTATCTCATGCTTGATGTGGTCCAGGAGACTGGGCTGGGTCTTCTGCTCCAGGGTCTCTCAGGAACTTCCCTGCAATCAAGGTGTCAGCCAGGACTGTGGTCTCATCCAAAAGCTCACCTGGGGGAGGGGCCACTCTTAAGCTCATGTGATTGTTGGCAGGATTCAGTTCCTCACAGGTTGCTGGACTGAGGGCTTCAGTTCCTTGCCACATGGGCTGCTCCAGCACGGCAGCCTGCTTCGTCAAAGTGTACCAGCTGAGAGTCTGCTAGCAAGATGGAAGTCACAGTCTTTTGTAACCTATTCACAGAAATGACTTCCCATCACCTTTGTTCTGTTCTATTGGTTAGAGTCAAGTTATAGACCCAGTTTATTCTCAGGGGGAGGGAATTTCACACGGGGAGAATCCCAGGAGGTGTTGGTCATTAGGGGCCTTCTTAGAAGTCTGCCTACCTCACTTTGTGCTTGTGTTGAGTCTGTTTTGTGGGGTGGATATTGCTGTATGTCAGATGTGCTTTTTGAGACTGGAGATTTGCAGCCACAGGGTTGCACACGCTGTAGCGCTGCATAGGAACTCTGAAGCAGGAGTCTCTTGGATCCATTTGGCTGTCTTTTCTTTTCACTAAAATGTCCATTTAATTCTCAAAGAAGAGTACAGAAACAAAGCTTAGAGAGAGGTGCATACAGCTTTGAGAAGAGGTTTGAGAGATGATGTTTACTGATCTTGATGAGTTGATTGCAGGGTCACTAATAAAGAGGGGACTGAAATGGCAAGTAGCTCATCTCCACTGTGGACAGCTTTTGGAGCTGTGGCACTGCCACTTAAATATATTTATACTGAGGAAGCTGGAGAGGAGCATTGGATGAGGCCGTTTAAACATGTATAATTGTGGCCAGGCACAGTGGCTCATGCTTGTAATCCTAGCACTTTGGGAGGCTGAGGTGGCCAGAGGTGGCCAGATTGCTTGAGCCCATGAGTTGAAGACCAGTCTGGGCAACATGGCTGGGCAACCACCTGGGCGTGGTGGCTCATGCCTGTAGTCCCAGCTACTTGGGAGGCTGAGGCAGGAGGATCGCTTGAGCCCAAGGGGTTGAGGCTGCAGTGAGCTGTGATTGTGCCACTGCACTCTAGTCTGAGCAATAGTGCGAGACCCTGTCTCAAAAAAAGAAACCATGAACAATTGTCATTCTGGTTGGAGAATGCTCAGTCCCTTGTAAGGCACTTTTTCATCTTGCCATTCAAGGCAATAAATTTGCGAAGACATTTTTCATCAACATAGATCAAAACTCGTGTCGATAAATTCACTGCTAATCATTCAAGTTGAATATTTTCAGATACTTGTTGATGGGAAGTTATTTCAAAAATGTAAAGACTTGGTGGCCATAATATGTGATCTAGTAAGGTCAGATCAACAGATGGAGCTGATTTATTGAAACTGGAGTTGTGTGAATATTTGCAGGAATGAGGAATTAACCAAAATGTACTACAGTTACTTCCTGTACATGTCTTTTTTTGTTTTGTGTAGGATTTTATTGTCATCAATGTAACTGGTACAAAAATATTTAAGTATATCTACTCGTCACAGAGCACCGCATTTAGGCTAACTCTATATTGGTACTCCCCGAGCTCTGGCTTTTTGAGACCTTGCTTGCTTTCCTTTTGCCCTTGGTTCTTTTTTTTTTTTTTTTTTTGAGACGGAGTCTTGCTCTGTCGCCCAGGCTGAAGTGCAGTGGCTCAGTCTCGGCTCACTGCAAGCTCCGCCTCCTGGGTTCATGCCATTCTCCTGCCTCAGCCTCCCGAGTAGCTGCGACTACAGGCGCCTGCCACTACGCCCGACTAATTTTTTGTATTTTTAGTAGAGGCGGGGTTTCACCGTGTTAGCCAGGATGGTCTCGATCTCCTGACCTCGTAATCCGCCCGCCTCAGACTCCCAAAGTGCTGGGATTACAGGCGTGAGCCACCGCGCCTGGCTTGCCCTTGGTTCTTTAACACACCTCGTGGCATCAGAAGGCGTCCACCAGCCCATCCGTCACACAGCTAGTCCAGCTTCCTCAGACCGTGGAGCTTCTGAGTAGAACATCATTATTTTACGTTTACTGAGGAATTAGAGAATGTACTGCACAAAATCGGGTGACTGGTTTTTGCCTTTGTATCAACTTTTACTAAGTAATTTCCTACTTCTTTTAAAACCTAATTTGTGGTTGTTGTTTGGAATTACAGAATAGATAGATATGCTGCTGCTGTAAAAAAAAACAAAAAACCCTACCAGTTTAGGCAAGCAAGAGTCTTCCCTTCCCCCTCCCCCCTCCCCAGCCAGGGGTGGCCGCAAAGGGTTATTCAGTGTTTCCTTCCAGACCTTGCACAGATTGAAAGTGAAAGAGATGAAGAATATTTCTCATTGCTGCCGAAAGTTTAAGTGAAGTTGCTATTTTGGAAATATGTTTTTAATATGCGTTTCCTTTCTTTTTTTCTCTCTTCTGTTCCGGAAAGTTTGTCTTTGATGATAAAACAAGACTTGTAGACCGAGTCAGACTTAATTGGCAATATGAAGAAGCCAGAAAGAGGTAAGAAGCACTTTTTTCCAACCTCGCCTTCTGCTTACTTACTTACTTTCTCCTGTGGAAGGAAGCGTGGCATAGTTCCTGTGTGTGATTGGTCACGTCTCATCGGAGAACAGCGTTTGATAGAATACCAAGTCAAGGATCTTCATTTACGTGTAGCTTAATACATACATATGACAACATTTCAAGTGCATTTAAAATGTGAAATTTGCAATATTACAAACAGTTATACAGACGTGATTCCATAAGAATAGAAACTTTTTTGGCTTTGTCATCCCCGGTGGTTCAGAACCTCTACCCCTCCTTCCCTTCCCTCCTTCCAATAGACGAGCATCAGTTCCAGAGGGTGTCATAAGTGAAACCACTTGATCTTTTATATGTGTGGCTTCTAACTCCATAAGCTAATGGGCAAAGCCATGTATCTTGGTTATAAGACATTCAATAAGCATTAGGTCAACAGGTGAGCAGTACCTAATTGATTTCATTCCATTTATGTTGTCCTGTGTCGTAAACCATTGGCCTCCTGCAAATTGCAGCTTGACCCACTTTGTGCACTTGTGTTTCTCTTTCCTCACTTCCCTCCCTCCCTTCCAGTCTTCATCCTCTGACATGCACAAAGCTGAGAGGCTTCCGAACCCTCGCATGGCATAGTATTTTAGGGCGTCACGTGTCTCCTCAGCTGTGCAGGGCTCCCGTTTTCAATATTCTTCTCCTCTCTGACTTTTGTATTCTCTTTTTAGGGACTTTCTCTAGTTTGTGCCTTCTGGAAAGAGTCTTAAAGCCAAATTATTTCCAAATAAGTGCTTCAGAAGAGTATCAAGCATATCTTTTTTAAAAAGTTACTTGAGTCACAAATGAAATATTGTCATGGGGGGCGGGGAGAGCAGAATAGCAGAATGTCGGGTGGGGTGAGGGAGTTCTTTCTGGAAGCTAAACAGTTAGGCCTGCTCAGCACACTGTACCATTCATGGACGTCTGGAAAGCTACTTTGTTGGCTTTTTAAAAAATGTAAAAATAGCAACAAAAGCACATCATATGATTCAGTGCTCCAGGGCCAACTTAAACGGACATGGGCCTTCTGTTTTCTAGGAGGTTTTCTAACCAGTGCCTCTTGGCTTTTTAGGATGGACTCGTGGTGGGCTTTAAATTTCCCCACAGAACAGTGCCAAGTTCATTTGGCAATACCAGTTGTCTGTGTGGTGATTCTTCATTATCATGCATATTCCTTCTCTGTAGCCTGCAAGAGTTTGTGAGGAGCGATTGTCTCTTCTGAGTATTCGTCTGCTCTTGCCTGTTTCTGGTGAAACTGCGGAGTGTGGGTGCTGGAATTTGCTACACTTAGGAACATGATTGTTACGTGTTTGGTTGTGACATTTACCAAACATAGCAAGTGATTTCTTTGTTTTCTAGAGATGGTGCCAGTATATGGTGAGTAACCTTCTAAATGTTGGGATAATACATTTGGGTGAAAAGTCGAGTATTTAAGAAAATTGTTCAAGGGGCAGGCATGGTACTTCATCAGTTCTTTTGAATAAAATACCATATTATTTCAAGATGGCCAGAACCTTGTTAGGAAACGCACCACAGCTACAGAGGAAGGTCCACCTTCCACTGACAGTAGCGGCATGTCAGAAGTGCCTCTGTGGGCTGTGTTGGAGCATTTAAAAATCAGAGATTTCTTTTAAACTCCACCTGGGTGGGCCTGCACAGGTGCTGCCTGTCCTTTTCCCACTAGCATAGTGGGGCTCCACACAGGGAGCAAGGCCTTCACCCTCCAGGAGACCTCCAGCAGTGTCTGCAGACATGTTTAGGTGTCCCAACTCTAGGGCAGGGGCCAGGGAGGCTGCTTGACATCCTGTTGTGTACAGGATGGCCCCCGCAGCAAAGACTTACCCGGCTCAGCATGGCCGCGGTGCCAAGGTCCAGAAACCTCGCCCTGGGGCTTCTTCCTGTCTTGCTCCTGAATCTTCACGATGCATGGACAACAAGGGGCCTACATGAGCAGGTCGCCTGCTGACTCACAGGCATCAGCCTGCTCCCCACTCACCCTGCTCCAGCCAATCGGCCCCTCGATGTTCCTCAGATGTACAAGCACGCCTGCACTGAGCAGCCCCTCGGGCCTCCCACCGGGCCTCAGTCCCACCGAGCCAACTCCTGACCTAGCATCTGCAGCTGGCAGAATGATGGTCCGTCAAGGTGTCTGCATCCTGATCTCCACAGCCTGTGAAGATGTGGCTTTCCATGGCAAAAGGGACTTCGTGGATGTAATTAAATTAGGGATCCTGAGATGATGGGGAAATGAGCCTATATGATCCAGGTGGGCTCAGTGTCATCACAAGAGTCCTCATAAGAGAGAGACAGGACGGTCGGCAGTAGAGAAGGAGATGTGAGGTTGGAATCAGAGATCAGAATAGTGTGGGGCCAGGAGCCAAGGAGCACGGGCAGCCCCTAGAAGCTGGAAGGTGCAAAGAAACAGATTTTCCCCTGGAACCTCCAGAAAGAACGCAGCCCTGTAGACCCATTTTCGACTTCTGCCCTCTAGAACTGTAAGGGAATAATAGGTGTTGCTTTAAGCCATTAAGCTTGTGGTAATTTGGGGCAGAAAAGAGCAAACTCATACAGTGCCCTTGGCCTGTTCTGTCTTCTCTGTCTGGAATGGGGTGGCTTTTCTCCAAATTGTCACATGACCTCTCCTTTTGATCACCTTGTTAAGAGAGGTTTCCTTGACCATCCTGAATAAAACCTCACCACCCTGTCCTCACCCCGGTCCCCCTGATTGGCTGAGCAAATGTTATTACCTAACCAGTGTTTACTTTTCTTACTGCCTGTCTCTCCCTGTGAAAATGTAAATAACCCTCATGAGTGCAGGGATTGTAGGTCATTGCTGTAAGCCCAGCAGCTACATACTTGGTGAATATTTATTGAATGAGTAAATGAGGGTCCCGTGTGGTTGCATTTGCTATTTGGCCTTTGCCCCTGGGACGGGGCAAGCCAGGGCAGTCCCGGGGCCAGGTCAGCTCCAGGCCAACTGCTCTGCTCCTGGGTCCCTTCCTCAAACCTCCATCCAGGTGTGAGCCTTGGGGTCTCTCGCCTTGACTTGAGAAGGGAAAGGGCTTCAAGACATGGGTGCCTTTAGGGATCTGAGGTAGGCAAGGAACTGTCTCTCCCTTTCAAGGACTATGTTCAAGGTGTGATACGTCAACACACCGAGCTAGACTAACAGTTCTGGGCCTTCATGGACATTCAAAAGGGCTACTAGCCTTTGAACTCCATAATTAATCCTCTCCTTGGGGGTTGGAGAAAATGGCATTGGAGTTGGGTCCTGAAGGAGTGCTGGGATTCCAGTCGCCGTCCATTGGGGATGGGCTTTCTCAGGTAAGAGTGGGGGTCAGGAGTGGGGGTAAGGTGTCACTCTGCAGCAGCTGGACTGGCCTGGAATTGCAGAGCAAAGGCCAGCCAGGCTGGAATGGAGGATGCATGAGCAGGGAGGCAGGCCACGGCATGGGGGCCACGATGCCCCGAAGAGGGGTCAGAATTGCTGGGCATGCTGGGACGTTTGAGTTGGAAAGATTAAGTGTGAGCCATTCAGATGGTGGTATGTGGAGGAGGGCCATTTGAGGAACCCAGATGGCATAGAGATGAAGTCACCGAGCAGCTGGGCTCACCTTGGGAGATGGAACACAGGGAGAAAAGAGGAGATGCCAGGACTGAGCCTGAGGAAGTCCAATCAAAGGCCTGGCGAGGACGAGACTGGCCAGAGGGGTGTAGTAAAAGGTCCGAGAGGGGATGGCTGGGGCTGGAGGAAACAAGAAGAGGAAGTACACCTGAGAAGACACTTATGTCCACGGGCCCAGTGGCTGTGAAGGAACGAAAAGGGGGTGGTACCGTTGGCCGACAGGCAGGCCTCTGCTTCCCAAGCCCAGCCTGAGGTGTCCTTAGTCCACAGTGCATGGGAAAAAGGAGGGCCAGCGGCAGGTGTTCCTAAAGCCAACTCGCTGCTTTCCAGTCAAAGAAGCCTCTCATTCTCAGAGATACATACATATGTACATACATACATATAAATATATATAATTAATATATGTTTTATATATATTTAATACATATTTATTGTATATTTTTATATATTATATTTATAATACGTGTTTAATATACATTTTTTCATATATATTTTTTTCTGTTAAAACATCTTTCTCTTAATTAACTAATGATGATCATTGATGTGAATTGGTTTTTTCCAAAAGTCTTTACTTGGCAAAATAACAAGCTGGCAGTCCTAAATTGTTGCCATCAGCACATCCCCTTTCTTAAATTGGACTGGCCTGGGGGAAGTGTGACTGAGATGGTGCTCTCCCTGGAATTAAAGGAGAAGGATGACCCTAAACAGGGTTTCCAGAGGCTCACAGTAAAGTGGAGGGTCATTTGAAAGGCAGATCTTGGTTTTGACCATGAGTTTGGTGTTTTCAGTGGACTTGAAGCTGCTGAGAAACATCCATGAAGTGTTCTTGTCGGTGGAGTCCGCAGTGGAGATTGCAGTTCGCTGAGTCATTGATTGCAGCTCCCTCCGGGCTCTGGTTCCCAGATGCGGCGGTGCACGTCTCCAGTCCCCTTGGTGTGATTGTTTCTGCCTCCAGTCATTCCACATTGGTTACTGTAGCTAAGGCTTGACCAGTAAGTGCATGCCTGCCATGTGAACTACTCAGCTGTAGGTCACATAACCCTTAGCAGCCTGGGCAAGGCCCTAGACTTTACATACCTTGTAGCGTTGTCAGGATAGTCTTGGCTCCCCTCTGCCCCATCCCTGTAGACAGATGGAAGGCTAGGAAGGGTTGATGTTATCAGGTCTCCCCAGCACCAGATGAGCGATTTCATTACAATGGTGTTTTCCGAGTGTTCTGATGGACTGCCTCTAAGTGAGGCACGAGAGTAGAACGATACAGACTTGGGGAGAGAGCAGTGGCAAGTGGTTCTCTGGCAAGAACTCAACATTAACATTCCAGGAGCCAGGTGCTGAGTACCACAGGCAAAGCATGGTGGCTTTGAGGTCCCGTCCATGGTCTCTTCCTCGGCCCCCTTGATCAGGCTGGGAGATAATGTCTCTGATATCCCTGTGAGCGTCCCTGGAGAAGTGGTGTGCCATGAGCAGGAAGGCATCATGTACCCCCATCAACCCACCAAAGCATGAAAAAGAACACGTTGCTCTTAGTGGCAGTGTTAGCAAAGAATAATGCGTTCTTCCCTGCTCCCTCATTCCAAGCCTAAGGGACATCATGTGCCCTTTCCTCTTGCCCAGGTGAACTTCTATTAGATTAGTGCCACAATTCAGTGTCGTCTTTTCGTTCTGCTACTTCGCCGTTGGACATTAATCTCCCAGCTCTCATTCCTGAAATCATTTCACCCTGCAAGCTTACCTTCCCTACTGTATTAGGTTCTGCAGAGAAACAGAACCAACAAGAGTAGGGGTAGGGAAGAGAAGGGAGAGAGATTATTTTATTATAGGAATTGGCTCACGCAATTATGGAGGCCAGGAAGTCCCACCATCTGCAAGCCGGAGACCCAGGAAAGCCAGTGGTCTCATTCAGTCCAAGTCTGAAGGCCTGAGAACTGGGGGTGGGGTGGGGTGTGGAGTGGGGTGGGTGGGTGGGTGGTCATAGTGTAAGTCCCAGAGTCTGAAGGCCTGAGAACCAGGAGCTTTGGTGTCTGAGGGCAGAAGGTGGATGTCCCAGCTCAAGAAGACAGACAGAATTCACCCTTCCTCCACCCTTTTGCTCTATTCAGTCCCTCAATGAATTGGATGGTGCCCACCCACATTGGTGAGGGTGGATCTTCTTTGCTCAGTCCACTGATTCAAATGCTTATCTCTTCCAGAAATTCCTTCCCAGACACACTCAGAGATAATGTTTGTACCAGCTATCTGGGCAAGCTTTAGCCCAGGCAAGTTGACACACAAAGTAAACCATCATGTATATCCTCTGCAGAACCTCCTGTGCTTTGCCACTTCTGAACAGTGGAGGATTTTATGCCTTAGGCATTTTGGACGTCTTTCCTTGCACATATATATTTGAGATTATTTTTAAGATGTGGGAAATTGTCAAAAATGCCGAATTCTGGACAATGAGGGATTTCATATATATATATACATTCAGATTTTTTTTCTTTCCTTTTTTTTTTTTTTTTTTTGAAGACAGGGTCTCGCTCTGTCACCCAGGCTGGAGTGCTGGAGTGCTGGAGTGCTGGAGTACAGTGGCGTGATCTTGACTCACTACAACCTCTGCCTCCTGGGTTTAAGCGATTCTTGTGTCTCAGCCTCCTGAGTAGCTGGGATTACAGGCACGTGCCACCATGCCTGGCTAATTTTTGTATTTTTAGTAGAGACGGGGTTTCACCATGTTGGCCAAGGCTGGTCTCGAACTCCTGACCTCAAGTGATCCACCCACCTCAGCCTTCCAAAGTACTGGGATTACAGGTGTGAGCCACCCCACTCAGCTGGATTTCATATATATTCAGATTTAAAGGAAGTTTGTGGAAGTGGAACTCATAATTCTGAGTGGTGATGTGATTTCTAGAGAATTCTCTGGCCAAACGACCACTATCATGATGACTAGTTTTGTGTTTTTAACTGTGGGTCCTGTGAAGCGTACCAAAAGGACTGCTTGCACCTTGCCTCAGGAGCGCCTCTTCGGATTCCCAAGGCAGACCTAATGATAGGAATATTCACACTATTGATTTTAAAATTTCAGAAATTTTAAAAGTGAAGTTGAAAGAGCAAGTCTTCTTGAAGCAATCCCGATGACGCAGATGGCTCCTTATTTTTAACTTAAGGGCGCTTGTTCCAGAACTGTGCACAAACTGTAGCTGTTACCATAGAAACACTCTCAGTCCAGATAGGAACAAAACATTCGGTCCATCCAGTTTCTCTGCCTCTTAGTTTTTGTTGCCAGGATCAGTCCTGCTGTTCATCAGTTGTCGAGGATCAGTGTAGTGTTATGATTCCAGTTGAATTTGATCAATCACTTGGATTTTTTCATTTCTCAAATGACTTCCTATCTGGGTTTTAGGGGTGGGGCACAGTTGTGAGAAATAAGGAAAAGCATCTTTGCCACTGTGGCTCTGTCTTCCCTATTCTGGTCAACACGGAGAAGCCTGTAGACTCACTGCTTTTTATTTGATGAAGTTGCTCTCTGAAGATCTGTCTGTTGCAAAGGGAGAAGATGTCAGGGCTGGGAAGCTGAGGACGGGGTGAGATATTGGTGTATTAGTAGACCTTTCTTATCCCACATATTCTAGATTCAGACTTCTCAAACTTCTGACATAAAGAGTTGAGTAGAATGGACGCTGGTTTAGTTCAATCAGCTGAAGTGATTTCATTGTCCATCTGACTTACATCTCAGCTGTTTTCTTTAACCTTTGCTTTTTATTTAAATGGGTATTTACAACAAGAAAACTAAGAGAAAATGTAAGGAGTATCGAACCTGTAGCCGTAATTGCAATCTGAAGGTATGAGGCTCTAAGCTGACCCCGCGTCCTGGAATGTGCCATTGGGATCCCTCACGACTCATCACCATGGGATAGGACCGTGGGCTGTCCAGAGTTCTGCTTGCTATTCCAGAAAGCAGCAGGATTTTAGGACCATGAGAAATGATATTGTAGACTGCAGATTTTTGGTATAAATTCAAATAATTAGGGATTATTCTTGATATGCCTCAGAACTTTTTATTATTGAAAGTGCATTGTTTTCCTATAAAAATGCAAATCGTATTTAAGATTTTCATGTGAATTGTGAGAGTCTAAATAGTTTCTGCGGCATAAATGCATGGTTTAATGGTGCCTGGGTTGTAACAGAAAAGTGTTTGAGCAAAAATCATAAGGGAAAAATGATTCATATTTTATGTCTGTCTACATTAGACCTGCTCAGGGAATAGAATTTGGGAAACACATAATAAATAAGAAACCTGCATGCTTGATTGAACATTTGCTTTCTTCACTATCAGGACACGGGGGCATATATTTTAAGGCTTTTAAAGGCATTTGGGAGAGATTTTATATAGGCCATAAAATGCATTACCCCTCAAAAATAAAAATCACTGAAGAATATAGTTGGCTCACAGAAAAAAAAAAAAATCCTCTCTAATTTTAAGCTGCTATTAGTTCTCTTTACAAAAAACTCGGGAAAGTTATTTTGTTTTGCAAACTTTAACCATGACCTTGCTTTACTTCCATGTATTTAATTTCACTGAAATGATATTTCAAAGAAAAGCCTTTCTGGAAATTGTTTTTCCTTTAATACCCAAAATTGGAACAACAGCACTCACAGGAGCGAGGCTCCAACCAGTGGATCAGCTGTTTGGCGTGGATGTAGAAGAAGGTGCATTGAAACTCAGTACATCTGTGTTTAGCCTTAGGCAGGAAGTCTGTTTCTTCAAGTAAACCTAACGTACTAAAGATACTCCCTGCAGATGGCTCGTTTCCGGCCCACGGCAAGGTAGACAAGTCATACGGTTTTAAAGGCAAAGCCGTCTTGTCTGTCTCATGGGGACATAAGAACAATCGATTGTTGAAGGAATCCTAGTGCTTTTGGCTTCCAGTACAGACAGACAGACAGATGTGCCTCTCTCGACCTTGCTGAAGCAGGCCCCAAATGTTCACACCTAGAACATGGGGACAAAGAAAGAAATTGAACTTTTCAATATGTTCCAGTTTCTTCTAGATTCATATATAGCTCTGAAATGAAGATGAGATTGTTTGCATTGTTGCATTGTTTTGAAATTTTATTATTAAACCCCACAATTGGAAGGCACAGAAATGTTTGCCTAGCATTCAGCACAGCCCAAACATTTCCAGATGGGTTGCAGATTTTGTTTCTGCTGGAGAGGTCGTCCCTTGCCGTTTGTCCTTGCATATTTTTCCTGCCAGCTGTGGGAAGTGACAGGACATGGTTTAATTTGGGCTGCTGTTCTGTTTCTTTATGCCTGCAGCAGACAGGTCTTTTGAAACTCACCCTTTGCCTCTCCTCCCTCCTATAATTCATTTTTTTCCTCATTCTTTTTTTCCTGACAGTGCATATTACTTGAGATTTTCCTGGAAAGGTTGTGATTATCTGGAATTGGATCTTCCGCCACCTTCAACAGCTTGAATCCTTGTAGGCTAGCAGCTAACCTAGAGCTGGCAGACTCAAATGGAATCTTGATCTCTTCATATTTAAGGCTCAGAAAACTCAAAAGGAGTGTTCTGTAAAATACTTCTGTTTATATTATATGTATGGTAATTAGTATGAGTATAAAATGGTCGGGCAAAATTTAGCTGGGCTCAGACTTTCCTGTGGATCAGATAAATGGAAATGAAAAAAAGTATGAGGACACAGATTTGCTGATTGTTCTTCATCTTTTATATTTATTTCTTAACTTGTCTTGGTCTACTGTAGAATGTTCCAGAAATGTCATTGGGTATAATGTCTGATTTAGCACTGACTTATTTGTGGGTTTGCTTGGAGTGTATTTTCCTTGGGCTTTGGATATATGACTGCCATAAATTTTAATTACACTAATTAGACGTAGGTGGATGCTTAAGCCCAGTTGGAGTCCTAGCCCTGTTCAGCTGCCTCTGTCATTAGTTTTTCTGGTGACATGGTTTGGCACCATCTTCCAACACGTTTTCCAGACATTAGTTTTAAGTTAGAAAATAACTTGTCTAATAAAGCTACTGACATTCAACTAGTGTCTTTACCTTGTTGAAGTGGACTTGAGTAAAATGCATACATTTAAACTGTAACTTGTGTACCCGTTTCTTTCCTTAACTGTGGGCTTTCAGATTCGTTTGGTGGCTAGAGAGGGAGTCATGCCCGATCCTCATGAGTCCATGTGCTCGTGTCTAGTTTAGGTGGAGCCTGACTTGGCACAAGGCTGGGTGGCAGGTTTTAACATGTGTGGCAATGCTAGTCAATTGGGGATATCCACATGGCTCATAGTGTAGAGAAGGCTTCTGAGGTCTAGACCCAGCAGGTGGGAAGCCAGCCTTGGTTAGTGCCGTGGACCGCGGGCACAGGAGGAGGCAGTCTCAGGAGCACCTCTGCCCTGCATCTCCCTCGGAGGATATAGGGCCACGTGTGCCTGCCACTTCCCTGTTCTCACAGCTCTTTGTGATCTCAGAGAAGCCTCTGGATTTTGTTTTTGGGCGAGTATGCCAACTATGTCCTCCACAGCATGGGGTTCAGGTTGAGTTTGCCATTCCTAGTTTCTCCCTAGAAACATATCCCTGATCTTTAACCCTACTTAAAGGGCTTAAAACATTCTACTCTTACTTTTAAAGGATGCTTTAAAAATACAGGCCACATCTGTTTCACTTAATCTGCATTCAACAGCACCTCATGACACAAAAAGTAATGCAGTCTGTTTGCCAAGCAAGCACTTGGAAATTTCGAGGCATGGAAACTGATAGGAGCCTCTGTTTTTCCACCTTGAGGATTGTTGCGCTTTGCATCCACCCAGATCATCTCTCACCAGCATCCATGCTCACAGGGCTGCCTCTCTTCCTCTCACATATTTGCAGGCGTGTTTGTTCACTGTTCAATGCACTCAGCTTTTGTCGAGTGCCCACTTGCTCTCCGCAAGGTGTTTTGAATTCATGTATGGCCAGGGGCTCTGGTGCAGGAAGGAGCACACAGAACCAGAAGACGCGGAGCATGGGGCTTCGAAGGTCTTTCCTTCAGGACGCCAGATGATGAGTGCATTTCTCCTTTGTTATTTTGCTAAAGCGGCTGACAGTGGTTAGACACAGCTGAGGAGGCGGGAGGCCGGCAGCACTTCTGGGGGTCCAGCATGCTGTTTAGCTACTGATGAGGGTGGGCAGAAGAAACAAGCAGACTCCCTCCTGCTCTGGGACAGTTTCATGTAGGAAACCAGGAGTCTGAGCCGCCGAGTATGGGCATGTTGAGGGCTGCTGGCCTTTTTGTCAGTTCTTCGGAACAGGCACGATGGGGTTATTTTCATCTCGAATCTCAGGCTAAGGGAGCTTCAGGAAAAGACTTCTGCACCATTTTTTAGGACATTGTTTCCATATCCTTTTAAGTGTAAGGGTCACTTGGTGTAATCATTTCACTACTTATTTGGCAAAAGGAGTTTATAGAATCAGTGTGAGACGTGGAGAAGGTGTGAAGACGGCGTTTTCAGTCCGCCGATGTCCTTTTTTCCTCCCCGTCTCTCTTGCAGAGTCGCCAACATCCAGCAGCAGCTGGCCCGGCTTGACAATGAGTCCTGGCCAAGCACGGCCGAGGCTGACAGGGACCGGCTGCAGCTCATCAAGGAGAAGGAGGCCCTGCTGCAGGAGCTTCAGCTCATCATTGCACAGCGCCGCTCTGCGGGAGATGTGGCCCGGCTGGAGGAGGAGCGGGAGCGCCTAGAGGAGGAGCTGCGGCGTGCACGGGCCACCTCCGCACAGGGCGCCACGGAGAGGTGGGTCAGCGGGGACACGACCTCCAGCGGAAAGCCTGCTGGAAAAACTCCACGGGGTGGCTTGTGTGTGGCTGGAGGGTGTTCCTGATGATCACTCAGAGCCTCTCCTGCCTGGATGTTCCCTGGCCTAGGAGGGGCATGCGGTGGGGGGCACTGCCTTCTGCTCCCTGGGTCTCTGGAGCCTCTGCTCCGAAGCAGGAGGTGATTGACAAGGGGGAAGGAGTGAGGGAAGATGGGTGACCTCCATCTCCGCCCACGCCCCACCCTTCCTGAAGTTGGTGCTTGGTGCTTCCACCTGCCTTTGTGGGACAGTGCCCTGAGCAGGCTGTGGTCCCGCTCCGGCCCGGGCAGCTCTGTTGCATGGGGGAAGAATTCCCTGTTCCTGACGTGGTGAGCATGGTGGGTATCCACCTACTGCTTTCCTCTCCAACTTTGATTTCTAGCCAGGAGAGCCTGCTCTTCTCTGGCATTGGGAAGCTGGCCACCTGTCGTGCGTCTGTCCTGAGGCTCCTTCACCACGCAGGACATGCAAAGCCAGCATAGTGGCTTTGGTATTCGGTGGCACTGAGTCGTTCAGCCTTTCCTCGTGTGCCGTGTGTCCTGGTTTCCATTTGCTGTGTGAGACTGCAGATTGTGTCAAAGGCTGGGCCTGCCTTCCACACTTAACAGCAGTTTCTCTGTGGCTATCAGCTGGGCTTTTGGAGAGCAGCCCCTCCCCCACGTGTTAAAGTCTTGCCCCCTTGAGCTCACATGAGCAGCTCTACAGAGACTCTAATAGATGCTTGGATGATTCGATCTGTTCAGATGCTCTTACTCCTACTGTTTCACGATGGTTGTATTGTTGGGCGTCCTTTATGCTTGATGTTCATGGGTCATCTTCATAGGAGACAAGTCTGTGGCTTGGCACGAGGGGCTCACGGCAGCCTCAGGGAAGCGGTGGTGTTTGGAGAGTTGAGCTCAGAGTCCTAGGCAGGTGAATTTCATTTTGCCTGAGATGGTGGCATGCCCTGTCACCTCACCCGGAATCAACCGCGAGGAGAATCTGAATGTGAAAGAGCTCTTGCACGGCTGCGTTTGTTTTCAGCTAAACATTTCCTTCTGTTCCACCCCTGGTATTCTTGTATGTGTGTTCTGCGTAGGAGGGCCTGGGAGTTCCTGTTGCTTCTCTGTGAAGGGGGGAGGACTTGGCCCCACAAATGTCGCCTGCATCTCAGGGCCCCACACCCACGCTCCTTTGACTGTGGCTGCTGTCACCATGTGGAAATCCAGCACACACGAGTGCTGTGGCCCCTGAGTACAAGTCTGCAGCCCTCCATGGAGCCAGTGTTAGCCCCGATGCCTGGGTTCAAGGGTGGGGACAGCAAAGCCGGACCAGCTTTGACTCCCATGGGGGTCTCTCGTGAGACCAGCCCAGGTGCTGAGTCCTGGGACTCAGAGCCCTCGACCAGGACCTAATCGCCCCAAGCGTGTTTCCTGAATCTGCTGCTAAATGACCTTGGCCGGAAAAGCACATCCACATGTGCTAAGCACTTGCACGCACATCGCATGGGGGTGGGGCTCTTGTAGCTCTGGGCTTTCTGTGCCGGTACACGCAGGGCCCATTTCTCCACTCCACCTCCCTTCATTGGAGGGGTGTTTGCAGTTTGCAAGTATGAGGCCACATGGTAGGAGGCTTCCCCCAGCACAGGCTGGCAGCATTAGGAGACCCGGCGTGGGCCAGGTGCAGAGAGAGAGTGAGGTTGGTGCCTTAAGGCTGAGCCGTGCCAGCTGTAGAGCTGGGCCCAGTCTGCCTGTCTCACCTGCAGTGTCATCAGCAGCAAATGGGAGGCGTTTGCCGGGCTGGGGGTGTCATCCGGGGGAGAAAGAGAGAGATGCGCACCTCCTTCAGGCCTCCCGCCCCGGCAGATGATACGTGCGGCGGCCTCCCAGCTGCTCAGAGCCAGCATCTCTGGAGGGAGCTGGTGCACGTCTCCTGGGCTGAGGGAGCAGGCTTGAGGTGAAGGACACATACCCTAGATAATCTCTCGGATGGCTCGTGTCAACGCTTGCAACATCCTTTGCTATTTTAGCTTGCTCATGTTAGTGTGTGGCAGGCATTTATACAAGATGCTGATGTTCAACAGAGAACCCCACGGCTCTATTACAAGATGCCTGCCATCCTGAGAAATTCTCTTTCCAAGGATGACTGCTTTTATTATAGGGGTGATTATAAAATGAAAGATCTATCAAAAAGCAAAAATTTTGTTCTGCTGAACCTGAAGTCATGTTTTCCTTTGTCATAATTTAATGACATCTTTACAATAAAGTACTTTATGTAAAGTAAATAAAGACAGTAAATTAGACTTTATATTTTCTTAATCTGTTAGCTTACTTTTCTACTCCTTTTCATAGCAGTGGTAAATATTCTTTGAAGTTCGTTTCATTTGAATTGGAGACACAAGGCTATGTGCTTTAGGAGTTGGGCCCTGGCCAGTTTTCTGCCAGGAAACTGTATCCCCTTTTCTTTTTGTTGAAAAAATAAGTACAGAAGTCAGGCAAATGTCTAAGACTCTTATTTTAGCAGTTTATGTTCCAGCCAGTTTTTTAGATGTCTCAGTTATTGCCAGCGTGGCCCCTGTTTGGTAAGGAAGTTACATTTTTAGTCATCTGCAACTTTCAGAATAACCAGCATAAAATTAGACTGCAAATGTGGGCAGTCATGGGCACTTGTGTGTGATCTTGTATCCAGATGCGCTGTCTCTTGTGCGCTCCGAAATGCACCTGTTTGTATAATGACAAATGTGTTGTATTGGATAGAAGGGGGGAATTTGATCTAAAACTTTTTTCACTACAGATAAAACAATCTGAAAATAAGTCATGACTAAAGACAGTCTAAAACCGAGCCGTACATATGAATGTATCTATATGTCATATGTGTGAAAACAGAGCTGGAATGCGCTGACGGATTTAGCGATGGGTTGGAAATTCTACCCTGGTCACTCAAGAGTGGAGCCAGTTTTCAGTAGGAACTCAATTTAGATTCTATTAATTTGGGATTTGAGCTAATAGAATTCAGGTTGGGTTAGAATTTCTGAAAAGCATTAAGAAAAAAGTTAGTAGCCTTGGACCGGGCTTGGGTAAATTCCCTACAACAAATGGCTTCTTGGAGCTGGTCACTGTTTGCCACTGGATACGCTCTGCTGGTGTCGTCTCTGCCCCTGGAGTCCTCTGTGACTTAATAGTGTCCCGGTGCTTGTGAGAGTGGGTTCCAAGTTACAGCTCCAAAGCTCAATGAAGGATGTATTTTGAACTCACTTTTAAACTCCCTTTGAAAACTCTCGGCTCTCCATCTTCTGAAAAAGATGGGGTTTTTGAGGATATCGCCCTTGATAAGCGTCAGATAGGATGTGAGTATCACAGAAAATTGGGGAAATGTTTTTCAGTAGTAAAGGAAATGCCTGTTTGTTGGTAGTGTGCCTTGGCTTTAGGGTCAATCCAGCCTGACCGAACTTTGAGCTTGCGTAGCAGACGCAAGCTACTTTATATGAGTTTCTTCATCTGTAAAGCAGGAATAGAATCCAAAGACCAGTAAGGAATGAGGCAGTGCATAGAAAGCAGTGTGCCTTTCTATAAGCCCCTCAGTGGAACTTTTTTTTTTTGAGATGGAGTCTCGCTCTGTCGCCCAGGCTGGAGTGCAGTGGCACGATCTTGGCTCACTGCAAGCTCCGACTCCCGACTCCCGGGTTCACGCCATTCTCCTGCCTCAGCCTCCCGAGTAGCTGGGACTACAGGTGCCCGCCACCACGCCCGGCTAATTTTTTGTATTTTTAGTAGAGACGGGGTTTCACCGTGTTAACCAGGATGGTCTCGATCTCCTGACCTCGTGATCCGCCCGCCTCGGCCTCCCAAAGTGCTGGGATTACAGGCGTGAGCCACCGCGCCCGGCCCCAGAATTGCTTTTTAAACGTTACTTTCATTTGTACAAGCTATCAAAACATTTTCCTTAAAAATTAAAATATCATAGGTAAGTGGAATCTTAGAACATTCTACTCAAGAGTTTATTACAGCTGTTCTCAAACATTTTGGTCTCAGAACCTCCTTCCGATGTTAAAATGCTGAGGATCCCAAAGAGCTTTTGTTTGTGTTGGTTTTTTTAAAGTTCTTTTTTCTAACTGTTTTGTTTTGTTTTTCATTTTTCCCCACCCAGGGACCTATCAGTGTTTATGTGGATTTTTATCTGTCAGTATTTGCTAATTTAGAAGTTAGCGCTGGGAAATTTTTAAAATATTTATTTATTAAAGATAACAATAGGCCGGGCACAGTGGCTCATGCCTGTAATCCCAGCACTTTGGGAGGCCAAGGCAGGAGGATTACTTTAGTTCAGGAGTTAGAGACCAGCCTAGGCAACATGACAAAACCTCATCTTTACAAAAAATACAAAAGTTAGCTGGGTATGGTGGCACATGCCTGTGGTCCCAGCTACTTGGGAGCCTGAGGTGGGAGGATGGCTTGAGCCCGGGAGGTGGAGGTGGCAGTGAGCTCTGATCGCACCACTGCACTCCAGCCTGCACAACAGAGCAAGGCCCCATCTCAATAAATAAAAAAAGACAATACAAACCCTATTATGTGTTAATATTAGTAACATTTTTATGACTGATAACTTTTTTGAAACAAAAAACTATAGTGAGAAGAGTGGTATTATTTGCCCTTGCTATCCATCTCTTTAGCGTCTGGCTTGCTAGAAGGCAGCTGCTTTGGCCATTGGTGCATTCGGCCTGTTGAGATAGGGTCATTTTGAGTGAACACGTGAAGACCATCTAGCTGCTTACCGATATGCCATTGGGAAGGAGGGGACCTCATAGGACCCCTGAAGGAGTTTTGGGGATCCGCCAGGGGTCTTTGGATCATGCTTTGGAAACCATTGGTTTCAATATATGATATTGAACTTGAAAGTGGGTTGTGTCGTGGCTCCATTTAGGACGATGCTTGTTACTCTCTTGCCAGCTGACCTCTGCATGGCACCATTTGGAATTTTGTTTGCATCAAGAGAAACAAAGGCTCATCAGAATTTATGGCATGTGGTTGAAACTTGTAAACAAACTCAGACTGGTTTGTCTTCCTTATCCTAAGTTGGTGGCGCATCTGTTTCCTTTATGGGTGATAGCAGCTCTTTGTCAATCACGTGTCATCTGCCGTACATTATTTTATCTATGCAGCATCAGTTCCCTGAGCTGGAGATTGTGGACTCCATTTTTACAGGTAATGAAACTAAGGGCTCAGAGAGGGTGAGACATTTGCCTAAGGCCACACAGCTTGTGAGTGACTGGCCAGGTGGGATTCTCTGAATCCCAGGCTGCTGTCAGACACTGTGTCTGGTTTCCTCTCACTCCCACCTAGCCAAGCTCTTTAAACCCCTTCGGCATGTCCCCTTCCCTGTTGGTGGAAAGAGGAAGGTATTAAAGGGGCCTACTGTGGCCACACGTCACAGTGTCATTTCCATTTGTAAACCAGGAGTGTTTCCTTCTAGAGGCAAACATATTTATTCATGGAGTTGTCCAACAACTGTGTATTGAGTGCCTATCCACAATAGGCTCGATTCTAGGCGGTGGGCCTACTGCAGTAGGAATAAATTTTATTCTACAAAATTACTAAGTAGAAAAAAGTAGAAGGAAGGAAAACAAAAATACCTCCAACCCCATGGCCTGGAGATGGCAACGGCTGCTGTTTTGTTTCATTTGCTTCTAATGTTTTAACTGTATAGATCTTAGAATTATATTTGTTCTTCTCTAGAAGGTGGCCTAGTATGAGGGAATCTGATTTGTTCCAAGGAATTTCAACAGATGACTGCGTGCTCTGCGTTTGAGCTCATCTGCTAGTTATCTGTCCTTCTGCTCACTTACCACTCCTCCCATCCATCCAAGCAGCCATCCCCAGCCACCCACCCAGCCAGCCATCTAGCCACCCACCCAGCCACCCACCCAGCCACCCATCCAGCCACCCATCCAGCCACCTACCCAGCCAGCCATCCACCAACCCAGCCACCCATCCAGCCACCCACCCAGCCACCCAGCCACCCATCCAGCCACCCACCCACCCATCCAGCCACCCACCCATCCAGCCACCCACCCACACATTGACCCATCCCTGTGCCCACTCCTCTTCTCACGCATCCCCTCCCCCGTGCACTGTGCCTGGCGCTTCCACAGAGTAGCAGGCACTGCTCAGGGTGCCAGGGATGTATTTTTCAAACGGGACAAAAGCAGTCTCTGTGATCTTGGCCCTTGTGACCTGGGTGCTTTTAGAATGGGTGGTGATTGCAACCTAATTCAGCTGGAGGGAATTGATAGTGGACTGTCTTGTTATGAAAATATTCTCCCTGTCTTTGAAATGTACTAATCGACTGTCTTCTTACCTACAGGATTCTGCTTCAGGAAAAAAGGAATTGTCTACTTATGCAGCTGGAAGAAGCCACCCGCTTAACATCCTACCTCCAGTCCCAGTTAAAAAGGTAGGTTACTTTCAAAGAGAAAACTGTACTTGTTCATCATGTTCCAATGACTGGTACATGAACTCGTTTCTTGTAGCTTGACCTGAAATGTTGTTAACACAGAATGGATACATTATATTTTTAACATGCTACTACTGTATGACTCAAGGAATATGGAGAGAACCACATTTGGCTTCAGGGTAAATAAGAGGCCTGAAGTCAGATGTATTCAAGGATTTTGTAACCTAATTAACAGTTTCAGAAGTGTACATCTATACACGTGCGCATTTTTGTTTTGGGTTTTTTTTAAAAGCATACGAACTTTTTAAGCTAGTAAGATTTGGCTGCTCAAGAATGGCCAATGTCAAGGGCCTCAGATGTGTCATTTTCTCAGATATTCCTCCTAACAATGCCCCAGGTGGGAACTGTTCTCACCCCAGCCCCAGTGGGAGCCCAGAGGGGGTGAATGGCTTGACCAAGTGTACCTGGCTAGTATGTGTTCCAGCCAGGACTGGGACTGGGACTTGGGCACGGGTCTCTGCTGTTGCCCACTGCTCTCTGCCACCCTTTCCGTGCTCACAGGGTGAGCAGGGGTGGCTGCCCTGCCATCTCAGATGGCCATGCTGTCTCATTTCAGCCTGTGTGCCAGCACCCTGACGGTGTCCTCGGGGAGCAGCCGCGGGTCCCTAGCCTCCAGCCGTGGGTCTCTGGCCTCCAGCCGGGGCTCCCTGAGCTCGGTCAGCTTCACGGACATCTACGGCCTCCCGCAGTACGAGAAGCCCGACGCTGAGGGCAGCCAGCTTCTACGCTTCGACCTCATTCCCTTCGACTCTCTGGGGCGAGATGCTCCCTTTTCAGAGCCCCCAGGCCCCTCGGGCTTCCACAAGCAGAGGCGGTCCCTGGACACGCCCCAGTCCCTGGCATCGCTGTCCTCCCGCTCCTCGCTGTCCTCGCTGTCGCCCCCAAGCTCGCCCCTGGACACGCCCTTCCTCCCTGCCTCACGGGACTCGCCGCTGGCGCAGCTGGCGGACAGCTGTGAGGGGCCAGGCCTGGGCGCCCTAGACAGACTGCGGGCACACGCCTCGGCTATGGGGGACGAAGACTTACCAGGCATGGCGGCCCTTCAGCCACACGGGGTCCCCGGGGATGGGGAAGGGCCGCACGAGCGAGGACCCCCACCAGCCAGCGCTCCCGTGGGTGGAAGTAAGTGCGGATGTGGCCTCCTGCGGGGCGAGGGTTACCTGCAGGGCGGAAACTGTGGGGTCCAGAGTGAGGATGGCTGGCTTTCCAGGTCCATGGTGAGCTTTACGTTTAGGAATATTGATGTGATCGGGAAGAGCACACACCTGCTCTTTCTGATCTGTGTTGGGGAAAGATCATTGAAATTGACAAAGTTGTCTTTCCTAGGTATTTGGCTTGTTTTCAAAAAATACTTAATTGTTGAAAACTAGGGTAAGAACTACACAGGCTTCCACATTCAGAGGCTGCTGGAGATGGATTAGGGCCTTCATGACCTTTGCAGCGTGCGTGCCGAGATGGAACCGTCAGTGTGTGCCCGCCTGAGACCATTATGCCAACAGGTGTCTGGTTGTAGCTAGTGGAAATCTTGACTTCTTTTGTTGCTTTGACATCTCTTTATCTTTTATAGTTTTCATAGTTTCCAAGAACATAGGTCTATCAAATGTGGAAGTGAAAATAATTGTGTAATTTCAAAAGACATGCCTGTAAGTATCGGTCATTTCTACTGATTTGGTTTCTCTGGTGATTCTTCAAATGGAAAAACACGGAGCTCCGTGGAGCCTCATCCATTCAGTTGGTGTTGGTTCAGCTCCTCCTCGGAGCTGGGGTCTTTCAGCTTGTAGCCTGCTTGGAAGACCAAACTGCTATTGAAGGGAATATTGACCCCATGTGCTTTTCTCAGCCACCCATGGCAACTTTATCTTCCTTTGGTTTTAAAGAGGATCAAGAACAAGGTCTCCCGTTCCTGAAGTTCAGCCCATTTAATTGACTTTTATTTGCACGGCAAAAATGTTTTAAATGTTCCATTTAGGCAAACACTAGATAATTTGTGCAGCATAGTGGATCTCAGCCAGGGGTGTTTTTGCGTCCTGCCCCTGGGGAACACTTGGCAATGTCTGGAAACATTTTTGGTTGTCACAACTAGGGGATGGGAGATGCTCCTGGCATGCACAGGGCAGCACCCCCTCCCCCTCGAGAATGGTCCAGCCCCAAATGTCAAGAGGGCTGAGGCTGAGAAACCCTAGTCACGTACTATGGAGTATTTATGCGGCAAGGGGTAGAAATAAAACTAGAGAGCAGAACCAGTGTGGTGTAGTGGAAACAGCTTCAAACTAGCAGCTGGGAGACCAGGCTTTTGTTCCCTGCCCTGTCCACTTCTAGCTGTGTGACCTTGAACACATACCTGGACTGAGTCTCACCTTTTCCACCCTTGAATGCAGTGATCTTTGTGACCCCTTCCATTTGCCACCATTCTGTTACCCAAGAGATAGATGGATTGGTAGATCAATAGATAGGTTGATCACTCTATAAAATAGTAGTCTGTTGGCACTTACGTGCGTAACCAGAGGCCATCATGTTCTGAGACTGCCCCAGGGCTTTTTGGCATCTCTATTTTGGTGTCTGCCCCTGTGTTTGCAAACACACTTTGGTATCCCCAGATACATTGTTTCTGAAGTCCATATATGCAGGTATCCTTCATTAGCTTTGTTCCTCTTTATAACCACAGGTTGATTGCTCCATGTTTATTCCGTTCAGTCAGAAAAGAAATATCCAATTAGGACTTCTTTCTTAGTCTCCCTCCTCTCTCCCACCACCTTCTCCTTAAGGGATTGAGATTCCAGAATGTCAGTCTAGTTAGGCATAAAATCTGCACAAGGCCCAAGGGCCACTTTGGGTCAGAGGAGAGACAGAGTGGGAGGGAGAAGCGCTGACTTAATTTCACATCCTGGTTTCTTTATTTTTTCCTTTGCTTTCCGTGGCAGATGCTATAATGGTTGAAACTTCTTGGACTGGGAAGTATTTGCTTACGTGTGTAGACACTGCCATCTCGTGGTGGAGCCATATGTCATTCGTGATTATTTCTTGTATTACACTGCCATCTTGTGGCGGATTCGTATATGACATTGGTGATGAATTCTTGTATGGCACTGCCATCTGGTGGCGGATTCTTATATGACACCGCCAATAAATTCCTGAGTGACACTGCCATCTGGTGGTAGATTCTTATATGACATCGGTGGTGGATTCTTGCGTGACACTGCCGCCTAGCGGTAGCTTTTTATGATACTGCCATCTGGTGATGGTTTTATATGTTACATATATTACATTGTTTCAAGGACACATATGTATTATGTTGTTCTAAGGACACGTTTATTTGTATCCTTAGAAACTTGAAATAGTTGACCCTGCTGGGTGTCCCCAGAGGGCCGGGTTGGGTAGCCAGCTTCAGGCATGGACACAGGGGGGGCTCCTCGCCTCCCCTGCCCCATCATGTATCAGCTGTGCTGGGAACACTGCAGTCTAAGTTTGGCCCCCAGCAAGTCTTAGTAAGACAAAATTTTTGTAAGATAAAAATCAAAGTTGTCCAAACTTGCAAACCAGCCTCTGAATGATTTTTTCCTTGTGTTTTCAATCAATCGGAGGAAACAGAAGGCAGGTCAGAGGAGTGGGGCAATACACTGTGATTTTTCATACTATTTACGTTTTTGTTACAGTTTTGTCTTCCCTGGATTTTAAAAGTCAAATGTGTTATGATTATGAAATACTTAGCTATTTTCATCTACCCATTAGTATTTGCTAATCAAAACCTGTAAAAATCTTGACTTTGCTCATATTGATGTTTTTATGATATTGATATTCTGTTTAATGTTGTTGGCTTAAATTCTGCAGTGTTTTCACTTTGTGCTTTTTTTTTTTTTTATCTCCTCATGCGGCTCGACAGAAGTGCTCACTGTAAGTGGCCTTGGGAGTCCCCTTGCTCAGCGTTGTTGCTCAGGCCCCAGGCATACGTTTGTGCTGTGGATGGATGTGTTCAGGATGGCTGGGGTGTGGCCAACGACGGTTATCTTATAGCTGTGCTTCAACACAAGTTGGCAATTGGCCTTATTGTTATCTCATTGTTAATATTCAAGCTGTTTAAGAACTTTCCTAGAAGCTTTCACTGTTCATTCCCTGTATGTGTTTGTTTCTGGAATGTAATGGCGTTCGTTGCTGTCATATGCCACCTGGCAGCTCTGCTATGCTGTGGTTTTGACTGTATTTTCTTCCTTTTTACCAAGCACTGTTCACATCCTTGGCTCTTAGTGTCTGTCTGTCTTGAATGATGAAAAGGGAGTAAAGAGATTTTCACATGAACATGGGGAAGATTTGACCCTTGTCTCCCTGGCACTGCTCCTGAGGGTCCACCTCTGTGCCTTGAAGCCCCAGGGCAGGTGTCCGGGGTGTGGAGCGTGGAGTCTGTGCTTTTTCTCAGCCGGGGCAGTTGCCGACAGGACTTCCTCCTGGCAGTTCCTACTTCCACCCACCCTGTGGGTCCAGTGACTCAGCCTGGGCTTCGAGGATTAGCTCCTTCATTTCTTTCCTCTCTGTATTGACTTCTATGGCAATGATGAGAGAGAAACGTGGCCAGACTTGCGCCTTGGGCTGGGTTGGTTGCAGGTGCTTAGGCTCATTACCTGGTGCTGTTTCCCTGCAGGCATCTACAGCTGAGTCTGGGGACCACGCGTGTCAAGGCTGGGAATGCAAATGGTAGTGGTGGTTTCCTTTGCTGGGGGTTGATGCAGTGGTTGGGGGGGCTTCCATTTGCAGTTGAGGGCCAGGTGTTTGGGTCCTTCCATGTGGCAGGGATAAAGAGGAGAGCTGGCATCTGGAGTCATGATCTGTCTGAGAGGCAGTGCCTCCGGCCACCGTAGGATGGAGGCCAGCTTCCAGCCCTGGCTGATGGGGGAGAAGCAGCGAATTCTCCAGATGTGGTATGGCAGACCTTTGGAAGATTCACTCGGCCTCCACTTAACCTTGTGAGACCAAAGGCCACAGCCCCATGTGTTCTGCGTGCTGTTGAACATGTTTGTATTTCATTGGCGTGGATGATAATTTGGTTGAAAGGAGAGATGGTCACCAGTGGACTCAGTTTAGGAAGGCACAAAGGTCAACCCTTTCCGTTTCTAGAACTTAGCCAAAGAAAAGTGCGGAGATGGAAGCGGGAGCTGGCTTTGAGTGACGGTGGAGTGCCCAGCTGGGGCTTCCAATTTGATTCCGTGTTCCAGCCGAGTGTGCCCCTCCACAAAACAGACTCCTGGGCTCACAGTTGCATTTAGCGCGGGAAGATGATATACATGTTTGTATTGGTTTTGTTAAAAGGAACTTATTGCTATGAGGAAATGGGTAGAAACGGCTGATGAAATGTTAAAAGGAAACATTTCAATGGCTATTTTTGGCTCTTGAATAAAATAGATGTGAAAGATAAAAATAAGCATAGCAGGAATAGCAGCGTGCTAACCCAGAAGGGCGGCTGGAAGGCTCCTGCCTGCGGTCACTGAGACAGCCACGCTTGAGCCCCAGCTTCCTCCCCCGGGGCCGCAGGCCTCCCAGGTGGTGTTTTCAGAGAATGAGTGTGGGTTCAACTGTGTCCTCTGCTTTGAAGGTTGCTAATTTTTCTAGGGTTTATTTGGATAATTAAAATGTTTTTTTCCTGAGTATAAAAGCAGTATTTGTTGTATAAAACATGGGAAATACCCGACAGCATAAAGAAGGCAGTGAAAACCATGACCTCTTGGCGAGCGCCGCTGCTGTTCCCATCGGGCTAATGCTGCTTTCCTGTCTCGTTTGTGTGCGCGGCTTTCAGAAAGTGCCATTTGAGGGGCTTCTCATCGTCATCTTATGTTCTGTGTGTTCATTAAGGGGGTGGAAATAGATTTATGAATCCAAGAGGTAGCAGAAGTTCATTTCTTCAATTTTCCCATATGAAAAACAACTAGAGCACAGCATGTCTCCGTGTGTGTGTGTCCCAGCGAGTCTCTGGAACACTCATTGACGAAGTGTGTGCTCCAGCGTCAAGGACCCCGGTCCCCGGTGCTGTTATTTCCTGACCCTGTGTGTGTCCCTTACTTACAGCAGTGACTCTTCGAGAAGACAGTGCCAAGAGGTTGGAGAGGAGGGCACGCCGCATCTCCGCATGTCTGTCGGATTATTCGCTAGCCAGCGACAGTGGGGTGTTTGAACCTCTAACCAAAAGGTCTGAAGCTAGTCTTACTATTTCCTTCTCCCTACGCAGAATCACCTGTGTTACTGGCAATCACAAAAAGATTCCGTACTGAAACTTTCATACATTGACACTTTGTTTATTTTTCCAGGGGTAGGATATTTTTCTAGCTTCTTTCACCTTTGGGTGATTGGGTTTTAGAAAGAAGTCTTTCTCCCTGGCCCTGGGGGCCTAAGGCTTGAGTCTGATGGAGCTCAAAAAGGAGAATCAATGTATGGGAGAGCCCTGCTTTTCTGGAAAGGACATTCATTCATTAGAAATGAATTTCTTCCCTCCCTCCCTTCCTTGTTTTCGTAGCTATAGGAATGGTTTCACAATGACACAGCGCCTTTTGGAATTCCATGCTTTATTTTGATCGGGCATCTTTGATGTCATTATTTCTTTGTACAATTTAAGTCTCCGGTATCTAGAAGACAGTTCACTTAAAGTTAATTTTTGAACATTTCCTCAAGTATTACATGTGGTTTTGAAAGGCGTGCAAGGTTACTTTCTTCTTTTATTTATTTATTTTTTGTTTGTTTGTTTGAGACAGGCTCTCGCTGTCGCCCAGGCTGGAGTGCAGTGGTGCAATCATAGCTCACTGCAGCCTCAAACTCCTGGGCTTAAGCAGTTCTCCCACCTCAGCCCCACAGATATCTGGGATTATAGCACACACCACCGTGCCTGGCTAATTTTTGTATTTTTAGTAGAGATGGGGTTTCATCATGTTGCCCAGGCTGGTCTTGAACTCCTGGGCTTAAGCGATCGGCCCGCCTCTGCCTCCCAAAGTGTTGGGATTATAGATCTACTCCACCATACTTGGCTAATTTTGTTTGTATTTTTAATAGAGATGGGGTTTCACCATGTTGGCCAGACTGGTCTCAAACTCCTGGCTTCAAGTGATCCACCCACCTCAGCCTCCCAAAGTGCTGGGATTACAGGCATGAGCCATCGTGCCCAGCCACAAAGTCTATTTTCCTAAAACAGGAACAACATAAGAAATAGGCTGGGCGCGGCGGCTCACGCCTGTAATCCCAGCACTTTGGGAGGCTGAGGTGGGCTGATCACCTGAGGTCAGGAGTTTGAGACCAGCCTGGCCAACATGGTGAAACCCTGTCTCTACTAAAAGTACAAACATTAGCTGGGCGTTGTGGTGGGTGCCTGTAATCCCAGCTACTGGGGAAGCTGAGGCAGGAGAATCGCTTGAGCCCAGGAGGTGGAGGTTGCAGTGAGCCGAGGTTGCACCAGTGCACTCCAGCCTGGGCAACAGAGCCAGACTCTATCTCAGAAACAAAACAAAATAAAACAACAAAAATACCCAGCAGTTTGTAGGCAGGTACCCAGTAAGATGCCTCATGGATTCTGGGGGCCCGCCCTGTTCCTTCAGACACATGATGACCTCATTGACTTAACGTCACAACTTAACAAAGCCCTCTCTCAGCACGAGGGAGCTCCTGCAGAATCTGTAGCGACCGGTTCCCTCAGGAATGAAGTTGGTTGCATTTACCCCTCTGTTCAGGAACGAAGATGCCGAGGAGCCTGCCTACGGAGACACGGCCAGTAACGGAGATCCCCAGATCCACGTGGGACTCCTGTGAGTACAGACCCTACCCTGTTTCCCCTGGGGCTGGGCTGGAGACTGGGCCCAACCCGTGGCTCCCACCTGCACACACAGGGCTGGAGGGACCCTTGTTACCCGAGGTCTGAGGTGAGGGGACAGAGGTGGCAGGAAGGAGTGACAGGGAAAAGTGGCTCCACTGTTGTCTTCCAACATGGAGATTCACAGCTGAGAGCCGCCACTTCCTGGAGCTGGGGGCTCCGGCAGGCAAAGTGTGGCTCTCGGGGACAGTTGCGCCCGTGTCTGCCAGGAGTTGGTTCTGCTCACTGCAGCACAGGTAGCGGACTCCCTCCCTCACCGTCAAGGAAGTAATCCGCTGGTTGGCAGGACAACAATTTTTGGTTTCTAATTACAGTGTCAATAAGGGCAGTGACTGTGAGGTGCCCCTGAGGAAAACAGGGTGTTTGGGTCCCAGCCATTTCCTTTGCTCACTCTCGTCACTTCAGTCCAGGGCTCCTCCACCTGGCATGGTTGGCATTTGGTCATTCTTTGTTACGGGGACTGTGCTGTACCTGGGCTTTACCCACTAGGTGCAGATGTCTCCTGCAGATAGGGTGGGGCAGAATCCCAGGCAGTGGATGGCCACTGCTGCAGTTGAGTCAGAAGGATGGTTTTACTTGGGGGGCACCTGCCGTCCATGACTCGTGTCTGGTTTCCTAGGCGCGACAGTGGCAGCGAGTGTCTCCTCGTGCACGTGCTGCAGCTGAAGAACCCGGCGGGGCTGGCGGTGAAGGAAGACTGCAAAGTGTAAGCCAGGCCCCAGGGCAGTGGCCAGCCAGCCACATGGCTGAGGAGGGAAAAGACAGTTTGGGAGCCTGAATTTCCAGGAAAGCACCAGGGAGTGTGTGTCTGAAGTGTAAAGTCTTCAAAAGAGTCTAGTGAATGATTTGAGGCTGGTGAAGGTGCCGGTGCTGGTGGCAAGCTAGTGTGTGCCGTGTTGGCGTGGAGGAAGCACTTGCCTGTGCCGTACAGGACTGCATCCTCCTGGCCCGGGGATGGGGTTGCTGATGTCGTCGTGCTCTGCTCTGTGATCTTGAGAGACCTCTGGCTGGGACCAGGGCATCCTTGACTGAGCGGGGAGGAGGAAATAGGCATTGGGAGCAGCTGGTGACTTTGGCCTCGATCGTGGGAGCGCTGCCTCTCTGAGCTCCGTGGCCCCAGATGGGGGCCTGATGGAGGGTCCCACTTACCCAAGCAGGTGACCATGCCTGTAATGGTCTGTTCAAGTCGCAGGGTGGGGCCCCTTTGGTGAGTCTTCTAAAGGCCTCAGGATCCCTGAGTGTGAGCAGCTGGGGGCTCGGCTGGGGTTCGGCCACCCCAATGACCTCTGCAGTGCTCACAGATGGCTCAGCCCCTCCCATGTGCCAGACTTGGGGCAGGGAGGGTGGGAAATACGGGCTACCCCATGGGTGATGGGCAGAGAAAGCAGTGGGGGAGCCATGCAGAAAAACCAGAGGGGCGATTCCCAAAAAGGTGGGGAGCAGCAGGGCCTGGAAGCATCCGCTGCTTCAGTCCTGGCTTGGAAGTCATCCTCCTTGTGAGTGACTTCCCCCATCCCTGGGGTACATCGTTCTATGCTTAGTTGAGAAAGGAACTTTTTGCAAAGGACTCTGAGACTGTAGCCACAGCTGCCCAAAGGGGGCTGCACGTGGGGGGTCTGTGCGCATTGTGTAGGTCGCGCCTGCTCTGGGACTGCGCCATCTGTGAGCGCCGCCTGCACGCGCTCTTCCCTCCCCCGTTCTGTTTGCAGCCACATCCGAGTCTATTTGCCCCCACTGGACTCGGGCACGCCCAACACTTACTGCTCCAAGGCTCTGGAGTTCCAAGTGCCGCTGGTGTTTAACGAAGTGTTCAGAATCCCCGTGCATTCCAGCGCGTTGACACTGAAGTCACTTCAGTTATACGTGTGTTCAGTGACTCCGCAGCTGCAGGAAGAACTGCTGGTATGGCGCCAGGCTCCGCCCGCCCCGTCCTCCTTCCTTCCTTCGTGTTTCAGTCAGCCGGTCTTTTTTTTGTGTGTATCTTTCTTTCCCTTCTTTCTCTTGTACTCTTTTGTGATGCTTTCTTAGGTTTCGTATGTCTTTGCCTTTTGGCCTCCCTCTCTCTCTTCTGCCTCCATCTCTAGTTCCCTCCCTCCTTTCCCCTCTGCCATCCTCCCTTTCTCCCGTGGTGGGTTGCTTGGAAGTTGTGATCTTCTTCAGTGTTTCTGTGGCTGGAAATACAAACAGGGATGATCCAACCAGTGATGTTGTCAAGCACCTTGTCCTCTAAATGTGTCCTCTCAACTAGTACTCACGACCCTGTGGGATGCCTTTGCGTCAGCCCCATCTTCAGTCCAGGGAACAAAGTAGGGTTGACAGATTTAGCAAATAGAAATACAAGACAGTCAGCTAAATTCGAATTTCAAATAAATTATGGATGCTCTTTAAAGTGTAAGTATTTCCCATGCGGTGTTTAAGACTCACAGGGAAACCCTGTGTTGTTTATTTGAAGTGCAGATTCACCTGGGCGCCCTGCACGTTACCTGGCAACCCCGGGGCGAGGCCTCAGGAGAATCCGCAGTTTGTCCTCAGTATCCCAGCCATCCAAGGCCCATGCCAGGGTTGGAAGCCAGGGTGGATTCCTTCCATGGCCAGAGTGTTCTGTCTTGGTTCTGTCCCCTCAGCGGCACAATTAGGGCATGTAGAGTTCAGCAGTCGTTTCTTATTTCAGAAATTCCTGAGCGAATCTGCCTCATCACTGCAGTAGAGCTGTGAGCCTGGCCCAGCACTCCAGGTTGCCCATTCTTTTGCCCTTTCTGATCCCTTCCCAGCACTTTCTGATTGGGCGGAACAGGCGACCAGGGAGCCACCCATTAGACTCCTCTGCAGTTGCTTTCATTGTGCTGCAGTCCTTTAAGTAGGAATGAAATCTTTTATGTCTTGTTTGGTTAAGATTGAAGGGTAGCCTGGGCACAGTGGCTCATGCCTGTAATCCCAGCACTTTGGGAGGCCAAGGCGGGTGGATCACCTGAGCTCAGGAGTTTGAGACCAGCCTGGCCAACATAGCGAAACCCCATCTCTACTAAAAATACAAAAATTAGCCGGGTGTGGTGGCGCACACTTGTAATCCCAGCTACTCGGGAGGCTGAGGCGAGGGAATCTCTCGAACTAGGGAGGGAGGTGGAGGTTGCAGTGAGCTGAGATCGCACCACTGCACTCCAGCCTGGGCAACGGAGCAACACTCCATCACACACACACGCACACACGCACACACACACGCACACACACAAAGATTGAAGGGTGAACTGGATTTTTTTGAGACAGGGTCTCACTCTGTTGCCCAGGCTGGAATGCAGTGGTATGATTTTGGCTCACCACAGCCTTCTGAGTAGCTGGGACCACAGTTGTACATCATCATGCCCGGCTGATTTTTAACTTTTTTGTAGAGGCAGAGTCTTGCTCTGTTGCCCAGGCTGGTCTCGAACTCCTGGGCTCAAGCAATCCTCCCACCTCGGCCTCCCAAAATCCTGGGATTACAGGCATGAGCCACCTGCCCTGCCTGAACTGGATATTTTAAAGGACTCTAGTCATCACGGCGAAATCATTCAGTGCCTGTTCTGGCATTTCTTTAATACCCCTGCAGGGCATTGCTCAGATTAACCTGGCTGACTATGACAGTTTGAGTGAGATGCAGCTGCGCTGGCATTCCGTGCAGGTGTTCACCAGCTCTGAACCATCAAGGACGCGGGAGGCTGGGTGTGCAGGAGAGAGCTCCGCCCGGGACCCTGCACACACCATCTCCATCTCCGGCAAGACGGTACTTGGCCCTGCTCTAAGGAGCTGATCACTGCTGCCTTCGTGACCCTGAGACTGGCTTTGTCTTGGGGAAGTCATTTCTTAGAAGTGTCTTTGTAGACGTAAGTCAGTATAGTGGGGTAAAGGAGTAGAGTTTCCATATGGCCATTGCATGCGAATGTTTTTTTAATGCAAATGTGTTCATGGTCATGGGTGGTACACTGGCTAGTTTTAAATATGAGCCCTCAGAGCTGCAGGAGAAGGCCACATGAATGCCTCCACCACAGACCTAGGTAGGGTGAGTTTCTTCTCACGGAAGGGCAGCAGAGTGGCCTCCTACCTGTGCCATGTGGACACCTGCCGTGTGCGCAGGGTCTGCTGGCCTGAGCTGTCCTCACGCACCCCCTCTTCCTGCAGGATGCGGTGACGGTGCTCCTGGCCAGAACCACGGCACAGCTGCAGGCGGTGGAGAGGGAACTGGCCGAGGAGCGGGCCAAGCTGGAGTACACGGAGGAGGAGGTCCTGGAGATGGAGCGCAAGGAGGAGCAGGCCGAGGCCATATCCGAGCGGTAAGGGCTAGCTCAGCGGGCAGGCTCCGGCTCATGCCCTCCCTGGAAAGGAGCATGGGTGCCCTGTGGTCAGAAGGCTCGTGAAAACTGTCAGGGGGGAGCACATTTTCTCTGGGGAGACAGCCAGTGTGCCAGGCAGCATGGCTGTCTCTGAGGTGCACTTGCTTTCCTCAGCCATGCCTCCATAGAAGGTGCTGGGCAATCCTTAGGCACCACTGCCCAGAAGTCGATTCTGGTGGAAATTGAGTGCTGGTGTGGACGAGGGCAGCTCCCCGAAGTCTCTCTCCTGACTCTCACGTGTGCTTTTCACCTTTTCCTTCTGTCTGTCCTGGAGTTTCTTGTCGAGAGTGGGACTGTTGAAGCACTGCCCTCTCCCAGGATTGGATACAGTAAGGTCCCTTGAAGTTGTTGGATTTTTTTCTTTTTTAACACCTGTATTGAGATATAATGTACCTCCCATGCAGTTCACCCGTTTAAAGTGCACAGTTAGGTGGTTTTTAGGACTGAATGGGCACAGTCAATTTTACAGCATTTTATTTTCATCACACACTCTCTGCCTGTCCCTAGCCAAATGCGCTCCCAGGTTCTCCTCTGATTCCCTGCAACTACAAATCTGCCCTCTGTGTCTATGGACTTGCCGGTCTGGACACTTCCTACAAATGGGGTCATGCGGCGTCCCTTTCTGCTTCACGTGAAGCAGCCTATTGGTGAATCCTTGGCCCCGTGGAGACCTGCATGCGATAGATGAATGATTCCGGTGAATGGGTGCCCCTGGTGCCCTGGTTTGCGTTCATCGTCTCTGGAGGTGCTGTACATATTGCTGTACTTCCGCATTTTTCCATAAAGTGCGCCATCTTTCCAGGGCTTCCTGCTGCTTCCCAGTGGCTTTCCCTGAGTTTAGTTTACAGAGGAATTTATTTTGGGGAGCGATAGTGCATGCAGAGGGGAAGGTGTTGTGTTCAGGGATGGACAGGAGTTGGGAGGGGTTTGGGGCTGAGTGGTGCAGTTTTCTGGGATCTTCAGTGGCTGCCATTGGTGACAGAGAAAGCCCCTCTTAAGTACAGTCCTTCAAGAGCCATCTTCCCTGGAAAACAGAAGCGCCCTTTTACTTTATGAGAGATGCAACAGTCTTCAATCATTGGAAAGAAATAGGTTGTATTGCATTACCTCTACTACTGTGCTCTAAGAGTAGCATGAAATACATCCCGTTTGGTGACCATTTGGGCTTCTGCAATGTCCGCCTTCAGGAGTTGGCAAGCGGACTCGGTGGATAGCGGCTGTAGCAACTGCACCCAGACCAGCCCTCCGTACCCAGAGCCCTGTTGCATGGGTATCGACTCCATCCTGGGCCACCCATTTGCTGCTCAGGCAGGGCCTTACAGCCCCGAGAAATTTCAGCCCTCGCCTCTTAAGGTAAGTAGAAAACATAGGAGATTGTCCGGAGCCCCTCACCCCAAATATTTTGCCATACGTACCAGGTATACTGCCCTGGAAGGAGAGGCTGTGTGCCCCCAAATTCTTCGTGAGAAGTGTGAGGGGATGGGGGAAGATGCACCAAAGGCAAGCAGAGCCGAGGCTCCCAGGGAGGAGAGCCACGTGGCTGACCTGCACACACACACGCAGTGGCCCGGGTGTTGTGGTGTAAAATGGGCACTGCTGTTGGATTTGGGGGCCACAGCTAAGGCTGGGTTTACTGTGAGCCGAGGAAAAGAAGTGAATGGCCTGAGATGTGTAAAGGGCTTGAATAGGCACCGCTGATCCATTCCCACCTTCAGGGACAAAGAGGCTCTGGAGGGTTTGTGAGTCCCATAGGTTTTGGACATTTGTAGTTCCTCTTCCCCTTTTGTGAAATGTAGAATAGTGCTGTCCTTTTGCCCCTTCTGCTCATCTGCTCCTAGCTGTACTGTCACCCTGTCTTTAGGGGAGAAGTCTCATGTTTATAGTGCCTGTGAGGTCAGGGAAGGCACTGTCAATGCTGTTTTGAAACTTTGTTTCCCCACTGTTCAGCTCACAAAAGTATTTTATCACCCTCACGCCCCTGCCCTCACCCAGAAGCACAAAGTGAAATCTGCCCCCAGCAGCTTCCCAAGCTGTGACCCACAGCAGGTTCCTAGTTGTTGTTTTGGACCAGGCTGCTGGTCATGGCCCTTGTCCAACTTTCTGAGATCTCAAAAAGCAGCAGCCCAAGCCAGGGCGAGTGGCCGTGGGAGGGTTTTTTGGTGTTTCCCCTTCCCTCAACTTTTAGTTTTGAAAAAGTGAAATCTGCAGTAAAGTTGCTAGAATAATGCAACAAATACCTGTACACCTCACCTGGATCCCACAGTTGTTAGTTCTTCAGCACATTTGCATTCTCCCTTTCTGTGTGGGCATCACAGATACAACAAAGTTAGTATAGCGGGTGAGTAGGAAAAAAAAAAAAAAAAGAACACAAACTCCCACCCTCGAGAGGGAGGCGCCAAAGGAGACGTTGCTATCATACGTTCATGTCACAGAGAGCAAGGCGGCTTCTGGAGAATGCAATGGCAGGGAAGCGGGCAAACACTTGTAGAGAGGTTTGCAGTTTTAGAAAGGGTTCACATTTAGAAATGTAAATTTATATTTACATTTTACAAACATCAGGATGATAAAAGGGTGCAACTGCTACGGAAAACATTATGGTGGTTCTTCAAAGCATTAAAAATAGAACCACCACAGGATCCCGCAGTCCCGCTTCTGGGTATATCTGGGTGTATATCCAGAAGGGTTGAAAGGATCTTGAAGAAATATGTGCACACCCATGTTCATAGCAGCAGCATTATTCACAGTAGCCAAAAGGTGGAAGCAACTAAAGTGTCCATCATGGATGAGTGGATAAAGAAAACGTGGCCTATCCATGCAATAGAATATTATTCAACCTTAAAATGGAAGGAAATTCTGTCACGCTGCAACATGGATGAGCTTTGAGGACTCATGCTGAGTGAATAAGCCAGTGTGAATATTTATTTGGTCTTCAACTCTTTGAGTTGCATGTTACCTGGCATGCAACTCCTAAAATCCTTAGAATCTGAAAATCTGTCGCCCAGGCTGGAGTGCAGTGGCGCGATCTCGGCTCACTGCAAGCTCCGCCTCCCGGGTTCATGCCATTCTCCTGCCTCAGCCTGAAAAAAATCTTTTTATATGCTAATGAGTTACTGGTGGCTGGCTAAGAGAATAGAAAAGCACAAAAAGACAAATACCGTCGTGAGGTTCCTGGAGTAGTCGAATTCACAGGGGCAGAAAATAGAATGGTGGCTGCCAGGAGCTTGGATGGGGTGCGGGGATGTGTTACAGAACGGAACTGGGGTCCATTCGCCCGGTGCAGTAAAACCAGGTGTCTGCACGAAGGTGTTTTGCACTGGTGGAAAGAGGGCATTTATTTGCAGGTGCCAAGCAAGGAGATTTGGGCAGCTCACATTTAAGACTCAGCCTCCCCATGCCTTGCAGGGAAGGGTTTTTAAAGGCAGAGGTAAATTTCAGGAAAGCGGCAGTCACAGGCAAAATCCTAAACCAATCCATGGAGGTTACACGTTGCTTTTGGCCTAGAAGGATAGGATATCTTAATGTGGGGGCTTACAGGACGTAGATGGATTCAAAGATTTTCTGATTGCAGTTGGTTCAGGAGGCAAAGCTTTGTCTAAAAATTTGGGGTCAGCAGAAAAGATAGTTAGCTCTGACTTGTAGGTGTGACTCCCTCCAGACCCCTCAGGAAGAGATTCAGAATAAAGAGCAAGGGTCAGAGTGCAGTCCTCAGCTCCCCCTTATCTGAGATCTGTGCCAGCGGGTCCCTTTGGTGGGGGTCTGGGTTTCTGAAAGACAGTCGGGGACATATGTTAAGATGTCTTTGGTTTCTTTTTTTCTTTTCTTTTTTTTTTTGAGATGGAGTCTCGCTCTGTCACCCAGGCCGCAGTGCAGTGGCGTGATCTCAGCTCACTGCAACCTCTGCCTCTTGGGTTCAAGCAATTCTCATGGCTCAGCCTCCCAAGTAGCTGGGATTACAGGCGCCCACCACCATGCCCAGATGAATTTTTTTTTTTTTTTTTAAGTAGAGACGGGGTTTCATCACGTTGGCCAGGCTGGTCTCCAACTCCTGGCCTCAAATGATCCACCTGCCTTGGCCTCCCAAAGTGCTGGGATTACGGGCGTGAGCCACCGCACCTGACCAAGATGTCTTTAGTTTCTCTAGGCAACCAAACATCTCCAGACTCTAACTTCCTTGGCTATTGTTTTAGGCTACTATTACCTTCTTGCTTATCAGGTTACTTACTTACATCTCAGGGATAGCGAGGTACCTGGAATTTCCCTTGAAAGAAATTGATTTTCCTTTATTTCCATGCTCGGGAGGTCTGCAGGCCCCTAAAATGGGGTCTCTGCTCTATCTCAGGAGTGGGAATGGGGAGTTGTTTAGTGGAGAGGACAGAGTCTCAGATTTACAAGGTAAAGAAGTTCTGGAGATCTGTTGCCCATCAGTGTGAATGGACGCCACTGAACTGTGCCTGTACAAATGGTTAATATGGTAACTTTTGTTGCGTGTTTTTTTCCCACAATATTTTAAAAAACAGGGCCCTGAAGGGCCTCACTGAGAAGGCAGTGTTTGAGTAGAGATCGTCAAGGAAGGGAGCTCAGAGCTTTGTGCAGAAGCATGGGCAGGTGTGGGAGCAGCCAGTGTGTGTTGTGGGGCGGTGCTGAGGACGAAGGGAGTGTGTTGTGGGGCCCACTCAGGACCCTTCCTTTTCTCTGAGGGCATGAGAAGCTGGTGGGTTTTGAGCCCAGTGGCAACATGATCTGACCGTAGCTTTTTTGTTAGTGCTTTCTAAAATTTATTGAGTTGAAGTTCACATAAAGGGAAGCATTTTAAAGTGTATGCATCAGTGGCATTTGGTCCACAGTGTTGCTCACCCGCCACCTCTATCTAGTTTCATGACGTTTCAATCACCCCAGAGTAAAACCCGTCCCCATTGAGCAGTCACTCCCATTCCCCTCCCCCTAGCCACCTGCAGCCACCAAAATCTTTCTAGCTGTGTGGATTTACCTCTTCCGGATGTTTCCAGAAGTGGAATCATATACTATGTGGCCTTTGCCGCATGGCTTCTTTCACTCAGCACGATATTTTCAAGGTTTATTTACATTTTAGCGTGTATAAACACTCCGTTGGTTTTTATGGCTGAATGCTATTCCCTTGTGTGGATAAGACCACATCTTGTTGATCCATTGATCTGTCAATGGACATTTGGGGTGTTTCCACATTTGGCCAGTTTTCCTGGGATGTCCCTGGTTGCTGTGTTGAGAATAGATCGAAGGGCAGAGAGGTGTGGAATTGGGAAGACTGGTGAGGCACCTACTGCACTCATCCAGGCATGAGATAATGGCGACTCAGGTGAAAGGTTGCTGACAAGTGCTCAAAACCCCCTTGATCTTGAACACAGAGCCAGCAGGGATCGCTCTTGGACCAGATATGGGGTGTGCAAAAGAGATCGGAAGTCCGGGATGGCCCTAACGTTCTTTGCATGAACAAATGGAAAGTTGAGATCCCTGTGAGAGGAGGGGCCAGGGTGGGGTTGGGGAGATATCAGCTTTTCCATTGTGGACGTGCCACATGTGAAACGCCAGCTAAACCCCAAGTGGAGAAGTGAAAGACATGGTTGTTCCCATAAGTTTATTGCTCACATTATGAAAGAAGCCATAGTCATGAGTGAACCACTCCCTAGGTTGATAAGGAAACCAACACGGAAGATCTCTTTCTGGAAGAAGCAGCCAGCCTCGTGAAGGAGCGGCCCAGCCGCCGGGCCCGAGGGTCGCCTTTTGTTCGGAGTGGCACGATTGTCCGTTCCCAGACATTCTCGCCTGGAGCACGAAGCCAGTATGTTTGCAGAGTAAGTTGGAATCCCTTTGTCACCTGTCTGGAATGTTTTGTCTTCCATCCCCTTTGTGATTTTTTTTTTCTGCTGTTCATACTGAAAGGCATATGTATTTGCACCAATAATACCAATCCATGAACTATGAACTTTATAGGTATGCGGTGATGACATTGGTGTTGTGATCTCCCCGCATGTCCTACCATGCTTATCTGATTCTGGATTTGTTCAGGATTCAAATTCATCCCTTCCCCCAGTTTTCAGTGTTGTGTATGTATTGACCTGTGGGGCAGGAAGCAGGGCGAATCATTTCTACCTCAGCCTAAGGAACAAGTGGAAGCAGGGGCCCTCTTGAATGGGTTGAGCTGGAGGAGCCGGGAACCTGAGTGGCTTGGAGCCCTGTGGGGCAGCCAGGTTTCTGGGCCAGAGGGTGGATGGTCCTGGCAAAGGGGCAGTGGGTTCTCACTCACCCACATGTAACTTCCCAACCTGTGGATGAGTGGGAGGCGCTCAGCGGTTCTCAGCCATGGCTGTGCCTTGCAGTCAAATCATGTCGGGGGATTCAACAGATCCTGGTACCCACATAGCACCCCAGAGATTTGCCATTGGTCACAGGTAAGGCCTGGGCGTCAGAACTTCCGGAAGCACCCAGATGGTTCTAGCATGTCACACAAGGCTGAGAACCCCAAGGTGGGTAGAGGGAAGATGCGAGCCAGTGTGGTCAATGAAGGTAGGACAGAGTGATAGTGCCAGCATGGACTTGTACAGAAAGGGCTTTTAAGGATGATGGCTCATGACACAGTGACCTGGAGGGGCCATTTGGTTGAGAACCATGACCCTTCCTGCACCTCTGAATTGGGGCTGTTGAAGAAGGCATCTGCCCTGGAGGTGCTCGCTCCATGAGGGCAGAGCCAAGGCAGATCTTCGGAGAGGGAAGGGCCTCAGACCCTCAAAGGAGATGTGGCAAACACTGTGGGAGGGGGCCTAGGTGGCCAAAACAGCCTCTCAGCCATGTTGGTGAGACCCGCTGCTGTTGTCCCATTGGTCTGAAGTGTCCCTGCTGGCAGCTGCCCCAGGTGGCGCCGCGTCCGGTACAGGCCCTCCCACCCGTCACACTTCAGCCCCGTGGAGGCTGATGCTCAAGCGCTTGGCTGGACGCTCTAGATGGAAGGCCACGTTCACCGCCCTCCTTGTTCCAGGCTCCTGCCGAGCCACCAACGTGTCGGCTGGCGGGGCTGCTTATTGAGGCGGGGAGGGTGCAAGCAGGTAGTGTTTTGCTTACTCAGAGGAAATGCTCTGTGTGCCTGCGTAACAGCTGCACTTACTGGCGATGCTTCTGGATGCTTCGCTGTTCTGTATGTTTGTATGAACGCCGTGCAGGTATGCTGCCAGGCCGCTGCACTTCCTGAATAGGTTTACTGGCGTGGAAAATAAGGCCACGAAGGCAGGGATGTTGGATTTCACACAGATTGACACTGATCCTGAGGTGAGACCCTGCCACCAAAATGAAGGCTGTAATGACTTGGCTCCCATAAAGATGACATTCTTTACTTCCTGTTTAAAAGCACGCCCTGTCCTTTGATGGGCACAGCTGCAGTTGGCAATGTTGGCTTGTCCTACTACCAGAAGTGAGTCTCTTTTTTGGAAGTCACTTTCCCCAGCTATTGCCAAAGCCACAAATACAGCACATGAGAAAGACTGAGGAAAAGTGAACCGTGCTGAGGGCAGCGCTAGCCTTCATGGGGGCTGTACAGGGCACAAAATGGCATTGGTATCGATCACACAGAGATTTTGTTGGCTCAGTTAGCCTGGAAACTGGGGGAGGGTTTCGTTTGCTTTGTTTTTGTTTTGTTTTGTTTTGTTTTTTTCATTTTAGCAGAAACTCTTCTTTAAATTGAAACCCAAAGACCTGCTACAAGCACCAATAATCATAAGTGCACTCGAGGGCCTGTGAAGAGGATGAAAAGAATCCATTCTGAGACTCTGACTACACACACACAATGAACTGTGCATTGCTGAGAAATTGTTTCTGAACATCATTCTTTTTTGTGCAGCTTTATCGTAGTGACAGCGACAGTTCAACGCTGCCCCGGAAGTCCCCCTTTGTCCGAAATACTTTGGAAAGACGAACCCTTCGCTATAAGCAGGTATGTGCCCTGTAAACAAATATGGAATCTGTGCTTGCCCTGCGAGTGATTTTACAAGCCTTAAAAAGGTAACATTTAAGGTCATGTAAATGAAAAGGTAGTATTTCTATTTCTTGTTTACTTAACAGATGTAATGTCGTAATGTTGCTAATATTTCTTAAGATAGTATCATGATTTCAGATAATCTGTGATCTTTACATTCTTCAGTATAATAAATAACCATTTTTATATAATAGGCTGTTTTCTCTTTTTTTGACAGGAGAGTATATATAGTTTAGAAAAGTTGAGTTTTTCAACATGTTGCTTTTCTGGGCAGGGATCGTTTGAATAATATATATATATATATATATATATATATATATATATATATATATATATATATATAGTGTGTGTGTGTGTGTGTGTGTGTGTAGAGAGGAAGAGAGACAGACACACAAAAAACCCCCAATTTCCACGTGGCAGTTGTGCTCCACCACATACAAGAGTGGCTGCTGACTGGGAAGAATAAGAAAGTTTATAATTTGGGCCGGGTGCAGTGGCTCACGCCTATAATCCCAACACTTTGGGAGGCTGAGGCGGGCGGATCACCTGAGGTCAGGAGTTCGAGACCAGCCTGTCCAAAATGGTGAAACCCCGTCTCTACTAAAATTATGAAAATTAGCCAGACATGGCAGCACGTGCCTGTAATCTCAGCTACTCAGAAGGCTGAGGCAGGAGAATTGCATGAACCCGGGAGGCAGAGGTTGCAGTGAGCTTACGTCATGCCACTGCACTCCAGCCTGGGAGACAGAGCAAGACTCCGTCTCAAAAAAAAAAAAAAAAAGTGCATAATTTGGCTTCAGAAGTGTCTCTCAGCAGCACCACTGCTGGCATTTCAGACAGGCTCATTCTTTGCTGTGGGGGCTGCCCCGTGCACTTTAGGATGTTGAGCAGTGTCCCTGGGCTCCACCCACCAGATGCCAGTAACACCCCATCACATACACAGCAGTTGTGACACTCAAAATGTCCACAGACATTGCCAGCTGTCCTCCCGGGGGCCAGATTCTCCTGGTTGAGAACCATGAAGCTCTGCTGAGAATTCAGCAGTGCTTTTAAAGAATTTATATTTGTTAAGTTACAACCCATATTTGCATTTAAATTCTGTGTATGTGCAAAATAGCGTTGTGTGTGTAAAAAGCATACCGTGACTCAGGCCACTGACCCATGGTGATTGGCGAATGGATTTGTGGTTTTGCTGCGGTGACTGCTGTCTCAGGGTTCTGTTTCCCATTGGATGGGAAGTACTGCTCTCAGTTCCGCAGACAAGAGTCTTTTCCCTGTCAGGGCTTTCCTGAGCCTAGGTATGTTTGCTTACTTGAGGCTTATATGGGGAGGGAAGCTTTGGACAGCTTGCATGTGTGTGTCTGCGTGTTTGCGTGGGAGTGTGTATACTATTTTTTAAACAACAAGCACTCATGGTTTATAACGTACTTTCTTTCCCCTTGTACAGTGGATCATTAAGATTTTTCCATGTCCATATATTTTTTTCAACTTGTTACAATGGCTACATTTTATACTGGCCTTGTAATTTATTTAACGTTTCCTGCTGTTATAGACTTACTTTTTTTTTTCTGTCATAAACCTTAATTGGACCACTTTTGCATGTCAGCAGTTATGCCTTTCAGATGCAAGTTTGCTGTAGACATATATATATTCTCAAATGGCCCTTCAGAAAGATTGTTCCATTTTTGATCCTGCCAGCCCCATATAAGAGCATCTGTTGCTGCACATTTCTGCCAATACATAGGTCATCATTAAAGAAAAACAATTTGCTGTTACTAACCTTGATACTGAACTAGAGATTTACATTCCTCTTGCCCACATCTGTGTTTTTTAACCTTGGGCGTGCTTAGAGAAATACGTGTGCCTGACCTGTCTCCTATTAATTGTGGAAGAACCTTCTAGAAGGCCTGAGTGAGGGCTCACAGCTGGCGTCTCTTGCAGTCATGCAGGTCTTCCCTGGCTGAGCTCATGGCCCGCACCTCCCTGGACTTGGAGCTGGATCTCCAGGCGTCGAGAACACGGCAGAGGCAGCTGAATGAGGAGCTCTGCGCCCTCCGTGAGCTGCGGCAGCGGTTGGAGGACGCCCAGCTCCGTGGCCAGACTGACCTCCCACCCTGGGTGCTTCGGGACGAGCGGCTCCGTGGCCTGCTGCGGGAGGCCGAGCGGCAGGTGGGGGTCCCCTGTGGCCAGCTCCCGCCTGCACCTCACTGCTCCCTGCTCCAGGCTCTGAAGGGAGCCTCCCAGACACAGAGGTGGTCCCTGAAATACCCCACCACTGGGCTCTTGGAGTCCCTTCTCCCTCTGTGGGCTGCGAGGGTGGCGTCTGTGTGGCTTCTGCGTGCATCTGGAGGCTGCGGGTGCTGGAGGAGGGGTCACGGGCCCTCCCCACCTTGTTGGGGGAACATTCTGGGTCCCCAGTCGCTAGGCCTGACTCCAGCCACCCCCTGGCCTCTGTCTCCTGGGAGGAATTCCTTGGGGGGAGTGTGGGTGAGGTGGGCCTTACTCCCTCCTGTCACCACTCGCTGACTGTGGTTGGTTCTTCTGGGCTCCAGGGTTGGCAGTGAACTTACTCATTCTTCCTTAAAAAAAAAAAAAAAAAAAAAAATCAATAAAATCGTCTTGTTGGTCCAACGTTGCTGTTCCAGACAAGACAGACCAAACTTGACTACCGTCATGAGCAGGCGGCTGAGAAGATGCTGAAGAAGGCCTCCAAGGAGATCTACCAGCTGCGTGGGCAGAGCCACAAAGAGCCCATCCAAGTGCAGACCTTTAGGTATGGCGGAGGCGTGGCAAGGCCGGCCCCTCGGCCCTGCTTCCTCCTTACTGTCGTGCCTTTGGCATGGTAAAAAAGTACAGTGAGTCTGTTTTTGTTTTTCTTCTGAGACAGAGTCTCACTCTGTCACCCAGGCTGGAGTGCAGTGGTGCGATCTTGTCTCACTGCACCCTCTGCCCCCTGGGCTCAAGCAAGTCTCATGCCTCAACCTCCCGAGTAGCTGGGATTACAGATGCGCACTACTATACCCGGCTAATTTTTAAATGTTAGTAGACTGGGTTTTGCCATGTTGCCCAGGCTGATCTCAAACTCCTGACCTCAAATGATCCACCTGCCTCAGCCTCCCAAAGTGCTGAGATTACAGGCGTGAGCCCCTGCGTCTGGCCGTGTGAGTCTGTAAAACCCCTGGGAAGTTGAGAACAAAACAGGAATCCACTGCAGCCAGTAGTGTATTTTCATGTTTTTATCCTGATCTTTTTTTCCTACAGTTTTTTTTTCATGCCACTTCTAATCATAATGCGGGTTCAGTTTGGCATTTAGCATTTTTTAAATTAAAATATTCCATATTGCTATATAATGTGCTATCTTGTTTGACTGTAATGTCTCATCTAATAGTTTACTCAACCACTATATTTTATAACATGCTGCTCGTCTTCAAATGTTTGCTATTGTAAATAACAGTGATATACATACACATACATATATGTCCCCCCACCCCCAGACAGGGTCTCACTCTGTCAGCCAGGCTGGAGTGTGGTGGCTCAGTCATGGCTCATTACAGCCTTGACCTCCCAGGGTCAAGTGATCCTCCCACCTCACCCTCCCAGGTAGCTGGGACTGTAGGCACATGCCACCATGCCCTGCTCATTTTTGTAGAGATGGGGTCTCACTGTGTTGCCCAGGCTGATCTCGAACTCCTGAGCTCAAGCGATCCACCTGCCTCAGCTGCCCAAAGTTCTGGGATTACAGGCATGAGTCGCTGCACCCGACCACCTTTGCTTTTTCAGTTAACTTTTGATTAAGGCAAAATGTATCTGCAGGAAAGCTGCGTATCATACACACATGGTCCAGTGAATTGTTACAAACTCGTCCTAAGAATCGGTCATTATCAGTGCCCCCAGATCCCACACTAGAGTAACCACCACCTTGAATTCTAATAGTATAGATTGGTTTTGTCTGTTTTTGTTTTTGCTGAGGGGATTTTTACAGATGCATCAGTATTCTTTTGTGTCTGTAAAAAAAATTAAGTTGAAATTCACATAACATAAAATGACCCATTTTAAAGTGAACAGTTCAGCCTTTGGCGCATTCACAATGTTGCACAACCACCCCTCTGTCTAGTTCCAGAACATTTTTACCACCCCAAAAGTAAACCCTATGCCCATTAAGCAGTCACTCCCCGTTCTCCCTCCCCTAGCTCTGTCTCTAGGGATATGCCTTTCTGCCTGTTTCATAGGAATGGGATCATATCTTACGTGGACTTTTGCATCTGGCTTCTTTCCTGCAGCTGAGGGTTTTCGAGGTTCATCCATGTAGCCTATGTGCCAGTGTGTCCTTCCTTGTTAAGGGCGAATAAAATGTGTCTTTTAGCCCTAATTTTTGTATACATTTAATATTCACATAGTTTTCACTTTTTCATTCATTTGTTAATACGACAGGTATTTCCTGAGCACCTAATATACACCAGGCACTGTTCTAGGTACTGGAGATGAAGAAACCCCTGCTCTTACGGTTCTTCATAATTAACATTTGGAGACTCTATACAAGCACATGTGTTGTTGGGGACTTAAATTCAGTTTGTTGTATGAATAAGAAAAGCCATGATTGATATGAGAGCCACCAGCTTTCCGTGTCTTCATATCAGCTTCTGACCTGTAATTGTCTCCGGTCCCAGGGAGAAGATAGCATTCTTCACAAGGCCAAGGATCAACATACCTCCTCTCCCAGCCGACGACGTCTGATGGAGTGCATTGTGCACATGAAGTATTTATCCACCTGTTTTATTTTCATGAAGTTCTTAGACTAGCTGAATTTGTCTTTAAAATATTTGTGCAAAGCTATTAATATACACATTTTGTAAAAAAAAAAAAAAAACACGTATATCTATACATATATATTTTATAATAGTGACGGCAACAGGGCTTGGTTTTTCCTTGTTGTGAAATCGACATCTCTGAAGACAGGTTATTTTATAAAAGATCAACTATCATGTTAAGAATGTACAGTTTTTATGCTGTTTTATTTGACTTAAAGGCTGGAAGACAGAAACGAAGTGAGTTCAGGCAAATTCACTGTATTGTAATTTATTTATAGTACTTTTTTTTCCTTGAAGGAAAATACTGACTTTAAGATGTATTTTAAGACTGAAATTTTGTTCTTTAGTACTTTTCATGCAGTAGAACGGAACTTGGGGCTGGTTTGGTTTTTGACACCTGAAATGCGAACGCTATGTGCTAAATTTGTCACCGTATCATATGTGCATTTACCATGTATATTGTACACATTCACTCCCTTGATGTCATGTTAAAATGTCCCCTGCAGTGGTTCAATCGTGACTCGGAAGCATGTGTGTGTTGCAGAGGTCAGTCTCTGGCGTGGGCCGCACGCCAACCGCTCATTTCTGTGTTGCCTTTGGAAGCATCTTTCTGTGCTCAGCGTGAGTCTGAAGCAGGCGCCAGGGCCTCTGGTGTACGGGGCTTCAGCCTGCTTGCTTGTGGTGGCTGTCTGTGGGGCTTCAGCCTGACTGTCCGTGGTGGCTGTCCATGCTGCCCGCCTCCCCCCACCCCGCCCTGTCCGACTGTAACAGACCAGGAGGGTGGCGGAGGAACTCCTGCCACGCCACTGTGTCATGAAGGAAAGTGAAAGGGAACGAGGAAGTAGGAATGCCCACGCTCGTTGACTCCGTGGGTGAATACAGCAGTTAGGACATACACACCATCACCTTTGAAAGTGCTTGTTTGGGGGAGGGAAGGACATACGGGTAACTAGAACTACCCAGCGAGTCGTCCAGAGGAGAGGATCAGGTTTGAGTCAGGAGGCTCCCTGTACTGGAGTCGTCCCACTATTCCTCAAGAAATCTTAGAACCAGCTTGTGAGGAAAAACATTTTTTAATGTAATAAAAATATGCCATTATTCTTTGAAATGCCAAATGATATAAATATTTTGCCTAATACATATTTATTGTAGATGAAATGCACTCTTCTCGATGAGGCCTCGATTTGAATCAATGGGGTGGGCCACAGGAAATGTCAGAGGAACCAGAACTCAGAACTCTTCCTCCTGGACCTTTCTTCCCTTCCCTTGGAGGTATCCCTTTGAATCAGGCCTCTCTCTTCTCATCAGTCTGTAGCTTCCCCCCTTGTATAACCTGCTTTCCTTTTTACATTTATTAAAAGTGGATTTTGTAAAAGCATTTCATTGACACGCGACCTATCACAGACAATGGAATTCGTCAGTGGTGGTAAGACTGAAATCCTGATGCTTTTCACACTTCTTGTCTCTTGCTATGTATTTCTGCCTCTAGCCTTGCCATGTTTTGCCTTTTTTTTTTCTTTTTGGCCAATTCCTTTTTATATGTGCCCACAACAGAGGTGGGGAGACACGGAGCACCCTGGGTCCTTCCCAGCGCTGCTGGGCAGGCCCCGTCTCCAGGCCCCAGCTGTTGAAACTTTGAAGGGCAACAAACAACCATCCACACTGCCGGACCCTAGGCTGTTCAGGGAGGCAGCTCATTTCCACCCCGGCCCCAGGACACCCAGCCTGTGCCCCACAAGGATCTCTCTAAATGGGAGGGATTGAGGCTACTTTTCTGCCAAGCCCTATTAAGTAGTAATGTGGGGAAACCCACTGTGTCAGTGCAGGAAGCCCTAGACAAATGTTTTCAAATAAATTTCACTGCCCAGCCTGCACAGATTTCCATTTGAAGTACTTCCCATCCACCCTGACACCCAAAGGGGTTTTTTTGTTTTGTTTTGTTTTTGAGACAGGGTCTTGCTTTGTTGCCCAGGCTGGAGTGCAGTGACGTGGTCATAGCTCACTGCAGCCTCAACCTCCTGGGCTCAAGTGACCCTCCTGCCTCAGCCTCCCAAAGTTCTGAGATGATAGGCATGAGCCATTGTGCCTAGCCTATTTTGATTTTTTTCTTAGAGTCAAGGTCTTGCTCTGTTGCCCAGGCTGATCTTGGACTTGCGAGCCACCATGCCTGGCTGGGTTTTTTAAAAATAGAATCTCACTGATAGCCTGCAAGAAACAGATGCAGTGCCTGCTTCCGTATCAGTCCAAGGAGCCCTCGTGTTTGCCACCTTTACCTTTGAACCTCCCCCTGCCTCCCTGCCTGTGTCCGCTTTTGCAGCTCAATGCAGCCATGACAAGGAAAGAAAAGACAAAGGAAGGCCAGAGAGCCGCGCAGTTCTCTGCAGGTGCAGATGCAGGCAGTGGAGGTGGCCTGAGCAGGCAGAAGGACACCAAGCGCCCTATGTTGCTTGTCATTCATGACGTGGTCTTGGAGCTTCTGACTAGTTCAGACTGCCACGCCAACCCCAGAAAATACCCCACATGCCAGAAAAGTGAAGTCCTAGGTGTTTCCATCTATGTTTCAATCTGTCCATCTACCAGGCCTCGCGATAAAAACAAAACAAAAAAACGCTGCCAGGTTTTAGAAGCAGTTCTGGTCTCAAAACCATCAGGATCCTGCCACCAGGGTTCTTTTGAAATAGTACCACATGTAAAAGGGAATTTGGCTTTCACTTCATCTAATCACTGAATTGTCAGGCTTTGATTGATAATTGTAGAAATAAGTAGCCTTCTGTTGTGGGAATAAGTTATAATCAGTATTCATCTCTTTGTTTTTTGTCACTCTTTTCTCTCTAATTGTGTCATTTGTACTGTTTGAAAAATATTTCTTCTATAAAATTAAACTAACCTGCCTTAAGAACAGAGTGGAAATGTGTGGCTTTATGGAAAAAGAATGTTTAATTATGGAAGCTTAAATATATAAAAATGTGTGTTTTTCAAGCATAAAAACAGAGGTATAAAATCAGAGAAAATAGCTGAACGCAGCGCTCACCCAGCTTCAACACGATCATTCACGGCTGCCCTCTCCTTTACCCTCCAGCCCACCTCCTCCTCTTAGAATTTGAAGCAAAGCCCATATAGCTTATCATTTCATCTTTAAATATTTCAATATGTATTGCTAAAAGAGAAAAACATAATAACCTTATCACATCTTAGCATTTAATAATTCCTTACTGTTACCAAATAGCCAAGGTTTTCTCTCCCATTTATCTTGTGTCATTCTTTAACTCTTTGAACAGAATCTAAACATGATTCACTTATTGGGATTTTTTTTGTCTGTGTTTTTCTTTTTTGGTAATAGCTTTTCTTGATACATAATTCACATGCTATACAATTCACCCATTTAATATGTATAATTCAGTGGTTTTAGTATATTCAGAGTCGTGCAAATATCACAATTTTTAGAACGTTTTCATCACCCCCCAAAAAAGCCTTCAGACTCATTAGCAGTTGCTCCCCAATCCTCTGAGACCCCAGCTACCACTGACCTCTCTGTCTCTACACATTTGCCCGTTCTGAACATTTCATATCAATGACATAACATGTGGCCTTTGTGTCTGGGTTCATTCACTTAGCATAATGCTTTCAAGATTCATCCGTGTTGTAGTGTGTGTTGAGACTTCATTCTTTTTTATGGCTGAATCATCTTCCATTGCATGGACAGGCCACATTTTCTTCATTTATCAGTTGATGGACACTTTGCTTCCACTTTTTGGCCATTATGGATAATGCTGCTATGGACTTTTACATTTAAGCTTTTCTGTGGATATATGTTTTCATTTCTCTTAGGTCAATACCTAAAAGTGGAATCACTGGGTTACATGGTAACTCCATATTTAACTCTTTGAGGACTTGCCAGACTGTTTCCAAAGCAGCTGTGCCATTTCCCATTCCTACCGGCAGTTGCTCCACATCCTGGCCAACACTTGTTATGTCCTTTTGCTTATAGCTATCTTAGGGGATGCCAAGTGGTATCTCATTGTAGTTATGTCTGGCTTTTTTTTGAGATGGAGTCTTGCTCTGTTGTCTAGCCTGCAGTGCAGTGGCGCGGTCTCAACTCACTGCAGCCTCCGCCTCCCGGGTTCAAGTGATTCTCCTGCCTCAGCCTCTGGAGTAGATGGGATTACAGGTGTGTGCCACCATGCTCAGCTAATTTTTGTGTTTTTGGTAGAGACAGAGTTTTACCATGTTGGCCAGGCTGGTCTCAAACTCCTGACCTCAAGTGATCTGCCTGCCTTGGCCTCCCAAAGTGCTGGGATTACAGGCGTGAGCCACCACGCCCCACAGAGTCAGATTTTTATTCTTGCCTCTACCCTATTTTTTCCCCTCTCCTTACAGGTAACCATTGAAAAGAGATTACTGTTTTTCCTTGCATTGTTATTTTAAAATATAAGCAGGTATATAAATATGTAAGTGTGTACATACAAATATATACATGTGTGCATTTACACATATACACATGACTACACAAATATGAACACATCTATATTTGTATTTTTCTCTCCTTGGGCAAATGGTAGCATAAAAACATACTTTTCTTCACCTGGCTTTTTTCACTTAAAAGTATATCCCAGCCAATGGTGGTGGTGCACACCTGTAGTCCCAGCTACTTGGGAGGCTGAGGTGGGAGGATCCTTTGACACCAGCAGTTCAAGAGTAGCCTGGACGATGTAGTGAGACTGCATTTCTTTAAAAAAAGAAAAATAGATATATCCCAGAGACCACCAAAGTCTGTATTGGCTGCTATAACAATTTACCACAAGCTTGGTAGCTTAACAAAAATTTATTTCACGGTTCTCAAGGCCAAAAGTGCTAAATCAAAGTGTCACCAGGGCTACACTCTCTTCAAAGGCCCTAGGGGAGGATCCTTCCCGCCTCTTCCGGCTCTTGCTGCTGCTGACAATCCTTGGCTTGTGCAAGAAACATGACTCCAGTCTTGGCCCCATCGTGACATCACCGTTCTCTCTGCGTTTCTCCCTGTCTTCTCTCTATTACAAGAACATCTGCCATTGGATTTAGGGCCTACCCGGTTAATCCAGGATGATCGCATCTCCAGGTCTTTAATTACCTCCGCAAAGACTCTTTGCAAATAAGGTCACGTTCCCAAGTTCCAGGTAGACATATCTTTAGGCCCACCATTCAATCCACTATGATCTGTCCTCTGCATCCCCCCCCTCCAAATTCACATCCAACCCACAAGCAAAATACATTCACCCCATCCCCATATCCCCCAAAGGTATGTGTAAGTGTTCTTTTCATTTTACCTTTGCACACAACATTAGTGGATGTACCATTGTTTATTCAACCATCTTCTGGTTGTTTCTAGTCATACTATTAAAAATAATTGAACAGGCCGGGCGCGGTGGCTCATGCCTGTAATCCCAGCACTTTGGGAGGCCCAGGTGGGCAGATCATGAGATCAGGAGTTTGAGACCAGCCTGACCAACATGGTAAAACCCCATCTCTACTAAAAATACAAAAATTAGCTGGGCATGGTGGCGTGCACCTGTAATCCCAGCTACTCAGGAGGCTGAGGCAGGAGAATCGGTTGAACCTGGGGGGCAGAGGTGGCAGTGAGCCGAGATCGTGCCATTGCACTCCAGCCTGGGCGACAGAGCGAGACTCCGTCTCAAAAAATAATAATTCAACAATGAAAGTCTTCTGCAGACATCTTTTCACATTTTTGCCAGGGTTTCTTTTTTTATTTTATTGATAGAAACGGTATTGCCGTGTTGCCCATGCTGGTCTCCAACTCCTGGTCTCAAGCTATCCTCCTGCCTCGATCTCCCAAAGTGTTGGGATTTCAGGTGTGAGCCACCCTGCCCGGCCTTTGCCAGGGTTTTCGTGAGATACATCCCAAGAAGTGGGATCTCTGGGTCAACAGTAATGCATGCGGCATGTTGCTGGGTGTTGCTGCATTTTTCTCACGGGGACTTTGCCATTTTGTATTCTCACCAGCAATGTATGAGACAGTTCCCTCACAACCTCAGCAATAGAATGGTGTCACATTTGTGAGTCTTTGCCAGTTGCAGAGGTGAGAAAGCATCTCAGCACAATCAAAATTTGTGCTTATGAGCAAAGCTGCTTTAATTATAGAGGCTTGTTGGTAAGTTTTAATATCAGTTAGGGCTAGCCCTCCTTCCTTTCTTCTTTCTCAGGGCTTCCCTGGATATTCTTGCTTATTTGTTCTTTCAAATGAATTTTATAATTATCTTGTCTAGCTCCAGGGAAAAAAAATTATGAATCTACTGGAATTGCATTAAACGTACAAATTTGGGAGAACCGCAATCTTTATGATGTTGAATCCTCTTATCCAAGAGTGTATTTCCATTTGTCCAAGACTAATTTTGTGCCTTTCAGGAATGCTTTATAGTTTTACTCGTATGTATTTTGGATATTTCTTCATGAGTTTTTGTCTATTTTGTTTTCTGTCTTTGTCTGCATAAAGACAGAAAATAACAATAAGATAAATACACATACATGCAAGGCTATTTACCTTTTTTCAGACTTTGGTGGAAAAACTAGTGTTTCCCCATTAAATAAGATGTTGAGGCCGAGTGTGGTGTCTCATGCCTGTATCCCAGCATTTTGAGAAGCTGAGGTGGGAGGACCGCTTGAGCCCAGGAGTTCAAGACCAGCATGGGCAACATAGCGAGACCCCGTTTCTACAAAAAAAATACAAAAAGTTAGCTGGGCATGGTGGCATGTGCCTGTGGTCCCAGCTACACAGGAGGCTGAGCTTGAGCCCCAGAGGTCAAGGCTGCAGTGAGCCGTGTTCATGCCATTGCACTCCAGCCTGGGTGACAGAGTGAGACCCTGTCTTGAAGAAAAAAAGTGGCCGGGGCGGTGGCTCACGCCTGTAATCCCAGCACTTTGGGAGGCCGAGGTGGGCAGATCACGAGGTCAGGAGTTCGAGACCAGCCTGGCCAACACAGTGAAACCCCATCTCTACTAAAAATACAAAAATTAGCTGGGCATGGTGGCATACGCCTGCAGTCCCAGCTACTCGGGAGGCTGAGGCAGAAGAATCACTTGAACCCGGTAGGCGGAGGTTGCAGTGAGCCGAGACTGCACCACTGTACTCCAGCCTGGGTGACACAGTGAGAATCTGTCTCAAAAAACAAAAATGAAAAGCACAGGTTGTGGCTTGTGGTTCTGACCGACTGGCTATACAATGGGGGTTCCCATGACCCCCTCCTCAAGTTCACTGACATGCTAGAGTGGTCCCACAACTCAGGGAAACATGTTTAGCCATTTGTTATAAAGGATATTACCAAAGATACAGATGTACAGCCTGATGGAAGCGATGTGGAAGGTATGGAAGGCAAGGCACGGAGCTTCCATGCCCTTCCCTAGGCACCACCCTCCAGGAACCTCTGTGTATTCAGCTATCTGGAAGCCCACGGAAAACCCTGTCCTTTTGTGGGCTTTTGTTTGTTTGTTTGTTACTGAAGTTTTGTTTTTATTATACTTTAAGTTCTAGGGTACATGTGCACAATGTGCAGGTTTGTTACATATGTATACATGTGCCATGTTGGTGTGCTGCACCCGTTAACTCGTCATTTACATTAGGTATATCTCCTAATGCTATCTCTCCCCCCTCCCCCGACCCCACAACAGTCCCCGGAGTGTGATGTTCCCCACCCTGTGTCCATGTGTTCTCATTGTTAAATTCCCACCTATGAGTGAGAACATGTGGTGTTTGGTTTTTATGGAGGTTCCATTGCATAGGCATGATTGATTACATCATTGACCACTGGTGATAAACTCAAGCTTCAGCCCCTCTCCCCTCCCCGGAGGTCAAGGAGGTGGGGTTAAAAGTCCCCAATCTGTTATCTTGCCTTGGTCTTTCTGGTGACTGGTGACCAGCCCCTATCCTGAGGCTACCTAGGGCCCTCAGCTACCATCATCTCTTTCGCATACAAAAGACACTCATTACTCTGGATGTCTCAAAACAAACAAACAAAAAACCTTTTAGCCTGGGAATGGTGGCTAACACCTGTAATCCCAGCAGTTTGGGAGGCCAAGGCAGGTGGATCACCTGAGATCGGGAGTTTGAGACCAGCCTGACCAACATGGTGAAACCCTGTCTCCATTAAAATACAAAAATGTAGCCGGGCGTGGTGGTGGGCGCCTGTAATCCCAGCCACCTGGGAGGCTGAGGCAGGAGAATCACTTGAACCCTGGAGATGGAGGTTGCAGTGAGCTGAAATCATGCCACTGCACTGCAGCTTGGGCAACAGAGTGAAACTCTGTCTCAAAAACAAACAAACAAACAAAAGGCAAAAATAACTTTGAGCAATGCTACTGTGGCCAAATTTTACTTGTTGCAGTTGCTGTAGCAGAAAGAAGGCCTTTCCCTCCTGGCTACCTATGGGCACTCCCTGTCTTCTCTCTGGTCCACTCTTCCACAGTCCCCAACTTGAGCTAACTCCCACTTGTCCTTGGATAGCTTAACCATGACTTTCTCAAGGAGGCCGGAAGTGGTCTCCATCCCTGAAGAAATTTGGCCCCTCTGCTTTATGTACGTGTATGAGTTCGCTAGGCCTGCCGTAACCAAGTCCCACAGACTGGGTGGCTTCGACAACAGACATTGATTTTCTCACTGGAGGCTGGAAGTTCAAGATGAAGGCACTGGCAGGCTGGTTTCCCGAGGCCTCTCCCCTCAGCTTGCTGCCTCCTCACGTGGTCATCACTCTGCATGCATGACCCTGGGGTCTCCTTTTTTTTTTTTCATAGGGACACCAGTCAGATGGGACTAGGGCCCCACCCTAGCGGCCTGATGTGAAAACATAACCACTTCTTTAAAGAACTTATCTCCAAATATAGTCACATTCTGAGGTACTGGGGAGTTGAGACTTCAACATATGAATTTGGGAGTACATAATTCAACCCCTAGCGGTATTTTTCCACATCACTCAACACTTCTCTCATCAGGGATTCCCCACTCTTGATTGGGAAGACCTGTTTCATGACTGTCTTCCCCATGGACTGTAAGAGGGACTCAGCAGAGGGACACAGTCACTCCCGAGCGTGGCTGACCCTCGGGCCTTGCATTCTGCCTGGTGCAGACGGAGGGCTCCGTAAATAGGAATCGGATGAATCAATGAGCCAAGGCTCTGTTCGTTTCCAATGGCTGCTGTACTTAGCGGCTTAAAACAACACATATTCATCCTTTTCCTTTTCTGGAGGGTAGAAGTCTAAACTGGGTGTGAATGGGCTAAAATCAAGTGCCAGCAGGGCTGTGTTCCTTCCATAGGCTAGTGGAGAGATTCTGTTTCCTGGCCTCTTCCAGCTTCTAGAGGCCACTTGCATTTGTTCGCTTATGGCCCTATCCTCCATCTTCAAGGCCAGCAGTGTAGCAGCTTCAAATCTCCCTCTCTGATCTCTGCTTCCATTGCCAATCTTCTCTGACTCTGACCCTCCTGCCTCCCTTTTATAATGATCCTTGTGACGACACTGGGCCCACTGGGGCCACCCAGGATCATCTCCCCACGATCTTAGGATCCCTAATCTAATCACATCTGCAAAATCTCTTTTGTCACGTAAAGCAACATCTTCACAGGTCCTGGGAATAAGGGGGTGAACATCTTTGGGGAGGTCATTCTCCAGCCCACCCTAGAAGCACTGAGCTTTGAAGGGCCGGTTCCTGTATTCAGTATGTATGTACTCCGGCATGCATCTCAAGTTTTGCTTTGGAACAAGTGATCAGACGCTCCCCTCTTAGAAGATTCCCAGGCTCCTGGTGAAGTCCAACGGCAGAGGCTGCACATTCAGTGGCATTTGGAAGCATCTTGTCTGAGACCTGTGGCTAGAGGCACACGGCCTTCTGGAATCTGTGCCTTTCCATTGTTCCCACTAACAGACGCTCTGGCCAGATTGCTGTTTCTACCCTGCAATTACAGGCAGAATCCCATGAGTAATAAACACAAATTGTTTTATTGCAATGGAGTTCGTTTAAAAGAAATATTTTACTGCATCATCCAATAGAATTATCTGCAATGATGGAATTGTTTTATATCTGCGCTAAAATACCGTAGTGACAAGCCACATGTAGCTCTTGAGCATCTGACATGTGGCTAGTGTGACTGAGGGACTGAATTGGAACTTTTAAGTTAAATTCATTTTCATGTAAATAGTAACTGTGTCTAGTGGCTACCATAGAGCAGTGCAATTCTAGAAAAATCCCATTTCCAACCCAAGGCACCTGGACAAGGAGCAGCTTTTCTCAGAGGCCAGGTCCTGGGTGAGAAAAGCTGTTCACTGTCCAGGTGCAATAAGATAACTGACTTCTGTCTGTGCGTGGTGGAGATGCTGTCCAATGATGGCTATCGTGCATCAGTTTCCAGCTCCCCATTCAGTAGTTCGAAGCAAGGCATGGCAGGAGAATTTACACCAGGAGAATCAGCACAAGCTACAAATCAAGCCTCCCTCCCCATGCCCCACCCTTGGAGAGCTGGGTTATTTAACGATGACTGACATGCCACTGTGCATATGCCTACTGGAGGAGACAGGCCTACTGAATTGCCTTGGCAACATCTGAGTCTCCTGGCACTCACAGAGAAAAAGGAGACAGTGGCAGCTCCACAGTTCTTATTGTCAGAGAGGAAAAGCACCATATGGTTTTTTTAAGGGATGGCAACACTTCTCTTAGGCCTTAGAGCTACACGGGCTCTTTTCTCAGGCTTCCCAGCACAGACAATGTCCTTGACAACAACTCCACTCCACTGCAAAAGCAGAGGGATTTCAAAGCTGTTGTTTGTCACGTCAGTCAAGGCTGTCACTTTGGATCGATGTCAGGGCAATGGGGTCTGAGTTTGCAGCTTTTGGATGTCTGCTGAGATCTGTGAACACAGCCCAGAATGCCTAGAAAAGGCTGGATTGCATATTCTTATATCCCATGTCACTTACTTATTCCCCAAATCTTTTAGGATGCTGGCCATGTGCATAGCCCCCAGCTAGGTATGGAAGCAACTCATTCATTCATTCATTCATTCATTGGAGATGGTGTATTCAGGTGTAAAGGAGTTCAGGATACAAAGATAGATGAAATAGGGTCTTCACCTCCAGGTTTTATAAGATCCCCCATTTATAGAATAATTTACCAGATACTCAGGGCTGGAATTTGGAGGAGGTGAGGGAGGCACTTACCTTGGGTGCAAAACGTAAGAGGGCACCACAAAAATCAGTAATCAAGATAATATACTGGCCAGGCACGGTGACTCACGCCTGTAATCCCACCACTTTGGGAGGCTGAGGTGGGTGGATCACCTGAGGTCGGGAGTTTGAGACCAGCCTGGCCAACATGGCAAAACCCCGTCTCTACTAAAAATACAAAAATTAGCCAGGTGTGGTGGTAGGCACCTGTAATCCCAGCTACTCAGGAGGCTGAGGCAGGAGAATTGTTTGAACCTGGGAGATGGAGGTTGCAGTGAGGCAAGATCATGCCACTGCACTCCAGCCTGGGCGACGAGAGCAAAACCCCATCTCAAAAAAAAAAAAAAAAATATATATATATGTATATACACACACACATATATATGTATATATATACACACACACATATATATGTACATATATATGTACATATATAATTTATAAAATCAAAATTAGTGCAGAAAATTACAATGTACAAGATATGAACATTTTAAATAAGGACAGGCTGTTGTGGTTTGTTTCACTCCCCTTCAGTGTTGGGCAAGGGAGCATAGTCAATTCCAATCAGCGAGGGGTTACTTGGCCAGGAGGTATCTGAAGGGGAGGTTTATGTGGGTGCAAATAAATTGGGCCACGGGGAGCATTATACATAGTTTCTGTGCGTGTGTGTTTCGGTTGTAGGGTCTTTACTGACTTTTTTCACTTGGTTCAAAATACAAGAGGGTATCTTGATCACTGTATTTAGGGGTACACAACTTTTCTTGTGTCTCAAATTCTAATAATAAGGCACTGCTTGTGCTCTTTCCAGATCTCTCACTTACGTCTCACTCAGCTACAAGTGGTGGATACTATTACTCTTCCTCCTTCTCCTTGTTTTACAGAAGGGAAAAGTGGGGCTTGCAGAAGCTTGGCAAAATAGCACAGGCAGTAATACTGCAATACAGCCATGTAATACTTCAAGATGGTGTATGATTAAAGCGGTTGGCTGAGAACATTTGGGAAAATTTTAGTTCTGGTGTAACAAACTGTATCCCAGAGACAGTGCTATATGCTGGGCTTTCAAAGAGCAGGTAAATGCAGCTCCCCTCTGTCCTTCCAGGAGCTCAGGAGCTCAGGAGCTCAGGGGTTAATGCGAGTAAATAATTTGGGTCTAAGCTGGTGAGTGCTGTCCAGAGGGTCCCAGGAAGCTGTGGCTCCAAGAAGGGTGGAGGGGATGGTCAGAGGCGCCTGGGGAAGAAGCTGGGGTCCTGGCCAGAGAAGACCTAGCCTGACCCCAGGGTGCTCCAGCCTCCATCAGAACAGGAGGCTGATGTCAGGGCTGTCTCTGAGCCTGTCTGCAAAATGGGTGCACAGCAGATCTGCCCTACTCCTGTTAACCAGCTGCTGCGAGAATCAGATGACATGCTGCAGAGGAAGGCACTCTCTACAGGGTGCATGTGCTGAGGCGGGCGGATCAGTTGAGATCAGGAGTTCGAGACCATCCTGGGCAACATAGTGAAACCCCATCTCTACTAAAAATACAAAAATTAGCCAGGTGTGGTGGTGGGCGCCTGTAATCCCACCTACTCAGGAGACTGAGGCACAAGAAACGCTTGAACCCGGGAGGCGGAGGTTGTAGTGAGTTGAGATTGCACCACTGTAGCCTGGGCGACAAAGCAAGACTGTCTAAAAAAAAAAATATATATATATATATATATATAAAATATATATGTATAATATATAATATATATACAAACACACACACATATATATGGGGGCTTGGACACAAAGAGGCAATAGGGTCCTCACCTCTAGGTTTTGTAAAACCCACCATTTATAGAATAATTGAATAGTGAGTTTTAACAATTTAGTGGTGGGAAAATGTCTGTTTTAAAAATATACAGTGCATCCAAATCTATGAAAATTTCCCATCCACCTCTGTGCCAAGCCACACAGTTTTCCTCCCTAGAGATAACACCCTTAGCAGTTCCCGATGTCTCTTTTCAGAGGTGGTTTGTGGTGCACACACAGGTGGGCAATGACACGTCCCACATGCTGGGAGTACTACCTTTAAGGGATTTATAATGAAGAGAGCTTCCAGCACATCATACAATGGGGAACTCTTGAAAATGGCTGGGAAATGGAACATCTTGGGCATCAAATTATACTCCATCAGTAATTCAAACCAGGGTTTCTCGACTTCAGCACTATTGTACTGATATTTTGGGCCGAAATGTTCATTGTCCCGGGAGGTAGGAGTGGAGAGGGAGCTGTCCTGTGCACTGTAGGATGTTCAGCAGCAGCCCTGGCCTCTACCCACTCAATGCCAGGAGCACACGGCTCCTCCCACTTCAGTTGTGGCTGCCAAAAATGTCCCCTGGGGGAAAGGGAGCAACATCACCCCATTAAGAACCGCTGTTCTAAACCTTGTATGACATCTGTAGAAAACTGGCAGATAAGAGAAAAAATGTAGAAGATTCAAAGGGATAGGAAAGAGAAATCTGTGAAGACAATGGAAAGAGCCTGTAGTCCCAGTTACTTGGGAGGCTGAGGCAGGAGGATTGCTTGAGCCCAGGAATTTGAGGTTGCAGTGAGCCATGATCGTGCCACTGCACTCCAGCCTGGGAGACAGGGTGAGACCCTGTCTCGAATGAACAAAAAACTCAAAGGTTATTATTCCGTAACTATTGAAAGAATCTTTTCATGAAGGATGGTAATAACCAGCTTTCTATCTCCACACAGAGCAAAGTAAAAAGAAGTAGGTTTAAATGGAAGAGAAATTAAAACTGGACATACAGATGGTTAAATATTAACAACGGCCCCTGAATGGCACTTTCTTTCCTAAAGATCTTCATGAGCAGAATAATCTAGGATGGCTAGGGATTGTTCCCTCGGGACTTTGTGGTTAAGAATTCAGGATCTTCAAGTAATGAAATCTGCATTAAAAAATTAGCCAAAACTGTTTGTTTATTCCATAATCATGTCTATATGGTGCTTTTAAGAAAACAATTTTTTTGTTGCTATAAAAGCAATACATATTCACTGTGGAAAAATTAGACGATATCTCTAAGCTTAAAAGAAGAAAAATTTAAAACACCCTTAATCCCACTAACCAGTGAGATACCATGTTTGATACTTTAGTGAATTCATTTCCTAATAGTTTTCTGTGTTCGCAAAGGTATATGTGTAGATATAAATATATTACACCTACATAGAAACGACGGATCACTCAGCACATAATGCTTTGAAGCTTCCATTTTTTTTCCCATTTAATCCGCTGCACATGTCTTTTTCCATCCGTGTGTACCACCGTATTAGTTTTAATTCTTCCACTGCACAGATGGCTTATAATTTAAAACATCCCCTGTTTTTGGAGATTTAACTTGTTTCCAGTGCTTTGAGATCATAAGTAATATTGCAGCAAACTTTCCCTAGTCAGGGGTTTGCACACCGTTCTTCCCCCCACCCCCACTCCCCACACCCCAGGACAAATTCTTGGACATCAAGTTGCTGGAGCACATGATACCAACAGCTGTAGGGCCCGGAGTAATTGGCGAAACTGTGTATCTGTAAGGCATTTGGTAGGAAAAATGCTAAACAGACCACCAGAAAGATTGCTCAACTTACATTCCCATGGGTGGTATTGGTTTTTGCTTTTTTTGGTTTTGTTTTTTAATCTTGGCTAAAATGACAATTTGAAAGGCGAGGGTGGAGGGTGTTCAGACAGCTCTCTCATTCTGTTGAGAATTGCTTGGCCCAGTTCTGGGCCTTGTCTGAATTGCCGGTTTGCTGCAATGTTTTTTACAATTGAGCAATCACCTAGAAAAAAGAGAAGGTGAAACTAACCTACTGCAAAAAAACTGCTCCAGGATGAAGAAGGTTGCCTGTATTTCGTCATTTCAGCCAAGCCGGAATACGGAGCAAGGCTGTCTGCACCGTGCTACCATCCTCTTCAGGCTGCAGGGCATTTTGTATACCCACCACCTCCCATTGATGCTGGAAAATCCGGTCACAGAATTCCGTGCAGCCCAGCCCCTGAGGGTGGGGCGTCCTGTCTCCGGGACGCCGGGTTTTCTCTGGACACGAATGCTCCGGGGGTAGGAGGCGAATGACACTGGCACGGCGGGGCTCCGGAGCCAAGAGGTGACCAGGCTGGCTGGGCAGGGCTGAGTGGCTGGGCCGAGCACGTGATGCTCCCAGCCGGCCTCCGGGGCCCTCCGGGCTGAAATCGACATTTGCCTCTGGCAGGAAAATGAGCTTGTCAGTTTCTGCCTCCATTAGACCCTCAACCCAAAGGAGCAGGAGATTTCGGTAGCGTTTTAACTTTATCTCAGAATCTGAAAGCGGAAGGTAAGCTGCTTATCACTCAGAAAAACAAATTTGAGAGGAGTGACCTAGTAAAGTACACTGCGACTTTGTTGATTTTTAAAATCTGGTGTTGAAAATAATTGATCGCTGTGAGAGTCAAGGGCTGTATTTATCCCCAAATTAGAGATTAACCTTCTGAACAGAAATTTGGTTAATTTGGAGGGAATCACGGTATAAGGGCCAGGGTTAAATATAGAAGGACACGAAAGCTGATGGAATAAACTGCAAGTAAACTTAACTCTAGCCTGCTTGTAAAACAATCTATTTCATGTCTCCTTCAGGGCTGTGAGCAAAGGGAATGTTAAAATTGTGATTTTTAACTCAAGTGAAAGTAAATGAATCTATTTGCAATTGGAATACAAATAAAAGCAGTCTTTGCTTTTGTCCTTTTACATTTCAAAAACGCTTGTGTATTTTGGCAAAAGAAAAGTTTATATGTGCACTGCTTAAGTTTGAAATACGCTATTTCAAATTTACAAAATTATCACAGTTGTAATTTTCTAAAGTCTTTCTAGGCAAGGCTGTTTCAGTTGTGAATGAGAAATGTTGACATTGTACATATTTTCTGTGATAGTAAAATGACTCACTTCTTCAGAATGTGATAAAGATTAGAAAATGTGAAATAATGAGTTATTGTGAATTAAGTCATGTCTCAGAGATTAAATGCCTTGCCAGAAGATGTAAGAAAACAGAGACACAAATACAACCATGCTCACGTAGCAGTGCTTTATTTTAAATCATCACATATTTAAGTAAGTAGTAGAAATACGTGGTGTCACCATTTTTTCCTTTGGCAAATACAAATTAATATTGGAATGCAGCTATTCAGAGTAATTAAAGCATTATTCATCCGTGCAATTAGTATAATGTTCCATAATGAATTGCTTTGAACTAAAGTGTTTGGTATAATACTCGATATACGGCTTGAAACATAGAAACTCTAGGCAAAGTATGTCCATGCTATATTTTGTGTCATTTTGATTTGCACAAAATGTTTATTTCTCCACTGCATTTGATAAATACTAGTTTTAAAATAAAACATGAAATTGTATTTCCTTTCACTGTAATCCCTTTATTGCTAATTCTTTTGAAATCCTATTACTCGCTTGGAGCCTGTAATAATTTGGATTTCTCCTCCTGTGTGTTGTTTTTCATAATTCTTCGCGAAAGGCCAGGCAAGCTGCACACATCAAGCGAAACGCCTGAGGGGCGGCCAGCGCGAGGGTTTCTGGCCATCGACCCTCACCTCCCGGGACTTCCAGGGTCTTCCCCCCACCCCGCGCACACCTCCCTGCCTCGCCCCGAGGGCGTCACGTGGCAGCGTGGGGCCCGCCTCCTGGTGATGTCACGGCGCTCGCAGCCGTCGCGCTGAAGAAAGGATGCTCGAGGATGCTGTCCAGGTGGGCGGCCGCGGGCGCGATGCGGCACTGCAGGTAAGGGGCGCGCGGCGCCTGGATGCCCTCCCCGGCGCCCCCGGCAGCGCGGACGCTGCAGGTGGAGCCCGGCCCGCGGGCCTGCAGCCCGGCTGCGCCCCCAGAAACCCAAAGTGGGGCCTCTGGCTGCTGCGGCGCCTGCTGCCCACAGCTGCCTGCTGCAGCTGCATGCACCCGGCCGGGGATGGCCCGTGGCAGGCCCACGCGTGACTTGGGTCTTGGCGTGCCCGCCCCGAGAAAGCGGGCAGGGGCCAGACAGAAAGACGGGGGAGGGAAAAAACCGCTCCGGCGGGGGAACAAAATCTGAAGTGACCACACTGCATGCATTCTAAGTAGACAGAGGGGCTTTTAAGAGGTAACTATCAAGTGTTTTCCTAGTGTCATTCTGCTTCTTAAATAACGACATGTTTACTAATTACAGGCCTTTGTCCTCAGTAATTAGCCTCATTTCTTTCAAAGCAAAAGCGGGCTGGGGAGTGGAAACTTCTTGGTTAGCAATTTAAGAGCCAGATGTGCAATCTAAATTGCTTTGCATTATTTTGCAAGGTTCCAGCATTTACAGGGCATACGTCAGAAACGTATTTTTTTTTTCCTTCCAGGTGTTTTAAGTAGATTAAAAAAGAACGGTATCCAATACAATAAAAATAAATTGCAGCTTCCAAAGATAACATGTGAGCGTAAGAGACAGCTACATCTCTAAGAACCAAATGATCTTTAGCAGAGAGTGGGGGTGGAGATAACACCAAAACCTAAGAATTCCCAGAGTTCTTGTTAATTCTCTCGCTGATAATTCGCTTGCTGAATGGAGAGGCTTGATGACAGCGCCAGATGGAGGGGTCAGGTGACTTCAGTTCTAGCATGACAGTGGGTGGGGGATTTTAATGGACTGTTTCTAGAGCGTTTACATGCCTTTCTCGGGGTCAGGAAGAAACTACAGCCAGGACGTGTGGGGGCACCCTTAGGGGGAGAATGTGGCATTATTTTCCCCTCTAAAACCTGACCCTTCTGGAAGCTTTGTTGTCACTAAACTGTATTGGAACTCACATCATGAATAATTTGACCAACCAGCAACGTTGGGGGGCCTGTAAAGCAATGCTATTTCCATCAATAATTGAAGGAGGCATTTCTTTCAGAATTTGGGACACCCAGATGTGTTGCTGCAGTAATTTAGTAACTTGTTTATTGCAATTTTCTTCCTTTGGTTCAGTTTGGTTACACAAATTAAGATCCCCGGGTCCCCGCCCTCCCTTCTCCTCCAGCCCAACCCTAGATAGAGCAAAGCAGATGATAGAGGTGGATCTAATACAGACCTAGATTCCACTTTTGGCTTTGTGACTGTGCAGCCTTGGATATGTCATTTAGTGTCTTTGGGCCTCGACTATCTCGTCCTCAAAGTAACAAAGGGATTTAGGTCAGGGTGTCTCAACCTTGGCACTACTGGCATTTGGGGCCAGATAACTCCTTGTGGTGAGGCTGTCCTGTGCATTGTAGGATGTTTAGCAGAATCTCCGACCTCCACCTACTAGATGCTAGTAGCACTTCCCCCTCCCAGCCCCCAGTTGTGACAATCAAAAATGTTGCCAGACATTGCCAAATGTCCCCTGAGGGCTCCCTTGCCCCCTGTTGAGAACCACTGATTGAGATGATCTCGAAATATTCTTCTTCGGGCTCCAAGAATTCATTTTCTTATGATTGGTTTGATGCCAAGCCCTTGATCAGAAATCTGATTCCCTTTCTTAATATCACATATATTGGAAAACACAATGTGAAGGCGTTTTTATGCTGTGAATTTCCAGAAATAGCTTCTGTGAAAAGGGGAGGAGCTGTTTGTATGCCATTTGTAGCTGGGAGGCGAGCTTGGCAGAAAGGAGAGTGTTAGGGAAAGAGGAAAAAAACAGAGCACTAGATGAACGTGTGTGGAAACCTGCCGGGGCTTCGTGCTCAGCAGACCTGGAGCACGTCCCTGGACGTAGTCTAACCCTGGGTTAGACCTAACAGCTGAGAGTCCATTTCCTTGTCTGCAAAAATGAGAATAACAGTGTCCACTCGGAGGTGTTGTGAGGATGAAACGACACGACATCTGGTGCTGGTGGGGGACGTGGTGAGGACGAGAGGGTGGTAATGTCTATGCAGCTAGGAGGAGGCAAACACAAATGGCCCGCACCACCAGCGACACGGACACTCGCTTGGGCAGACATGGTCGCATGCTTTAAGCTTCAGTCCAGGACTAAAGATCTGGCTTTGACACCTAGGAGGGTGACCGTGGCTGCATCACTTCACCCTGCAGAGCTGCTGTCGGATCTGTAAAGTGGGGCCAACCGTGCTTGCTGACTCTGCTTCCTTGGCTGTTGGGGAGGGACGGATGGAAGTGAGAGGGTCTGCAGGCTGGGAAACTCCCAAGAGACAGGAAGCGGGGGTGGCAGCAGCATAGCAAGGGGGGGACATGTTTACTATGTGTGTGTATGTGGTGGTGGTGGGGTGCTTAGAATGGCCAGAAAACATTTCCTTGTGCCCCAGGCTTTGGACTTTGATGTGTCCCTCCCCTGGGTTCCCTTTCCGTTGCCATCAGCTTGCTCTCTCTCTCTCTCTCTCTCTCTCTCTCTCTCTCTCTGTCTGTCTCATCTTTCCTGGCACCATGAAAATGGTCTCCTGGGGGGAGATAGGAAAGCCCTGGTGGGGGAGGTTGGCCTTCGGTGAGGAAGACCCACTGTGCAGAGGGCTAGGGTGAGAGCAGCTGGCTCCATCCACTCCCCACGCCACTGTCCTCACAGGCTTCAGTCCACGGACATCCCAGGGCAGGCCTGTCACGCTCCTGTGTGCCTCCAGTGGGCTTGGTGCTCTGTATGAGCCATCTGGCCTTGTCTCTTCAACAAGGTAATATCATGAAAGAAATTTTTAAAAAGGGAGGTGGGGTATTCTCCATCAAACGAGACTTAAGAGACGGAATAGCCAAATATCACTTGTGGCCCTCGATTGGATTCGGCCCAAACAAACGTGTAACAGGCATTTTGGGGATGCCTGGAGATGCTTTGATGTGACTGGCTATTAGGTGACACTAGGAGACTGCTGCTGCTTTGATTAGATGTGACAGTCTGTGATGTGTTCGGCAGCCCCTCGGACAGATGCAGTGATCCCCACCCCTGGCAGCTGCAACTTGGCATCACCCTCTCCCCTGGGGTTTGGTCTGGACCAAGTAATGAACTTCCAATGAATACGTCTAGCAAGGGGTGGGGGAGAGGCACTTCCACCATGAGGGTGTAAAGGGGCTTCTGCCTGGGGTGTGTTTTCTCTCTTGGGTTGCTTACACTGAAGCTGCCATGTCGTGATCAGCCCTACAAAAGGGTCCATCTGCCGTGGTGAGGACCCGAGGTCCATTCCAACAGCCTGAGAAGAACTGAGACCCGCTGACGGTGTGAGGGTGTGAGCGGGCTCGGAGGCAGACCCTTCAGGCCCAGTTGAGTCTTTTTTTTTTTTTTTTTTTTTTGAGACAGAGTCTCGGTCTGTCACCCAGGCTGCAGTGCAGTGGTAGCGATCTCAGCTCACTGCAACCTCCGCCTCCTGGGTTCAAGCGATTGTCATGCTTCAGCCTCCCTAGTAGCTAGGAATACAGGGACACGCCACCACGGCTGGCTAATTTTTGTATTTTTAGTAGAGATGGGATTTTGCCATGTTGGACAGGCTGGTCTCGAACTCCTGACCTCAGGTGATCCGCCCACCTTGGCCTCCCAAAGTGCTGGGATTACAGGCATGAGCCACCACGCCTGGCCGCAGTTGAGTCTTGAGATGCTTGCAGCCCTGTGAGACACCTTGAGCTGAGGCACCAGCTAAGCCACTCCAGGGTTCCTGACACAGAAACAGTGACATGATAGATGTTTGTGTCCTGCTGCTATGCTTTGGGGTAAGTTGTTAGGCAGCAATAGATAGCTAATACATGTGTTTATGTAGAAAAGTCTTCTTGTTTAGAGATGTATACTAAAGTGTTTAGAGATGAAGTGTCATGGTAGCAGTCATTTACTTTTTTTCTTTTTTTGATGTTTTCTTGAGATCTCTTTAATGTATGACTTAATAGGAGACAGATGAATTCTCATACTTGGTTCTACATTCAATCTGTTTCAATATCGCATGTCATGTAGCCTCTGGAAAATTCCATTGTATGCTCATGAGAGAATGAACTTAGAAAAAGGCAAATAACAATGTCAGAATATTGTGAAATGTTTTTGACATCATGGACTCCCTTAAAGGGACTTGGGGAGCCCAAGGAGTCCCCAGATGACACTTTGAAGATCAGGCTTCAAGATCAATAATTTACTTTTAAATGGTTCAGTTAAATGAAGAGAGAGAAAGAGATAAAGCAGATAGAGCCAAATGTGAACAACTGTTCAGTCTGATTGGTGTTATTCACTGGATTCTTCTGGATGATGTTCTGTGTAATTGAAAATGTTCATAATAAAAAATTAAGAAAAAAAGAAAAGAAATGTAAACCCTTAGACACACTGGGGATTCTGACTGAATAGGTCTGGGGGTGAAGCCCAGGGCTTAACCTGTGCTCCAGGTGCCCCCATCACATGGGCCAGAGGCCCCAGCCACTTTGCCCCAGAGGTCCTCGCCTTACCTGCCTCCTCTCCACCTGTCAGCCTTGCAGTAGCAGACCAAAGGGGTTTAGTGTGATGACGCATCTCTTCTACCAACCTGGGGGAAGAGGTGTGTGGGGACAGTCCCCCCTCCTATCCCTTCCCCCATACACACTTTCCCTTGGTAACAAGACCTTTGTTTAACCACATTTTCAGTGGGTGGCTTTTTTATGTGCAGGAATTTTTTTTTTTTTGTGATAAGTATTTTTTTAAATGACTTTCATTTCTTTTCTTTTTTTTTTTGAGATGGAATCTCTCTTTGTTGCCCAGGCCGGAGTGCAGTGGCTTGATCTCGGCTCACTGCAACCTTCATCTCCCAGGTTCAAGTGATTCTCCTGCCTCAGCCTCCTTGTAGCTGGGATTACAGGCACGCACCACCACGCCTGGCTAATTTTTGTATTTTTAGTAGAGACGAGTTTCACCATGTTATCCAGGCTGGTCTCGAACTCCTGACCTCAGGGGATGTGCCCGCCTCGGCCTCCCAAAGTGCTGGGATTATAGGCTTGAGCCACTGCTCCCGGCCCCTTAATTACTTCTTCATTCAGCAAATATTCCTTGGGTCTGTGCGTCTAGGCCAGGGTTTCTCAACCTTGACACTGTGGACGTTAGGGTCCAGATGATTCATTTTTATGGGGGGCTGTTCTGGGCAATGTAGGGTATTGAGCCGCATCCCTGGCCACCATCCACTAGATGCCAGTGGCACCCCATCTCCCAGTTGTAATAACAAAAAATGTCTCTAGACATGGCCAAATGTCCCCTGGGGGTCAGTATTGCCCCCAGTTGGTTGAGTCCTACAAGTCTAGGCAGTGGGATACATGTTAGGACCAAATGGACAAGGTTCCTGCCCTCACGGGACTGATTTGAGCTGAGGGAAGAGGAAGTAGCTGTTGGATAGGCTGTGTGTTGAGTGAAAGGATGGACAGCAAAGGATGCACAGCACTGGACTCCAAACGCTGGTCAGGGAGGGCAAGAAGGCCTCTCTGAGGGGTCGCACTTGAGCAGAGATCCGAATGGAGAGAGAGCCACTTGAGCACGGTGGGCTGAGTGCTCAGGGCTGAGGGAACAGCCAGTGCAAAGGCCCTGAGGCAGGGCAGGACAGGAAGCGTTTGCGGAAAGCAGGGAGATCGGCGTGTGCAAAGTAGAGCTACCCAGAGAGTAGGGGTGGGGACAGGTGCTCAGAGGGGCGCAGGGGGCAGGCCATCCTGGAACTGGCAGTTGTGGTGTCAACCCTGGATTGTCCTCAGTGTGATGGAAAGCCACTGGATGCTCCTGTGTCGGGGAGTGACATGTTGAGACTGGGTTAAAAGGACTGGCTGCTGTCAGGAGCAGAGTCAGAGGTGGGTGAGAAAGAAAGCAGGGCAGCCAGCAAGGAGGCTAGGAGGCGAGGCTGGAGGCCAGATGGGGAGTGGCCAGGGTGACCAGGTGAGTTGGACTGAGGAGCTAACCTCTTTAGCAGCAATGTTGTCCTAGGTGCCAGAGTGGGCCCTTGGTGATCAAAGAAGCCTGGCGTGGGAGGGTAGTGTGAACTACAGGGCAGGACATGGAGGCTGCAGACGTGTCCTCATGCATCCGGCTCAGTCGCAGCATCACCTTTGATGGGCGGTGGCCTCCCAGGGACAGCAGAGGAAATGGCCATGCACATTCCCACATGACACCTGAAAAGCTCTCTTTCCCGCTTCTTGTCGTGGCTGAAGTCTCCCAAGCTGTCAGGCTGCCGGTGGCTCCGGTGATTCTGGCTACACAGCTTGCTTGCTGTCCTCGGGCCCAGCACATTTGTTCCTGCCACTGAGTCTCTGAATTGGCTGTTCTCTGTGGCTGGAGGGTCAACCCCCACACTTGTTCCCTTGTTGCCTTCTCCAAGTGGCCCTGGTCGCCCTGCACCGCCTGTCACGTGCGCTTCTGCGGGATGCAGTGGCCTGCAATCGGGGGTTCATGGAAGCCCCTGCCTGCTGGCTTGCCATCTTCACACTGTTCTTGACGTGGTCCTGCCCTGCCCCAGGGCCTTTGCACTGGCTATTCCCTCAGCCCTGAGCACTCAGCCCCCTCGTATTCAACAGAGAGCCTGCTGTTGGCTGGGTTGAAAGTAGATGTGAGACCGGAGCCTTCCTCACAGAGGGGACTTGAACCCCTCTTGAAGCTGCAGAAGAGGAGAGTCCTGGAAGGCTGGGGTCAGGCCCTTGACCTGCCCTGGGGACGACACATGGGAACAGCAGGGTCATGAAGGAGAGGCTGTGGGTGGGCGCTCCCCCTGAGGGTGGTGTTCCCCTCTTTCCATCTGAGGCAGTTGGGGCGCCCAGGATGGGTTTGGGGTTTGCTGATGTGAGAGCTACCCCAACGCTGTGTTTCCTTATGGGGGAGGCTGCTCCTGGTCCTGGGTGCTGGGCCTGCGGCTCCTCTCTGTGGCTGCCGCTCCCCTGAGCCTTGCCCGCAGTTTCGCGATGCTTCCCGATGGGCTGACTGTGTCCTCCTATCTCTTGGCTCTTCACTTCCCTTCTGGGTTGATTTGGCTAAATATGAAAGTTCTTTTTCGCCCTCCACTCTAACCCCTGGAGGTGCTGGTTGGGTGAAAAGGCCTCTGTGGTTAGCAGATAGCCGAGAGATTGTTCCTCTTAGCTTAGTCACGCATCACACCAGCTCGCCTTTTACCCCAAACATGGAATTGGCTCAAATGTCAGCCCGTGTGTTGGTCAGAGTGGCCTGCCTCTCTTCACCGTGGCGTCCCGGGCCACCAGGAACAGCACATGAACGCGGTTTTGGGTGCCTTCCAGCATTTAGGCTTTACACACTTGCCAGTCACGAGTGGCTCCTGAAATTTTCTTTTTATCCATGAGGGGGTGTGAACCTTGGATAAGCAGAAAATAGGTTGTTGTGGAGAAAACCTGTCAGAAAATGGTGAAGGGAAGGCCAGGCTGTGGAGGTGCCAGAAGAGCGAGGGATTTCCCACCTGCACTGTCTTCAGCAGCTGTGATGGCTTGAACTGTGTCCCCAACAAATTCATAGATTCAAGTCCTAACCTTCAGTACTTCAAGACGTGACCTTATTTGGAGATAGGGCCTTGACAGAGGTCATCATGGTGAAACGAAGGCATCAGCAGCGCGCGTCCCTTCATCTCAGACTTCTGGCCTCCGGAACTGGGAGAAAACCCTTTTCTGTTATCTGAGCCACCCAGTCCGTGGTGCTTGGTTACGGCAGCCCTAGCAAGCACGTGCAGCAGCATTTTTTTGTGGATGCATGAGAGCGCGACCCAGGGGCCTTTAATTAAGCTATTCTCACACGGTGTAGGAGAAACGTGGCCCCCAGTGCCCTCTCCATGGAGGCACATGGCTCTGGGTCCTGAGGTGGCAGAGGCCTGCCTGCTGTTGTGGAGAAAGGCCCCTGGGACCTGGGCTGGATCCAGCTGCCCCCTCACTGTGTGTGAGACTTAACCTCTGTGCCGCAGTTTGCTTATCTGTAACTTATCTGTAACGTGGGCCTGAGGGAGGCGGTACTTCATACACGGGGGAAGTGCTTAGAATGAAGCCAGGTACACGGAGCCCTGTACAAAGGCGTTGTGACTATTATTATGGGAAGAAGTCTCTGGGGAAATTCCAAACCCTTGGCTCTTGGCACCAGCAACACAAACACCTCACAGCCCAGCCCTCCTGTCCCTGGGATGGGGGTGTGAGAACACTGAGGCCATTGTGTCACCCGAGGCCACATGTGGTTGGCCTCATCCTATTTCCAACACGTGGGCTGGGTTTCAACGTGGAACGAATGGCTGCATGGCCCTGGGTCCATAGGAAGCCTGCCATGGTCACACAACAGCTGCCTAGTCCTATGGAAGCCAGACTGTGATTGAAGGAACACAGGGAGTGCTGGGGGCAGGGCCGGGGCCGGGGAGGAAGTGGGAGGAGGAAAAAGGAAGTGTCTCCGCTGGTTCGAGGCAGAATTTTGAAACAGGCACAGTTTCTTTCTGAACATCCTTTTGCTCTGAGCTTCCCCCTGTTTGAAACTCCTTGGTCGTGTGGCCCTCCACCCCTCACTGGGGGCCACCACCTGGCTCCCGTCACTGTCAGTGCCTTCCTGTCTTCTCCCCTCTGGTGTTTGGAGGGTTAGCTAGAAGGGGTGGAATGAGTCCTGGCCACCTCATCATCCTAAAGGTGCCCGCATTTTAAAAGCAAGACTCAAAATGATTACAAATGAAAATGAAATTCCTGGGGTTTCAGGCAAGGTGGAATAAGGCAGTGAAAAGCTTTTGTATTGGAGCCAGCCTCCAAGATGGGCCTCGACCATCCTACCTCCAGGTGTTCATGCTCATGTGTGGTCCCCTCCCATATGGAACCATTCAGGGCTGACCTGTGTCACCAATAGGATACCGTGGAAGCGACAGTGTGTGACTTCCAAAGCTAGGTCATTAGAGACCCTCCTGGTTCTCTTGGACCACCCCCTCTAGAGAAAGCCAACTGCCATGTCGTGGGGACATTCAGGGTATCCTGTGGGGATGCCAGCGAGCAAGTTGGTTGCTATGTGAGGGAGCCCCCGTCCAACTTTCAGATGACAGCAGCCCTGGCTGACATCCTGACCACAACCTCCTGAGAGACGCTGAGCCAGAAAGACCCAGCCACACTGCTCCCCACTTCCTGACACATAGAAACCGTGTGAATGGTCAGTGTAAATGGTAATTAGTGATGCAGCTTCAGATAACTGAAATGACTAGTAATGGTCCAAAGCTTTCTTGGAGGGGAGGCCCAGTGCTGGTCTCTCCTTGGGTCAGCTCCCCAGGCTCTGGCCATAGCTGCCTTCGTTTTGCCCCTTCTGAAGCTCCACTTTTCTCTGATCGTTCCATATTTGTTCATGGTATTTTCTCTCTCTTTCCTTCCTAGGTTGGAGAGGAGAGGAGCTTCATGCAAAGTTTAGGTCTATTGATGATAAATTAGGGCATATTGAGGATGAGTTTGGATATATAGATTTTTAGTAAATGGGCAACGGTCTGTATTTCATGAAAATGTATATCCTGTGTATCTCTTTATAGCCTGGAGGCTTCAGTAAAATATTCCCCAAATGCCAGTGGGGTTTGGCTGTCTGGGCGTTACTTTGGGCATTCGGCCTTTGCAGATGCGGGATGTCATTTTTGATGCGAGCAGCCCCCTTTTCCTCCAGCACCAGGGAAACACGCCACAGCCTGTAATGCAATGTGGAGCCCGTGTCCTCTGCCCGCTGCACAGGGGATTTGCCAACTCCAGCGCCTTTGCTTTGTCAGGGCTTTCAGACTTCTGACCTCAATTATTTCAGTGGGAGGTCATTTTTGCAAGAGAGGATGCAATGGGTGTTTGAAAAGAGAAAGTATTTCACGGGCACTTCAAAGAAGTGTTGCAAGCATGCCAATGAAAAACCTCACTTTTGTAAAGTGAAGCAGTGAGATTTAACTCCAGCTGATGGCTTGTTTGGGTTGCCTTTGGTCAACTTTTAATTGAAATCCATGTGCAGAAAAGTGCACAAAAGGTAAGCGTGCAGCTTGATGAATTGTCACAAGGTGAACACACCTGGGTAACAGTGCCCAGATCCAGAAATGGAACATGACCAGTTCCCAGAAGCCACCCTCATGTCCCCTTCCAAGGGTAACTGCTATCCTGAATAACGCCACTGGTTCCTTCTGCTTGTTTGGAACTTTATAGGGATGGAATCTCGGATCCCTTTGTGTCTGCTTTTCTTTGTGTCTTTCTTTTACTTGACATTAGGCTTGTGAGCTTCATTCTTATTATGGGATGGAGTGGTACCTCTTTCCTCCTCATAGCCCTGTATAGCCTAATAGCTTTCTTTGTATGTAAAGTGTCTCTTTTCTGTCACTGCTTTTAAGAGATCTTCTTTTTCACTTGTTTAACAGTTCGATTATGCTATGCCTTGGTGTAGTTTTCTTCATTTTTTTGTGTGTGCTTGGGGTTTGTTGAGCTTCTTCTATCTATAGGATTATATAGTCTAATAGTTTAAATCTTTGTGTAAACAAGATTTCCTATATTGAATGTTCTGGTCAGTGTATCTACATTTATTTCCGAGAAACTTCTTGAGAGAGCTTAAAGGGATTTTTAAGGCAGTTTCCCTCTCAAGCTGTCACCTCCTCCACTTGGATAAAAACAGTGAAGGATTTGTCTTGTTGGGCTGATAAGAAACCGTCAGCTTGTGGTGCTTTTAGCCTCTGTTATGGGTCCAGAGTCCACTCCCTCAGGCTCCATTGATTCTGTGTCGAATGCCTGTGGCTGGATATCAGGAGGACACCTGTTTTTGTCAGCCCAACTCTTTTCATGAGTGAAAAGTAACAAGGGAAACAAGATGAATTCAGAAAAACAAACAAACAAACAAACAAAACCAGTAAGGAAAGGCAAGGTATGCCCCTCAGACAGGCATTGCTACAAATTATTATCATGTCTTTAAAAAAATATTTTCTGTTTTTCTTTTTAAAATTTTTTAATTTTGCTACAAATTATAAAACTGGTGGGTGATGGTGGACGTTTCAAAACCACTCACGTGTGACATGGCAGTGACTTCAGGCTGGCCTACATAGCCTTTTGTTCTCTGTACATGTACAGATAAAAATCTTTCTTGATTCTTTTTTTTTCTTTTTCTTTTCTTTTCTTTTTTTTTTTTTTTGAGATAGAGTCTCGCTCTGTTGTCCAGGCTGGAGTGCAGTGGTGTTATCTTGGCTCACTGCAAGCTCCGCCTCCTGGATTCAAGCGATTCTCCTGCCTCAGCCTCCTAAGTAGCTGGGATTACAGGCATGCACCACCATGCCTGGCTAGTTTTGTATTTTTAGTAGAGATGGGGTTTCACCATGTTGGCCAGGCTGGTCTTGAACTCCTGACCTCAGGTGGTCCACCTGCCTCGGCCTCCCAAAGTGCTGGGATTACAGGCATGAGCCACCACACCCGCCCTCTTATCTTGATTCTTGAGCATGTCTGTGCAGTGATGTCCAAAGCATTCAATAGCTGACTACTTGATAGGGTTTTATATCTATTGATGGATATAGTATTAATAACACTCCCTGTAGAATAGAGGTAGTATGTGTGCCTGGCTAAGCTTTTTGTGGCTTAGTGGACACTATTTCTATATAGCAACATTCAGCAAACACTTCATTTTATGCAGGTCCGGATAGTAAATAGAGATGAGTAACATAAGCCTTTGCCCTCAAGGAGCTCACAGCCAAATATGGGAGGAAGCATGTTTGTAAATAATCACTTGAACAAAATGCAGTTTCTAAATAAGATTGATGTTAAAAATATTAATATAAACAATATTAAAATTTTAGTGATTAAAACACAATGGCAAGGATGCAGGTCATGAAATGAGTGGAAAATAGGAAGGGAACAAAAGGTTATACTAGGCCAGTGGCTCTTAATGTGCGCCCTTGGATCAGCTGCAGCAGCCTCCCTTGGAAGCTTGTTAGAAATGCAGATTCCCCGGCCCCATCCAAGCCTTGCCGGATCTGAAGCTCTGAGGGTGGGACCTGACAGTCTGGGTTTCCCCAGCCCTCCTGGTAATGCTGATGCACGTTCAAGCTGAAGAACCACTGGTTTAGACGGTGATAAGCCACCAGGGTTCTGTCGGGAAGCCTAGGACAGGCCATTTTAGTGCCCACGTTGTCCCCTAATTGCCAGAAGCCTCAGCACAGCTTGGACCCTTTTGTTAGGGGACTGATGTATGTCGGCAATCAATAAAGTATATTAGGGAGTTTTTCTGAATTTTTTTTGAGACAGCGTCTCGCTGTGTCACCCAGGCTGGAGTGCAGTGGCGCGATCTCCGCTCACTGCAACCTCCGCCTCCCGGGTTCATGAGATTCTCTTGCGTCAGCCTCCAGAGTAGCTGCTGGGATTACAGGTGCCCACCACCATGCTTGGCTAATTTTTGTATTTTTAGTAGAGACGGAGTTTTACCATGTTGGTCAGGCTGGTCTCGAGCTCCTGACCTCAGGTGATCCACCCACCTCGGCCTCTCAAAGTGCTGGGGTTACAGGTGTGAGCCACCGCGTCCGGCTCTGAATTCTTAAATGAAGGGAAAGTTTTACTTTGCCCAACTAGTACAGCTTACTACTTTATTTCTTTTATGGATTGTGTTTTTGATGTCATTTCTAATAACTGTTTGCCTAGCCCTAGGTTTTGCTCATTTGTGTAGGAGAGGTAAAGATCACTCACATGGGTTTACACAGGCAAGGGCATAACTGGCTGAAGAAATATAAAATGCCATGTGATGCTGCCTTCGTTTGGGTCCTTGCAGAAGTGGAACTTGAAATTAGGTTTCTGGTGCAAGTTGATTTGGGAGGGGAGTGGGGAAGTGAGACCAGGAAAGGAAGGCAGCCATTAGGGCCGGGCTGTTAATGTCACGCAATGGGCGACTGGAGCTTAATTCCACACTTTGGAAACTCTAGGAAATGGTGCTCGCTGTGTCATGGGCCCCCAAGATCACCTCTGGGTCTGGTGATTTCCTAGGAGGGCTCATAAAACTTGACACATGGCATATGCATGGCTATGATTTAGTAAAGCAAGAGGACACAGAGAAAAATCAACAAAGGGAAAAGGCTTATGGGGTGAAGTCTGGAGAAAAGCAGGCACGTGCTTCCAAGAGTCCTCTCCCAGTGGGGTCACACAGAACATGCCTACTCCTGCCCATGGTGAGTTGAGACAACATGTGTGAAATGTCCACCAGGGAAGGTCCTTAGAGACTCAGCGCCTGGGATTTGTATTGGGGGCTGCTCACATAGGCACCCTCTGCCTAGCACACATCAAAATTCCAGACTCCCAGAGAGAAAGCAGGCATTCAGCATAGATCACAGTATTTGGACAAAGAGTTTAGGCACAGTGAGCCACTCTTACCAGCTCTGGGAATGGTGGGAACCCTCCCAAAATACAAATTCCCAGATGCCAGCCAAGGGCCAACCTTGCAAACAGGCCTTTCTAAGGAGAGCAGTCTCAGGTCTGCTATATTACGTGTTTTCTGCACAGGTACAAAGCACATGCCTTGAAATAATCTCATTCAAGGGACAAGGGAGTAGGACATTTGAAGATGTCTGGTTTTCTCCAGACTTTGCCCCGCAAGCCTTTTCCCTCGGGAGTCAGTTCTTGAGAGTCATCGATTAATACCTATTCCCAATAATGCACTTCAGGCATGCCATGTAAGCAGAGCCACCTTCTGTGGGTCTCAAAACAATGACAGTGACCTTAGACTAAGCGATATGGTTGGAAATTAGCTAGAGCTTACTGGAAGGTTTTGAGTGATATGAGTGGGGCGCTGGCAGCATCAGATACAGTAGTTATTCTAGAAATTGGATGGGGACAACAGAGCCATGTGTATAGGGTAGTTCGCATGCCTGGGGTCGTGTGGCAGTATTGTAACTGTGAATGAAGAGACCGAGGTCAAGGCTTCGCTCTAACCTCCTTAGGTAGATGCTTCCTTCCTGTGTCTGCTCATTGGAGGAATGGGAAAGTGTGTGTGTTTGTGTGTGTGTGTGTATGTGAGAGAGAGAGAGAGGGCATGCGTGTGTGTGTGTGTGTGAGCATTGTGGGGGCAGAAAATCCTGGTACACTAGCTGTATTTTAAACTTCCACTTCTAATCTTTCAGTTCTGAGCAGCGTGAATAGGCAGATAAACAAATGTTTGCTATAGCCTCAAACATTCATGCCAGAACATTTTTTTCCCTCCTTCCACACAAGTAAATTAAGAGAACAGCGGTCTGTTGTATAATTTGAAGATGGCTATTAATTTGTGTTGGATTGCATTTCTTAAGCATGTTATGTTATTCGAGGAGCAGGAGACCCTGGAGGAGGCGCTTGTGGGGAAGCTTTGAAGCTGGAGCAGGAAGGAGTGAAATGACACAGTCTGATGACGATCACGGTAATGCAGGCCTTGCAGCCTGGCGACATTCTTCAAAGGCAACTAACTGCAAGACTGCCCTCTTCCCCTCCCCTCTCAGACATCTCCAAGACCCTGCCAACCGCCAGATGAAACCAATCTTCCTAGAGCCTCGTGTGGTGGTCTCAGGCATCGCTTGGGAGTGCCTTAGAAATTCGGCGTCTCAAATGCAGTCTTGGGCCACACCCCAGCTCTCCAGGATCAGAATCTGCCGTTTAATAAGACCCTAAGGGATGCATGGCTCATCCAAGTCGGAGTCAGATCTCACCCGAGGCCGCACATTGGCAGCACCTGGGGAGCTTTTAAAAATGCTGATGCCTGGGCGCTGCCTCAGGGACCCCGGTTTAATGACTCTGGGCGGGGCCTGCTCCTTGGGCTTTCTGAATGCTCCCACGTGGTTCGGCTGCGCACCCCGGGCTGGGAACCGTGGGGTTCCCTGGCAGTACCCTTCTGGAATTCTCCTTCCCCAGCCTCCCAGTCACGTGACTGCTTAATCTCCTCCCTCTGTGGCTCTTTCTCTGTCCTCTGCTCCTGGCTCCCCGATTTCTGAAGGCAGCCCGGTCTCTTTTCTTTCTTTGTTACCTCCTGGCCATTCTCCAAAGTGCCTCTGCGGGGGCGGGAGCTTGTGAGAAATTCGAGCCTCAGCCATGCCCCAGACCTGCTGAATCAGCACCTGCAGTTTAACCAGAAGCCCAGGGGATGCGCATGTGCATTGTCATATGAGAAGCGCTGGTCTAGGTGACGTAAGCTGGGAAAGAAACCCAGGGAATCTGCTGGAATGTAGGGAGCCTGGGCTCAGGAACTGGAAGGCGTCTGTCTGGGTCTCTGGCTTGTTTGTTTTCTAGCTGTCTCAACTTGCCACTGTGGTCATTTGGGGCTAGATCACTCTTCTCTGTGCGGGTCGTCCTGTGCATTTAGGACGCTGGGCAGCATCTCTGGCTTTTACCCACATCATGCCATAGCAATCCCCCTCCCCAGAGGTGATAACCAAGAATGTCTCCAGGCATTGTCAAGCATCCCCTGGGGGCAGAATGGTCTCTAGGGGACACTTTGGTGTCTGCCTCTGGCCTCATTCCCTCCCGCCATACACCCTTGGTAGGGTTGGTGGTTCCAAGTTAGCCACTACCGTGGAAAGAGAGACTTCCTTTCTCCCCCTCGTCCATGTGTGCGGCCCTGCATGGGTCCCACGCTCATCCCCATAGCCGGTCATTGTGCCTGGTGGTCGGGGCACTGTCATTGGCCAGATTGGGTTCTGTGCCACATCTGGGGCCAGGGGCCAGCTTTGTTAGCAATTGAAGGAGACTGGGAGAGTTCTGATGGAGGCACAAATGGCTATTTTGGACCACTCTAGCAGCCCTTTACGGACCCAAGTCCTCCGCTGACCCTTCACCCAATAACAAGCTCATTTAGCAAATATCTGTTATGTGGCAACGAACAGCTGGGCCCTGTTCCAGGGCGGGCATTTTATAAACAGTCTTCAGGACCATCCTAGGAGGTGGTCTTGTTAGCCCATATTGCAGGTGAGCAGACTGCAGCTCAGCAGGGCTGGTGACACCCATGGCAACCTGCGGAGCCCAGTTGCTCCCTAATTCCCCCCACCCTGTGCCCTGCTGTCAGCCCTACCTTTCTGTCACCCCCTTGAGCTCTTCCTCCCCTCCAGGCTGCCCTACACTGCCATATAGCTGGACGAATTGTAAAAGGAACACTGTGTCATCATGCCTCTGCTCAAGTCAGGAAAGACTGTTGCTGCTGTCATCTTTTGTCCCCTCCCCAGTCCCCTCACCTCCCTGCCCCTCAGAATACTCTCCTGACTTCTATTGTGTTTACGTCTCTACTTTTCATTGTAGATTTACCAAAGAATTCTGGTTCCTGAGCTTTGTTAATTTACTTCTGCCCGTTTTTGAACATGATGTAAACGGGATCACACAGAGTGTTTGGATGCATCCGGATTCTTTTGCTCTGTATTCTGTGTTTACTCATTGCAAGCATACTTTGGGAAGTGCTTGAGTCAAAGGGTGGGTAGATGAGAAGCCACTGAAGGTGACAGAGGAATGGCCGTGGGTCAGAGAGGGAATTACCTTGGCATTACTTGGGCAGAGCTGGAGTGGTGGGCTACGCAGTTAGGAGGTTGCGGTGACCTGGGTAGGAGCTCCAGCTTAGGGTCTGAAGGCCGTGGGGAGGATGGCAGGTGAGGCGTGGTAGGTTTGGGAGGGTTGTCCTGCCTTCTCTTTCTGACGAGGTAGGAGTTACAGGTTGGAGGAGATGGAAAAAGGGGGAAGCATTCCTCATACAGGCTTGTTGGACCAGCAGGAGCTGAACCAGCAGTCGTCTTGGGTTGCAGTGAAGCCCCCTCTGAGACTAGGGGCTCCCAGCACCAAGGAACTGGCAGCCAGCAGCCAGCAGCCACTGAGGCCAGCACCTCTCGTAATCCACAAGGTTGGAAGAAAAGCAGCTCGGTAAAGGCTGCTTGTGATGAGTCACTGGGGCTCCTGGAAAATCTGTAAGAAATGAAGCTTTTGAGATGTTTATTTTTAGCTGCCGTCTGACCATGGCCTGTCTCTGAACTTGATGTTCTTGGGCCCTCTCCTCTGGCTGTGTGTTCTAGAATTTCTGTTGTGTCCTATGCTTTTCATGGTGTCATGTGAACACTACAGGTAACTGTGATGATCTTGAACACTTTGTTAGCGCTATGGTATGATCATATTTTTATTCATGAGCCGAGGCACCCGGAATCTTGAAGCATTCGGATCACTAATTACTTGGAGAAACTTTTCTGATTGTAGGATCTCACAGAAACCTCTCTCTCTCTCTCTCCCACCCTCTCTCTCTCTTTCTCTCTCTCTCTCCCTCCCTCCCTCTCTCTCTCTCTCCCCCTCCCTCCCTCTCCCTCTCTCTCTCTCTCTCTCTCTCTCTGTGTGTGTGTGTATGTGTGTAATAGGAACTCATCTTTATTTTCCCAAAGCTTTAAGGTTGAAATGTTGATGGTGACATCCTTTAGTTGCATTGTTGGGTTTCTGGAAACTCATTCCTTCCCTTAAATAATCCTAAGGGGAATGACTGTGGCCACTTGTCTTTATATTATACTTGTCCCCGTGGGTCACGATTATTTGTTTGCTGGGTTTTGTTGGGAGGTGAGGGCCGCAAATGTGCTGGTAGCTCTGGTGCCTTGGACAGTGGCCTGGCAGGTAGCAGATGCCCAATAAACACCCATGGTGTAAAGCAGGGGCCGGCAAAGCACAGCCTGCAGGCCAGATCCAGCCTGTTCCTGTTTTTGTAAATAAAGTGTTGTCAGCAGGCAGCCACATCCCTTCATTTCCATATTGTCCGTGGCTGCTCTGCTGTACAATGGCACAGTCCAGTAATCGCAATGGAGACTATATGGCATATGGCCCGCGAAGCTGAAAAGATTTCCCACCTGGACCTTTCTCAGAAACATTTGCAAACTCCTATCAGTTAAGTTACTACGAGGAAACAGGAAGGAGCAAGGGGCAGGAACAGCTTGTGGGAGAGGCTCATGAGAGCCGGAGGTGGTTTTAGTAGCAGTTTCTACCCTGCCCACGCTGGCAGGGGACCCTGCCGGGACTTGCCTCTAGGGTGGCCTTCCTTGCTTGTTGGAGACTCTTAATCTTTTAATCTGAGTTATGACTTTCCGTTCCATCTGTCCAAGTCATCTGGGGATTAGCTAATAGAGCAAGTTGGCAAATAATCTGACATGGTCTGATTTGGGAGGGGAATACTGGCATAAACATTGGCAGGTACTGTGGCACCTGGCCACTGCTGGGCAGAGGACAGAGGGAACAGGTGGAAGGGCTTCAACCACAGCGTTTTATGGACGGTGTAAATACTGATGGCAGCACAAAGTGTAATGGCTCCAGATGGGAAATCACCCAAGTGTCACCCGCAGTAGAATGGATAACTACATTGGGGCTGATTCCTCAGTCAAATACTGTGAAACAGGAGTCGGCCAAGTTCGTGATCCTGTGGGCCAACTCCAGCTCACTGCCTGCTTTCGTACAGCTTATGAGCTAAGAATGGTTTTTGCATTTTTATATGGTTGAGAAAAAACCAAAAGAATAATATTTTGCCACACATGAAGATGATATGGAATTCATATTTCAGTGTCCGCGAATAAAGTTTTATTGAAACACAGCACCAGGCATTGATGTGTCTATGGTCTCTGGCTGCTTTGCAATGACAGCGGTGGAGCTGAGTCGTCTAGACAGAGACTGCATGGCCCAGAAATCTTCAAATATTTACTCTCTGGCCCTTCACAGAAAAAGTTTGGTGGCCCCTGTTACAGTGCAAAGAGAATGAACAGATAGTTACACTGAACAACATGGGTAGATCTTGCAACATAATATAGAATGAAAGAAGCTGGAAACAAGATTTCATTTCTTTAAAGTTCAGAAGCAGGCAACAGTAATCTATAGTGTGAGGGTTGGGATAGTGGTTACCCTTTGGGGTGGGTCAGGGACTAGCGGGGGCTTGAAGTGGTGTCTAGGGGCTGGTCATGTTTCGTCCCATGATCTGAGCACTCCATACATGGGTGAGTTCCCTTTGTGAAAATGTGTGGAGCTGTTCATCTATGATTTTTGCATTTTACGAATACATGTTTACTTCAATAAAAAGCTTACTCAAGAAAAGTGATTTCAGTCTGGCAGCTCCTCAGAAGGTTAAACAGAGTTCCCATCTGACCCAGCAATCCACTCCTGGGCATATACCCAAGAGAAATGAAAACATATGTCCATGCAAAGACTTGTACACAGATGTTCCTAACAGCCTTATTCATAATAGCCCAAAAGTAGAAACAACCCAAATGGCCGTCAGCTGATGAGTGGATAAACAAAATGTGATACAGCCACACAATGGAATCTTATTCAGCAATAAATAAAAAGGGGTGAAGCACTGATACGCACCACAGCCTGGATGACCCTTGAAAGCATTATGCTAGGTGGAAGAAGCCAGATGCAAGAGGCCACATACTGCATGATTCCACTTACTGCATGATTCCACTTATACGAAATGTCCAGAATAGGCAAACGCATAGGATGGAAAGTATATTAGTGGCTGCCTAGGCTGGGAGAAGGAAGTGATTGCTAATGGGTAGGGGGTCATTTTTAGGGGGGTGAAAATGTTCTGGAATTGGATAGTGGTGATGATTGGACAGCCTTGTGAATTTCCTGTAAACCACTGAATTGTACACTTTAAAAGAGTACATCTTATGGTATGTGAATTACCTCTTTAAAAATGCTGTAAGAGATTGCTGCTACAGACCTGTGTGTATCTGTACAAGTCAGAAGGAAAAGGTCTCAAGGTGACAGCCACCTCATCCATTCTTCCTGCTACTCCTCCAAATGCAGATATCTTGAAAGTTGACAGGCAGGGGGAATGCCTGACTTCCCCCAGGTAATCCAGACTCTTCCTCTAGATCCAAGCCAGTTGAGTAGCACAGAGCAGTTTCTAGAATGTAGCTAACATGGGCATGTTAATTTTGCTACTTTTGTTTACTAAAACTGCAGTTCTCAGAAAAACAGGATAAACTAAAAGATCCTAGATAACTTGCTTCCTGGACTTTTCCTGTGATTATGCCTGACTTCGCCCCCATTTTCCTGATGTCTGTTTTCCTTTGGTCTGATTGGAGAGGAATGGGAATCTATGTAGTAGCCACTGGGGCCCATTCCCATAGCTGAGCCTGGGCTGTCGGCTCCTTGCTGGTTCCTCCAAGACTTCATTGCTTCACAGCCAATGAAATGGAGCAGTAAAAAAACAAACAAAAAACAACAAAAACAAAACAAAAAACAAAACAAAAACATTAAAAAAGACTTCACTGCTTACCTGTAGGTTGCTTTTTATATATAGTTCTCAATCTCTTCTGAATTAAACTTCTTGGTCCCCACTTCTAGATGTTAAGGGCCATAATGGTTGCAAATATTGTGATAACTTTTGAGAGGATCCCTTTTGAGGGTGCGAGATGACTACCCAGAGGATCTGAAGGTTTTCATTTTGCTGACACTGAAGAGTGTATTTCTTAGGATTTTCTGCTCTGTAATGACAGATAATCACAGCTGGCAGTGAAGATAGCGCTGAACTTTCTGTAAAGTCCCAGCCCTAAACATTATCTGTGGCAGAGACAAACAGTTTTAATTAATGACAAAAGGTTTGCTTGTCCCTGCGAGGGTGAAAGGGGCCGGTGCTGTTTCATTCCCTGTGCCATGTACTGGGCTGAAGGGGCAGGGGAGGGAGCATCCCAGGGTCCTGGCTTTTGAGAGAGGGGCAGAGAGGGTCAGCTGTGGTCACACACCCATACTTGGGAGTCGTACAAGTCTCTTGGTTAGTGGTCTTGCCACTTTGAATAGAGGTATTTCAGATTTGAAAGAAAACAGTCTAAACAGTCTCCTCAAAGTAAATGCTTTGAGGAGTTTTTAGGAAAAGCTATTTCGAATGTCAGGCATAGATTCATGTTTTAATGGCCTCACTGATTCTTGGTAAGTGGAATCCCCCAGAAGGTCCCCCAGAAGCTCAGTTGGACCACCACAATCTCCCTGAACAGAACTGGAGTCCATCAGGTCCCCTCTATCAGTTACAGAAAGCAGAGGAGTGAGCAGATCAACCTCAGAAACAAGGCGACATGCAGGGGGATAAGGAAGGGGTGTTTTCATGAAACATGATTTTCATTTTAACAAACATTTATGAAGCGCTAACCACATGCCAGGCACAAATTGCTTTACAAATGTCAGCTCATTCCGTCTTCTTCACAGCACCCTGAGGCAGGTAGTGCTGCAATTCCTACTTCATAGATGGGGGAGACTGAGGCACAGTAAGAAAGGTCCAACAACTTGCTTAAGGTCACACGGGTGGTAAGTGGCAGAGCTGAGATCTGAACTCATGCAGCGCTGTTCTGGAGTCTGTGTTTTAACCAGTATGCGTGTGATGCTGCCTCTCTTGTGATGAACATCAGAATATAGAGGGACAAAGTACAATATTGAAGATCCAAATATCTCATACTGCCAATTTGTTTTAAAATACAACTACGAAGAAAACATACCAACAGGTTATGGGAGTTATCAAGGGCATGATGATGGGTAATCCTTATTTTTTTTCTTGATAGTTTTCTGTATTTGTCAAGAAGTTTTGTAAGTTGGGTGGTTGGTTGTGTGTTTTAAAAAAATAGCCACAATAATATCTCTGACTTCGGAATGCTCATCTAGAACTTTGCCATTTCCTCATCAAGAGGTAGAGTCTACTTTCTCTCTCCTTGAACCTGGGTGGGATTTTGTGACTGCCTCAATGAACAGCAAGTGGCAAAAGGGACGGTATCTGACTTCTGAGGCTGAGCCACGCAAGGTGATACAGCTTCTGCCGGGTCTCTCTCTCTTAACACACTTGCTTTGGGGCCCAGAGCCTCTGGGTAGGATATACTGCCACCTGGCCGGGCGCAGTGGCTCACGCCTGTAATCCCAGCACTTTGGGATGCCGAGGTGGGCGGATCACCTGAGGTCGGGAGTTTGAAACCAGCCTGACCAACATGGAGAAACACCATCTCTACTAAAAATACAAAATTAGCTGGGCGTGGTGGTGCATGCCTGTAATCCCAGCTACTTGGGAGGCTGAGGCAGGAGAATAGCTTGAACCCAGGAGGCGGAGGTTGCGGTGAGCTGATATTGCGCCATTGCACTCCAGCCTGGGCAACAAGAGTGAAACTCCATCTCAAAAAAAAAAAAAAAAAAAAAAAAAAAGAAAGAAAGAAAAGAAAAGAAATACTGCCACCCAAAGTCACATGCTGAAGAGACCACATGGGGATGCCACATGGAAAGAGAGAGAGGCCTGGGAACCCCAGCTGTTCTAGTCTCCAGCTGTTGAGTCTCTTGGCCCAGGCACCAGATGTGTGAGTGAACAAGCCTTCGGATGATGCCAGCTCCAGCCCCTGTCTGACCAAGACCTTGTGAAAGACCCTGGGTGAGGATGGTCTTGCTGAGTCCAATGAGACCCCAGTACCAGGATAGATAAAGATATGATGGGCTGCGTGCAGTGGCTCACACCTGTAATCCCAGCATTTTGGGAGGCTGAGGTAGGAGGATTGTTTGAGCCCAGGAGTTTGAGACCAGCCTGGGCAACATAGTGAGACCCCATCTCTACAGATAATAAAAAAAAATTAGCCAGTGTGGTGGCATGCATCTGTGGTCCCATCTTCTCAAGAGGCTGAGGCAGGAGGATCGCTTGAGTCTGGGAGGTTGAGGCTGTGTTGAGCTGTGATTGTGCCACTGCACTCTACTGTGGGTGACAGAGTGAGACCCTGAAAAAAAAAAGAAAGAAAAGAAAGAAAAAGAAAAGAAAGAAAAAGAAAGAATCCTTTGGAATGGCTAAAGAAGATGCCCCAACTGTGTCTGGGGAAATTAATGCAAGTTCCACAGATAGGGTGAAACAGAACAGGGTTCTGCAGTGTGAATAGGAGCTTTCAAGGCAGAGGAGAAGGTTCAAGGTAGAAGAGAAAAGCACATTCAAAGATACGGGTTTCTACCTGACATTTTTGGTCAAACATGGATAACCATGATTCACCTAGGGTAGCATTTTTATATTCAGCCAAGCCTTGATTCTACTTAGAATCTGTCCTTCTAGATCTTGATCTAGGTGATTTCCTGCTTTCTTTCATCTTCTAGAACCTGTTATGTTATTGCTAATACCCAACCATAAAAAGTCCAGGTTTCCTTCGAGTGTTACAGATCCCTGTTCTGAGAGCGAGCTGACCCATTCAGAGTCACTTTTAACATCAGAGCTGTAAATGACATCATTAATACTATTGTATTAATACATGCTTGTCTTCGTTGGGTCCTGGGTGAAGTGAGTTTTACTGGACAGGATCTGCTGTTGAAGAACTTGAGCCTGATTCCTTGGGGTCTTCATGCTTGGAGACCAAACCTACTGATACTTTTTTGCCTTGAGGCATTGGTTGCAAGATATAGGTGTCCTGCATTCCTTCCACAGTTCCTTTGGAGGCAAATAATGGTTGTGTAGGAGAGATGTTCTCTTGTCAGGCAGGATACTTCCAGCCTGAACTGAGGCAAATTCCACTCCACCCTCTCACTATTGGTACTGTCATGTATGGCTGCTCCAGTCCTCCCCAGAGTTGGTCTGCATTGCTCCAGCTAACTTGACCTGTCTTCCTTCCTTCAGAGCTCAAGTTCATTCTACCTATTAACCCATAATTATCATGCTGCTGAATAACAACTCCTTCAAAGGACTCAGTGGCTTAAAACAACAACCATTCATTATTTTCACAAGTCTACAGGTTGGCTGCATGGTTGGATGGGGCCAAAGTTGGCTGATCTTGGCTGGACTCACACATAAATCTGTGGTCGGCTGGACCTAGATGATTTTTTCCCCCTTTGAGATGGAGTCTCGCTCTGTCGCGCATGCTGGAGTGCGGTGGCGCAATCTTGGCTCACTGCAACTTCCACCTCCCAGGTTCAAGTGATTCTCCTGCCTCAGCCTCCTGAGTAGCTGGGACTACAGGTGCCTGCCACCACACCTGGCTAATTTTTGTATTTTTAGTGGAGACGGGGTTTCACCATGTTGGCCAAGCTGGTCTTGAACTCCTGACCTCAGGTGATCCACCCGCCTCGGCCTCCCAAAGTGCTGGGATTACAGGCGTGAGCCATCGGGCCTGGCCCCTAGATGATCTTTTAATCCCAACCTCACAATAGACACCAACACCTCCTTCTGGGTCCCCAGGGAAGTCCTCTGAGGCTCTGCAGATCAGAGCCTGTTTATTTTCCTCAGGACCACTGCATGTTCCGTCAAAGTTTAAAGATATGATTGCTCTCTACAGTGATTTTTTGTTTCAAGCATTATTGCCTGAAGTAGTTGTTTGACTAGAGATGTAGTTAAATTTTAGGTGGTATCAACTCCTTTTGAATAGACTGTCCAAGTCTCTGCGATTCTATCTGCTGGTTGGGTTTTTCTGACAAGGGCTCTCTTGGAGGGTCAACAGCCTGTCGTCTTGTTTTTCCCATCAGAGATTTTCTTTCCCACATATATTAAGAGGTTATTTTCATGTTGTTTTTGTATACATGAGAATGAAATCTTTGCTTTCTAATTTTACTCTCTTCCTCATATCATTGGTTGCTACTGACTTCTGCGATGTGATTCTTCCCTGGGCACTCATCAGGGGGTATTATTTTCAACTTGGCATGGCTCAAACCTCAAACTTTTAAAGTTTTAAAGCAGCCGAGTTGCACTGATGATCAATAAATCAATCACTGTGACCACTTTATTGCTTGTAAGGTGATTACCCTACTTTGCCCATAGTGACTCTTCAATTTGATTAAAATGCAGTTTCATTGGGTCGTGGTTGAGTCCTCTAGATATATAAATACATGAGAGAAGCCTGCACTCAAATGTTTTTATAACCACCCTTCAGATTTTTAACCATCTATGCCAGCACTTTTGTGGTCCTCATCCTATAATTCAAATTTCCATGCTCTTTGCCAAAGTAATTCTTATTTATGCATATTCCAACCTCTTGTCTCTGTAAGACTGTATTCTTTTTTCTGCTAACTGGTGGTGAGCCTTGGTCCCACTGCAAAGCATTTTCTACAGCTGAAATGAGCTCCTGTGCAATCTGTAAATCAGGCTCTGATGGTGGGAGAATATGGGAGATGGTGTTGGTTCACTCGCGATTGTTTTCCAGGTGAGGAGAGCTGGAATAGTGGGAGTAGAATTATTATCTTGGATAGGAAAGGAAGACACATTCAACTGTGCTACTGCCCTGGCAGCAGGAGCCCTTTTGACTGCATTTTAAGACATTAAAAATGAGCATCTGTCCTGGAGCTCCTTGCCCAGGGCAGCGTGCCACCAGCTTCTCATGGCTCTTGGCTCGCGGCAGGTTGTCCCACCTCCCTTGTCCAGCTCCAGGGTGGCCCCACTCACATAGAGGGCTCCTGCCATCTGCAGATTGCCTGGGCTCCCACCAACTCATTAAAGTCTTGCCAGCATTTTCACTGTGCCATTGGAGTACATTTTGAATATCCATGATGACAATCACATAGGCTGCCTGCCTGAGTGGTCCACTTTGTCTCCCATAGGAACCAATTATTGCTTTGATTACCATTATTTTCATTTAAACCCTATTTGCCCCTCCAGCCCTGTCATTTGGACACCTTGCTTTTGCAGAATGTGAGGTTTTCCAGGAATGTATATAATTAATTAATCCTCATTTGCAGATTCCATATTTGCAAATTTGCCTACTGGCTAAAATGTTATGTGTAGCCCCCCAGATCAATACTCGTGGAGCTTTCGAGGTTGTTCATAGATACGTGTGTGTGTAGAGCGACAAAAAGTGCCAGCAGTGCCCGTTCCTTGCTGAGGTCTGAGAAGGCGATGCTCTGCCTTCCTGCTTCCACTCTCCTCCTGTCAACAAGGGTCCTTTTCGTGTTCTATTTAGTGCCATGTTTTTCACAGTTTTGTGCTTTTTTTGTTGGTAATTTTGCTGTTTAAAATGGCCCTGCAATGCAGTGCTGGGAAGCTGTCTGGTGTTCCTGAGTGTAGGAGGGCTGTGACATGTTTTATGGAGAAGCCTTGTTCAGGCATGAGTGATAGTGCTGCTGGCTGTGAGGTCAATGTTAATAACTCAACAATATCTATTAGAGTGTCTTTAAACAGAAGTATATAAACAAGGTACATCTTGATTGTTTGATGAAAATGTGACCAAAGATTTTGCAGGAACTTAACCCTGTATTCTCTTGGGAACAGTAGTTCAGTATTCAGTAATTCAGTGTTTGAGGTGACTTTATAGAGCATAACCTCCACGAATAATGATAATTGACTGTGTATATATTTCATTACAGCACAGATGCCTATGCTGAAATAATTTTTCTTATATAAGAAAATAGGGCACATGGACTATTCTTCTTGCATGGCCATGGCATGTCCTGCTCATGTCTTTAACGACCGGTTTTCTTGCCCAGGTGTAATTAGCATGGTCAATGCGGGAGCGATGAGTGGCTCTGGAAACCTGATGGATTTCCTCGATGAGCCGTTCCCTGATGTGGGGACGTATGAGGACTTCCACACCATCGACTGGCTAAGGGAAAAGTCACGGGACACCGACAGACACAGGAAGGTAGGTGGCATTCCGAAAGGACACACTGCAAATGGCTAAGCCATGTTTTCATTCAAAAGTTACTGAGCTGGGGCTTAGGTCCACGTACGTGTCATGTGCTGGGTTAGGGTCTAAAGAAGAAAAGAGCCAGTGGGAGGAGCAGATATATTGGCAGATCATTGTACTAGCAGGAGCTTTGGGCAGGACGTTGTGTCATATGGAGGGATTGTGGTGTGGAGGAGAGGGAGGGGACTTTGCAGGTGCCATTTCTGGAACCTGTTTTCTCATCCATGAGGATGGAAGTGATTATGCCTGAAAAGGAAATGAGATTATGTGTATATGAAAGCACATATGACAGTGCCTGGTGTCTAGTTGGCAATCAGTATATATTTTAATGGACCACAATGGTTATCTGTCAAGTGCTGTGGGATCATTTAGGTTCGGTTAGGGAAGGGTTTTTCAGCAAGGGTAACATTTCAGTTGGGTCTTGAAAGATGACTAAGATTTTGCTAGGCAGAGGAACGGTGAGGATTCTAAACATCAGGAATGCCCCCCTTTTTTAAGTCACAGAGGCATGAAAGAATCTGATGTATCTGGGCAATTCAGGGAGCTCCGAGGATCTGGTGGAGGATTCCTGCAGAGGGAGGGATAGGGATGAGTGTGGAAATGGAGGCAGCAGGGCCACGTGGGGAACGGCCATGCTGGCGGTGGAGAGGAGTTTGCATTTCATGCTGAAAGCCACAGAAGACAATAAAGATGCGCTGCAAAGGGAGAAACAGGAAGCTTGGAAATGAGTCCAGGAGACCGAAGGCAGTGATGTGTAGGTGGAGAGAGGGGATCAGGATGGAGAGGTATTTTGAGGCGCCACGGACGGGATTCAGGGGAGGTGCTGGGGCCAGGAGGGGAATGGGGTCACAGAACACCAGGCTTTGGCCTGATGAGGATGATGCCTTTGATGCCTAGAGGAAGCAAGGGGGGACTGGCAGACTGCGGAGGAGGCCATTGAGTTCTGTGTAGATGCGTTGGTTTGAGCTGCGCTGCGGATGGGTGATCACAGGTGGCGAGAACTCTGTGGTTCAAGGGTGAGGGAAGGGCCGGGGGGAGAATGAGGTCCCTGTGTGCAAGTGGAGGCTGAAGCTTTAGAAACAGCCACGGTGGCGTGGGTGTGCAGAGACAGAAGGGAAGAGGTAGTCAAATCCCCAGGCAGTGCCCAGAGTTACCAGGTCCAGGGGAGGCAGATGGGGAGCCTGTGACAAGAGGGGACCCTGCCAAGAGCAGTCCCCTGTGAATGGAAAGGGTGTTGTGTAGGGGCCTGCTCACAAGGTCACCCTCTATGGAGAGGTCAGGTAGGAGGCGAGCCAGCGGCATGGGGGCTGGCGGTGAGGGGAGAGCTGCTTCAGACGAGGGTGAGGAGTGACATGGACAGTGTGACCATGTCACATCGCCTCACGAGGGCTGGCACGAAAGGAGGAGGGGAATGTGTAGGGAGCCAGGCTCAGTCATGAAGATGTTGCAGCCTCTTGGCTCTGCAGTGCAGGAATGTGGGGTCGAGGCAGCATTCCCTCTAGAGCACAGCTCAGCAGACTGCATCCTGCGGGCCAAAGCCAGCTGGCACCTTGTTTTAGAAATAAAGTTTTATTGGAACTCAGCCATGCCCATCCATTTCCATATTTTTATGACTCCTTTTGTGCTACAGTGGCAGGGTTGAGGAGTTGCAACGGAGACCATCCGGCCCGCAAAGCCCAAAATATTTACTCTCTGGTCCTTTACAGAAAACATTTGCCCACCACTGCTCTAAAAGGCCGTGAGGGAATGATGATCTCAGAGGAGCATAGGATTCTGTTAGCACAGGGAGGTGTGTGTAGGTAGTCCATCTGCTGTGGGAGACGTGATCTGTGCCAGCTAATTCTAAGTTCGTGCTGCTAAAATTTAACCTTGAAAACAAAAGGAGGAGATGAAGTCTGTGTGAAGAGGCTTTTTAATGAAACTTAGCAATGTAAGTTAAGATAGTAACTCATATTCAGAATGGAGACACCGAACCAATGTCCCCCTTCAGCATAGCTTTTAAATCATCAAAGATCAAATCACATTTAGTATGTTTTTTAATTAAGTGAATTATTTGAGTGTGTGCTCGAATTCTTTGGAGACTTTTGTGGCATCTTTATAGCTCTGTGAACTAGAAAGCTCGTCGTACCGTTGCGGCACATAACTGAAAGAATCACATCAGTGGGAATTTAGCTGCTTGATGACATTCATTTTATTTTCTTAATTACCCTGTTTCCCGAGGAAACAGTTTCAAGGAAAAAAGCATGAATTCGAAAATGCATTCGGATCAGTTGCTGTATCTGCTTTGTTCTAGATCACCAGCAAGAGCAAGGAGTCCATATGGGAGTTCATCAAGAGCCTGCTGGATGCCTGGTCGGGATGGGTGGTGATGCTGCTCATCGGCCTGCTGGCGGGTACGTGGATGGGCATGCGGCACTCCCGTGGGAAGCTGCAGAGGCCGAAACCTCAAAACACGAACCCTCTGGGAGATTTGGAATATAGCGCGTGTCGCTTGTCGCTTTTACCCCTGTGGGAGGGATTTATTACTTGAAATATCTAAGGGCAAAATGCATGGCTGTATATTTAACCTAAAATCCATCATCAATAAGGCATGCCCAAGGCATGAGCTCAGGCACAGGCTTCTGAAGAGCTGTGACGATAGAGCTGGTAGCCTTTCCACACAGAGCAGAGTTTTCTTACTATACCGGATTTGACTGAAAACACACATTTTTTTTGGAAACGGTCTTGTTCCATTGCCCAGGCTGGAGGGCAGTGGAATGATGCCAGTTCACTGCAGCCTCCACCTCCCGGGGTTGAACAATCCTCCCACCTCAGCCTCCTGAGTAGCCAGGACCACAGGCATGCGCCACCATGCTCAGCTAATTTTTGTTATTTTTTCATAGAGATGGGGTCTCACTGTGTTGCTCAGGCTGGTCTCAAACTCCTGGGCTCAAGCCATCCTCCTGCCTCAGCCAAAGTGTTGGGATTACAGGTGTGAGCCACTGAGCCCAGCCAAGCACACATTTTATATTCGGTTATTCTTGATTATGTAGATGACAACAAAATCAGGGACTGTTTTATCTTCAATAACAAAATGTCATATGAGATTGCCTTTTGCTACTACTGGTAGGCTCTGGGATGAACTGGAAACATCCTGCAACAGTCAGCACCATGCTAGACACCCACGGGAGCTGAGGCAGGCCCAGGGGCCTCCATCATCCTGACCCTCAGGAACTCTGCATCTTTCCTTTTTAGAATCCCAACACCGTGTTTGCGAGCAGTAGATGTTTCCAGAGTAAATGGATGCTATCTGGAGGGGAAACACGTCTTTTTAATATCAAACGCACCAGCCCTTCCGGGAAATAGTTTCCTGAAACTTATGTCCTTTTAGGAGATTGTGAAGGTTAATGTCTAAGAATAAAAAATTTGGCATGACGAAGAGGTTTCCTTAATAAAAATCCCCTGCATATAACAACATAATAGTTATGGTTAGAGAACAGATCAGGGAATTGACTAGAACACAGGCAGAATATATGTAGTAAGTGGTCTAAGAAGGACAGAACACAAATGGGGCACAGATAGAGTTTTGTGATTCCAGGGGCTTTCAGTTTCCAGGTGATCTTGATTTATTCCCTAGCTCATCGGAGGAGGGGCTTGGTTGCCAGGGAAGGGCTCTACCTCCCTCACCTGCCTCAGCATTCCGTAAAGAGCTAAGAGGAATGCTCAGAGGGGGAGTTCTTTCCTACTAGTCACAGATGCTGTCTGTCCGTTTCTCCAAGCCTGTCCTTCCTTTACCAGTGGCATTTCCCGTCATGTACTGGCAGCAGCCAGGGCAGGAAATTAGACTTCATTGTCACAAGGGATTGGACGACCAATTTTGCTTGACTGCTTCTATAAAGGCCTTTGAAGGTGGGCCAGGTGGGAGTTTGCTATGAATTTTGATGTCCTTATTTAGAGTAGATTGATAAAACCTTATAGTGTGTCATTTTTCTTGGCTCGTAGGAAGGAGAAATAAATAGGGTAAATGAAGAAACTCAGAACAGGAATAGATGTTCTGATAACGGCACAGCTTAGATTCATTGACTGACCTAGGAGCCCAACTGGGCTGACTTTAATCTGATTTTGACCAGCTGGCTTTATTATCCACTTGATTTCCATCAGCTCTTTCACGAGGGGGAATTAAAAACAATATGCTGCTGCCCTGGCTTCACTTAAACAGTATCTCTGGAGAGGACCTCTAGCTTGAATACAGCCTGCCCCTCCCCTCTGTGATTGTAATGTGCAGCCAGGGGTGAGCACCACTGGCCAAAGGAGAGCCCATGCGCACGTCAGCAGGGGAATACATGGGAGGGTGAGAATGGGGTGATGCTGAAAATGAAGGGACTACAGTGTTCTTTTGATTTGGATGCACTTTGAAGGGACAGCCAGAGAGCCACGTCCCACTCACTTCCCCCTTCCTCGCTGGACTAACAGTGGAGAGGACCTGGGGTCTCACTGCCTGGCCGGCTGTCCCCTCAGTGGCTGTTGTCTTCGGACTCCCCTCATGGGTAGGCCCACAGCATCTCCGCATGTGCTTATCAGAAGTCACCGCTAGGTGTCACTGTTGGACCACGAAAGAAAGCTGAGGCCTGCTGAAGCGCAGTCAGAACCAGAATCAGCAAGGAAGATTGGGTGTGCAGTAGGGGGGTTGTGAATGAATGAATAATGATGAAACTTGGGGTGATCATCCTGTTTGCCCCTGGATATCTGCAGGACCCTCCCATCTTCTTCACCTTCTTCTTCAAATACTGCACGATGTCACTTATCTGTGGAGTCCAAAAAAATAAAACCAGTGTCATAGAAACAGAGTAGAAAGGTGGCTGCTAGAGGGAGGGGTGGGGACAGGATGGGGAAAGAGATGTTGATCAGAGGGCGTAAGTTTCAGTTAGACTGGAGGAATAAGCTTTAGTGAGCGGTCGCACTGCATGGTGACCACAATTAATGATCATGTATTGTATATTTCAAAATTGCTAAAAGAGTAGACTTTAATAATCTCACCACAAAAATAAACTGGGGAGGTGATTCGGTTGGTGCGAAGGTAATTGTGGTTTTTGCCATTAAAATAACGGCATGATCGGATCTTTAATTAGCTCGATCAAGTCTTTCTATAATGTATACATAGATCAAAACATGACATTGATATACACAATTATTATGTGTCAGTTTTAAAAAGTTAAAAAATCAAGATAATGAGCTCTTTGCCTTTGTTTTTCCTGTGGAAAAACAAAGAACTGTGGATAGTTCTAAATTTGACATTACCGGACCCTGTGGAAAGACCTCATGAAATACTAAATATTATGGTTCTTGCGTGCTGTTGCTAGGGGGCAGTGTTTACTTAGCTGACTCTGCAAACTAGCATTAAGCGGAACCAAGCTTGCATCCAGGATTTCATGATCTAGAGAAAATACTTTGAGCATGTAGGATTTCTTTTCACTGGGTTTCAGTTTCCAACTTTAAATCAGGAAATAGTTTTCACCATTCCACAAGGTATATGTACTTCAAAACATCATGTTGTATATGATTACAACATACAATCTTATGTGTCCATTTTAAAATGAAAGAATAAATCAGGAAATAGCTAATGATATCTCTAACTTAATTAGACTAATTATATATATTTGTATATTTGGAATCAAGTCTTTCATTATTGAATTGCATGTTTAAAAATTTCAAACCTGTCTGATATTTAAAATTTAAAAAACAATAAAATTACATCCCTCTCTCTGTAAGCCTCACCTCCCTCACCTGCTCTATGGATGTATATATGTATGTATGTAAAGCTTTATTGAAATATAACTCACATTCCATATAATTCACCCATTTAAAGTATACAATTCAGTGGTTTTTAATGTATCACAGAGTTGTACAACCATCACCGTGGTCGATTTTAGAATAATTTTATCATGCCCAAAAGAATCATTATACCCTGTAGCTATCAAGCCCCTGCTCCCCAACCATCCCCCTTCCAGCCCTAGGCCACTGTTAACCTGCTTTCTGTCTCTATGGATTTGCCTATTCTGGGCATTTCATATAAATGGAATCATACAATATGTGGTCTTTGTGATTAACTTATTCTACTCAGCATAATATGTTCAAAGTTTGTCCATGTTGTAGCACGTGTCAGTACTTCATTCCTTTTCACTACCAAGTACAATTCCATTGTATGGATAGACCACACGTTGTTTATCCACTTATCCATTGATGGATATTTGAGTTCTTTCTACTTTGTGACTATTTTGAAGAATGCTGCTATGAACATTTTTGTTCAAGTGTTTGTGTGCATGGATGTTTTCATTTCTCTTGGGTATATGCCTAGGAATAGAATTGGTTTTTTTGAGACAGGGTCTGGTTCTGGCGCGATCATGGTTCGTTACAGACTGGGCTTGAGCAATCTGCCTGCCTCAGCCTCCTGAGTAGCTGGGACTATAGGCGCGTGCCACCATATCTGGTTAATTTTTTTTTTTTTTTTTTTTTTTTTTTTGTAGAGACAGGATCTTGTCATGCTGTTCAGGCTAGTCCTGAACTCCTGGCCTCAAACGATTTGTCCACCTCGGCCTTCCAAAGTGCTGGGACTACTGGCATAAGCCACTGCGCCTGGCCCTTATACTTTTTAACAGAGCCTTTAATATACTTATTTTCTCCTGTCCCAGGTACAGTTACACAAAGGCAGGGGCCTGGGTCTACTCTTTGCACTGCTGTATTCCCAAGACATGGATGAGTAACTGCCGTGTAGTAGGTACATGTTCAGTAACTATCCCTTGAATGAATGAATGGACCTGAGTTTTCTGATTTTTTCATTCATTTATTTATTGCAATATTTTATTCAACATGGATATATAGTGCCAACCATGCACCTGACATGGATATAACAATGGACAAGACAGATAGGGTCCTTGCCCACTTAGAGTGGACACAGGGTCTGGATGCCAGGCCTGACCCCCCACTGTGGTATGAAAACCAAACAATGAAACCTTTTTTACCCACCACTTATAGACTAGTGGAAGTACACACACACACACACACACACACACACGGAGAAAAAGAGAAAGAGAGCTAATTGTGATATTAGGATGCGAGAGGTGTGGTGATGGGGAAGGACAGGCAGCCACAGGAATGCCAGGGAAGTACACCTAACCCAGGCTTAGGAAATCAGGAAAGACTTCCCAGAGGAGGTGATATAAATGCTGGAATCTGGATGATAAGTAGGAGTCTGATGGGAGGGGAGGGCAGTGCTTGCTGAGATGGTGCAGGTAGGAGAGCGTGGCACATTCCAGGAACATGGAGTGGGCAGGGTGTGGGGAGTTAGTGAGGGAAAGAGATGAAGCTGGAGAGATCTGAGGGGCCAGCTGTCAGGGTGGGTGACCTGTTGAGGATTTGGGTGTTCTCCCAAGAATAATGGGTAACCATGGCAGGGCTTTCCACAGGGGAGTGGCACAGGTCAGTCTGGCATTTGGAAAGCCTATTTGACCACAGTGTGGAGAGGCCATGAATGGGGCAGGACTGAGGCTGGAGACCAGAGAGGAAGCTCCTGCAGCAGTCCAGCCAGCAATGACTTCAACACGGTGATCTGAAAGACAGCCCGAGTGGGGATGGGGGAAACTGCAGTGATTCAAGAGAGATTTCAGAGGTGGAGCTGCTGGGATATGGGGATTGCCTGGAAGGGGGTTGCTTTCCCAGATTTCTAGTTTGCACAGTAGTGTGCCTGGATGGTGGGTTCCTCTCCCAGTTGGGACGAAGCTGAGGCTGGGAGGAGGATGCTTTAGTTCGGTGTCGGATGGTGGTGGACTGAAGTGGAGATATCTAGTAGACCCAAGAAGGCAAATAGACTTGTGTTCTTTGACAATGCCCATTCATTGGCTTTGACTGCCTGGGGCTTTGCTACAAAGATTTGGGAGGGTAGGTCCACAAGTGTGTGTCATGATTGATTAGTGATGTCTGTCATGGGCATGTCAAAAGAATTGTGAAGGGGAATCCAATAGAGTGTGCTATTATTGATTGGTGATGTCTGCTGTGGGCATCGGAAGCTGACGGCTGGGCTATGTAGTGATTGGCTCTGTAATAGCCAGTGGGCTCTATGTGCTTGGAAAAGCATAGCTTGAGATGTACATTTATACCTAATGGTAAATAGTAGGATATGAATAAGGTTGCCAGGGTTGAGAGCATAGTATAAAAAGAGAAAAGGGTTTAGGGTCAAGCTTTGAGGAAATGGCCTTTAGAAGTTGGGTGGAGGAGTCAGAAAGATCAGAGGAGTCAGAGCAAACCAGAGAGTGAGGAGGAAAGCAGGAGAGCATGATGTGGAAGCCACGGGAAGAGGTGTTTCTGGAAGGGTGGAGTGGTCAACAGAGTCAGATGATGCTGAGAGCTCTGGAACTGGGGTCAGCAAACTTTTTCTGCAAGAGGCCAGAGAGTAAATATTTTCAGGTTTGTGGCCCATGTGGTTTCTATCTCAGCTCTTCAGTTCTGCCACTGTAGCATGAAGGCAGCCACAGAGTGCATGTAATTGAATGGTGTAGCTGTGCTCCAATAAAACTTTATTTACAAAAACAGGCTGTGGGCCAGATTTGGCCCATGGGCTGTAGTTTGTGGATCCTGTTCTAGAGGAATGAGCTAAGGCCATTGCCTTAGCTGCATGGGAATCTCCTGGTAGATTGAGGGGATGGACTGGGCCAAGGGAAGGAAAGAGATTGGATGGTGACTAGAGGGAAAGTGGAAACAGGGAGGGTTTTTTTTTTTTAATGTTTAAATGCTGATGGCAAGGAGAGGAAGAGGTTGAAGATACAGGAGAAGGAAAGGGGAATGGGAAGAACGAGGCCCCATGGAGGAAGGAGATGTAGAGCTGAGGTGGGCGGTGTCCGATGCAACACCAGGAGAAGAGAAGGGAGGGGTGAGTGCTGATGCCAGGTGTGGATGCTTTTGGTGAGGATGTGGATGCAGAACCGATCCTGTAATAATGATGCAGTGAAAAGGCTGAAAAATGAAGATGCTTGAAAGCATTCTCTGCCTTTGTGAGAGATGAGAATGCATTATTCTGGAAAGAGACCCAAGGCCGCCTTTTGTGATCCATTCAACTGCACATTCCGTTTTCTCCCATTTCTATTGGCTTTTAAAATACTTATTTAGTTTTATAGACCCATAATTCTTTATAATTTAAATAATGCAGAGAGTTTTAATAAACAGGATCTTCCCGAATTTGGTTCTCATTTGGTGGCAAAACCTTACTCATTTATGATGTGAGGCCGTCGTAGTTGTTATGAGTCCATTTTGTCTGAATTATCATGTTTCCCTGAGAAATATTAATGTGTGTGATTCTAGGATCCTGCCCCAGAAGCCATTGAGAGAGTTCTGTCTTTTACACTATAAATACCCAATGTCAAAAACTTGGAAAGGGAAAAATTGCAAAAGTTGCTTGTCTCTCCTACCCAGTTCAAGCTACTGAACCCTTTGTATTTCTCATTGGGCTTGTGCTGCCTTGCCCATAACATAAATGTTCAAGTGCTGCAAGTTTAATGAAAGAAGCTTCCTATGTAAGTGACAGCCCCATTGCAAGTTTATTGCCTGCTCTGGAATCTGGGCCATCATTGCTGATGTGCCCCTGTCTGGCCGCCGTGTTGGTCTCATTCTTGTCGCATCATGGGGCGATTCCTCTTAGTGGCTCGTGTTACTTCTTCCAGGCACCTTGGCTGGGGTCATCGATCTCGCCGTGGACTGGATGACGGACCTGAAGGAGGGGGTCTGCCTGTCTGCCTTCTGGTATAGCCATGAGCAGTGTTGCTGGACTTCTAACGAGACCACTTTTGAGGACAGAGACAAGTGTCCCCTGTGGCAGAAATGGTCGGAGCTGCTGGTGAATCAGTCAGAGGTGGGTATTTGGGCAGGGTCCTGGCTGGGGACCCCTGCCGTTCCATGCGTGCTTGGGAATGCTGCTGGGAGATTTGTGAATGTCTGTGATTTCACCTTCAAGTGCCTGCTCTGAAGTTCGTGGCTTAACACTAGATGACGGGCTTTTTCCAGCTCTAATGCTACCACTCAAACTTCACTTGCAAAACCCTTCCCCACTGTTTCATGTGCACAATGCATATATATATATATATACACTTTAAGCCTCATATTTGGCTTTATCTTGTTATATTTGGCTTTATTTTTTCTTACCGAAGGTGGTTTGCTGATCATGCTGAAGAAACAAGGTTGACTTTGATATCTTCTAATTGAGAAGAACATAACTTTTTAAGTTATCCTTTAAAAAAAACAGCTTTAGTGAGATAAATTCACAGTTCACATTGTTCACCCGTTTAAAGTGTACGATTTAATGCTTGTAGTATATTCAGTTTTGCAGCCGTTACCACAATCTAATTTTAGAACATTTTCGTCATCCTTTCCAAAACTCTGTCTCCATTAGCAGTCACTCCCATGTCCCCCAACCTGCCAGCTCTGAGCAACCACTAATCTACCTTTTGTCTCTCTAGATTTGCCTCTTCTGGATGTTTCATGTAAATGAAATCATACAATGTGTGGACTTTGTGTCTGGCTTCTTCCACCTAGCATCATGTTTCCAGACTTCTTCCTATTGTAGCATGAACCATTACTTCATTTTTTTATGGCCGAATAATATTCTATTGTATGAATGGACCACATTTTATTTATCCATTTGTTGGTTGCTTTTGCTTTTTGGCTATGATGAATGATGTTGCTATGAACATTTCTGTACAGGTTTTTGTGAAGACATATGTTTCATTTCTCTCAAGTATATATCTGGGAATGGAGTTGCTGGGTCAGATGGTTACTCTATGTTTAACCTTTTGAGCAGCTGTCAGACTGTTTTCCAAAGTAGCTGTACCATTTTACATTCCCACCAGCAGTGTATGAGACTTCCAATTTGTCCACCTTCCTGTCAGCACTTGTTATTATCTGTTTTTGATTATAGCCATCCTAGTGGTTATGAAGTGGCATCTCATTGTGCTTTCAGTCATCTTCCATTGCATTTTATGACCACATTATAGAGGATGTTCTGGGCCTTCTATAAAGAGAATGCCCTAGGCACAGGAGATAATAGTGGTGAACCACAGACCTATAGCATTTAGAGCTTCAGATCTTTATTAAAATCTTAGTTCAGGAAAGAGTTAACTTCTAACCCATTTCAGTGGTTACCACCATGACTATGAGTTATTAAAGGATCAGAAAGCCACGTGAGGAGGAACCAGGTTGTCAAGCTTCACATTAGGGGTAATGTGAGGATCTCTCAAGCTAGAACTAATCTTTCAAGGTATATGTAATCTATTTATACATCTCCTCCCTTCCCCACTTTTTTTTTTTTTTTTTGCCTGACTGACTTACCACAGCTGAAGACATTTGGAATGCACTTTGCCATTTTTGCTAAACCTCTTTCTCAGTGGAATTGAAAATTAATTCCTTCAAATCTCAGAAGGAGACAGGGATCTTGAAATCTCACATGTTCTCAGTGCTCTCCATTACTTCCAAAAAGAAATTCTCTACTTGGGTTGATGGGAGCGGGCAGACAGAATTGGCTGTGCGCCATATTTTTATTCTTCTCTCCTACTTGCAATGTGTGTTTTGGGGAAATACAGCCATCCATCTTTTCAGCTGTTTTTAAGATTTATACTTTGATTCGAAGAATTACCTTTAGTAAGAGTGAGAGTTATTTTTAGCCTCCAAAAAAGTACATATTTAAGTGGGTGAAAGGTATTTCTTAGTCCGATTTCTCACCGCATAGGGTGTGAATATATGTGCTTGTAAAGGCCAGAGCAGTCTCCTGGAACGTGTTTTTGCATTTAATAGGCACACATGTGGCTGTCCATGGCCTGACTTGTAGGTGACCTCTCTTTTCTGCCCCCTTTACTTAAGTAATCCAGATGGTGGCAAGAAGCTGAGGTCTAGAGAGTGTGGTCTGTACCCAGCAGACCAGGCCTTTCACGCATAGGACCCCAGACTGTGTTTTTGGTTCAGAAAACCTTCTCCATACATCAGATAATTTGGAATAAATGGTTCAATGAATTATTCTGAAAGTGATCACGTTTTTCTTCTCTGATAGTGCCTCTCAAATGTTAGTGCGCATAGAACCTCCTGGAGGGCTTGTTAAAACATATTGACCTGGGCCCCAGCCGGGAGTGTCTGGTGTCTGGTTCAGCAGTTCTCGGGTGAGGCCTGAGAGTCTGCATGTCTCATAAGCCACTGATGTGGCTGGACCATGGACCCCACCCTGAGCAGCAGTATTCTAAAATACAGGCCCGACCCGTATTCATTGGCAGTGCGGGTGCTTGCTGTGCTTGGGCGTGGCCTTAATGAAAGCTAAGAGAGACCAAGCCACCACAGACAAGACAAAACTAATCTGCCAGGGTCTCGGAGGCAGGATTTTCTGCATCACACCTTTGATTAACTCTATGCAAGTGGTGATTAAAACCAAGCATCATCCACGGTTTCCATTACTGCTGAGCCTTCCCTGTGTAGAAGGCGCGTGTAAACAGCTCCCAGAGAAACACCCGCTGCTCTGTTTGTGTGTACTGACTGTAGCAATAGCAACAGCTGATAAACCTACGCTGGCCTTTTGGTTTATACAGGACTGGGACCAAACCTGCCCAATCCCGTCAAAGCTTTTGTTGTCAAGACAGATGGGGAGGGGTTGAGTCTGTTGCTCAGGTCAGCTGTGGCTAATGTTTCCTTTTGTGTTTTGTGTCTGTTGTCTAGGGTGCCAGTGCTTACATTCTGAATTACTTAATGTACATCCTATGGGCGCTGCTGTTTGCATTTTTGGCTGTCTCCCTGGTGCGTGTATTTGCACCATATGCCTGTGGCTCTGGCATACCAGAGGTGAGTTCTGGCTGATTTTTTTGGTACCAATAATAAGAATAGCAAATTCTTCTGTAGCACTGTCATGCCAAGCACAGTTCCAAGCGTTTTACTTCTACTAACTCATTAAGTTTCTCAATAAGACTATGACGTAGGTACTATTATTCTGCATTTGATAGTTGACGAAACTAAAGCACAGAGAGGTTAAGTGACTTGCCCCAGGTAACCAAGCTGGTAAGCTGTGAGTTGAACCCAGTGTTCTGACTTCAGGATTTACACACTGTCTTCAAGATTTCTGTGCTATTGCTTCTCAGATGATAAAAGCCTTGTCTTTGTAAACCAGGCATAACTCTTAAAGCCTGTGGAATCAGAGTTCATTAACCACACACATAAACACGCTGTAATAACTCATCAGTGCATCTGTGATGTAATGTGAGAGACGATAGTGGAGGTTTGTTGCTGTGAAAGTTCACTGATGATGAAATCTCTCTTGCCATGTTTTGCTCTTCTGGTGGCAAGCTAATAGCAATCTTTTAAAAACCTGAATTCTGCCTTTAATACATGTACTGTGAACGTACCCCCGTGAATTTCGAGTTCTTATAAATAGTTTTCAGCACTTTCATGTAACCGAAGCATGAGGGAAGTGACCTCACCGATTAAGAGGAGTGCCTGAGACCAAACTTGAAACCTATGAGGACCTACTGGGCAGAATCATGATAATTGAGCTGATTCCCGAAAAGCCCAGATGGTGGAAATTTTAGCCAGAAGTAATTTTAAAAGTTCTGGTATTATCACTGTAATCCATGCAGTTCAGTTCTCCTTTGGGTTGATGCCTTAGCGATGCACACAGGCAGTGGGCTAGAGAGTTTGAAGATGTAGTTGTGGGCTGAGTATGGCAGTAAATCCACACCCTTTGGGAGGACCCTGCAGCCCTGATGGTGGTCCAGGCAGTTTGCAGAAAGGGCTGAAGTCATGAAAAGACAATCAGAGGCAAAATTCAACATGGTCTTGTTTCAGGAAAGATAGAAAAAAGAAGTCTTAATATGTCATGCTGAATTTTTGATGGTTGATGTTAACATATTGCTTCAGGAACCTGAAAAATAAGCTGTATTACCAACCTGTTTTCTCAGCGCAGCCAGTTCTGCTATAATGCAACATACGCATTCCTAAAAATCACCATGCCATGCAAAATCACACAACAGAAACCACAGGGCTTTATGGGGAACATGAATTAGGGGCACAATACACAAAACTTCATCACTGACACATATGACAAAAAGAGGAACCTAGTAAAAACAGGAGCACAGCTGTACACATTAAGTGGCTAAGAAATATGTAAATACCACAATAAATATGTCACTTCCTGCAAAGAACTTGAAGTTTGCTTGTGGAAGTGGGTGTCGCAAGGGCTGCAACTTACGCGTTGCTGTGAAGGGCATAAGGAAGGTTATCTGAAGTTGTAGGGGAAGTTGAGACAGCAGGCGTAGATGGGTGTGGCACCCTGGCATATGTGTGAACCGGTAGATGTTTGACTCGTGTATTTTGTGTTTTCCTACATGACTGGGTGCAATTTTCTGCATTTACCTGGTATTTCTCCTGGAGGAAATGCGCATAAATAGACATAAAATTTGAGTTATGCTCAAATTCCTCCCTAACATGAGTGGCATTGGAACAAATTTGCATTTTCTTTTTTTCTTTTTCCTTTTCTTTTTCTTTCTTTCTTTTTTTTCTTTTTTGAGACAGAGTCTCGCTCTGTTGCCCAGGCTGGAGTGCAGTGGCACAATCTCGGCTCAGTGCAACCTCCGTTTCCCAGGTTCAAGCGATTCTCATGCCTCAGCCCCCCAAGTAGCTGGGGTTGCGGATGTGTACCACCATGCCTGGCTAATTTTTTTTTTGGTTTTATTTTTAAGTAGAGACGGGGTTTCACCATGTTGGCCTAGCCTCATGTGATCCATCCGCCTCGGCCTCCTAAAGTGTTGGGATTACAGGCGTGAGCCGCCACGCCTGGCCTTCTTGTTTTTTTATTGTTTTATATAGAGACGAGGTCTCACTCTATTGCCCGGGCTGGTCTCAAATTCCTGGGCTCAAGTGATCCTCCCGCCTCAGCCTCCTGTGGAGCTGGGACTGCAGGCACGTGCCACCATGCCCAACTAATTTTTGTATTTTTTTGTAGGTTTTTGCCATGTTGCCCAGGCTGGTCTTGAAATCCTGGGCTCAAGCAATCCTCCCGCCTTGGCCTCCCAAAGTGCTAGGATTACAGGAGTGAGCCACAGTGCTTGAGGCAAATTTGCATTTTCCAACCAAGTGTCGTAGCAGAGCTGACTGTATTTTATTTGATGTCTAAAACATCTCAGTTTGTGATCCCACTGCCCAACAGTAGGCATTTTTGACTCAAGCATTTTGCAAATAAGGAGATGGCCGATGGGGAATTGGTGGAAAATAGAAGCAGTAAGAGGCACACTGGGTAGTCCCATCTCTCCCTTCCAAGAACTGTAGATGTGTGGCTCAGCTGGTGTCCTTATAGACAGGGAGTTCGAATATCAGTTCTATCTTTGAAGGGCTGGCTGGACTTTGTCATCATCTAAATTGGGCATTTTATTGGTGATAGCTGAACTCAGAAGGAGTAAAATACTGAGTTGAGGATTTGTTTCTTTTCTTTTCTTTTTTTGACAAGGTCTCACTCTGTTGCCCAGGCTGGAGTGCAGTGGCATGATCACAGCTCACTGCAGCTTTGAACTCCCAGTTTCAGGCAGTCCTCCTGCCTCAGCCTCCTGAGTAGCTGAGACTATAGGTGTGCATCATCATACCTGGCTAATTTTTGTACTTTTTGTAAAGGTGGGCTTTCACCATGTTGCCCAGACTGGTCTCTAACTCCTGGGCTTAAGTGATTCGCCTGCCTTGGCCTCCCAAAGTGCTGGGATTACAGGTGTGAGCCACTGTACCTAGCTGAGCATTTGTTTCTTATGTGACAAAAGTGCAAGGGATACATAGACATGGATGAAATTAAAAAATGTGATGTTAAGTGAAAAAGCAAGTTTTACAAGGAGAAAGTATGATTGATAGAACGTCTATAAACAGCTAAAATGAAAAAACGTATGTGCTAAAACTATAGAGAAAGGGGAAGAAATGGTAGGAAGTGGTGAGGGGAAGGAGGAAGGTTCGACTGGGGAGGCAAACACGAGGTAGCCACTCTTCTGTTTCTTAAACTTGGTAGTGGGCACATGGGTACTCGCTTTTATTAGTATTCTTTTAACTCTATATAAGTGCGTGATGGATTCATTTCTCTATTTCCTAAATAGTTCATAACAATCTTTTAAAGAACTTTCAGGAACCAAATGGAGGTTTGACCCAGCAGTAGCAAAGTCTTCATGTTACTATAGTAGAGCTGGAAATTCTTAACATAAGGATACAGTATTTTTCCCAGTTCTTGGAGGAGAGGGTCAGAGTAAAAAGTAAATATAAATAAATAAATCATGGGTAAAAAGAATCTCCTCCCAGTCAGCACCCAACTAAATATGGAAACTGACTTCAGTTGAGACATGAAGCTGTTCTTCATTCATTCTAGCAAAGATATTGACTGAACTATTTGGAAAACATGTTTATCATTGTCTGAGGTGATCTGCCATAAGCTGCTATATGGCACACTGTGTAAGAATGAACTTTGACTGTGATGCACTTATGTATATTTAAAAAATTGCTCATCCTCCCTAGCATTTGTTTCTAAAACATTTTGATTACTTAGAGTGAAAAATTCCTTTGGAAACATTTTTTAAAATGCAAATTTAGGTCAGGTACGGGGGCTCATGCCTGTAATCCCAGCTACTTAGGAGGCTGAGGTGGGAGGATTGCTTGAGGCCAGGAGTTCGAGGCTGCAGTAAGCTATGATTGCACCACTGCACTCCAGCCCGGACAACAGAGCAAGACCTTGTTTCTAAAACAGAAAAAAGAAGCAAATTTAAAGAAGGTTTTTTTTATTTTATGTAATAAATGCTCTCTATAAAAGTTCTATAAAGCACATTTAAAGGTGAATGCTTGCCTGTAATCCCAGCACTTTCAGAGGCCAAGGTGGGAAGATTGCTTGAGCCCAGGAGTTCAAGACCAGCCTGGGCAATGTAGTGAGACCTCATCTCTACAAAAAAATGAAAATAAGCGGCAGAGTGTGGTGGCTCACACCTGTAATCCCAGCACTTTGGGAGGCTGAGCTGGGTGGATCACTTGAGGCCAGAAATTTGAGACCAGCCTGGCCAACATGGCAAAACCCCGTCTCTACTAAAAATACAAAAATTAGCCGGCGTGGTGGCACGTGCCAGTAATCCCAGCTACTTGGGAGGTTGAGGCACGAGAATCGCTTGAACCTGGGAGATAGAGGTTGCAGTGAGCTGAGATCACACCACTGCACTCCAGTCTGGGTGACAGAGCAAGATTCTGTCTCATAAAAAAAAAATAAAAATAGCCAGGTTTGGTGGTGCACTCCTGTAGTCCCAGCTACTCTGGGGACTGAGGTGAGAGGATCACTTGAGCCCAGGAAATTGAGACTGCAGTGAGCTGTGATTGTGCCACTGTACTCCAGCCTGGGTGACAGAGCCAGACCCTGCCTCAAAAAAAAAAAAAAAAAAAAAAAAAAAAAAAAGAGTGAATACTCAGCTTTTGTTGCACGTGGGACTTGAGAGAGAACTGGGTAAGGGTGTCCTCTTTCTACTTGCTTCCTTTTGTCAGTAGAACCACTGTCGTGTCAACTATATGAGAAATCATACCCTCTCAGAACTTACTCTGTGTTGATGTTTCAGTTTATTAAAAAACATAAAACATAAACACTCTTACAAATATTTATTTATCGGAAAGAGTTCTGGTTTTCAGGTTAACACCAGCAAGTCACAAATCCGCTGCAGTACATCTCGTTAAAGCCCTGCTCGCTTCAGTCTCTATGAATTCAAATTAAAGCAAGTGATTGGATTTTGCCATCTACTGGGAATGAATTTGTCTTATTTAGTCCCTAATTTGATCATGAGAATTTTATAAAATCATGTTAGAGAATTACAAAATACCTATTACATTGTTCAATTCACCACATGTCATGGCTGGCAAAGGCTCAGGTAATTTAGATGCTTGTAATTTTCTAAATGGTATTACGCTTTTAAACTATACCCTTGGGTCCAAATCCACATTAACTAACTGACAAAAAATTATAGATAATTTTATTTGAGGCAACACAAAAGGGCAGAATTGTGGCAGGCGTAATAAAACATCCCTTAAATAAAGGGATCTGAGATCCCAGAGCACGGGCTCAATTAAGCTAACTACCACTAGTTAAGGACGGGTCTAACCACCACTAGTTTGTCTGCCACGAGTTCAAGGCTAGTTCAGGAAACACCATCTGACTGTATAGCTAGGAGACCTTGCACATGTTCTGTAGGAAGGAGCTCACTGAGTCCTTCAGGAACATACACACTCTTGGATGAGCTCACTTCATGACCCTCCCCAAATCGCCCAAGGTGACATGATGCTCAGTAGAAGGACCTGGTGAAAGAACAAAGAGTGTTTCACGGCTCTCCCTTAAATACTGTATTGAGAAATAAGGAATCTCTGTGCTGCTCTTTTCAGGAATCAAGCAGTGCTCTCCACCTGGGCTGCATTTTCGAGTCACCTACAGAGGCTGTAAAAATCCTCATACCCTGGATGCACCTCAGACCAATTATATCAAATCTCTGGGGTGAGAGCCAGCCAGCAGTGTTTTCTAATTCCCCAGGTGACTCTGATGAGTGCCACGGTTGAGAACGACTGTAGTAGCTATTTGAGAAACTGATTACTTGGCAGAGCAATGCCCACAAGGAGGTGTTTTGAAGTTACATAAATAACACTGACAAGAGATAACCTTGTCCCATTATGTATTACATAATGGGAAAACCAGAAATTGACCACAGATTTCATTGACTGATTCACTTGGTGTCTAATTAATCTGTGATTACAGGCTTGTAAGTTGCTAACCCGGCAGTAAACATTCAGTCCATTTCAGCCAATTGGGGGACGGGTTGGAGGTAGAAAAGTTGTTTGATCATTGATGATGCTTCTATATCTAAGAGAATACCATTTTGGCAGGGGAGAGGCCCTTGGTGTATGAAGTTAATCACTGTGATAGGCACCCAGTTGAATTCTAAAAGCATTAGGCAAAGACTCAAGTGAACGTTTAGGAAGAAAGCCATTATTTGGTATTTATAAAATGCAGCAGGTCTGGAAATGGAGCAAGATAACACTCCCTATAGTCAAAGTCCTTTACAATAAAAGAGGGTAGGATTTGATAGAAGAGAAGGGGTCATGATGGATTCAAACATCTTTACATCCCCCAAACATATATCATTGGAATGTTGAGCGTCTTCTTCATTTTCTACTGTTGTATTAAGAATATTTTCAAACATACAGAAAAGTTGAAAGAATTGGACAGTAAAAATTCATTAATTCATTGCCTCCAGCAGGGGTTGGCAAACTTTTCCTATAAAAGAAAGAGAGTCAATATATTAGGCCTTGGAGGCCAATGGGCAAGATGGAGCAACTATTCTCACCAGAAAGCTAGTAGTCTTTTTTTTTTTTTTTTTTTTTTTTTTTTTTTTTTTTACATACTACTTTTAAAAATGTTAAAACTACACTTGGCTCGTGGGTCATACAAAAATAGGTAGTGGGCCAGATTTGGACCACAGTCTGTAGTTTGTCAACCCCTGACCTAAAGTTCAACTGTCATTTTGCTCTTGTAGGGGCAAACACCTTTTTAGGGGTTTGCGGCTGGGCCTGCGAATTAAATTGACATATAAGACAGATCAACAGGAGAAAAGCATACATGTTTATTTAATGAATTTTACATGACATGGGAGCCTTCATAAGGAGTGAAGACCCAAAGATGAAGTTAGGGTTGAATACTTATGTGCTGAATTGGACGAGTAGTAATCTATGAAAGTGTGACGAGGCAGAGGAGCCTGGGCTGGGGGGTTAGCTGGGTGAAGTGGCCAGGAGGATGAGGGTTAGTCTAACAAGGTTGGTTCATGCAGATTTCCCTCAGCCTCAACTTCCTGTCTTTGATGATAAGAATGATGCTTCCTTCTAGTATCGGAAGGGCATCTTTCACATGGGAATTTCATCTCCAGCTTTTAAGAAACAAAATGGGCCAGTTGCGGTGGCTCATGCCTGTAATCCCAGCACTTTGGGAGGCCAAGGCGGGCGGATCACAAGATCAGGAGATGGAGTCCATCCTGGCTAACAGGGTGAAACCCCATCTCTACTAAAAGTACAAAAAATTAGCCGGGCATGATGGCGGGTGACTGTAGTCCCAGCTACTCAGGAGGCTGAGGCAGGAGAATGGCGTGAACCCAGGAGGCAGAGCTTGCAGTGAGCCGAGACCGCACCACTGCACTCCAGCCTGGGCAACAGTGCAAGACTCCATCTCAAAAAAAAAAAAAAAAAAGAAAAAGAAACAGAATGGTCAGGTGATGTTCTTGTTCTTGTACCTGCTGTTTTTCAAGAGCCTTTAACCCAAAATAGTCAGTTTGCCAGAGTGGCATATTTTGGGGTGGCATATTCCTTTTTTTTTTTTTTTTTTGAAACAGGATCTTGCTCTGTCACCCAGGCTACAGTGTAGTGGCACGATCACGGCTCACTGCAGCCTTGACCTTCCGGGCTCAAGTGATTCTCCTACCTCAGCCTCCCAAGTAGCTAGGACCACAGGTGCATGTCATCATGCCAAGCTAATTTTAATTTCTTTTTTTTTTTCTTTGCAGAGATGGGGTCTCTCTATGTTGCCCAGGCTGGTTTTGAACTCCTGGGCTCAAGCGATCCTCCCACCTCGGCCTCCCAAAGTGCTGGGATTACAGGTGTGAGCCACTGTGCCCAGCCTGGGGTAGCATATTCTTAACTACTTCACTCTCCTTGCCTTGTCACATAGTCAGCCAGCTCTCCATCTCTTAATCTAGGATATATTTCAGAGTCAAAAGTTAACAGTTAACATCAATAGGTACATGTCTCTTCTCAACATAACAAAAGGTAATGTGAACAGGATAAAATGCCATAAATCAAGTGAGACCTTGTTAATGATTTATTCAGTCCTCTTTAGGATCTTTTGGTACTCTAGGACTCCTTACGATTTACCATGCATTGAGTTTTTAATATTTCAGTTAATATAAAATTATAGTTAAATCAAAAATGAAAATGGTTTCTGTTCCATGCTATTGAGTGAATCTAAACTTTGAACGTGTCTCTCAGAGGAATTATAGCTCTTTTCCTAGCCATGGATTGAAGGAGTTCATTCCCTCTTGTTCTCCATCCTCTGTTTCAGATAAAGACCATTTTGAGCGGCTTTATCATCAGGGGCTACTTGGGGAAGTGGACCCTGCTAATCAAGACAGTCACGCTGGTGCTGGTAGTGTCCTCCGGTCTGAGCCTTGGGAAGGAAGGGCCGCTAGTGCACGTGGCTTGTTGCTGTGGCAACTTCTTCAGCAGCCTTTTCTCCAAGTACAGCAAGAATGAGGGCAAGAGGCGGGAGGTGAGCCAGCTCAGCTTCCATCTGCAGCGAAACTTTCTTCTCAAAGCCCCCTCCTGCTGTCTGACTTGCAGGTTTGCACGTTTGTTTTCATGGAAGGCCTTGAAGCTTATGTAGAACTATTTGTTTTGTAGGTGCTTTCAGCTGCAGCGGCTGCTGGAGTCTCTGTTGCCTTTGGTGCACCAATTGGAGGCGTGCTTTTCAGTCTAGAAGAGGTGAGAATGGGCAGCTGAGGGAATTCGTGATTTTGAGCAGCAAGGCCCGTTGAGGGTTAGAATCAAAGAAGTATTGGATAAGATTCCGGCAGTTAATTAAGGAGCCACAATTTCCACTGTTTTTTTTTTGTTTTGTTTTTGTTTTTGTTTTTGTTTTTTTTGAGACTGAGTCTCACTCTGTCACCCAGGCTGCAGTGCAATGGCGCAATCTTGGCTCACTACAACCTCCGCTTCCCGGGTTGAAGCAATTCTCCTGTCCCAGCCTCCTGAGTAGCTGGGACTATAGGTGCACGCCACCACGCCTGGCTCATTTTTGTGTTTTTAGTAGAGATGGGGGTTTCACCATATTGGTCAGGCTGGTCTTGAACTCCTGACCTCAGGTGATCCACCTGCCTCGGCCTCCCAAAGTACTGGGATTACAGGCGTGAGCCACAATACCCGGCCACCAGCGATAAATTCCTGTTTTCAAGTATTGTTTCAAAAATTGCCAAGGTGATTTTTTAAAAAGATTTACAGTATTCTCCCTCTCATAACCAACTTAATTAAGCATTTTTGATTTTGGTAACCCAAACGGGTTATTCCAGGGGTTGGCAAACGTTTCTGTAAAAGGCCAGGTAGTAAATGTTTTTGGTTTTGTGGGCCATGCAATTTCTGTTGTAGCTGCTCAGCTCTGCTGTCATAGCATGAAAGCAGCTGTGAACAATACGTACACAAATGGGCATGTCTGCATTTCCATAGATGTTTCCTTATGGGCACTGAAATTTGAATTTTATGGTTTTCACATGTCACAAAATATTGTTCTTCTTTTGAATATTTCAAATCAAAAGATTTTTTCACCTTTTTCAATCAATTAAAAATGTAAAAACCATTCTTAACTCATGTGCCATACAAATGCATTCACTGGGCTGCACGTGACTTGCAGCCCAGAGTTTTCCAAACCCTGATCTACTCTGTTTTCTGTAGAATCCAATCCAGAGGTTTATTTGCTTCTAGGGGAGTCTCTGTGCCATGAACAGAATTATGATTAAATACTTTTCTCTTAAAAATATAGCCCAAACCCACCTTGATTAGTGTCCATTCCACTTCTAGACATAGTTAGATTCCTCCAGGTATCTTTGCTGATGCGTTTTGGTCACATTAAGTCCAGGCTCATGGAATGAGTGTGTCCACTCTTGGACTTAGAGTGTGACTTTCCTGCCAACCAGAGGGCTTGGCTCTGAGCAGCTCTTTCTCCGGCCAGTCTTTAATTTTCCACTTTTTCATCTCAGGTCAGTTACTACTTTCCCCTGAAGACCTTGTGGAGGTCATTTTTCGCAGCCCTGGTGGCGGCCTTTACGCTGAGATCCATCAATCCCTTTGGGAATAGCCGTCTCGTTCTCTTTTATGTGGAATACCACACGCCCTGGTACATGGCTGAACTCTTCCCCTTCATCCTGCTTGGGGTCTTCGGGGGCTTGTGGGGAACCCTCTTCATCCGCTGCAACATCGCCTGGTGCAGGAGGCGCAAGACCACCAGGCTGGGGAAGTACCCGGTGCTGGAGGTCATTGTGGTGACTGCCATCACTGCCATCATTGCCTACCCCAATCCCTACACACGCCAGAGCACCAGCGAGCTCATTTCTGAGCTGTTCAATGACTGTGGAGCCCTTGAGTCTTCCCAGCTCTGTGACTACATCAATGACCCCAACATGACTCGGCCTGTGGATGACATTCCAGACCGGCCGGCTGGTGTCGGTGTTTACACGGCCATGTGGCAGCTGGCCCTGGCACTGATCTTCAAAATCGTCGTTACCATATTTACCTTTGGCATGAAGGTAAGTGAAAGGGAAGGAAGATGGGGTGGGGACCCATGTCCTTCTGGGGACAGCACCCTACTCTCTAAAATAAAATTGCGGTGGGAAAAAAAGGGGAACTGGCCTTTCTTGAATGTTCTCATGTGCCAGGCACTTGACATTCCTTTAATCAATAGGAAATAACTTCTAATAAACAATAAGCTTATGAAATAGAGATTTTAATCCCATTTTACAACTGAGGAAACTAAGGCTCTGAGATCTTAAGTGGCTTGATCAGACCCACAGCTTATGGGAGACAGAGCTAGGCATCAAACCCACTTCACACATTCCCAGAACAGGTGGTGGTGACCACAGGTTTCCTGCCGCTGGCCAGGTGATGCCAGGTGGTGGAAAAAGCCCAGGTTTGGCTCAGTTTGGCTCATTAAACATGCATTGAGTATCAGCTGTATCTTAGGCATCGTGCTAAGTCTGAGGGATACAGAACCCAAACAGAAAGCTGCCCTTGCAGAGCACACAGCTCTGGGAGAAAGAGATGCAGACCTGGAGTTCTGACATTGTGATGAGCACCACGCTGGTATGACGGGAGCACAGAGTGAGTGTGTCCCCCGTCTGGGTAGGGCTGGGCATGACAGGGGCTCTTTGCACACATCCTCTTTGAAGAACAGAGCTGTGGATGACAGCACATGCTTTCTTTTCCTCCTCCCTCCCTCCCTCCCTCCCTCCCTTCCTTCCCTTCCTTCCCTTCTCTTCCCTCCCCTTCCCTTCCCTTTTCCCTTTTCCCTTTCCTCTTCCCCCTTTCCCCTTTCCCCCTTCCCTTCCTTTCGTCTTGTTCCCAGGCTGGAATACAGTGGCATGATCACAGCTCACTGCAGCCTCAACCTCCTGGGCTCAAATGATCCTCCCATCTCAGCCTCCCAAGTAGCTGGGATCATAGGCGTGAACCACCACACTTGGTGATTTAAAAAAATTTTTTGTACAGATGAGGCTCTTGCTGTGTTGCCCTGGCTGGTCCCAAACTCCCAGGCTCCAGTGATCCTCCTGCCTCAGCCTCCCAAAGTGCTGGGATCATAGGCATGAGCCACCACACCACACCCAACAGCACATGCCTTCATTACTCTTGTTCCTAAAGCCAGAGAAGAGACAGCTGGTTTCCTCTTTCATTGTGTTAAAATCATTTGTTAAAATCATTATGTTAAAATACTTTAAAAGCCCCTCCTAAAGAACTTTCTTTTATGGAACCTGGGATTTTGTTATTATAGCTTTTTTTTTTTTTTTGAAATGAGGTAAAACCCATAAAACATAAATGATCATTTTAAAGTATACAGTTCAGTGGCATTACATACATTCACAATATTGTGCAATTAACACCTGTATTTAGCTTTAGAACATTTTCATCCCCCAAACGGAAATCCCATCTCCATTAACAGTCATTCCCCATTTTTCCCTCCTGCAGCCCCGGCAACCACTAATCTGTCTCTAGATTCGCCTATTTTGGACACTTCATATAAATGATATCATATAATATGTGGCCTTTGGTGACTGGCTTTTTTCGTTTAGTGCAATGTTTTCAAGGTTCATTCACATTGTAGCATGTGTCACTACTTCATTTTTATGGCTGAATAGTATTCCATTCTATGGAGATCCCACATTTTGTTTATCCACTCATCCTTTGATGGACATTTGTGTTGTTTCCACCTTTTGGCTATTATGAATAATGCTATCATTACTTACTTAAAGAAACTTTTATTAGAGTATATCGTTCATATAGAGAAGTGTACAGCTTGATGGAGTTTCATAAAACACACACACACACCTGTGTAACCAGCACCCAGGACCAGAAGCAGAACATTATCCACCTCCCAGAGCCCCCTTTTGTGTTCCATTACTATTGCTTTCTGTGTGGCATTTCTATGAATTGTCTTTTAATTTTATTTATTTTTATTAAAAATATAAAATAGAGACCAAGCTCCCTATGTTTCCCAGGCTGGTCTTAAACCCCTGAGCTCCAGTGATCCTCCTGCTTTGGCCTCCCAAAGTGCTAGGATTACACACATGCGCCATTGTGCCCTGCCTGAATTGTCTTTTTTTTTTTTTTTTTTTTTTGGAGACAGGGTCTCACTCTGTTGTCCAGGCTGGAGTGCAGTGGCACAATCATGGGTCACTGCAGCCTCGACCTTCTGGGCTCAAGTGATCCTCCTGCCTCAGCCCACTGGGACTACAGACACGTGCCACCATGCCCAGCTGATTTTTGTATTTTTTGTAGAGATGGGGTCTTGCCATGTTGACCAGGCTGGTCTGGAACTCCTGGGCTCAAGTGATCCGCCTGCCTTGGCCTCCCAAAGCGTTAGAATTACAGGCGTGAGCCATCACACCCAGCCTGAATTGTCTTTTTTTTTTTTTTTTTTAAATTTAATGGTCGGGCATGGTGGCTCATGCCTGTAATCCAAGCACTTTGGGAGGCCAAGGTGGGTGGATCACTTGAGGTCAGGAGTTCAAGACCAGCCTGGCTAATATAGTGAAACCCCATTTCTTCTAAAAATACAAAAATTAGCTGGGCGTGGTGACACACGCCTGTGGTCCCAGCTACTCGGGAGGCTGAGGCATAAGAATCACTTGAACGCAGGAGGCAGAGGCTGCAGTGAGCTGAGATCACGCCACTGCACACGGGCCTGGGCGACAGAGCGAGATTCCGTCTCAAAAAAAAAAAAAAAAAAAAAAAGAAAAAAATTCTAAGAAGTTGTTTACTTGAGTGTGTCATAGTGGTCAAATACAAACCTGAATTTGGGCCTTAAGAACAAGGATGAGTAGGCCTTATTAAACAGCTGGCTGTCTCTGATCTGTCATCTCCTAGCAAAGGGATTTGTTTTCATGTCTCAGGAAGATGCTGGTAACATTTTATGATGCTTGCTGAGAAAAGTCTCCTTTGATGTTACAGGGATATAAATGATGTAGAATAAGGGGAAGCTCAGAAAGGAATGATTTCCTAAGGAGTATTCTGACTCTAGAAATCACACCCAAGGATCCAAACTTCACTTGAATTAGGTTAAAGTTCTGCTTCCATCCTCAGATGGGTAACCACCTGGGGCTGGCTGGCATCATTGCAGCTGCTGCCCATGGTCAGCGGTCACGTGTCATTTCAGCGAACACAGGGAGTCAGGCTTGTTCTATAGTACATGTGTGGTCATTAGATAAACTAAAATGTATCTTCATCCAGCAGGGTAGAGAACACGCTGGTACCAAGATCTCTTAGTTTACATTCTATTTCTTTGCTGCCCCTATCCTGGCTTGAAAATATTCAGAATACTTATTAGAAAATGTACTTCATTAGGAAGAGGGAATTGCCTCCCTCGTCTCTCTCTGACAGGTATTCAGCTACCACCTACTAGAGAGGGCAGGGAGCCATTGAAGTGCTTTCTGGAAGATCCAGGGTGGCTGCAATGATGGACTTAGCTTCTTTATTTTACCTGGGAGCAGTCGCAGGCCCTTCTTTTCCATTTTCATGCTGTGGCTTGACATTTAATTTTAAAAGCCATTCTGAATGACATGGCAAGGGGCGAGAGAAAGTGGTGTCTCAACTGACAGATGCTCACTTTGAATGTTATTTGCAGTGGGGCTTATCATTCTTTAATCCACAGCAGGCAAACCCAGCCAGCTTTTGAAGGAGAGGGAATCAAAGTATAAAATTGCGTCCTCTCTAAGTTGCAGTAGATATGACTGACTAGGCAGGTCAAATTATTTGTCCCACCTTTCCCCAGCTGACCTATTTTGCAGAGTTGCACCTCCTCTGAAGACTGAAGCTAAATGCAAGCCCGTCGAGGGGGAATGTGTTTCTTGGGGGTCGTGAAGCGGGGACTTGGTCTTTTTCCCTCATGTTGCTTTTCTCTGTGTCTCCTCAAGATCCCGTCGGGCCTCTTCATCCCCAGCATGGCTGTGGGCGCGATAGCGGGCAGGATGGTGGGAATTGGCGTGGAGCAGCTGGCCTACCATCACCATGACTGGATCATCTTCAGGAACTGGTGCAGACCCGGTGCAGACTGTGTCACGCCAGGGCTGTACGCAATGGTGGGAGCTGCGGCCTGCCTCGGTACGACCATGGGTGGGGCAGGGAGGGGGACCGGGGAACTAATCTGGCTTAGAGGACTGCCAAGAAGGAAGACATGGACTTGAACATTTTCTTTACTCAGGATAGGCTGGGTTGTGTGGCTATAACAAGTAAACCCCTAAATCACAATGGCTTAACGCACCAAGGCTATGTCTCGCTCACTATGCAGACACACACACACACACACAAACAGATGCCCTCAACTTATGATGGGGTTAACATCCTGATAAATGCATCATAAACTGAAAATATTATAAGTTGAAAATGCATTGAATACACCTAACCTACCAAACGTTGTAGCTTAGCTTAGCCTACCTTAAACATGTTCAGAACACTTACATTTGCCTACATCTGGGCACAATCATCTAACACAAAGCCTATTTTATAATGAAGTTGAATATCTCTTGTAATTTATTGAATATTGTACTGGAAGTGAGAAACAGATGGTTGCCTGTGTACTTGAGGCATGGTTTCTACTGAATGCCTGTTGCTTTTGTACCACGGAAAGTGGCAAAATTGTAAGTTAAACCATCGTAAGTCAGGGACTGTCTGTAAATAAAAATCTTGGTTTAGCAGAAGGCGCTTCTCCACCTAATCATTCAGGGGCACAAAGGTGGGTCTGTCCCCTGTCTATAGTCCTTAAGAATTTCTGTGATATTCTGTTTATGGGGTTCTTGAAGAGCACCATGCTTGCTTAGTCAGAAGCTTGCAGAGCCCATGTAGGATCCACTCACCAAAAAGCTTGTGTGGGCCACGGTGAATAGACAACCCGGGATCCGTCATTGGAGCAGAGGCCCCAGTGAGATGCAACTTCAGGCTCCCCAACGCAAAGCCACATTTGACAGGGCCTGGCCTGGGTTCCAGAGGCCCAGTGTAGGAAGCATGTAGGAGAGTCTGCTTGGAACAGGTGTGAGGGGAATTTACAGCCTGTCTGTCATTTTCCCCAAATCATGCTTCCGTGAGCTGCCCGGCTTGCACTTTGGAATCTTACTCCTCCCCTCTGTTGCAGGTGGAGTTACCAGGATGACGGTGTCATTGGTGGTCATCATGTTTGAATTAACCGGGGGTCTGGAGTACATCGTGCCCCTGATGGCGGCGGCTGTGACCAGCAAGTGGGTAGCTGATGCATTTGGGAAAGAAGGCATCTACGAGGCCCACATCCACTTAAATGGGTACCCTTTCCTTGACGTGAAGGACGAGTTTACTCACCGCACACTGGCCACCGACGTCATGCGGCCCCGGCGGGGAGAGCCGCCACTGTCGGTGCTCACCCAGGACAGCATGACTGTCGAGGACGTGGAGACGCTCATCAAGGAGACCGACTACAACGGCTTCCCCGTGGTGGTCTCCAGAGACTCCGAGCGCCTCATTGGATTTGCCCAGAGGAGGGAACTGATTCTCGCAATAAGTGAGTAAAGAGAGGGAAGCTCACATTTTACCAAGAGCCGAATGGCATCCTTTGTACCCCTAACATTATCCAAGATTTTTGAGGTGATGTGCATTAAGCCAGGGGCTCTCAAGCTTTCACATGTCTCTGGGTCACCCAGGGGTCTGGCTCAAAAGCAGATTCTGATTGAGCAGGTCTTGGGTGGGATCCGATACTACATCCCTCACAAGTTCCCCATTAACGCCGATATTGCTGGTCCCCACGTCACACTGTAAGGAAAAAGGCTTTAAACCCAAGTCTTGGGTAGACATTCTTGGTTGCAAAGTGACTGCATGTTTGCAAGCAGCCCCCTGGCCCTGCTCCGCTGCTGCCTTTCAGCAATTGTTGGCTAAAGCTGAGAAGGAAGAGAGGCGACAGCCTGGAGTGGCCCGGGCTGAGCTGTCTCAGAGACTTTCAGGTGTACCAACCATCCGGCTGAGATCACGAGTTCTCTGCCCCAGACACCCCTTGCCACCACACAAGTCTTTTGCTTCACTTTGTGATATGATGTCAGATTCCACAGTTAGAGGCCCTTGTGGGTAAATGTGCAGACATCGCTGAAACCAATTGCGTGAGATGATTTTCCTCTTGTGTTTGAATGACAATCAGCTGCACTGAGGGGCAGGCTGTTGAGTTGGGGGAGGGGAGTATGGGATGATGCCCAGGTCAGGGTGTCCCAACGACAGGTGGATCAGAGAAGCAAGCCCATGGGCCCCATCAGCCGAGGGATGGCTCCAACAGAAGGGTAAACAGGAGGTAGGAGAATTCCTAAGACAGAGGGGCCTAGGGCTGCGGGCTGAGGGCCAGAGGTCTGGTTGTGAGTTGCTGGGACCCCAGGCAAGGAGAAGCTGTGAGCCTTGGAGGGGTAGAGTCCTGCTGGGCCTCAAGGTGGCAGGGGCAAGGACCAGCATAGCACATCCACGGGCACGCTCACCATCCTTGCTCTGTGATCTGTACAACATTCCAGCATCTCATGATAGACCAGGGCCCATGGCGTGGCTCCCATGTGCACACGACAGTTTTACTATATATCTTCTAGAGTATTCTTGAAGCTTGTCAATGGGACTTTCCCTGGTCTGATGTTGGAATGGCCCACTGTTAATACATCTCCACCAGGCAACTGCTTACTTCTCTCCCTGTCCTTTGTTTCCTGTTTCCAAGGCACCTCCCTTAAACCTCTTCCCAGTGTTACATAGCTTTAAAATATCTTTAAGGCATCTTCATCAAAGGCTTTATAACAATAAGTTGAGATAAGCTATCCTCTCCCATTTTAGCTTGACACTCAAACATTTTTACCTCCCCCAAAGTAAAAATTGATTTTGTATTTTAGACACCGTAGCAAGTTTGTGCTTAAGTGTTCGGCGATGCTTCTCCTTATTATAGGTCCTGTTGCTTAACGGGTAGGTAGGTGCCTTTGTGTAAATATTGCCTTATAAATAATGAGGTTTTTTTAAGGTTAAGTAGGATTGGGTTTGTTTAAAAATACTGTAATCAGCAGCCTTTAAAAATTTTTTCATTCCCTAGGATCTTTTAAGCAAAGGTTGAAATTTAAAAACTAAGGTAATAAATGTCACAGAATCTATTATCTATTGTATAGCTCCAGGCACACCTGCTAAGAGGCAGCTTACTAATTTTGCTGAAACCCATTACTGTAATCAAGTGGGAAGCAGTAATTGTCATCAACCAGTTAGAGAAGAAATTTAAGCTTACCAACCAAGTACTCTTCTCGAAGCTATGTTTGGAATGTCTGAAGAGGCACCACACGGTGTAAATACTACCTATATGCTTTCAATCAGACCGATAATAATATAGAAGGTGCTATTTACATGGTTTGTGCAGAGGGAAGGAGTGTTTTGCTCTGAGGAATCAGAAAAGCTGTTTTTCTGGCCTGTGGAAATAGAAGAGCCCCTGTACTCTGGTGGAGAAATACAGGTGCATGACCTGTATTTGAGGAATCTTGTGCCATTTTATGAGTATAGAAATATGACAGCATTTAGCTAGACACTATCCCATGCCAATTTCACTTCCTAGAGGAATTGGGAGCAAAGATTATAGACAGATCCAAGATAGTATGGATCAGAAAAGAAAGGTAAGTGAGGTAAATAAGGATTTTTCTTACATATCATGTTTAAAAATTGTAGCAACTGCTCACATGAAGCTGAAAATGTTTTGTTATGTTTTGGAATGCCAAAGCATGGCGTTATCTTTGTTAGAGAGCACGTCGTTAGCACCACCTAGGCAACGTGACTCTCTTCACCATCACATACTAGCACACGGGGCTGTATGCGACTCTTGCTCAAGTTCCTGGCAAATGGGCCTTTACCTCTCATTGCTCTGCAAATATGAGGACTCGCCTGTACTTAGCAGGGCTCAGGTGCTTCTTGTCTTGAGTTCTGCAGTTAAGTAGAGGTTCAAAGAGGACTCAGCGGGGAGTTGCAGAGATGATTAAAGGGTGGAAAGTTAGAGTTTCAGGGAAGAGTTAAGGAAACTCTCAGGTTTTTTTGGTCTGGTGGATGATTTATTAGGCTGGTACAAAAGTAGTTGCGGTTTTTGCCGTTACTTTCAATGGCAAGAACCGCAATTACTTTTGCACCAACCTAATGATTCTCCAGCATGTGGAAGACGCTTAGTTGCAGAAAGGGGTCTACATCCAGCACTGAACAAGAAGCTAAGTGTCAGGTCTGTCAGACAAGGGAGAAAGAGGTTTCTGCCCGGGAGGGCTGTTAGTTACTGGACTAGGTCATGGAGAATAGTGGTGTCATCTACACCTTTCTGTTGGGGATGTGTGTGTGTGTGTGTGTATATATATATATATATATATACACACACACACATAGAGGGACTTCTCCATGCTTTAGTAGACAGACAATAACTTGTAAAACAATCTGCTTTTTCTTCTGTATAATCTTTACTTTTTTATCATATCATCTTTGTACTACTTCTGTGGTTGCTTTCAATTTTCCATTTTAACCTATCTCATTAATTATATCTGTCTTATGGACGCATTTAAAAAAATTTTTTGAGACAGGGTCTCGCTGTTTCACCCAGGCTGGAGTGCAGTGGCGCGATCATAGCTCACTGCAGCCTCTACCCACTGGGCTCAAGCAGTCTTCCTGCTTCAGCCTCCGGAGAAGCTAGGACTACAGGCTTGCACCACCATGCCTGGCTAAGCATTTTTAATTAACAGGATGATAGACTATTACTTCCCTAAAAACACAGTTCAAGTGGGAGTACTCCTCCTCAGCACTGCTGACATTTGGGGCTTGATGATTCTCTGTGCTGGGGCTGTCTTGTGCACTCTTGGGTGCTGAGCAGCATCCCAGGGCTCCACCCACTGGATGTCAGCAGCACTTGCCCTCTCCTATTGTGATAACCAAAAATGTCTTTAGACATTGCCAAATGTCCCCTGAGGGTGGAGGCAGAATTGCTCCCAGTTGAGAACCATTGCTCTAAAGCCACTCAATAGCCTAATGAATATGTGATTATTTCCAATTTTGAAAAATTTCTTGGCCTATCACATAGTTTGTGAAATTTCTCTTACCCATACTTTATTATTTACCATCTCTACATCTGGCATATGAACATATTGCTTCTAGGAAATGGAATGTTGAGTAACCTTAGCAGGTGCTCATAAAATATACATTCCTTCATTTTTTTTTTTTTTTCACTAAGTCTTGCTCTGTTTCCCAGGCTGGAGTGCAGTGGCGACATCTCGGCTCACCCCAGCCTCCACCTCCCAGATTCAAGCAATTCTCCTGCCTCAGCCTCCCGAGTAGATGGGACTACAGGCGCATGCCACCAGGCGTGGCTAATTTTTGTATTTTTAGTAGGGACGGAGCTTCACCATGTTGGTCAGGCTGGTCTCGAACTCCTGATCTTAAGTGATCCGCCCACCTCAGCCTCCCAAAGTGCTGGGATTACAGGCATGAGCCACTGTGCCTGGCCTAAAATGTACATTCTTTTTTAAGAGCTGTGGCCACTGAGACTCATTCTAGTAGAATATATGACAAACCTCCTACATTAAAGACAGTTTTAAAAACAGTTTAACTATTTTTAAAACATTTAAAAATGAAGTTTATTACATTTTTTCAAAATGAAAGTAATACACACTCCAAATATTGGGGAAATCAGAAGAAAAAGGAAACATTTAAAAAGCCACCTACATTCTTATCACCAAAGAAGACATGATTGATATTTAGTGCATTTCCTTTTTGTCTTTTAGGTCTTTTAAAAAGATGCATTTTCGGTTGTATTGTTTTGGTTTCTTTTTCAACACAGACTCCCAAGTGTTCCTAGGGTCTGTGGGTCTCTTTTCTTGTAGCACTGGCTCATCCCCTGGGTGAGGAGTTAGTTGGTTTATCCTTTCACACAGGAAATATTTCTTAAGTGTCCACCATGTGCTGATACCATCCTAGAAGCTCAGAGTCCAGGGATGACAGCACACTGCCTCTGCCCTCTGTGAACTTACATGCAGGCATTTTGGTGTCTGATGATTTCTGGTCCAAACTGAGAGCAGATGTTTCACCCTGGTAGAGAATTGCAAAGAGCTTTCTTGCTGGTTGTTCTTCCATTCACAGGCTTTTGCCTGTTCTTAGCACCTCTACCCACAAAGTTTGAAGCCTCCTGTAAGTCTGTAATAGAGTTCCAAAGTGGCCTAGCAGAACCTTTCTGAGGAGAGTAGCAGTTGCCACTGTGGGAACAGCAAGGTGCATAGCTCAGGCTTCTGGCTCTGACCCTAGCTGATGCCTATATTTTTGCTTGGCAGTAAATACCTTGTGTGCTTTCCTTCCTGATGCCTCCTATGTGAGATAGGTTCAGTTTTATGTGGCAGGCAGAACCAGATACACTGACATTTAGTAGACCTACTCATCCGTTCATTCATATGTGCATTTGGCAAATATCTGTTTTGTGTCTACTGTGTGTTAGGCATTGTCCAGGCACTGGGAGTGCACTGGTGAGCAAGAGTTCATTGAGCTAGTGGCTGTTAGAATCAGGGCTTCTAACCCAATCAGTAGGTTCAAAGGAGATATAAGCATGTTATTTATTTTATTGTAGCAAGTGGATCGACCATTTATTAAATTGTATTTGGTTTTAGAAGGGGTTCAGCAAATCCATGTCATCAACTCTTGATTGGGGTTTGCAACTTGATCCAATCCTGACATTCACTCAGTGGTTGAAATTGATGGAAATCCTGTTAGTGGGACTTTAAGAGAATCGGCTGGTCTATGGGAATGAGCAAATAAGTGTGTGTTGCCAGTTGCCTCCCTGCCTTAGTGGGTAAGGACAGAATCATCTTGGTTTAGGAGAGAAGTACGTAGTATATATCGAACAGTCTACATTTGAAAACGCGTTGTGCCTCAGAGTCGTCTGGTATTTGTGGCAGAATCATACCCCATTTGATGTAACTTGATTTAACCTGACCCATGTAATGTGAAGGCATTTGCCCAGCAGGCCCTCTGTTCCTCTTTTAAACAGAGACCCTTTTTCAGACTCAGCCTGACCCCAGATGCTGCCAGTTTTCCATTAGAGTACTCTATTGCACTAAATGGCCTTAGAGGAGGCAGTTAGAATTTTATTTTTGAAAGAACAATATAGGTGAATAGTAGTCTTTGAGAAGGTAAGAAGTGTATTATGGGAACCAGGATCCATTTTAAAGCAAGCCTTGCTGTACATTTTCCCTAACCTTTTCCCATGAACCAAAAGAAAGATTAAAATTCCAACAGAAGGAAAATCGCCTTGGAGAAATATCTTGAGACCGATGGATTTATTTCATGTGTGGCTTAAAATAGCCTGGGTTTCTAGCACCGCGTTAAGCTGTATTTCTAATGAGTTCCTGTTACCCTACTTTTCTTCAGCTTTCTTTCACATGGCCTTTTCTATAGACAGAAATAGGCTAATTGCTACCATAACAGTTTTACTATCTTTCTTTGAGGGATCCACAAAATGGCCCATTTTTAAGACAGGAGATCCGAAGGGTTGAGGGGGGATGCAGCTTTTCTGGGGTTGTTTCTTTGGACCCAAGGGTCGCGTTTGGGATTGAGCTGCATTTCTGGGCTGTGAGCCTGGGCTGGCCGTATTGGTTTCTTGTTCCTCCCAGGATTCATAATGCCATTTGGGCCAGTTATAAGTTAGTTCGTAAAAAGAAAAACAATGTATTAAGGTCATCGGGCAGCTAAGTAAGTTTCTTGTCACCTCAAACTCCAGCCCATGATGAGGTGAAGGAGCGTAAGGAAAGCCAGAGTGGAGGGCCCTGGGCTGTTTGGGGTGCCCGGAGTCTGCGGTGAAGCAGTGAATGTCCCCAAAGGGGCCATCTGGGTCAGGCCCATCTTGCCAGACTTTGGCAACAAATGATCCGGTCACAGCAGGGGACCCTCACACAGCATTAGCTGCAGAGAGATGCCAATTCCACAGATGTTTGGCTAAAGCCCCTTATTAAGAATGTGTGGTTCATCCTCCAAACCCCTTTTCTGTGGGATTCTAGATGGTGTGTGTGAGTGTGGGGTGGGGAATTGCTCAGCAAGGGGTTTTTGTGTGGCTCATTGTTCCTGCTCACCCCATTCTAGAGAACGCCAGACAGAGGCAGGAGGGCATTGTGAGCAATTCCATCATGTACTTCACGGAGGAACCCCCCGAGCTGCCGGCCAACAGCCCACATCCCCTGAAGCTGCGGCGCATCCTGAACCTCAGCCCGTTTACAGTGACAGACCACACTCCGATGGAAACGGTGGTGGATATCTTCCGGAAACTGGGGCTTCGGCAGTGCCTGGTGACGCGGAGCGGGTGAGTAGCCGGACATGTGGCCAGAATGACCTAGGGAGAAAAAGATGAGTGAGACATGGTCTCAGCCCTGAAGAATGTGGAGGGCCATGGGGTGGAATAGTCCTTGACAGAGAATGGCAGTAAGCTGTGGTGAATGTGTTGAGGAGGAAATGTACAGGGAGCTTGGGACTGAGGGCTGGGCAGCCGTGCAGCCAGAGAAGGGGGTGGTCCAGGCTGGACTGCTGCCTGGGCTGAGGGAGGTTGAGTAAAAAGGGGTGGAGCCACAGGAGAAGGGCTTGGTGTTGCTTTTCTACCACCCCATGTGACACTTGGCTTAGGGAGGAGGTTCTGCTATAACGTGATGTATGCGGTCCTCAAAATCACAGCACTACGCAAAAAGTGCTCCATGCAAACCACAGGACTTGTGGGAAAAATGGGGTTAGGTACACAACAGTCAAAAACTTCATCAGTGATATATGACATAAAAGAGGTGGAAGCCTAATAAGAATGGTAGTACCGAGCCAGGTGCAGTGAGTGGCTCGTGCCTGTAATCTCAGCACTTCGGGAGGCTGAGGTGGAGGATCACTTGAGCCCAGGAGTTCGAGACCAGCCTGGGTCGCAAGACCCTATCTCTACAGATAAATTTTTATAAAATCAGCCAAGTGTGCCCATAGTCCCAGCTACTTGGGAGGCTGAGACAGGAGCATCACTTGAGCCCAGGCTTCCAAGGCTGCAGTGGCCCAGGATTGCACCACTGCACTCCAGCCTTGGCAGCAGAATGAGACCCTGTCTTGTAAAAAGAATAGTGGTAGTACCATGTTACACATTAGTTAAATGGTTAAGAAATACAGGGATACAACAGAAATATGTCACTTCATCTTAAAAAGGCCTGAAGTTGGCTGTGGGGTGGGTTTCACAAGCTGTGCCACTTCCGAATTACCGGGAAGGGGTGGAAGGAGGGGAGCCTGAACTCAAGGGGAAGTGGTCACAGCAGGTGTGGATGGGCATGGCTCTTCACGCATGCATGAACTGAGGTCGCTTGTGGATGTTTGGGGGCCGGGCATGTGCATTTTGTGTATGCCGATCCCACTGGGTTCAGCTGGGTACAGTTTCCTGCATTTGCCTAGAGCTTCTCATGGATGAAATCACACATAAGCAAAGGTAAAATTCATATTATGCTCAGATTGTTCCTGATATATCAATTTGTTTGAAACAACTTTGTTTTCGAAACAAACATGATTGGAGAATGGAGAGATTTGATGGCCCCATGGCATTGTCCCTGCTGCCACTTTTGTTTTGTGTTGTCACAAATCAGGAAACCAACAATGCAAAGATCGAGGGTCCACTGTAGTAGCACCAGAGAAGCAGTTCCTTAAAGGTCATTCCTTGGCCTCTGAGTGTCACAAGTTCCATGGTGTCAGAAGCTTGTGTAAGGGAAGGGGTCGGCTTGGTCAGGGTAGCCTGGAACCTAGGGTTATCTGCCCATTTTATTCCTTTATGGGCTGGGAGTAGGAGGCGGGGAATGGGTTCTGGAGACATTGGTACCTAATAAAGTTTAGGCCTTTATAGACTCCAGAGGCTCAACTATCTAATATAGCTTATATTTCCAGAGCCAGCACACTCTAGTTTAACACAGCAGTTCTCAACTGGGATGATTTTACCTCCCAGAGACATTGGGCAATGTCTGGAGACAATTTGGGGTGTCATGACTGGAGGGAGGGATGCTATTGGCATCTAGTGAGTAGAGGTCAGGGGCGCTGCTAAACATCCTGCAGTGAACAGGACAGCTCCACAACAAAACATCTGGCCCAAAATGTCACTAGTCGTGCAGTTGAGTGACCTTGGACTGGATGTGCCTGTATAGCCAAATGAGCAATCCTATTCATTCCACTTTCTTCCTGCTGTCCTGGTAGCAAGCACACAGGGGGACAGGCTTTGCAATTTGCAGATTTACCCAGAGAACTCCTGGCCAGCAGAGTGAGCATCCTCCTTAGCTCTGACTACAGACAGAGCAGTGTCTTGCATGTGGGAGGTGCAATCAATAGGGAAAAATAAATGAGTCCTTGTGTTTGACAAGGCTAGGGATCATTTCTGCTGATGAATTTTAAAGGAGCTCAAGTGGTTTTTCAAACTTGAGTGTGGATCAAAATACCCTGGAGGATTAAACCTCCAGGTTAAATCCAGATTTCTGGGCCCTGCCACAGAGGTACTGATCCCTGGAAGTCTAGGGTGAGGCCCAAGAATATTCTTTCCTAACAAGCTCCCAGGTGATGCTGCAACTGCCGGTCTGGGGACCCCACCTTGAGAACCACTGAAGTCGATTTATGCACTTGAGTTTCCAGTACTCTTGGTATAAACACCACTGTGATTGCCCATGCTGTCTCAAGTGTGTAGCAGTTTCTCCTTTCCTTTAAAACAATAATCCAAAGTCAATTATCGTTGGAATTTCAGCTCAGGCAGGAAACTCTGCCCTTAATGCCCGCTCACACCTCATAGAGCCCCATGAGGTCTTCCTGTGAAGATCTGGGTGCCGAAATTGGCTCTGAATGTGCTTCAAGAAAGCAAAATCGCACTCTCTCTCGCTCTACATCTTTTACACAAACACAGATGCTGCTGCGTTAGTGCTGGCAAGGGATGCTTGTCTGCGGGGCCTTTCATCTCCTTGGGCTTCTTGCCAGGGCAGGCACGTCTCTGGCCAGCTCTCATGTTTGATGTGCTCGCCCACCCTGTACCTTCCCTGCTCGGGATGGCCACGAGCCTGAGCTCCACCGCTGGCCTGGATCACCTGCAGCATTTCTCAGGCCTGGGGTTCAAGGGGCATCATAAAACTGGACCAGGAATCGGAATGCCGCAATCTAGGAAGCCTCCAGTTGCTAAGAGTGAATTTGGGTGAGATTTTCCCTATGAAAGTTCTAGAAAGGAAAAGTGAGTAAGGGAGATGGTGTCAGATTTTCCCCAAGCCCTGCTAGGTGGTCCACAGGGGCCTGGACAGGATAGCTTTCGCAGAAGAGCCCAGCTGCTCGAATTTGAATTATGTCCTTGGTCATAGATCTGGCCATTTATAATTCGCTGAATTCGCTTCAACTGCTACTCAAAGGGGCTGGAAGTTCAAACACTTGATTTAAATCAAATAGGACATTTCATGCCACTAACGAAGCCTGCTGGATTTGATGTTACCTCCTTCTGGGTTGATGTTCAGCTTTCTTCTTTTGTGATAATTACCATCGCGGGCCAGGGCACAATTTATGCACGAACCCAAGGCAGCTCCTGAATTCATATTTCCCTAGTGCTGTTATAATCAACTTAACTTTTAGACATTACAGTCACAGAGCTTTAAAAGGAGGTTTTCAGAACTGCAAATGCTTGATCTTTTGATACTGTCTCCAGGGTGAAGACAAGGAAACAAAAACCAGGATTTATAGATATGGGAGGGTTCCGTGTGTGTGTGTGTGTGTGTGTGTGTGTGTGTGTGTGTGTATGTGAGTGTGTGTGTGTTATAGTTATCATCACTTTGCAAACACTAACAAGTCTTATTTTTTTCAAAGCAACATTGGTTTAATCAACATTATATTGAGCATCTATTTTAGCTGGGAACTGTAGGGGGCACAAAAAGTGTTTAAAAAAAAAAAAGCCAAGGAGCTTGTTATCTACTAAAGAACATGGACATAATCCAGTTTAAGTGGTGCTACCCAAGGCAGGCGCTCCGGGGGGACTGTTCTGTTTTTTCTTTTTTAATTTAATTTAATTTAAAGTTCCGGGATACATGTGCAGGAAGTGCAGTCTTGCTACATAGGTAAACGTGTGCCATGGTGGTTTCCTGCACCTACCAACCCATCACCTAGGTAGGTAGCCCCATATGCATTAGCTATTTATCCTGATGCTCTCCCTCCCCACATCCACGACAGGCCCCAGTATGTGCTGTTCCTCTCCCTGTGTCCATGTGTTCTCATTGTTCAGCTCCCACTTGTAAGTGAGAACATACAGTGTTTGGTTTTCTGTTCCTGTGTTATTTTGCTCAGGATAATGGCTTCCAGCTCCATCCATGTCCCTGCAAAGGACATGATCTCATTCCTTTTTATGGCTGCATCGTATTCCATGGTATATATGTGCCACATTTTCTTTATCCAGTCTATCACTGATGAGCATTTGGGTTGGTTCCATGTCTTTGCTATTGTGAATGGTGCTGCAGCGAACATACGTGTGTATGTATTTTTATAATAGAGTGATTTATATTCCTTTGGGTATATACTCAGTAATGGGATTGCTGGGTCAAATGGTATTTCTGGTTCTAGGTCTTTGGGGAATCGCCACACTGTCCTCCATAATGGTTGAACTAATTTACATTCCCACCAACAGTGTAAAAGCATTCCTGTTTCTCCACACTCTTGCTCCACACCAGCATCTGTTGTTTCTTGACTTTAATAATTGCCATTCTGACTGATGTGAGATGGCATCTCATTGTGGGTTTGATTTGCATTTCCCTAATGATCAGTGATGTGGAGCTTTTTCTCATATGTTTGTTGGCTATATAAATGTCTTCTTTTGAGAAGTGTCTGTTCATGTCCTTTGCCCACTTTTTGATGGGGTTGTTTTTTTCTTGTAAATTTGTTTAAGTTCCTTGTAGATTCTGCATATTAGACCTCTGTCAGATGGATAGATTGCAAAATTTCTCCCATTCTGTAGGTTGTCCGTTCACTCTGATGATAGTTTCTTTTGCTGTGCAGAAGCTCTTTAGTTTAATTAGATCCCATTTGTCAACTTTTGCTTTTGTTGCAATTGCTTTTGAGGTTTTCGTTATGAAATCTTTGCCCATGACTATGTCCTGAATGGTATTGCCTAGATTTTTTTTCTAGGCTTTTTATCGTTTTGGGTTTTACATTTAAATCTTTAATCTATCTTGAGTTAATTTTTGTGTAAGGTATAAGGAAGGGGTTCAGTTTCAATTTTCTGCATATAGCTAACCAATTCTCCCAGCATCATTTATTAAATAGGGAGTCCTTTCCCCATTGATTGTTAGCTTTGTCAAAGATCAGGTGGTTGTAGATATGTGGTCTTATTTTTGAGATCTCTATTCTGTTCCATTGATCTATGTACCAGTACTGTACTGTTTTGGATACTGTGGCCATGTAGTATAGTTTGAAGTTGGGTGGCATGATGCCTCCAGCTTTGTTCTTTTTGCTTAGGATTTTCTGGGCTATATGGACTCTCCACCTCAAAACAACAGAATATACATTCTTCTTGGCGCCACATGACACTTACTCTAAAATCAATCACATAATTGGAAGTGAAACACTCCTCAGCAAATGCAAAACAACTGAAATCATAACAAGCGGTCTCTCAGACCACAGTGCAATCAGATTAGAACTCAAGATTAAGAAACTCACTCAAAACCACCACACAACTACATGGAAATTGAACAACCTGCTCCTGAATGACTCCTGGGTAAATAATAAAATTAAGGCAGAACTCAAGAAATTCTTTGAAACCAATGAGAACAAAGAGACAACATACCAGAATCTCTTGGACACAGCTACAGCAGTGTTAAGAGGGAAATTTATAGCACTAAATGCCCATATCAAAAAGCTAGAAAGATCTCAAGTCAACACCCTAACATCATAACTAAAAGAACTAGAGAACCAAGAGCAGACAAACCCCAAAGCTAGCAGAAGACAAGAAATAAGCAAGATCAGAGCAGAACTGAAGGAGACAGAGATACAAAAAACCCTTCGAAAAATCAACAAACCCAACAAATCCAGGAGTTGTTTTTTTGAAAAAATTAATAAAATAGACTGCTAGCTAGAGTAATAAAGAAGAAAAGAGAGAAGAATCGAATAGACACAACAAAAAATGATACAGGGGATATCATCACTGACCCCACAGGAATACAAACAACCATCAGAGAATACTGTATCACCTCTATGTAAATAAACTAGAAAATCTAGAAGAAATAGATAAATTCCTGGATGCATACACCCTCCCAAGACTGAACCAGGAAGAAGTTGAACCCCTGAATAGACCAAGTTCTGAAATTGAGGCAGTAATAAATAGCCTACCAACCAAAAAAATCCCAGGACCAGACAGATTTACAGCTGAATTCTTTGTACCAGAGGTACAAAGAGGAACTGGTACCATTTCTTCAGAAACTATTCCAAACAATTGAAAAGGAGGGACTCCTCCCGAACTCATTTTATGAGGCCAGCATCATCCTGATACCAAAACCTGGCAGAGATACAACAAAAAAAGAAAACTTCAGGCCAATATCCCTAATGAACATTGATGCAAAAATCCTCAATAAAAAAAAATAATGGCAAACTGAACCCGGCAGCATATCAAAAGGCTTATTCACCACGATCAAGTCAGCTTCATCCCTGGGGTGCAAGGCTGGTTCAACATACACAAATCAATAAACGTAATTCATCACACAAGCAGAATGAAAGACAAAAACCACATGGTTATCTCAATAGATGCAGAAAAGGCCTTCGATAAAAATAACATCCCTTCATGTTAAAAACTCTCAATAAACTAGGTATTGATGGAACATACCTCAAAATAATAAGAGCCATTTATGACAAACCCACAGCCAATATCATACTGAGTGGGCAAAACCTGGAAGCATTCCCCTTGAAAACCAGCACAAAACAAAGATGCTCTCTCTCACCATTCCTATTTAACATATTGTACAATTCACCCATTTAAAATGCATGATTCAGTGGTTTTTAGTAGAAAATGGGTTGTGCATTAATCACCACAATTTTAGATCATTTTCATCACCCCAAAAAGAAACCCCACACCCCTTAGCTGTTACCTCCTATACCACAGTCCTTGGCAACCACTACTCTATATTTTCTGTCTCTGTGGACTTGCCTATTCTGGACATTTCATGTCAATACAGTCATGCACTATGTGGCCTTTTGTATTTGGCTTCTTTCACTGAGCATCATGTTTTCAAGGTTCGTCCACACTGAAGATGTGTCTGTACTTCTTTCCTTGTTAGGGCTGAATCATCTTGCATTGTGTGGATAGACCACATTTTGCTGATCAATTCATTAGTTGATGGACATTTGGTTTCCCTTTTTTTCTTTTTTTTAAATTATTTTTAATTTTTGTGGGTACATAGGAGTATATATTTATGGGTATATGGTATATTTTGATACAGGCATGTAATGCATAATAATCATATCAGGGTAAATGGGGTCTCCCAGCACCTCAAGCATTTATCCTTCGGGTTACAAACATTCCAATTCTTTTAGTTATTTTTAAATGTACAGTTAAATTATTGATTGTAGTCACCCTGTTGCACTATCAAATACTAGATCGTATTCATTCTTTTAAACTATTTTTTGTACCCATTAACCATCCTCCATCCCCTCCTCCCCCCTCCCCCATTCCCCTTAGTTTTCAAATGAGGAGGTGAGACTCTAAGAAGCAAAACACTGCTCAGGGTTAAAGGGAATTGGTTGCAGAGCCAGTCCCATCTGGATTCTTCCAGGTCTCCTATCTCCTGAGGCACAATCAGCTGCCAGGTACCGGGAGGACCTTTGATGGAGAACCCTGCCAGCCGACCCTGACCCTTGAGGACATCAATCCCCTCCGTACAGCACCCTCTGGGACCAACGACAGTGGGGAGTAGACCTGGGCGTGATGGGAAGATATGTGGCAGCATCCTTAAGTATCCAGATTCCTGGAATGGCTGCATTTTGGGATACCTGTTCAGTAAAATACAGAGGATATGGGGCCAGGTAACGGGATTCCTGTGTCCCATGCTGACGGTGTATTATAGATTCACCCACAGAGGTCTATTTGTGTCTGAAAGCTTCTGGCTGGGAGTAATAGTCAAAGTGTTTAAGAGCTGGTGCCAGATAATGAACTGATTTGTTATGAATTGTGGGGAGTTCACTGCAGTTCTATAAGGTATGAGGTTGGCAGGGTACATCCCAGGGTGTCTAGCTCAGTGGCTATAAACCAACCGGTGTAGAACTATTTTAGTACTTTTTAATCTGGATGGTGGTTCTCAACCAGGGGCTATCTTGTCCCCCCTCCACAGGAGACATTTGGCATTGTCTGGAGACATTTTGGTTGCCATAATGGGGGATGGGGATGCTGCTGCATCTAGTGGGTAGAGGCCCAGGATGCTGCTGTATGTTCTACAGTGCACAGAATGGCCTATCTGCAACAAATAATTAGCCAACCTAAATGTCACTAGTGCCAAGGTGGAGAAACCCTGCGTAAAGCCTTCCCAGGTGGAGGGCTGGATGGGTGGAAGGAGTCCTATTGGCCCAGCTTGCATTTTGCTGCTACCGCATGGGAGGGGGCCTCACTGGGGATTCCTATCTGCCTGTAAATAGAGGCCCTTCCCAGTAACAAAGCCGCCTTTCCTAGCTGTCACTGCTTTCTTGAAATTAATTAGAATTATCAGAGCTAGAACAAAATTTCCTGACTCTGGGAGGAAACCTTGTTTAAAAACATTTATTTAAATTTTTGTGGGTACATAGTAGATGTGTATATTTATGGAACACATGAGATTTTTAAAATATATATATATATATATTTTATTATACTTTAAGTTCTAGGGTACATGTGCACAACGTGCAGGTTTGTTACATATGTATACATGTGCCATGTTGGTGTGCTGCACCCATTAACTCATCATTTACATTAGGTATATCTCCTAATGCTATCCCTCCCCCGTCCCCCCACCCCACTACAGGCCCCGGTGTGTGATGTTCCCCTTCCTGTGTCCATGTGTTCTCATTGTTCAATTCCCACCTATGAGTGAGAACATGCGGTGTTTGTTTTTTTGTCCTTGTGATAGTTTGCTCAGAATGATGGTTTCCAGCTTCATCCATGTCCCTACAAAGGACATGAACTCATCCTTTTTTATGGCTGCATAGTATTCCATAGTGTATATGTGCCACATTTTCTTAATCTAGTCTATCATTGTTGGACATTTGGGTTGGTTCCAAGTCTTTGCTATTGTGAATAGTGCTGCAATAAACATACATGTGCATGTGTCTTTATAGCAGCATGATTTATATTCCTTTGGGTATGGAACACATGAGATGTTTTGATACTGGCATGCAATGCATAATAATCACATCATAGAGAATGGGGCATCCACCCCCTCAAGCATTTACCCTTTGTGTTACAAACTATCCAGCTGTACTCTTTTCATACACCTGTTTGCTATTTGTATGTCTTCTTTTGAGAAATGTCTATCCAAATATTTTGCCCGTTTTTTTGATCAGATTATTAGATTTTTCCCTATAGAGTTGTTTGAGCTCCTTATATATTCTGCTTATTAATCCCTTGTCAGATGGGTAGTTTGCTAGTGTTTTCTCCCATTCTGTGGGTTGTCTCTTCACTTTGTTGATTGGGAAACCTTTATTTCTTATGTGGGCCTCTGGCTCTGACATGCCTCAAGTCTGGAGGCCTGGACTGCTCTTCTCAGCAGCAATACATGGCTGCCAAAGCAAAAGGGCAACTCTAATGAGACCGGGGCCCACTAAAGCTTTTGCAACCGTAGAAGCAGGGTGATTTGGCGAAGTATTGGGTAACAGTGCCCTTGAGAAAATGTGTATCTCTGGTTGATTGATTGCAATGGGCCCTCATTATGACAGTTGAGCCCGAAGCAGCTAAAACAAATCAGGATGGAAAGAAATGGTTTCAGGCTCTGCCAGCTGGACCCAGCAACCTTCCTGTGTGAGGAGACCAGAGCCCTTGTTGGGCCTTGAATCTGTCAACTGTGTTCATACTCACAGATGGGTTTTCCCAGGAGAACTCAGCATCTCACCGCAAAGAAGAGTGCTAACATTTGTTTCCTTTAGGTAGCTCTTGTTTCAGGATTATAACAACATTTAGGCTTACAGAACAATTGAGCAAAATATGCAGAGTTCTCATATATCCCCTTCACTCCCCTCAGTTTCCCCTATTGTCAATATCTTGCATTACTGTTGTATTTGTTGTAATTGATGAACCAATATCAATACATTATTATTAACTAACATCCATAGTTTACTTTAGAGTGTACTCTGTGTCATATATTTCTGTGGATTTTGACAAATATATAATATCATGTGTCCACCATTACAGGATGATACAGAGTAGTTTCACTGCCCTAAAAATCCCCTGTGCTCTGCCTATTTATCCCTCTCTTCCACCCACCAAACCCTGACAACCACTGATCTTTTTACTGTCTCCATAGTTTAGCCTTTTCCAGAATGTTGCATATTATGTAGTTGGAATCATTCAGTATGTAGCCTTTTCAGACTGGCTTCTTTCACTCAGCAATACACATTTTGATTTTTCTCCACGTCTTTTCATGACTTGATAGCACTTTTGTTTTTATTGCTGAAGAATATCCATTGTCTGGATATGCCATGGTTCAGTTTATCCAGTCACCTACTAAAGAAAATGTTGGTTGCTTCCAGGTTTTGGCAATTATGAATGAAGCAGACGTCTTCTAAGACGTTTTCTTTACATAACTACCAAACCATGATGATGTAAAATTAACAGTAACTCAATATATCATCCAATATCCAGTTGATATTCATTCAAATATCAACTCAGAATTCCATCAAGGTTTGTGCATTGCATTCTTTTGCCTTTTTAGTCTCTTGTCTAGAACAGTTTCCTGCCTTGTTGTTGTTTTTTTAATGAGAGATTTTTAAACATAATTCCAAATTTTATTTTAGACACAGGAGATACATGTGCAGGTTTGTTACTTGCAAAGATTTCCTTTGAAGAGTCCAGACCAGTAGTCTCACATTCTGGGTCTGATTACTTCCTCATGATTCAGTTTGGCATAAGTCGTTTTTGGCAGCATTCCAACATAGGTAACGCTATGGAGTCTGCTTTTCTGACTTTGTTGATGATAAGCTCCATTGCTCGGATGAGGTGGTGATGGCCAGAACCCTCCATTGTAAAGTGACATTTTTCTCTTTGTTCATAATCTGTAGGAAAGTACTTTGAGACCATGTGAATTTTCTGTTTTCCAGCAACCATTCGCCCAGTGATTTTGGTATCCATTGACAATTATTGCCTAAGCTAACTATTACATTGGGGGTTGCAAAGTATTAATTATCAAATTCTGTCCTGCTTCCTACGTTTATCAAGTATTCCTCCCCATTTAAGAAAAACAATCCCTGTAGGGTCATGATATATTCTTTTAATGTTTTTGTAATTCATATTGTCATTATTCTGTTTGCTTAGCATGCTCTTTCACTATTTTCCTCTCTCCTAAAGATGTTGCCATGAGATGGAGGGGAAGGGGTCTTATTTGCTGTCTCTCTCAGTGTGATACATAGGGAAACCAACACAAGAAACGGATACCTTTTCCAAGACTGTTTAAGGTCCAGTGTTGTCAGAGCCAAAAAAGTCAGAATTCTGGCCTGACAGTTTGAATAATCAGTGTCTATTTCACCAGGTGTAACTGATTTGAATACTGCTTAGAATACTTACATCCCTTCTTCATATTCACTAAGAGATAAATTTGACTAATTTTGCCTTAATTAAATAAATGACAGTATATTACAGTTAGGTTTTCTGATTTCTTTTGTATATTATCATATTACACAGAGTAGAAACCCATTATTTTAATAGCTATAAAGTATTTTAATGCAAGACTACCAGAGTTTGCTTCTGCATACCCCTTTTTTGGGGGGTACAGTGGAGATACAGTGAGTAGTGTTTTGCAAACTTATGTGGGAATGGAGCTTCTTTTTTTCCAAAGAAGTTGTTCACTTCTCCTTCTCTCAGACCTTTCATTTTACCCAAGGGACATGATGTGTTCCTGCAGGTGGTCATTTAGTAAAATAATGAAACAAGGCTTGCTATGAATGGTTGTGCAAATGTGCACTGTATAATCCAGAGGGCACAATTTCTACTGCAGTGTTTGTGAGCAGTGCTCCTTGGCACTGTGTGATATACAGTCTTGGTGGTCCCATACAATGGACTCTGGGAAGTGGCATTCTTTTTGTAAGTTGAAAGCAATGGAATTTTGGAAGAGAAGGCAATTTACGTATATAGTCAGAGATAAATGTCAACTTTATCCTCCCAGTAAGAATTACAAATAGAATCACTTTTTATCTTGTACTTAAAATTTCTTATACTTAAAATACCTTACACTTGGCATTCCTGTGGTGTGGTCAAGTTTTGACAATGCCTTTCATAAACCCTTTTAAAATTGATTATAGTCTTGAAATTTAAGAGGATATAGTAGTCATCATAGGTTTACTGCCGTAATAAACAAGCTTGCAATCTCTGTGGCCTAATGCAATAAAGGTTTATTTTTCTCACATGTTACATCCACTGTGGATTGCAGGTGGGCTCTGGACCTAGGTGTTTGAATCTGGTGGCTCCTAAGTCAATCCTCAGAGCCCTTCACTGGCTCCTGTGCCTCTGGCTGCCAGATGAGAAGAGAGAGTGGGGGGAAATGCACAGGAGACCTGGGAGCAGCATCTGTCACTTCCACCCACAGGCATTGGCCAGTGCTCCCTCCATTGGCTCTGCCTAACCACAAGGGAGGCTGGGAAATGTTGTCTGTCTCTGTGTCCACATGGAAAAGGCACTGGGGTTTAGGGAGAGGGATGAGTCGTCGTTTCAAGGCTGACCTCTTTTCTCTATTTTGTTTCTTCTCCAGGAGACTTCTTGGCATCATCACAAAAAAGGATGTTCTGAGACATATGGCCCAGATGGCAAACCAGGACCCCGAATCCATCATGTTTAATTAGCAACAAGGTGGCAATTATTTTCAGAAAAACACTGACTGTGTCATTTAAAAAGAAATAAATGATATGTTATTATCCCAATGAAAGATCATGCATTGGGGACAGCAGAAACAAAAGCTTTTTTGGAAAGGCGGGGAAGAAGGATGAAACCTTTAAAAACAAAAACAAAAACATCAATGAGTAGGCATTTTATAGCTTTAACCCCGTATGAGTTTCAAGCTGTGTTTCCTAATGAGTTTGCTACTGCTGTGGGGGCATGTGGGTGGGTAAATGATGTAAATGATGTGATCTGTACAAGTATGTGGAGCATGAATGCTGACTCAAGAAACTTTTACTCCTTCTGCTCAAGGCTGATGTTTGTAACTTATGAACACACGTGAAGTGTTGAGTCCAAAAGACAAAGGGGCATCGGCATGTCAGCGTCCTTATTTATTGGTTCTTGAAGTTTTGCTGCTATGTTACTGAATCATACTAAAGACATTTGCGCTTACTTTGTTGAAAAAGAAAAAGAAATTAAATTTGAACACAGTGAAAGCTGCAAGTATGCCAGTGGGTCCGCTCACGACCGTCCTGTTTCTTGCTCCTGTTCTCAGCCTGTTATCTGGCTTATCCATCAGTTTCTGAACCAACATCAGGGGCACCTGCCATGATGAGTGTGAAGAAATCATTTCTCTATGCAAGACTGGCATCCTGGGACTGCACGATGAACTATTGGAGCATACAGTACTGCGGTGTGTCTCCTCCCATACAAAGGGACACATCCTTATTTTGAGGGTATACTCACCCGATCATTGATTTGCATCCCCATGGCATTTGCTTCATTTATTTATTGCTTTTGCCCATGCATTCAATATTGATCAGCTCAGCACTTCCATGGGCCATAGCCGGTATGCCCCCAGCCTGCCATAAGCGTGCTTTCATTTTCAAGTAGCATATGCAAGAGTCCAAACAGGCTACCCAATGTTACTACTTATTTTTCCTCTCAGGTCTTATCAGATACGGCTGTGGAGAGGATGAGGCATATGCGTTGTCAGTTGGAATCCCTCCAAATGGATTGCAAGAGAAATACTAAATTGATTCTAAATCTGTTCCATTATCTTCTCTGTAGGATGCAAAACATCCAGTTGTAATGTATAAGCATGCACTTCATACTAGCAATCACAGCACAGGAGGACAGCATTAAATTTTATATAGCCAATTTGGGCACTGGGCATCTTTGTATTTGAACTTAACGACACATTTACTCTTTTAGTCAGGATTTCGGTCTTTTCTGCGGGAAGGAATTAAGCTATGTATTAGGTCCACCATACGATCTGTGTAAGTAAGATTATCCCACTTGCCCTTTCTCTTTAGTCTTTGTCCCTTCCTTTTCACTAAGTGCCCCTCATCCTTTTCAATCTCATTGTCACTGGATAGTGCTGTATCACTTAGGTGTGCATTCGGCTGCAAATAACAGAAAACCCAGCAAACACTGAAGGGCTGGATAAGAACCCTGAGAGGGGGTACTCCAGGACTGTCTCCATAACATCATTGGGATCCCCATCCCGTTGCTATTTCTTTTTCACCGTTTTTACCTTTTGTCCTCTGGCTTATTGCCTCAGAGTTGCAAGATGGTTCCTGAACTGTCAGGTATCATGTCTGCTTTCTAAGTGGGAAGAGGAAGGGAGAGGCAAGCAACTAGGTACAATGTCTATCAGGAAAGCAAAGCTTCCCCAGAGACGCTCAGCTTGTATCCATTGACTGGAAGTCTGTCACGTGGCTCCCCCTAGCCGCACACTAGTGTGGGAAGGAAAATATTGAGCTAGGCACATTACTCTCTGAACGAAATTCATATTATCTTATTAAGGAAGAGTGTTGGTCTTCAGGAGGGGAAGTTTGCTGTATTGGATGCCATCATCGTGTCCTTGTCATTGCCCTTCCGGTTTTCATTCTTGCTAAACCCCTGTGAATGTTCTTCTAACCTTCCTGTTCCCCACCCCTTTTCTCAGATTTGACCTAGAATTCCCAGCCCAAATCCATAATTTCTTAGCTCTAATACGAATTTTCATGTTGGACAAAAACCTAGCTACAAATGGGTTTCTATGGAACTTCTAATTAATGTGCAAAATACATATTTTCTCCAGGTTAAGAAATTTTAAGTCAGATCATGCTGACACAATAAGAAAATTTGTTTGTGTAATTCATTGACCTCTTCCTTCCAAAATAACATCAAGTAGCCACCTCAGTGTGACAATATCCAGTCAATAGTAGAGAATTTAATCCTTGGTCCTATAAAAGAATAAAATTCATTGTCGTATTTATAGCACGTAAGCCTTGAGTAACAGGTCTTAATGTTAGTGTTGGTGTTGTGGTTTCTGCGGAACGTTTACAAGTGAAGTTGGATTCTCCTGGGCTTTAAATCCAAAAAGTCTTAATGACCGCTTCATGTAGTTCCCCTCTTATTCCCCTGTGGTCTCCTCAGAGCCAGCGTGTGCTGGGAAAGAGTATTAGTCATAGCCTGGCTTTATAGAATCCAGGAGGTCCTTTTAGCTGAAACAAGTGGCTTCAAAAGGGAACATGAAACAGTGAAAAGATAGCCAAAGGTCAGTGAAACCACAGCATTTCTTTCTAATCTGGCTGAGGCCATGGGGGGGAATGAGGGGAAATTATGCTTCCGGGCCAAGGTCACCGAGGGGGACCTTGGGATTTGTGTCCTCCCCAGTGCTTAGAGTAGAGATACCTGCAAATTCATGGCAAACAGTTGGAAGAGTTACTTGACTGAAACAACCCAATCTTACTTTCTTTCGTAAGTTGAACCTCTGATTTATTGTGGGGTTCAGGCTCTCCTCAATAGAAGGCCAGAGTTGGACAGGTGGACTAAGGTCAAGGATGAGGAGTCTGCAGTGGGGACTACCACAGCAAACTGCCTTCCTTCCGTGGAGTCCTAACTCAGCCATGTGGTCCACTCACCCAGGGGCCCGGGGGCTCAGACAAACCCCATGGGGAACATGCTGCCATGCTCTGTCTTTCTTGTAAACGTAGTTGGGTAGGGATCCCAAGGGTATTTGCTCTCTCCAAATGCAGAACTTCCATCCACTTTATCTGGTGATCTGATGAACAGCATGGGGACGTGGAGGTGAAATAAGCATCTTTCAGAATAAGGTTTTTTTTTTTTTCCTCTTCCAGAACCAAAGGCTTTAGACATTTGTAGAACTTTCTGGATTCCTTCTGAATCGGGTTTTAACATAAAAAACCATCAACACATCATGGGAAAGGAGCTCTTTCATGATATACATCACATGTTTCTTGCTCTCACTGAGGAAATGTGTTGTACAAAAGCACCAAATAAGGGCACCCTGGAAGTGACATGTGTGTTTCTTCTAAGTCGTTTTTAGTGCATCCCCTGCGATTGCATGATGCTCATGTGGCTTTTAGGGAAAGGCAGAATGTGCTAGAAGTCGAAGTCATTCAATATTCAGTGCTTACTGTTACTTTGAACCAGGTAATCTCAGTTCTTTATTCAGTCCTTCCCAAAGACCTTACAAAGGAGATGTGTAAACTGATAGATTTTGAGCCTAATAAGTCACAGAAATGGAAAATTTTAGAGCAGTTTGTTTCACTTAGGTGAGAACTGATTACTTTAAATTACCAACATGTGCAAATTCTACTTAGTATTCATTATTAGATGCTAAGCTGGAAAAGATGAGAAACCCAAGGAGAACTATTGAATTACCACATAATTGTAATATTATGCTTTAATTTTGTATGGGCAGTGTTCTATCAGACTAAGCTTCTAGCCTTTGAAATGATTTACATGAGGAGAGAGCCTGTATATCTGACTTGGGAAACATTAAGCAGACCCTATTTTCACTGGCGCGGTAATAACTATTTATTTGCTATCCTAGAGGTGCTGGGAATGAGCCTACGTGCGACTTTGATGAGATATATTCACATTTGGTGTTGGAACGACCACATAGCAACGTGTTGGTTTTTTTTTATTGTAACACTCTGTGTAAACGTTGACACCTTATTAAATATTAAATGTCTGAACTCTATTTTTAAAAATAAAACAAGCACAGAGTCTGCAACAAACATGTAAATGGAAGAGATACTGATTTCACAGTGTGTTTCTACGCAGTAGAACCTCTGGAAACCTGGTCCCCATGACTTGGTAGAACTATCCAGTAAAGTTAAAGAGCCATCTTAAGACGGGCACACAGATTGTGAAGTCCATTTAGTCAGCTTTAAAATTCCTTGTTCTTGGCTGGGTGGGCGGTGACCAAATGAAAATTCAGACTGAGGCTATCAGTTTCCAAGGATTGGGTAGGAACACTGTCCTCAGGCCATCTGTGCTTGCCCTGTGTGAAGGCTGGGGAGTACGGCTTGGGTAATGGTCTAACATTCATTCATTCTTTCATCCTTTCTTTCAGGAGCAAATTTTCCCTTTATTACTTTGGGAACCACAAGGGTTGAATTATGTCTTTTCCCACAAGTATTTTTTCTTTTTTTTTGTGAAAACTTTCTACTTTACAGAAAATTTGAAAGAAAGAAAAGAAAGGAACAAAGGATGCCCACAGATCCTTGACCTAGAAGAGGTGCTATTTAATATGGGTGGTTAGAGGAGTCCCCACTGGTTAGGGGAGGGGACCAGCTGGGGGTACAGCTGGGGAAAGGGTATCCTCAGCAGAGGGGACAGCAAGTGCAAATGTCCTGAGGTGGAAATGGGCCTAGCCTGCTGGGGGCCCACCAGGGGTGGATGGCTGCAGCCTTGGGATGGGAGTGGGGGTATTTGAAGTTGGGTTTGTTTTCCCTTTGGGAGGAGGGTAGACACAGCAGATGCTTCAGGGTCTTGAAGGACCAGGTAAAGTTCTGGAATTCAGAGGAGTGACATGATTTGACTTGTGTTGTCCACAAACCATTCTGGCTGTTGGACAGCAAGACTGGAAGCCAGGGCTCCGGTTAGGAGTCTATTGCAGATACGCCAGGTGCGGTGGCTCATGCCTGTAATCCCAGCACTTTGGGAGGCCAAGGCAGGCAGATCACTTGAGGTCAGGAGTTTGAGACGAGCCTGGCCAACATGGCGAAACCCTGTCTCTACTAAAAAAATACAAAAACAAGCCAGGTGTGGTGGCAGGCGCCTGTAATCCCAGCTACTCGGGAGGCTGAGGCAGAAGAATCGCTTGAACCTGGGAGGCAGAGGTTACAGTGAGCTGAGATCGTGCCACTGCACTCCAGCCTGGGCAACAGAGCGAGACTCCATTTCAAAAAAAAAAAAAGGGTCTATTGCAAATAGGTGAGTGATGATGGGGGCTTGCCCCAGAAAAATTCTTGAATTCCAGTTATACAGTTGCCCCTCAGTATCTGTGGGGGATTGCTTTCAGGACCCCCCATAGATTCCAAAATCCATGACGCTTAAGCCCCTTATATAAAATGTTGTATTATTTGCATATGGCCCACGTACATCCTCCTGTCTGCTTTAAACGTTCTCTAGATTACTTAGAATACCTAGTTCAATGTAATGCTATGTAAATAGTTGTTACACTGCATTGTCTATGGAATAGTGACAAGAAAAAAGTCTGTACATGTTCAGTACAGATGCAACCATCCATTTTTTTTCCTGAATATTTTCAATCCACAGTTGAATCCACAGATGCAGAATCCATGGATACAGAGGGCAAACTGTATTTCCAAGGTAGAGCCAACAGATTTGCTGATGGACTGGTTATAAAATGGTACAACCAAGTTGCCACTTACTGAGATGGGCTAGACTAGGTGAGGAGCTCCCTTTTGGAAATGCTACATGAGAGATGTCTCTTAGACATTCAAGTTTGGAGCTCAGTGGAATCATTAAGTTTTGAGATATAAATCAAGCCATTGGCATATCGGTGGCATTTAAAGCCATGCCTGGAAACTTTTGTGGTCTCATGATATCCTAAAAGCAAACAGGAGAATCTTTTTTTTTTTTTTTTTTTTTTTTTTTTTTTTTTTTTTTGAGATGGAGTCTCACCCTGTCACCCAGGCTGGAGTGTGGTGGCATGATCTTGGCTCACTGCAGTCTCCGCCTCCTGGGTTCAAGCGATTCTCCTGTCTCATCCTCCTTAGTAACTAGGATTACAGCTGCATACCATCACGCCCGGCTAATTTTCCATATTTTTGGTAGAGACAGGGTTTCACCATGTTGGCCAGGCTGGTCTCGAATTTCTGACCTCAAGTGATTCACCCGCCTCGGCCTCCCAAAGGGCTGGGATTACAGGCATGAGTCACCGCACCCAGCCAGAATATTCTTCCAACAGAATTTCAATATTGAGTTTTCAGGGAGTCACACCAATGTCACAGGCCGATAGGACTGCACTTGAGTTCCGGCTCCATTGAGTCCTGGCTCCGTGTGCCATTGTCAAAGGGACTGAACTTCTCTGAGCCTGAGTTTCCTCATCTCTGTAGAGTGAGCTACTGCTCTTGCCACAGCAGCATGGCTGTGAGAATTAAATGAGGTAATTGCTGTACAGTACTTGGCATGGAATATGACCAGGCAAATGGTAGACATTATCATCTAAAGCTCAGTAGCTTTAGTTGGAAATACTTCAATTAATTGTGTGTTGTTAAAGGACATATAACACTTTAGTTTAATTATAAGGCCACAGAAAGTAAACGCAGATCAGACTAGCCAAATGCTTTTTTCCCAGTCCCTGCAGTCATTTTTCCAAAAAACAAAACAAAACAAAGCAACAACTCAGATCTCTTAAGGGATATATTTAGAAAAAAAAATCTGTCTCCAAATTAATGGGAAATTATAGAAAGGAAGCTACTTGGTAGAAAATTCCATTTCTCTGTACCTTTATATTGGCTTGAAGAGCAGAAAAGCATCAGTATGCATGGATACTGAACTATGAATTGATTACTTTGAAATTTGGAGCAAGAATTCATGGAACACAAGAAAGTGTATAGCTTGCTTATTTTCAGGCAACCTAAAACTCAATACCCTCTGCACTTCCAGACAAAGAAAAATCTCTCCAGCATGGTGTTAATGTAGAAATGAGTCTGTTAGTAAAACTCATGAAAGAACAGCGTTTTGTGGGCCTTGGACATTTCCGGTCACCATGATGTTGTTAAAAACCAGAGGGGGAGAATGAACAAATAGAATTTGTCTGAAAAGTGACAGCCCATCAGTTTTAATTCTGGAGGCTTAGCTAGAGCTAACCAGGATGGCCTTGCAAATAAAAGTCTGGGTCATGCATGGGTTTCCTGGGCTTTCATGGGTTGAGAAAGGACTAGAAACGTCCATCTCCATCAATTTCCATCAGGACCAGTGTGCTTCAGCTGAGCACGGGGTGCCTGGACTGCCCATTGTTAAAGCTCTTCCCCAGTTCATTGGTGGTCAATTGGCCAGAAAGAAGCTACCATATGTGAAGGCAGATAGGGAGCATCTATTTCTGGCTGTTCCTCAACATTGCATTTCATTAAAGACATGTTTTTTCTTTCTGAATGAGCAATAAGCAGAGAGCACCTTGTGGGGATTTCCAAACCCCTTTAGTCAGGGCTTGGCTCACAGAACGAAGGGAGCAATTGATGTGTGATTCCAGCGCTTGTTATGGAACACATATTTCAAAGATGAAACAGCCTTCCTCAATCCAAACAGACTCTCTCAGAGAAATTGAAAACACATCCATAAATTCTCGTCCCACAGGCTCCTAACAGGTTGGATCCAGGGGATGCTCGCTGGTAGAACATTCCTTCCTTCTGCAGAACTCCATGTTCATTTCACACACACTCACTCTCTCAGGGCTTCCACCTGTTTCCAGTTGATACGAACCCAAGTGGAAATTGGGGCGGGCTAGCTCCCTTTTGATGAAACAGGTTTCCTTTTCTTACATTTCTCAAACTTTAGCCTCTCCCCAGAAAGACATTTCTAGGAATGGCTGCTGAGTGGTTTACATGATCAGCAAGGAACTTTCTCCAGGGAGTGGCCAAGCCAAGTTGCTCCATGGGGCAGGAGTCTCCACTGGTTATTAAAGAGCTAGGGAGAGGCCAGGTGTGGTGGCTCATGCCTGTAATCTCAGTGCTTTGGTAGGCTGTGGTGGTTGAGGATTGCTTGAGGCTAGGAGTTCAAGACCAGCCTGGGCAACACAGACCCCCATCTCTACAAAAAAATTTTAAAAAATTAGCCAGGTATGGTGGTGAGCACTGGTAGTCCTAGCCACTTGAGAGGCTGAGGTGAAAGGATCGCTTGAGCCCAGGAGTTTGAGGCTGCAGCGAGCTATGATTGCACCACTGCACTCCAGCCTGGGCAACAGAGCGAGACTCTGTCTCAGAAAAAAAAAAAAATGCTGGGGAGAAAGAGCAGGACGGCATTCAGTGGAGATGATTTCCCAAAGTGCCTCCAGGGTACAGTGTCTGCAGGATGCTGCCAGGTGCCAGAGGAAGGGTGGATCTGTGGTTAACTAAGTTGGTGGCTAGAGCGTGAGGGTCCATGAAGTCTTTTTTAAGTTTCTTTTGAGAATTTCTAGTTGAGTGACTGGAAGAACCGACTTAACTTTAACGCACTGCAGCCACATCATCTGAAAGCAGTGACTTGCTAATCAGAGTGTGATCTAGGGACTACCTGTGCCTGTATTACTGGAGTAAGTGCCACTTAGCAATGCAGAATTGCAAGCCCCATCCAGGTCTGCTGAGTCAGGCAGAATTAACCCCAGGTGATTTGTGTGCAGAGTACAATTTGAGACGTGCTGCCTTGCGTGACCAGGTGATCTGAGTTTACTTCTAGCGCTAAGACCCAACTTTCTCTAAGATTATCTTACTTCCAAAGGAAAAAGGAGTGATGACTGCAGTGATTGGGCCACTGAAGGAGCCTGTCCAGAGAAACAAGGTAGGGAGAAGCTTGGCATAAGAGCTCTAAGCCCTATTTCTCAGTCCCCAGACTTTCCCAGTTACAGCTATCCTCCTACGTGATGCCCCATCTCAGATTCTCAGCCTCAGCACTAGTGACATTTGGGGCTGTCCTGTGCACTATACAATGGCGAGCAGCATTCCTGGCCTCTCCCCACTAGATGCCATCGCACCCCTCACCTAGTTATGACTCCAAAAACGTCTCCAGACGTTGCCAAGTGTCCTGGGTGGGGGGAGGTATGCAGATCTCCCCCCTCCCCTCCCCTAATTGTATAGAAGGGAGCACTGTGATTTACAAAGCATGGGAAAAGGGATCACCCTTTGGTGTCATTTTGCTGGTTTTTTCCTAACGCTGGATGAAAATTGCTAGTGTAAGGCAAAGACTGATGGGGACTCCCATCCTGCTTCGACGAGTCCCCATGGCTGGGGAAGAGTTCCCTCAGCCTTTAAGCAGAAAACAGCAATTTAGTGGGGAGAGGGTGCATTTCCTTCTTTCTGAGAACCTAATGGTGAGCCCAGGAAGAATGCAGTCACCTTACCTGGACATAAGTCTCACGCCAATTGGTAATTTCAAAGTGATTGGCTTACTTTCAACTGTCTGTGTGACCACCCTGTCGTCCTTCTCAGTTGCCTCCCACACTCAGACCATGCACGCAAGCATGTCGATGAAATCGCTCTTTGCTGGGTACATCTCATTAGAAAGATTCCTAGTTGCTTTTTTGAGTCAACTTGAACATTTTTGTGTCTTTCTTTGAAACTTAGAGGAGTGGTTGGCCAACTATAGCACGTGGCCAAATGCAGCCTGCCACCTGTTTTTGCAGCTAAAGTTGATTGGCACACAGCCATGTGCAGCCGCTTACATATTGTCTATGGCTGCTTTTTATGTTTGTTTGTTTTAGTCTATAACTGTTTTTGTGATACAATGGTGGAGTTAAATAATTGCAACAGAGACCATCTGGCCTACAAAGCCCAAAATATTTACTATCAGGTCCTTGACAGAAAAAGTTTGCTGGCTCCTGGCTTAGAGTAAATTGGGGTCACCAAACCATTGGATAGTCACCAAGAGTAATTTAACTTTCTTAGACTATATGTAAAATATAAAGAAATGCTTTAAATACAGAATCAAGGAGAGATGCGTGTGTCAGTGGAATAAGATGGATTTGTTAAAATGATTTTCCATCCTTCAAGTTTCTCCAACAGCTTAACTTGTGCCAGAAATATCTGTCCTGACTTAGATATTAACTGAGATGTTTATGGCCTCTGTCAGAATTTAAATATGTTTTCTGTAACAGAAAATGACACTTAACACTTGAATAGCACTGTGTCATTTATGAAGGGATTTTAATATTTATTTGTGTTTGTCTCAATGGTTCTGTGTGGGAAAAATTATACCTATTATTTAGAAGACAAAACTGAGGTTCAGAAGAATCACCTGTGGAGATTTTGCAACATACTGATGCACCGGAGCCATGCCCTGAGATTCTGATTAAGTCCATCTTGGGTGGGGTCTTCCATCAACGTTATAAAAGGTCACCGGGTGATTCTAATGTGAGATTGAGAACCTCTGGGCTCCAGGGATTTGCTCAAGTTAATATACCTAGGAGGTGGTCTTGTTGGAGGAAGCTCAAACTTGGTCTTCGTGACTTCAAGTCTAGGAACATTTTCCTACAATATAACAACCCAGCTTGGCTCAGGGTCTAACCCAGTGGTTCTCAAAGTATGGTCCTTGTACCAGAAGCATGAGGATCACCCAGCAATCTATTAGAAATGCAAGTTATCTGTCCTACTCTGGACCTGGTAAATCTGAAAGTCTGGGGATGGGGCCTACTCCTCTGTGTTTTACCAAAACCTCTAGCCGGTTTAGAGGCAGCTCCGGTTTGAGAACCACTGGTTTAATGTGCTGGGAAAGCGGATAGATAAATTTTAATGGAAGTAAGGGGCTAAAACTGGAAAAAAACCACACACACACACACAGAAAACCAGGCCTTGCCTCTGGGAAATTGGCTCTGGCTGGGGAGGGGCAGAATGAACACAAGAAGTTATAAGAAAAGTGAAAATCTGTGCACATCTGGGGAAATATGAAGGTACCCGGATGGCAGAAAAAGCAAAAGGATCTCACCAGCCCTGAGTTGAGCCTCTGCGGAGTTCATCTTCCTCTTAGGCAGCCATGAAGGTGTTAAGAGTTTCTGCATCCCTTTGCTGTGCTGGCAGGTCAGAGGGTTTTTTTTGTTACTGTTTCATTTCACTTTTTGTTTTCAAAGTTTTGGGTTTTTCTGAATCAAGCACTTGGTTGAGATGAACATTCTTGTGTGATTAAATGAGCCCCCTTCTGCTTGGAGCCAAAGCCACATTCCTTGCTTCGGTTTTATCCCAGGTGCTCCTTTATAATTGCATTTTGTATTCCACGGTGCAGCCACCCCCTTCCCGGAGAGGGCTGGCCCCCTAATCACTACAGTGCTGTTACACTGCAGCTGGGACTTCAAAGTCCCCAGAAGTCACATTGTAACGTGAGCTCCAAATCGTCTCTGAGATGAACACAGAGAGGCATCATCAGTCAAAACTCATCAAGGGCAAGGGATACCTCTGTGTGGCATGTGGGTGACGGAATTCAGCCTCACCCTCAGTCCCTCTCAGAGCCTCCCCCTCCACAGCATTGCCATTCCCAATCTGAAAACCACACCAACATATACATAATTCAAGGCTGTGCACTGATCGCCCAGAGTGAGGGGACAGACATGTATGCCCAGGAAAGAATGTTTGTTTCAAGCAAACGTTCACAGCACCAGCTGCCAATGGGGGAAGACGGGCAGAGGGGGCTCCCGCAGACAGACATGGGAAAGTACAAACGATGATTACAGGCTCCAAAAAGGAGCTGCTGTTGGGGGAAATCACAGCATCTGATTTGGGTTTTGCTTTTATAATTACTGGACTCAGAGAATGTAACTGCAAAGCACATGCTGTTTCCAAAATGGGTGGGACCATGTGAGCTCATGACGGTTTCAAATCTGCACTTTGACATTCAAGTTTCACTCCAGGAGTTAACAAGAGCAGGCCCTGCTTTACATAGTAGCTTCATTTGAAGTTCCAAAGCTCAGTCCCTGGAAGCAGATGGGGTAACTTGTGATTCTATTTTATTTATTTATCCTGGAGCCAATAAAGAATATTGATTTCTAATGTGGGAATTCTGAAAAGGGAAAAACTAGGGTTGACTTTTTTTTGGGGTCAAACTTATGAGTTTCTCAAGGCCGAAGAGCTGTGTCTCCATTATCTTTCTTCAGTGTCAGTTCTCGTATGTCGTATATTGACGATAAACAATATAATGTATGCTTTTGAACAATGGATAAATGCTGAAAGCCTGTTCTTTAGCTGTGACCTTTTAGAATAAATCAGGAAAATAACCCTGGCAGAGTTTTCTGGAGACATGGAGCATTTCCCCAAAACAGACCTATCTGCCACTGTGTGAAATGTCACATAAAACACTAGGTGTCAAAAGAAAACAGTAATCGGCTTGGTGTTTCATGGCCTGAGAGAAGCTGCTTAGTTCAGATGCCCTGAGCTTCCAAAGAATGAATATAAAAGTGTAATCTGAAGACACTGTGTGCCCTGGTGTATCTTTGATCAAACTGAACCTGCGAAGAAGTGTGGCAGGCTCTAAAAGCTGTGGTGACTAACCGCTCAGGAAACCCATGCCGGTGACTTTACTGAACATGTCACATCAAAGGGGAAAAGTGCCCCACTGACTGGAAAGTTCTTTTGGTATTCAATGTTGAGAGAGAATAGAAATGAGATAAAATTTCAGTATTTCTGGGTTTGGTTAATAGATTCTCTCTCTCTTCCAAATATAAGAACTTTAAGTGATTCTGTTGACTTAGTAGAAAAATATCCAAAGGGCACACCTAATAACGAGGTCTAAGGGGAATGAAAATATAAAACTATAGATAAGAGAGAGTATCGTAATCTTTAGAGAAGTAGTTCAAAAAATTTTTTCAGCTGTGACATCCAAGATGATGTCCAGACACTGTGACGGGTAGACCCTGGCTTTGTAGGCACATCCCAGGACACTATCTGCAACTTGACTGTGAGGGAGCTAAGAATATGCCACCCCAAAATACGCTGCTCTGGCATGTTGACTATTTTTAATTAAAGGGACTTAACAACAGAAAAAGCAGGTGCAAGAAGTTCACTCTGATCATTTTGTTTCTTAAAAGCAGATTAAATTCTCATGTGAAAGACATCCTTCTTACACAAAAAGAAATAACAATCTTATCAAGGATGGGAAGTTGAAACAGAATTCCATGCAGACCTTGTTACAATAACTCTTATCTTTTTAGCCTCCCCACATAATGTAGTTGCTTTTTTCACAACTTAACTATTCCCTGTCTGATTCAGTATGTAAGTGACTGACTCGTAACTGCTTCTTTGGGCCTTCATAACCTTATGAGGGCTCCTGTGCTACGTAAAACTTGGCATTAAATGAATCTGTATGCTTTTCTCCTGTTGAGCTGTCTTATTGCAATTTAATAATCAGGCCCAGCAGGGACCCTAGCTGCTCTGGGCCAGAGGGCCAAGCTCTCTTATTTTCTCTCTCCTCCCTTCTGAGGGCCTGGCTCCATTCCACCACTCCTTCTATGCTTGAGATAGAAAATGCCATTTCCCTCCAGTCTGTGCCAGCCAAAGTGTCCCCAGTCACCTTGGATTCTCACATTCTTCAGAGGGAAGCAACTACAAGTTAAATCAGTCCCTGTTTGCTAAAACCCATCACTTCTTATGAGTTGTGTTGATGGGGCCATTCATTAAAACTTCAGCATCACTCATTTGGGGCAAGAGAGCTGGGAGGGGCAGGTCGAAAACTGTGTCTTGCCAAAGGAACATTTCTTTAGCTGGTATCTGATTTAGGATCATAACACCTCTGGCCACCATTTTTTATAGAGGTAAAGCCAGGTGTAAATGATCTATTGAAGGGCTTTAACTTTGGCATAAGATGGACATGGTTTTGAATCCAGGCTCTGTTACTTCCTAGCTGTGTAACCCTGGGCAAATCGTTTAACCTCTCTAAGCTTTGATTTTCTCATCTATAAAATATGGTAATTCGTCTACCCATACAAACTTGTTGGGCACAGCAGATGGCAGAGCATGAATGCCCAAAAATGTGATTGTAGCAGAGATAGCTGATGCTCACCAAATCTGTGTTCTCCTTTTCTTCGTGGGTCCATAGCTGGACTGTATTTCCCAGCTCCCCGTGCAGTTAGGTGTGGTCAATACTGGTTCTAGCCAATGGAATGTAAGCAGGAGTGAAGCCTGGAGAGCCCATCAGCAATCCCCTGCAGTCTTCCTCTCTGCTGGTCTGGAATGGAGATGACCCAGCATGACCTTGGAAGCCATGTGTTGAAGATGGCAGCTCTGCTGTCAGCCTGGGCCTCTTAATAACTGTGGAAGAGGACTTCCCAGTGACTTCTTTACCTGCCCAGTACTGTCATGTGAATAAGAAACAAAGCTCTGTGGTATTGAGCCATTTTCCACTTTGGGGTCAGTCTGATAAAGCAGATAGTGTACCCAGACTATGCAGTTATTACCACTATAAATTCCTAGAATGCTGGGTAGTGGCGTGATGAAGCTAGCTTGTACCAGCTCTCAAGAGCTGATGGTTACATTTGCAGGCGTTTTATGGGCCAGTTGATGTCACATTCCTACCTTGAAATCAGCCATGGTGGAAATGTTTACACCACAGAAATTGGCAAATACTGTAAACCAGTCTTTCCTCCTCTCCCTCACTGGAGCATTTACTAGCACACTACTGACTAAGAATATATCTTTTTCCTCTTTGCCTTATCCCAAAGCCTCATAACCTAGTGCATTACATATTTGAATAACTCACAAAGTGTTTGTGGCTACGACTCAAGACCAGGCTTGAATAAATTGAAAGAGGAGACATTGTGAAAGGACGAAAGCTAATACTTAGGGTTAGACAGGGCATATGGTGAAGCGGGAAGAACAGTCTAATCTTTGCCTTTCTGAAATAGGAATATCTGGGGCTAAGGATACATTTTAGTGTGTTGGGTCTCTTTGTGATTCAGGCCTTTAACCTCTTTCATCTCCCCTGTCTGGACTGGTTGTCACTGCTCCATCAGCAAGTGGATGTCTTCCAAAGTACAGTGATTCTCCCCTCACTCCCAAGCACTCCATAATGACAGGCACTGGAGAAAGTGTTTTATCCCCTTCATGTTCCTCTAAGGGAGGCTGCAGCCAGTATAGAGGGGGCTGTCTCAGTCTGGGTTCCCCTAACAGCAGAATCCCCTGTCTCGGGGTATTCAAGTGCAAGTCATTTATTTGGAAGGTGATGCCAGGAAACAGCATGGCAGAGTGGGGAAGAGGTGAAACAGAGAAGGAAAGGCAACCAACAAAGCGTGCTTTCTTCAGCAAATCGCTGCTGCTGTTGGCTGCTGGAGATAGTTTAGAACATGTGTCTCAGAGTTATCACTGCAGAAAGGAAGAAGGGTACTAAGGTATTTATTAGCTCTCTTGAGTCAATGTGGCGCCATCTGCCTAAGATGCTCATAACCTGTCCAGACAACCAGACTGTCTCTGTTCTTTCATTACCTAGCCCCTGAGAATCTCCTTACTCCACCAAGACTTCCTTGCTTCACCAGAGGTGAGCTGACTCCTTTATTCAGACCTCTCAGTATGGATGTCACGTGTATTCTGTTAGCTGCCCTTGGCCCTGACTCTCATAATATATTCACCCTGACCTCTGTGTGCCTTCAGTGCCCTTCAGTGCATTCATGGATAAGAAGAATGCTTTGAATCACAATCTCAAAAATGACATAACTGGAGGGTTCTTCTCTTATGATCCAACATGATTCTGACCATCCTGGATTAGATATACATTTCACCAGGATTTCTGCACTGTGGTAGACACAAAAATCACCCCCAAGGATGTTTACATCCTAATCCCTGGAACCTGTGAATATGTTACCCTACATGGCAAAAGGACTTTGCAGATGTGATGAAGTTAAGGAGCTTGAGACTGGGAGGTGATCCTGGGTGGAACAAATGGGCCAATGTGATCATGAGGATCCTTAGAAGAAAGAGGCAGGAGGGTCCAAGTCAGAGGAGGAGATGTAACAATGGAAATAGACTAGAGTGATGTGGAGCCATGAGCCAAGAAACGTGGGAAGCTTCTAAAAGCTAGAAAAAGCGAGGAACAGATTTCTCCTCTAAAGTCCCAAGAGAGAATGCAGTTGTACCAACACCTTGGTTTTTTTTTTTTTTGAAAAAATTTTTTTTAAATTTTATTATTATTATACTTTTAGGGTACATGTGCACAACGTGCAGGTTTGTTACATATGTATACGTGTGCCATGCTGGTGTGCTGCACCCATTAACTCGTCATTTAGCATTAGGTATATCTCCTAATGCTATCCCTCCCCCTCCCCCCACCCCACAACAGTCCCCGGTGTGTGATGTTCCCCTTCCTGTGTCCATGTGTTCTCATTGTTCAATTCCCACCTATGAGTGAGAACATGCAGTGTTTGGTTTTTTGTCCTTGTGATAGTTTGCTGAGAATGATGGTTTCCAGTTTCATCCATGTCCCTACAAAGGACATGAACTCATCATTTTTTATGGCTGCATAGTATTCCATGGTGTATATGTGCCACATTTTCTTAATCCAGTCTATCATTGTTGGACATTTGGGTTGGTTCCAAGTCTTTGCTATTGTGAATAATGCCGCAATAAACATACGGGTGCATGTGTCTTTATAGCAGCATGATTTATAGTCATTTGGGTATATACCCAGTAATGGGATGGCTGGGTCAAATGGTATTTCTAGTTCTAGATCCCTGAGGAATCGCCACACTGACTTCCACAATGGTTGAACTAGTTTACAGTCCCACCAACAGTGTAAAAGTGTTCCTATTTCTCCACATCCTCTCCAGCACCTGTTGTTTCCTGACTTTTTAATGATCGCCATTCTAACTGGTGTGAGATGGTATCTCATTGTCGTTTTGATTTGCATTTCTCTGATGGCTAGTGATGATGAGCATTTTTTCATGTGTTTTTTGGCTGCATAAATATCTTCTTTTGAGAAGTGTCTGTTCATGTCCTTCGCCCAGTTTTTGATGGGGTTGTTTGTTTTTTTCTTGTAAATTTGTTTGAGTTCATTGTACATTCTGGATATTAGCCCTTTGTCAGATGACTAGGTTGCGAAAATTTTCTCCCATTTTGTAGGTTGCCTGTTCACTCTGATGGTAGTTTCTTTTGCTGTGCAGAAGCTCTTTAGTTTAATTAGATCCCATTTGTCAATTTTGGCTTTTGTTGCCATTGCTTTTGGTGTTTTAGACATGAAGTCCTTGCCCATGCCTATGTCCTGAATAGTATTGCCTAGGTTTTCTTCTAGGGTTTTTATGGTTTTAGGTCTAACATTTAAGTCTTTAATCCATCTTGAATTAATTTTTGTATAAGGTGTAAGGAAGGGATCCAGTTTCAGCTTTCTCCATATGGCTAGCCAGTTTTCCCAGCACTATTTATTAAATAGGGAATCCTTTCCCCATTGCTTGTTTTTCTCAGGTTTGTCAAAGATCAGATAGTTGTAGATATGTGGCATTATTTCTGAGGGCTCTGTTCTGTTCCATTGGTCTATATCTCTGTTTTGGTACCAGTACCATGCTGTTTTGGTTACTGTAGCCTTGTAGTATAGTTTGAAGTCAGGTAGTGTGATGCCTCCAGCTTTGTTCTTTTGGCTTAGGATTGACTTGCGGGCTCTTTTTTGGTTCCATATGAACTTTAAAGTAGTTGTTTCCAATTCTGTGAAGAAAGGCATTGGTAGCTTGATGGGGATGGCATTGAATCTACAAATTACCTTGGGCAGTATGGCCATTTTCATGATATTGATTCTTCCTACCCACGAGCATGGAATGTTCTTCCATTTGTTTGTATCCTCTTTTATTTCATTGAGCAGTGGTTTGTAGTTCTCCTTGAAGAGGTCCTTCACATCCCTTGTAAGTTGGATTCCTAGGTATTTTATTTTCTTTGAAGCAGTTGTGAATGGGAGTTCACTCATGATTTGGCTCTCTGTTTGTCTGTTATTGGTGTATAAGAATGCTTGTGATTTTTGTATGTTGATTTTGTATCCTGACACTTTGCTGAAGTTGCTTATCAGCTTGAGGAGATTTTGGGCTGAGACGATGGGGTTTTCTAGATATACAATCATGTCATCTGCAAACAGGGACAATTTGACTTCCTCTTTTCCTAATTGAATACCCTCTATTTCCTTCTCCTGCCTGACTGCCCTGGCCAGAACTTCCAACACTATGTTGAATAGGAGTGGTGAGAGAGGGCATCCCTGTCTTGTGTCAGTTTTCAAAGGGAATGCTTCCAGTTTCTGCCCATTCAGTATGATATTGGCTGTGGGTTTGTCATAGATAGCTCTTATTACTTTGAGATACGTCCCATCAATACCTAATTTATTGAGAGTTTTTAGCATGAAGGGTTGTTGAATTTTGTCAAAGGCCTTTTCTGCATCTATTGAGATAATCATGTGGTTTTTGTCATTGGTTCTGTTTATATGCTGGATTACATTTATTGATTTGCGTTTGTTGAACCAGCCTTGCATCCCAGGGATGAAGCCCACTTGATCATAGTGGATAAGCTTTTTGATGTGCTGCTGGATTCGGTTTGCCAGTATTTTATTGAGGATTTTTGCATCGATGTTCATCAAGGATATTGGTCTAAAATTCTCTTTTTTTGTTGTGTCTCTGCCAGGCTTTGGTATCAGGATGATGCTGGCCTCATAAAATGAGTTAGGGAGGATTCCCTCTTTTTCTGTTGATTGGAATAGTTTCAGAGGGAATGGTACCAGCTCCTCTTTGTACGTCTGGTAGAATTCGGCTGTGAATCCATCTGGTCCTGGACTTCTTTTGGTTGGTAAGCTATTAATTATTGCCTCAATTTCAGAGCCTGTTATTGGTCTATTCAGAGATTCAACTTCTTCCTGGTTTAGTCTTGGGAGGATGTATGTGTCGAGGAATTTATCCATTTCTTCTAGGTTTTCTAGTTTATTTGCATAGAGGTGTTTATAGTATTCTCTGATGGTAGTTTGTATTTCTGTGGCATCAGTGGTGATATCCCCTTTATCATTTTTAATTGTGTCTATTTGATTCTTCTCTCTTTTCTTCTTTATTAGTCTTGCTAGTGGCCTATCAGTTTTGTTGATCTTTTCAAAAACACCTTTGTTTTTAACTCATAAGATCCATTCAGACTTCTGCCTTCTGGAACTATGAGATAATAAATCTTTGATGTTTTAAGCCGCTAAATTTGTGGTAATTTGTTACAGCAGTGATACGAAACTAATACAACCACTATTCACATTTTTAAAAATTACATATTTTTGACTTGTGTTTTGGAGATCCAATGTCATTGTGATGTTTAGCTGTCCTTTTTGCTTTCAGAAATCAGCTTTGTGGACTACTGTAACCAAATCAAGGTCAGAGTTGGCTACTCTCTGAGGCTTTCTGTCATGAATCTGCTGGCGGCCTCTCAGGGCAGAGACCCTGACCTCGCATGTAGGTAGGTTATCTATTGCTGGGAGTGAGATCTGTGTTGATGGCATTTGCTGACTGTAGTTCAGTTATTTCTGGATTAACTTCTGCTTTTGATTACCCACACTATTTTTTTGTGTGGATAATCCTTTATCCAAATAATCAAAAATTCAATGCCCAAACATGCTCCATTTTGGGGCACTTGGAATCCAAAGGTTTTGTAGCTCTGCTCCTCTGGTAGTGCCTTCAAAGCATAAATCTTTAATGTTCTCACTAGATTGGTTGGCTAATTCATGAATGTTCTTCATTCTGGGTAATAAGAGCAAATATTTCCTGAACACTTTACTATGCCAGTCAAACTCTAGGCTGAGCCTGTTTGATGTTCATTACATTTTGAATACTCACTCTAAGCTGAGCACACCATGGCTACCCCCATTTTACAGATGAGAACATGAGGGCTGGAAAGGTTTTGTGGCTTGAGCATGCTCACACAGCTAGTGCAAGGCAGAGCTCTGCTCTGAAGCCAGGCAGCCTGATTCTCAAGCTCACACTTCTACCCAGCAACAGCACTGCTACACTCTTTTTGGAAGTGGCCCAAGTTCACTTCCAGAAACAGAGGTAAAGTTAACATCTTGCTTTAACTGGTAGTGGAAGAGGCCAAGAGTCAGGAGGCAGAAGCAATGCCTTTGTTGCACTTTCTCCGTGGCACACGCTTGTGTGACAGGAGGGACTCCCAGTGCGTGTGATGGTCACTAGTTTCTATTTCTAGGACATTGGTCTCACCTCCTACCTCACAAAAAAGTGAAGACAATCATTCTCTTAATGTTTTGTGATCAAAATGGATTAAAAAGGGTTCCTGCTGTGTCTAGTGGTGGTTTACAGAGAATGTCTGTGTCAACAAAATGTCTGCATCAACAAAAAAGAAAGTTCCTAGTCGTTTCTGCATTTCATCTCCCTCAGTTTGGTTGCATTTCCCATTTGCCTCACACGTCAATGGTATTCACCTACTGTTCAATTTGTAGGATGGCTGGGCAGCCTTCACAGAGCTCCAGAATTCCTTCCTTTCAGATTGGAGGGCATAGTGCTCACACAGTGGTTCTCAATCAGGAGCGATTTTGTTCCTCGGGGGACATTTGGCAATATCTGGAGACATTTTTGATTGTCACAACTGGGGTAGGACGCGACTGGTATCTAGTAGGTTGTATTCGTTTCCTGATGTTGTATGTATCAAACTACCACAAACTTGGTGGCTTAAAATAACAGAAATTTATTATCTCACAATTCTGGAGGCCAGAAATCTGAAAAGAAGATATCAGCAGGGTTGGTCCCTTCTGGAGACTCTGAGGGAGAATCCTTTCTGTGCCTCTCTCCTAGGTCTGGCTGGTCACTCGCGGTCATTGACATTCCATGGCTTATAGCAGCAGCACTCCAGTCTCTGTCTCTGACTTCACACGGCCTTCCCCTCTGTGTCTTTGCATCTCAAATCATCCTCTCATTTCTCTCACATGGACACCTGTCATTGGATTTAGGACCCACCCTAAATCCAGCATAATCTCATCCTGAGGTCCTTAACTTGATGACGTCTGCAAAGACATGCTATTTCCAAATAAGGTTACATTCACAGGTACTGGGGTTTAGGTCTTGGACGTATCTTTTCAGAGGACGCTATTCAGTCTGCTACATGAGTAGAGGCCAGGGAGGCTGAGATACATCTGACAGCACAGGACAGCCCTCTCACAAAGAGGCTGAGAAACTCTGCTCGAGTGAGAAATTTGATTGCCACAGAGAATACCTTTCCCTGTACTTCAAGCCCTTCAGCCAGCTGTGGTGTGCAGTGTGACCCAGTGCGGGCAATGCAGTCAGATGCCAGCTATTACCTCCTTTTTTTTTTCAAGTGTGAACAATCATTTCCAATGATTGGAGGCCATTTGTGCCCAGTAGGTGGCATTCAAATACCCCACATAACCAAGCCTGGTGTGCAGATGACACAACAGGTAAGAAATGAATGCAACTTGCAGAAGTTTGTGGATTCAGTTATGTAAATCTATAGTTTGCATCTTTCTCTTAAATGCATGTTACGAACCTCTGATTTCCCAACATAGGCCCTCAGGGCTTTCTCCTTCTCCAGCCTCCTCCTCACCTTAATGATTACTCTATTTGGATCCAGTGTTTTATGGGAATTTATACCAGGGGTCCTGAACTTTTCCTGCAAAGAGCCAGATAGTAAATATTTCGGGTTTTGCAGGCCAAAAGGCAAAACTGAGAATACCATGTGAATTCTGAGATAACGAGAGAGAAGTCCTGTGGCTCCCTGCCCCATTTGATTAGGGTGGCTGGTCCTGGATGGCAGGCAGCTTTCTGCCCAGGTGCCATCTACTGCAGACTTTCTCTAGGGGAAAAGTGACCGCCCTTTGAATCTGAACCATAGGCTCTGGGAGGAAGGGGGAGGGCCTGGATCTGGGGAAGGATCGCTACCATGATCTGTTTCGCTCTCTGCCCTGGTGACATTCTGGTGCACCCTTCTCTCCTTTTGGAGAACTGGGCCATCTGAACTTGGGCAGTTGACTGAAGGGTCCTGGACTGCTTGAAGCCCAGCAGTCGCCCACAGCAGAGACCTCACTGTGTAGGCGGTGTCCAGTGTGGGCCCTGATCAGTGCCACTGGCCTGGGAGGCAGGTTGTGGGAACAGAGGGGGAAATAGGGGGCAGAGGGTGATGCTCTGGCTGGTCTCCCCACTAACAGTGGCAGCTTGCTCCAGCAAGGTCTGTGGGCCACACAAACCCAGGTGGTGGGATGGATTTGGCCCACGGGCCATAATTTGCCAGCCTCTGGTTTGATTGTATGGCAGATACTCAATTAGTCCTTTTCAGCTTGAGAAACTGTGTATAACTCATTTGCAAATGTTGCAAATGAGTTGAAATGATGTTGAAAGCAGTAAGAACCATTTGACACCTCTGTGCTAAGCTAGTCCATAGGTTTTTTTTTTTTTTAATTTACCGATTAATACGTCAAGGCTTAGAAAAATGGGCACTGCCAAGCTTCTCTTTGCAAATTAACATGCGGACCAAAGAGATATCCAGGATCAGGGAGCTGAAACGAATGTTTTTGCCCTTTGCATCTTGAAGTTTAGCTCCTCTACTCCTCCACACCCCCAACCATCTTACTGGAGTACACAGTCCTGCAAAATGCAAGCACCAGGGATCCGATTCTATTTATTCTTGTGATACATAGTTCAGTTTTGGCAAACTAATGTTTTGGGAACAGTGACCAATGAATTTGTCTTGTCTTTTATGATATAATCTTCAAAGACAAATATTAGAAGCAGTATGTTTAGAAAGAATTAGAAGAGCAGTGAACTCCAACATCCAAAGTTTCAAATGTCGTGACTGTGTGCTGCCTATGCTAACTGTCTGGCATTTGCAATATGGATGCTTTGCTTAAGACAAAATGCTTTCCTAGTCAAAGCCCCAGAAAATTGTCTGCTATCACAGTATTGACTGCTGTCTGTCAGCAAGTATTTTTTCCTTGCTTAGAAACTTCATCAAAATGCCTTCTCAAAAATCAGCTGTCACCTCCCCTTCTATTCAGCTAACCTCACACTGTATCCTCCTTGGGATGCACACTTACTAATCCTCTTGAAGCCAAGTTAGACCAGGTTTGTGGGACGTCAGCTCTTGCCCTCTCCCTTTGGAAATCCCTCCTGATGCAATTTGAGCTGAAGACATTTCCAGAGTCCTTCATTGTGTGCAAATTCCAAATGAAATAGATTTCAGGTCTGTCACTCTGCCATGGAAGTAATCAATAGCCACCAGAAACGGATATTTTTAATGAAGAAATGGAAAATCTAGGATAACAAATGAGAGATTTGAGTCTAGGAGAGGGCAGAAAATGAGTTTTAGGCTCCGAAACCATGTTCCTGCCTCAGTCAAAAATAGCCTTTAGTGATCTGATTGGCACTGACAAAAGAGCTATCTCAGAGGGAAGATGCATGCCTATCTTGTGGCTGAAGATGCTGAAATGGCTCACTTGTACCTCCAGATCCAGATTCTTGCCAATGCCCAGACAGATGGGGGTCCCTGTGTGAGGAAAGGAGCACTCAGTGTGGGTCCTGCTACCTCCTGAATCCTTTTCCACCTTCTGTGGCACCTGCTATTTTGCTGCTGAGGTTTCTTCTGGGCCTATATGACATGCCCGTAATTTTGAGGTAAGTGACAATGAGCATTGCCCTCCTCCTACCCATAAATATGGGCTTGCAGGGCTCCAGCCTTGGCCTTCTCATCTGTACAAGCTCTGTCTGCTACCTTAGCCAGGGTCTTGGTTTTGACCATCCCTCCCCAGTCTCTGACCTTGGTCTATCTCCAGAACTCCAGATTGGCTTCTTTAACTTCCTGTTTGGATGCAGCTGAAGATCCCTCAGGCACTTCAAACTCAGTGTGCCATTTACAAGAGACACACTTTAGATTCAAAGCCACCGAAAGGTTGAAAGATTTCATATCTGGAGGCGATTTGGCATCTCCAGGGAGATTTGGCATCCCCATACCTGTGGGATGAGATGGATGAGGAGGAGTCAATTATGATACTTCATCTTACTAGAGCTAACTGGGAGGGTAGAGGGATGTTGGAAAGGTAGAAGTGGTGGTGGACCGTCATGGAGGTATGATGGTGACTTAGAAGAGGAAAATGGAGTTGTGTTGATAAGTTCTTTTTTGGTTGCAAATCACAAAGACTTAAATTAGCTTAAACACACACACACACACACTCCAAACCACCCCTCCCCCCACACACACACCAAAGGAAAAAAAAACTTTATAACTTTGTTGGCTCAAGGAACTGGGAAGTCCAAAGAAGTAGTTTGAAGAACAGCTGGATCCAGGTATTCAAACAGTGCTGTCATAGACTGGGTTCCCCCATCAAGGAGGCTGAGACAAAGGCTCGTGTGAGGGTAGTTTATTTGGGAGCAGCACGGGAAAGGGAATGCAAGAGACCTAAGAGAAGGATGCAAAAATGAGTTGGCTGGCACCATGGGAAACTGGAGCTCAACGCCATATGGGATCTTCAGGAGAGCCTTATAGAACCCATCTCAGGACTGCCCTTCTTGGTGACAAAGGGGGAAGCATTTATTCATCAGCTCTGTCCCTCATTCATCAAGTGTGGCCCCCTGGGTATTGGCACCCCTCATATGGATGGGTTGCACAGGTGAGTGCTGAGCCAGTTCAACAGGTGTCTTATGAGAGAGAAGCTACAGAGTAGAAAATGAACTCATTGCAGTCTCAGAGGAGTCTCAGGGTGGAAAACATTGTCAGGTTGCACCTGCATGAGGCTGGTCAAAGCCTACATGGAACTGGTGTCAGTAGCAGTTGGTGGAGTCAGGGCAGAGGCCAAGAGGATTTGAAGTGGCCCATAGGTGTCTTATCCGTAACCAGCAGGTCTCTATTTTCTTGTCTCTTGTTCCATCTCTTGATTCTGCTTGCCTCAGCCTGATTCTTAGAAAGGTATATCCACATGGTGACAAGACATCCCCAAGAAGCTCCAAGTTATATGGTCCTTAGAGTTACTGCAGAGAAAGAGACCTTGGCCACCCCATGCCTAATGTTCAAAATTGATTTGGATTGACCTATCCTGGGGTATGTGCTCAGTCTGTGGGAAAGAAAGGGGGTCTTAACTCCTTGCCCTGTTAGAATTACATGAATTTGAGAGTGGAGCTACTTCCCAGTGGAAGGGTGGCTGGTCACGGCAGATGTGAAGATATGATGCTTAGATCCTTTCTCAAGCTTCAAGAAAAAATCTTGCTGCTAAGCTTTGAGGAGTGTATTTCATTCGCTCTATTAGCTTTAGAGCCAAGGACATGCACTTCTTAGAGCAGTCGCTGGCCAAGGACTGAACAAGACAATAAAGGCTCTAGCCATTTCTGCCCAATGTGAGACTCCTCTAAGGGTAATCTTTACTCTAGAGCTCCCTGTTGGGTTGATGGAGAAGTTGCCAGGTCAACATCACAGTCTGGAAGCTTCCTCTGCCCAATTCTTCCTCAGGTGTTACTCTCCAACATACATGTTGCATTTCTAACTCCATCTCTGTGCGTGCTTCTTGGAGAACCCAGCTGACACACGGGCAGATGAAGAAATAACCAATGTTCTCTCAAGGGATAAGATAACTTGGAAGATGAAGGGAGGAGGAATGAGAAAATCCCAAGTTTTGAGTGGGTACAGCAAAAGGCTTCCAATACCCTCTTCTTTGGCACTTCTCCTCAGAACCACTTCCAAAAATGGCCTATGTACAGCACTGAAAATGGCCCTGGAAGTAAAAGGCAGACCTGGCACTTGAAATCTAGGCCTTCAGGTTTTGATATCCTACCAGCTGCAGGGCTTGCACTGCACTGTTGTAAGACAGTGGGCTGCATATAGACAGGGAGATAAATACAGACAGTACATGCTCTCAGGGCAAACCATGTGTGGGCAAGCCTGCTTCTCCTTGCAGAGGCATTGACTCTGCATAGAACCTCATGTAGAATCACATCGATTCCAAAAACCACTTTCCATACGAGTTGTCTTCTGCCAACAGGCACATGAGGGAAGAGAATGGAGCTCCTTTGTGTGTAGGTTGGCCCTGCTAAGTTGCTGAAATTCAAGGTCTGAGGAAGAGTCAAGAAACATGTTAACCTAGACTCAAATGTTCTCATTTCTCTGAGACTACTCTGTCTAATGTGTCTCCAAACACCTGGTTTGTGCATCATTGGCCTTGGGTTTACAAATTGGAGTGAGTTTTATAGGAAGGTGGCACATAAAATTATAGGTCTATAAACGGCCATAGTAAGTCATCCAAGTAAAAGGCTTAAATTCCAAGTCATATGGTATGAGGAAACTGAGCTGAAATTCTGTTATTTTCACTGGCAGGAAAACAAAAATGCACAAAATTCTTATTATTCTGAGTGTACAGGAATCAGAATGCATTCCCATGGTGACTTCTTGTGCCCTACATGCAAGGGAGCAAAACAGAAGTTCTAGTTCACCAATCTGACTTCTAATCTCTGAGATTTGATGTGAATACAAATAATGGTTTTCTGTGGTACCTTCAGAGTATGCATCACTGGCTGTGTCATAAAATTTTTCTTGTGGTCCTAAGGGAGAAATTTAAGGCAAACGCTATTAGGATCATTTTTGTAGCTGGACAGATTTAACAAGCAAAGGGTTATGCGATTGCTACTTTGTAGTTGAAGGAATTGGGTTCTTTCTGTGCCCATTCCTGTTAAATCACAAATGACAACAAAGGTGAATGACTTTAGTTTATGTAAGTTGTATTGATCTTGGTAAGATCCAGCATTATACCAGCATCATCTTAGAGAGGCAGGTCTGGAAAGTGATTATCAACTGTTCAATTATGTTACATTCTTAAGCAAGGTGATTTTTTAAAAAATTTATTTTTCATTCTGGGGTACATGTGTGGGATGTACAGGTTTGTTACATAGGTAAATGTGTGCCATGGTGGTTTGCTGCACCTATCAACCCATCACCTAGGTATTAAGCCCACCATGTATTAGCTATTTTTCCTAATGCTCTCCCTCCTCACTACCCCACCCTGCAACCGGCCCCAGTGTGTGTTGTTCCCCTCCCTGTGTCCATGTGTTCTCATTGTTCAGCCCCCACTTGTAAGTCAACATCCCTTCATGTTAAAAACTCTCAATAAACTAGGTATTGAAGGAAAATACCTCAAAATAATAAGAGCCATTAATGACAAACCCACAGCCAATAACATGCTGAATGGACAAAAGCTGGAAGCATTCCCCTTGAAAACCGGCACAAGACAAGGATGCCCTCTCTCACCACTCCTATTCAACACAGTATTGGAAGTTCTGCCCAGGGCAATCAGGCAAGAGAAAGAAGTGTATTCAAATAGAAAGAGAGGAAGTCAAATTTTCTCTGTTTGCAGACGACATGATGCTATATCTAGAAACCCCCATTGTATCAGCCCAAAAGCTTGTTAAACTCATAAGCAACTTCAGCAAAGTCTCAGGATACAAAATCAATGTGCAGAAGTCACAAGCATTTCTATACACCAACAACAGGCAAGCAGAGAACCAAATCATGAATGTATTTATTTCTTTAGAAGTAGAATTTCCCCTTGGCTGTGAGAGAGTGCAGGTGCATTCAGGGAAGAAGTCTTTACTGGTGCAGTCAGAGAGATGGGAGTTGAGATGAGGCAGTGAACTGACTGTTCAGGCAGTGGAGGAGGTGTTGCTAGATTTTGGGTATTCAAGAACAGAAATCCAAGTTGAATGATCTCATCAGACATATTGGGCTGTTGGGAATCGACTCAAGCTAGTCAAACACCTAAAAGACTAAGGGATAACACAGGACACAAATGCAAGCACTACCTGTATGTGGCTGGGGTATTTGTGCCAACCACTCTGAAGCTTTCTGTCCTGGTGTCCAGGCATCCAGGGAATGGGCTTAGAAATGAGAAGACTGGGTGGGTAGCAAGAAATTAGAATTGAGGCTGATGGATGGTCCCAAGGATTTCTCGGTTCAGGTCATGGTGACTCTGGTAAATCATACAACTCTCTCAATAGTATTTATCTCTAAGGAATAAGAGTTTTCATATTAGTCAGATTCAGCACCTGCCTCTTTCCTGGATAGACATTTTCCCGATCTTCAGATAGATTAGTATATCCCGCATATTAAAAATAGCCTTTTTAAAAAAGAAATAAGTAACACCATGGAATAGTTTATAATTACTTTCCAGACCTACCTCTCTAGGATAATGCTGGTGTAATTCTGGATTTTACCAAGGTCAGGGATAACTTCCTCTCCTTGATAGTCCTGACTATCTCATTGGTTTTTGAAAGTTTTGGGATGGGCATTTCAAAATACCAAGAGATAGGCAAACACAAGAGGAGTTTTTTTTTATAATTTATTCCATTTTTCCTATGAGATAGTATCAAGTAATAATCACATATGAATGAAATTGGGTTTTTAAGTCCTCTATTGGTGAGATTTTTCTTTATCTTTCAAATGTTGGAGCTGTGGGTGCCATTCCAAGATGGGGGTGCAGGCAAATGGAGGTGTGCCAGTAGCCAAGCTTGGCTGGCACATGGCTTTGTTTCACCTGGGGCAGAAATGATGGCAATTGGTGATATCTGTTGTACATAACTCTCATCATGGGAAGCACTGAAGGACAGGCTTTCTCTCTCTTTTCTCTAATAACATCATTAACATAGCAAATTATAATTTTGGAACAGGGGAAGTTTTATCTCAGTAATTTTATACTTCTATTTCCAGTTTTTTTCCTTTCTGCAGCATGTCTTAATTATATTTTGGGTTGAAACAAGAGTCTTGTAGCACCTTGTGATAATGACAAAAGTGTCAGTTTAGGAATCCTTTCTTTCCCAGAACAAGGAAAAATGGACATACTGTTAGTGACCTGACCTAGAGCCCCATGCCTGTTAATCTCTAGATTAGCCAGTGATTTTCCAGAGCAATACATTGTTCATGGAGTTCTGGATATCTCCCAGACTCTT